>NC_000014.9:44611713-45236713 GCF_000001405.40 Homo sapiens
GATTAGCCTTAAAAGATAAAAAGGGATATCAAAAGCCTGTTCATTTGTCAAAAATAAGCCAAACACTGGGAATTACATAAGTCATACCAAATAGGAAAACATGAACAATTGCTGTACATGCTTCTCGGTGTTCAGAAGATGAAATCCACCAATTCCATAGAAGAACAAAAAAAGATAGTTTCACGTAGATCTGAGAGATAGTAAATTGCATAAGATGGTAAACAGCACCATTAACAACAGCCTAACAAATGTGGCAGTGTGTCTTATAGGACTGTTTCCTTTAACACCTTCAAAGTAATCCAGTGATGTAATGTCAAAGTGCAACTTAGCAAAAGCATTTCTACAGAGGAGACCAGGAATGGAATGAGGTTCCCAGCTCTCTGCTTCCCTGGTATGAGCCAGGGACTGATTTTTGGAATGAACACTAAATCCTTTCGGCAAACCTGCATATATACTCTTTCTCTCAACCAAGTTTTCAGTATTGTGCAATGATGAGCTCAGATAATGCCTCTTTCAAGTACCTATACTGTTATTATTCTATGTTACAGGCTAACCACAGCTCCTTTGACTTTAACAGCCAGCCAAGCCAGGGTAAGTTGCCATCCTCTAATGGAACTGAGGCGCTTAAAAAAGATTTGACCCGAAGGCAATGCCACTTCTGAACAGATGCGGCCAAAGGAGTAGCTAAGTGCCCTCCCTTGAGAACTAAGTGCCCTCCCTTGATTTCTAAGTACTGCTTAGAACTACCTTTGTTTCAACCAGGAGTTTTGGAGCCTCTGATTATATCATAACCAAATTATCCTACAACAAAAACTATCATCTTCATTTATAAGTTGGAAGAAAACAAAATCCTCTTAGAAATATAAACATATATGCCAAGGAGCACTGCTGCATATCTACAAAAAGAGAAGTTGACACATGTATACAAAAGTTACAAAATCCTTAGTGAATATCAGGATTCCAATATCCATGACTCAGTGCAATGAATTTGCCAGGGAGCCTAAATTAAATTGAGGGTCATCTTAGGCATCAGTCTTCCAAAAAGCCTGCTCTGAACCCAAACGACAAGACTATCCTGAGATGTTAAAACAGCACCTGTAAATACCCTCTCACAGAATTTATTACCCTGTACGTAATTGCCCACTTACTCTTTGTATTAGTTAGGATGCATTCAACTTGAAGTAACAAAGACTTTAACCAATAGTGATTCAAGTAATAGGAGTTTATTTTTCTCAAATAAAAGTAAGTTTGCAGATAAGAGACTGCAGGTATTAGTTCAGTAACTCAATGGTATCTCCAATTCTCTGGGCATTTCCTTCGTTGTCACTAGGTCCCTGCCAATGATTTACGTCCACATTTAAGACAGAAACAAAGGGGTAAAGGAGAGGAGAATGGATGGTGCTATCAGTGCCTGTTTCATTTACCAAGGCAACAAAATGTTTCCAGAAATCCTCCCAGAAATTTATTTCATCTTATTTCTCATTCGCCGTAATTGAGTCAGGTGGCCAGCCCTCACTTCAAGGAAGGCCGGATAAGTAGGTGACAGCCTGACCATAAATGGCTTAGAGTCTCAGCCTTAGACTAATCATGATACACCATGATACACCATCTGGAACTGGGCACGGGATGGGGCAAGAAAGAAATGCAAAGTAAATATTGACTTTAAAACTAAAAGGCTTATTATGTTTCTCTATTTCTTAAATTAAATGTAAGCTTCTTGAGATTATATCTGTTTCACTATTTTATTCCCCCAGAGCCTGGCACAGTGCCTAGCTCACAGCAAGCACTCAGTGAGTAACAAAGGAAAAAAGGAAGGAAGGAAGAAAGGAAGGAAGGAAGGAAGGAAATTTTAACTTGCCAGCTATCTATCAACACAGTTAACACTTGTGTAAGGATATGAGATCAATATTTATGCATAGTCTGAACACACCAGCATTCTGAAATGAAAATATTCTACTCTTTATTCCCAATTTAGGCATTCAGTAAATAGTGTTACTGATTATGATAATGCTGAAAGTCTCTACAAGACACTTCTGTGCAGAAAATAACAGTGCTGATATCAAAATATTAATAAATGTTAAAAGTAGGTAGATTTATTGGCTCGATGAATACACAAAGGCTCGTCCATTAAATAGGAAACTGATAAGAAGAACCTTGTCCTTCTGAGCCCAAAGAGGCATATGATAATTAAAGTTCATGTAATCAGGCCTTGTAAACTCAATTCTCTAAATAAATTGTTTAGAAAAAACTCCAAACCAAAGAATGATCATTTGTCTCTGAAAAAGTGGGGAAAAAAAAGTATGACTGTGAGGCACATAATTTGTAGAAGCAATCAACAAAATGCAAGCTTTATATTGGATTTAAACAAGAGCTTGCATCGAAGTTAAAGGAGTGTTCTTTATGGATTTAATTAAAATGTTGCATATAAGACCTTTCTAATCTTACTGTGCTGCAACTGTATTAAGACACTCACATCAAAATATTTACATTTAAATATTTTATAACATCACACTTTAAAATATTAATGATGCCACAAGTAATCAGTGACATTTCTATAGCCTTTTCTGTAGTAAGTTTGCAAGAAAATAGCAGTCTAACTGTGTTATCTCTAGTCAGCTATTTGAAATTCAGCTTAGGAAAAACACCAGCTTGCCCATTTCTACAATTCTAATGAAAACTCCTCTAAGAGCTTAACTTCTTGCTATTACAATTTGTTCTGATTCTGGTCTAGATAGTGGCACCAAAGGGAGGAAAAAAAACTGCTCTTGCATTGTTAAGTGCCACTACTGAGTTTAAATGCACTCCTTTTCAAAGAGATAGTTTTATTGAAAGGTTTCATTAAAAATATGAGAAAGGTAGCTATAAAACATAGCAAGTGAACAAGTCAATGTTATTGGTGTGTTCCTTACAGTGAAGGGATCTTTACAGATACCTAAGTGCTATTTAGAGACAGATGATGTTGCAAATATTGCATTTGTATATAATAATAGCCTTTGTAATTATAAGATTCATTTCTTAATTTTTTTTTACTTGAAGGCATCAGAGAACTGCTACTGCTCTATAGTCACAGCTATAACCTTTTTTCTGCTTTCTTTTTTCTTGTCACTGGCCAAAAGAGGCAACTGAGGAAGACATGACTCAAATTCTCATCTCTATAAAATGTCAAGCACAAGTTTTGCAGTGATGATAAATATAGCACAGACAATAAAAGTTGGCAGCATCACCTTCGAATATGAAAGATGATTATTCCATTCTTTGTTCCTTAGAGAAGCTAATTATTAGGGCTAATCATAAAGGAAGTTAATGACTAGAGGAATGGCAGCCAGGTGACAGAGACTCCAAAACCTGCAAACTCCAGCATAAATTTGCTAAGGGATTTCAGATGCATCCAGCTATCAATTTCTCTACTGAAAAAAAAAAAGCCATCATACTTACACAATACTTTGAGAAGTACTGAAGATACATTATTATGCTACCTTCATGTGGAGTTAATTATGGAGGGATAAAATAGTGATAGTCCTAGGTTTGGGGTTGAGATAGGAAACATACAGTTATGTGATGAAATAAATTCCTTGTGGCAGGGGATTTTCTGACTTGCAAATAAAGATCATATAAAATAATGATGACTCACTCAGAGATTTTTTTAAAAATTGAAATCTCTTCTGAGCAATCTATACCAATGATGAAGCAGAAACTTGTTTTCTTTCTGATCATTCTAAGTCAGTTCTCAATGCTGTTTCTAATTGCTAAAAGAATTAACCCTTCTGATACTTCTGCCCATGTATTGTAAGTTTTTTCTCTTTTTCTCCTTGAAGAATATGTTTCTTAAAGAAAATTTCTTTTTCCTTTCTTGGAATTCAAAAGTTTTATCACACGGCTAACTGTCCTGATGATACCAGAGGTCAGGTCAGCATGCATATGTTCCTTCCTATAGAAGAGAAATGTCTACTGCATTTCTTTAAAATATACTTAATTCATATTTATTTGATATGGTTTGGCTCTGTGTCCCCACCAAAATCTCATGCCAAAATGTAATTCCCAGTGTTGGAGGAGGGGCCTAGTGGGAGGTGATTACATCATCGGGGCGGTTTCTATTGTTTTACCCCTAGTGCTGGTTGTTTAAAAGTGTGTAGCACCTACCCCTACTCTCTCTCTTCCTCCTTCTCTGGCCATGAAAAGACATGCTTTGCTTCCCCTTCACTTTCAGCCATGATTGTAAGTTTCCTGAGGCCTCCCCAATCATGCAGAACTTTGAGTCGATTAAGCTTCTTTTCTTCATAAATTATCCAGTCTCGGGTAGTTTTTTATGGCAATGTGAGAATGAACTAATACAATATTTAGTGTGTTAAAACATATTTTACTGAACTTAAAGTAGCAGGACTTTTAGTTTTTTTCTAAACATATCATTCAAAAAATTGGGAAGATAGGCTTGACTTTTCGAATCACATAATCTAGTGATTCTAGTAAGATAAAAAGCAGAGACACCAATACGATAAAACACATAAACCTGTTCTTTTACCCCAATCCACCTTTATTCATTGAGCCTCAACAGTAGATGACATTTTACAGAACATGCATGACTTTCTTCTCTGTATTTCAGAAATTTGCATTCTAAAGCCCAATGTCCCACAGCAATCACTGTCGAAGCACAAAAACAAATTGCCTGAAATAACTGGACAGTTTAGCTGGATCAGTGTGAATACTTTTAGACAGCTGAGTGACATTTCACTTAGCTTTAGATCTGGAGATCCAAATTTAATAAATAAAAAGCTTTCAAGACAATAGGCATATTTTATTCTTCTCCCTCCAGCAAGAAGCAATTTAATTCAAGAAGTATTTAACAAGAATGTACTGTTATACATGCTGTGGGGAGCTTTAGCAAAGTAGGAGATGGCATCCTATCTTCAAGTGGCTTACAATCAAATAGTATGGAGAAAGCATGCCTATTCATGAAATCGCTAAATGACAATACTGTAATTGTGATAGGCAGAATTCTGAGATGACTTCCATTACCTCCCATACCTGATTCAGAAGGAGATGAAGTTTAGCAATTTGTGTGATGGGGAAAAAAATAACCTTCATTTGGTTTAAGTAAGGTTAATGCAAAAATTCACAAATTATATTCAACACTTTCTCTACAGAGTATTCAGGGCATATTTTAATCAGTCAGATGTTTAATATTAATTTAACTATTTGAGAGCACAAAAAGAGAACTGAGCTTACAAGCTTAGGGGTTGAGACAGGAGAATACATAAAACAATGAAATTACTGAGAAAATTTTCAGAAATAACTCCTATAATGCTATCTCTTGTCAACAGTAGTTCATTGACAAGAGATAGCATAATAAGATACAAATGTCAAGAAAGCTTCTGTGAAGAGGTTGGTCTTGTTTAGATTCACTGTTAATAGAGAAAGTGAAGGCCGCTGGAGGCAAGAAGGATAGAATGTATAAAGGCCCTGGAGGTAGGAAAAAGCACAACACTTCCATTTCAGCCACATTAATCTTTCCTTCCTTTAAGTTTTCATATGCTTTCTCATTCCTGTAACTAATCTGACACTAATTATATACTGTTATACTGGTTTTCTATTGCTTTGTAACAAATAACCACAAATTTAGCAGCTTCAAAAAACATCACTTTAAAATATATATATATATATATATAGTTCTGTAGTTCAGAAGTCCAGGTGGGCTCAAATGTGTTCTCTGGTTAAGGCTGAACTATATCAGGGTGCTGTTTTTAGCACTGCTATTATTGCTTCTTGAGAAATTATTTCAGCAGCCTTTACTTCTCAGAATGTAAAGGCCTTAATGTAGAAATATTATATTTATATACTGTTGATATGCTTCTGGTTGGGCAGCAATCAGTCATCTGCAGATTTATGGTCATCTGAAATCATTGTTTGTCCTGCAAAACATTTTTTGCCTCTCCCTTTGTTGCAGCTCTGTCCTGAAGTGATTGAGTATTTTGTTTTCCCCTTTTAGTTCTTCCCAAGATAAATATCTGCAGAAAAACAATTGTCTCAAAAAATTGTTGTTGCTACAAAGCAGAGAATAGTTAAAAATAACAATTAATATTCCTTCAAAAATCTTCAGAAGTTTAGACTTATATGACACAAATACATTCTTGAAAATTTGTCTGTGCCTCTGAAAGACTTCTACTCATTTCCCAAAAAGCACTTTTTAAGGCCATTTTTTCTGCTTTATGTTTTTCCTACCTCTGCCATCTTTCCTCCAGGAAGTTAAGGCTATGCCAAAAGAGTTTTCAGTAGTTGCCATATTCATAAATATAAATCAGTAAAAACAATCAAGAATAGGTGACTTCAATGTATATTTACAGAGGAAAACCATGGGTCATAAAAAATTTAGGTTTTAGTTCAATTCTTCCACTTACTGACAGTTCCATCTTTTCTCTTTCCTAATCCCCAATTACCATATCTATAAAATGGAGGTAATCACCTACCCAGCAAAGGTCACAGAATAAAATTATGCCAAATGCATTAAAGTTATTTTAAAAGCAGCAAAGCGCTTTATAAATGCAATGCACTTAATTATTAGCAAATTGAGATGATAAATTATATACTATATGCTTGAATAACAGGGGTTCAAAATCTTATATTACTGCAAAGTCTAAGTCAAAATTGATTTCAAATCAATAAGCATTTATTGACTAACCAAATATAATGTATCTGACTCAACATGATCAGCCCAAGATAAAAAATTTTATTTATTTTATTTTTATTGTAAATCTATTATTATTAATTGCATACAGTATTAATATTATGTATGCTAATTAGCATTGAGTTGCTATGATAAGTGCTTCACATGTACTATGTCATTTAATTCTCAAAACAACCATAACCATAAGAGATAGAACTCATTCTCTTCATTCTACAGATAAGTCAGGCATTCAAGGTTCAGAGAATGCCAAATACCTGCTAAAGTCACACAACTAATAAGTAGAAAGCCCGAGATTAACACATAGTTTGTACAGTCTCCAAAACCCCTGTAATTTACTCCTTCATATACATTAGAATACAACAAAGAATAGTATATAACAAAACAAAATGATGTGGTACCTTACTAACTGCAATAAGAGAAAGGATCTGGACCAAGAAGGAAAGGCTACATGGAAGCAGTGATGTCGAATTGGAATATGAAGTGTAAACTTGTAGTTTGATTATTATTCCATGCAGCACTGAGTGTAGACTATGCGCAGAATGGATACTTAATAAATGCTTCTGAAAAAATAAAATAAAAGCAATTTTCCTAGACCTGATACAGAGCATTTAATTTCAGAAGTCTACCTTCTAAGTTCATTGTTCTATCTTTTCCTTGATGAAATAAACTTTCTTCTCTAATTTACATGCCCTGTTTGACATTTAGTTTGTATCACCCAGACATACATAGGAACAGATACTCTGAGTTCCTATTGATGTTATCATCACTCTGAACCATGTTCATATCGAGAATCCATTTGAAAATCAGCCATGTAAAACTCTCTAAATGAAGATTTATCAAATAGTTATGAGTTCCTAAAAGACTCAGAATATGCAAAAGGATTTACTCTAAAGGAATACTTTCAAAACAAGACTTCATAAATAATAAAGAGAAATTTCCAATTGGTTAAATGACAAACCATTAGCCCTTTAATGCTGACTATTATATTCTTCCATCTGGCAAGCTATTCATTTTTGTCTTTTAATTTGAACTAAAAGACCACTGGGCAAGATTTTATTTCCTTATTCTATATTCTAGGTTTCATTCAGTGTATTGTTGAGGATATCATGCAAAATGAAAGTTTTGTATTTTATTCTTTGCTAAATATTAAAATTGAGCAATCAAAATAATTAAAGCAATTTCTTTCTACAGTCCTTCCAAAACTATCATTCTGCATCAGTCTAGACCCCTCATTTTATAAGTAATGAGAAACTCAGTTCAAACTGGTTTAAAAACTATAAAGAGGATTTATTGACTCTGGTAACTGGAAGGTTCAGAGGAATGGAAGACTTCAGCATGGTTTGATTTATCAACTCAACAACAATATCAAGGCCCTGATTTCTTTCCCTTTCCCCTCTGCCTTTATTTCAACCAGCACCATCCAATATTTTTTCTTCTCTGGTGGTGACAAAAAAACATTTCCTGCATCATTTCCACATATTGAAATCACACTGTCCAGAAGGAGTGAAAGTACTGATTTTTCAGATCCCAGCAAACATCCCTTTCCCCCAGATTTCCTAAGCCACTGTAGAAAGCACTGACTGATTGGCTTACACTTTTATACTCTGAATACAGGGGCAAGAAGATGGGATTCACATGTCAGGGTTTAAAAAATTAGAACCCACCTTGGAATTGTGGATACAGTCATTTTCTAGCCCTCTCATTATACCCCAACTGCACGGATAATACAAAATGAGAGCAAGAAATAAGAGATAGTGAGGACACAACCACAGTATCCACTATACAATCCTAACTGGCTAGTCTTTTTCTACATTTCAATAAATTGTTGTAAGTCTACATCATCCTTTAATCCACAAAATGTTCTAGGATCTTTCCAACAGCTACTCCCCTAGATTCCTCCTCTACATTCCATGAACATAAGCAGACTTGTAGTCCTTCCTCATATTTCACGGAGTAAGCAGACTGTGAAAGCAGGCTTCAAACTGTAAATCAAAGTTAAAGTAAGAAAATGCACCACCAATTATAACCAAGTATTTCATATACTAGCTTATCAAACATAGATTCCTGGACTCATACACTGACATGCTACAACACTGGCATTCCAAAAGGGATACACAGATAGTGAGAGAGGGAAAAATAAGTGGCTCCACATTTCTGAGCACAGCCAGCCTGTCCAGACCCTGTGGGCATTTTCCTTGGGGGCAGGTACCTGAGCAGCAGAGCATAATTCCGCCTTTTTCATAAACTGGTAGCAATATTCATCTGTGTGGTGCCAACCTGTCCAGATACATGCTCAGTGGAAGACTGTGACACTAATGATTATTACATTAATACAAAAAAATGCTTTGGCTCATATCCTCAAGGAGACATTATTTTCTGGAAGAGGGCAAATTAATAGTACATATTTTAGTTGCTATGTGTCTAATGTACATTTTGCCAACTAAAACAAACTGCATAAAAACCCTACCCTGGAAACAAAAGATCTATAAAGGAAGAAAACAAAGAAAATGCCTATTTAAGAACAGAATATGGTTCAGTTTGAGCAATTCATTTCAAAAAGAGAAAATCATCATCAAAATAAGCAGTCATCTACACACATAACCATGACATTCAACTAAATATCCTTTTATCTTTGTTTATGTGACAACACTTATTTTCACTTTCAAATGGACTTCTGTGTTCTGAACCCTGATTTATAAATGATATATGTAGCAAAGTTTCATAAAATTCATCAACCAGCAAAGCAAAGCTTTTAAAATCTCATTAAAACATGATTTGTTTGTCTAGTAACCAAAATACATTTTCTAATTTAAACTCAAAAAGCTTAATTAATTTAAATGCCACCTTGATTACCTCTACTATTGATCCAATGAAAGAATTTACTAACATGCTGAAAGAGTTGAATGCTAGTCTGTTTGCTTTTTTGTTATTTAGCACACTATAAAAATCACTGGATAATGTAAGAATCATGGTTTTGTGCTCCAAGCTAGAAAATTTCTCACATAGCCATTATTACTGGGTAGAATTATAGAATCTTGTCAACTTTCATTCACAAATTTTTACTAATAAACATGTTGTCTTTTAAGAAGAAATTGTTTTCACTCTCAAAATATTTTTCCCTCTAGTCTCCCTCGCAAAGGTCAAAGAAAAGTCTTAGATAAAAGAGGCAACAGCTTGGAAGTCTTAGTATATTCTCTCTCTTGCAGACCTCTTGTTTCTCATTTCTTATGAGAACTTATACTTTCAGTGAAAACATGCTTTCCAAAAATGAATTTTGCTAAATGGTGCAAAGAAAAGTCATAGTTTGAGTAAATTTGTTTTCTAATTATGAAAGGCAGCTGATAGCATAGGACAATTGAGGCAATTATAGTGATTTTTATTAATTTGCTATTACTATTAGCACTTTAGTAAACATCCTTGAGAAATGAAGATATTTTTCAGTTACCATAAATAATGGCTGATATTTCAAGTAATTTGGTTACTGATCTGAGTTGGAGGCTGGAGGCCTAGGTCAGGCTGAAAGTAGAGTATACTGACCAGAGGTCCAGAGTATAGACACAAGGTTTATCAAGACACTATGTCTACGCAGTCTAGTGGAGGCATTACAACATGGGGACTAGGCACAGAGACAGAGGCCATGTGTGAGCTGGAAATGTTAGACAAGAATATATGGCAGAGATGAAGAGAATTTGAAATGGAATGGTCCCCTAAACCTCATTGCAATTCCAAGATGCCCTTTTAAGAACACCTGAGACTGCTGGCAGTAGATAGGGAGGGCCTATTTAGAGTGGCAAGCTGCCTCAGATATACATAAGAAGCTCACAGGAGTCTCTGCTTGGATTACAGGTTGAGTATCCATTATCCAAAATGCTTGGGGCCAGAAGTGTTTTGAAGTTCAGATTTTTTTAGGATTTTGGAATATGTGCATTATACTTACTGGTTCAGCATCCCTAATCCAAAAATCTGAAATCTGAAATGCTCCAGTGAACATTTCCTCTGAGTGCCACATCAACACTCAAAAAATTGTGGATTTTGGAGCATTTGGAATTTTGGATTTTCAGAATGTGGTGGCTTTAGGCTGTCTTGAATAGGAAGAGAGGGCCTAGAAACAGTTACTGGAATCCCAATTCCTATCTGCAAATTCATAAATAGGTGTTTTCAGTGTGAACCTCTTAAAAAAAAAACAACTTAGATTGGTCATTCTCATCTTCTGGGAGAGAAAGGTGCTTTTCATGATCTCATAAAGAAGCCTCTAATGAAGTTCACTTTCCTCCTATTAGGTATTGGGAAAAACGTATTAAACTTATAACAATAAAGACTTATTCTTTAGAGAAAATTTATCATTTTGACAAAGGTATTAAACTCTTTCAGTGAAAACAAAGTTGCCTTAGGTATAGGTTCAGAAGACTGAAAAAAATTCAAAGTTCAGGTTGAGTATCCCTACTTTACGGTTTTCCTACAGATTCAAGCAAAAATGACTCTCTGCTCTTTTAAATACAACCAACTCTTTCCCTGTAGACCCAAGTAGGTAAATAACATAATAATTAGTTGATCATCATCATTTCTTTTTTAAAAAAAAAACATAGTATTTATGAAATCAAATAGCCTTTGCTTCAAGTTTCAAACATCTTTGAAAACATAGTTAAATTTGATGATCACATTATCTTTGAAATATAAACCAGCTTTTTAAAATCCCTTCCTTTTGAAATGCAATAAAAATCTGAAAATGCATTTTTCATCAGAAAGAAATTTTCATTAAAAGTGCAGATGGACTACATCTTACAGAACACTGGCATTTCTGGAAAAATAATCTAGGAAATACAGACATCTACTATACTTACTGACTTTATTCATAATATTCAAAGACATAGGACATTGAGGTGATTGCAGCTCTTGCAGCTAAAAGGGAAGAAATTAATTTACTCGGATTCCTGACTTTAGCAAATAAAAACAAAAGAAATTAAGTGACTCTCTCAAGGTCACAGTTAGTAAATTGAGGAAATAACATTAGAATCCAAATTCTATGCTTCCTAATGAAGTATTTCTTCTAAAATGTTACTTTTAAATTGGTTGTAGATAACTGAAAATAAGGTTTATGATCACCACAAATATTTTTGAATTACTTATTTTAGAGAATTGTCTATTTCAAATCAAATAATATATATTATACTCAAAAAAAGTTGCAATGGTATCTGTGGGACTTCAAAAATTAAAGAAGAAGGGGTTGCTAAGGAGTCATTCTGCTTATATCACATCCCCTTTCTGCTACTCTCCTGCAGAACGGAATGTGTATCAGTAGATACAGAATAAGACCAAAATGAATCAAATCCAAAAATTTAAGATCAAACGTGGCTTAAGCAAAAGAAAAATAAAAACAAGAAAAAAATTGGAAAGTAGAATGGATACAAGAAATGGGCACCTTCATGATGTAAGATAGCAACAATTAACAACACAAGCATACCTAGGAGACACTGCAGGTTGGGTTCCAGACCACTGCAGTAAAGTGAATATCACAATGAAACAATTTGTATGAATTTTCTGGCTTCCCAGTACATATAAAAGTTATGTTTACACTATACTGTAGTGTGAAATAGCATAATGTCTAAAAAATATACAAATAGCTTAATTTAAAAATATTTTATTCCTTAAAAATGCTAACAATCATCTGAGGCTTCAGCAAGTCATCTATTTGCTTGTAGAATATCCTGTCTCAATATTGGTGGCTGCTGACTGATCAGAGTGGTGGTTGATAAAGGCTGGTGTGGCTGTGGCAATAAGAAAAATGATGGGTAAAATATTTCAAGATGCCAACTCAAGGTATGAAAGAATTACCAGGGCCCCCACTTGACTACCCCTAAACATCTATTTTTGTCCTCCTTTCTCTGGGAAACTATGAAAACTGCTGCCTCATCTATCTCTTCCTGAATAACCAAAGGCCCCCTAAGGGAAAAGTTGTCCCATACTTACTTGCCTATCTGGGTTTCCATCTTCTGCCAGATCTTAGTCTCATAATTAATTCTTCTCAATCCTTGTTAGATTTTTAAGTATACATATAAAACTGGGTAGCAGGGCTGATACTTTACTATTCCCCAATGGGAGGGCTGTTCCAGAGAACCAGGTCTACCATAACTGGAACTAGAAGTCAACAGAAAAATTTCTTAAAATTTCATGTCCCTAGCCCTCATGCTCTCCTGGCTACAAATAGCAGTTTCCCTCAAAGTCTCTTTCCCATCCACCCTGCAAACTTTTCAGCAAAACATTTTCAAATTCTTCTGGAAACAAGCTAGTTTTCCCTTCTTTCACGTCTCTTATTTTTCCTCACCAACAACTCTCTGTTTAAATAAGCTAGCCTCTCTATTTCCTTGAGCTCGCCCTTTCAACCATCACTTTGATCATCACAAAAAACAAGGACAAGAAGCAGATTCTCTGCCTGGTGGGAATATGGGTAGTTTTTATATCTTTATTGTTATCTGTATTTTCTAAAGTTTCTGCAACAAATGTGAATTTTTTAAATAATCATTTTTAATGTTGTAATGCTTAACAGATCTCAGAGCATATGCTATTATTTCCTACCTATGCATAATTTGGTATTTACTTGTGCTAAATCAAGTCAGCATGATCTATTTGTACAAGTGAATTCCCTGTTTCCTTAGGACTTTAAAACTCTGCAGCTGCTGTCATGTAGAAAACGAATTCCCATACAGGTATCCTTGCTTTAATAACAGACTCACAATTCTGTTTCCAGGCTTCCCTCTTAGCTTTCACTTTTATTTATTCGGCACTCCTTTTCCCTTTTCTCAGTAGTGTAATGGAGATATCATTTTTTAAAATATTTTCAGATGCATTTTGATATCATGTAAATAACATTGTCCTGTGACTCACTGCCCACTCCTTGACCTAGAAAGGACTGACACCAACTGGAACAGTATACTTACTGCTCAGCACTGACTGAGAAATTAGATTTTTAAAAAATCCCTAAGAAGATAATGGTCTAGAAAGCAAGCCTTGACAGAAAAAGAAACTCTTTTTTTTTTTTTTTTTGAAACAGTGTCTTGCTCTGTGGCCCAGGCTGAATTGCATCATGGCCCACCACAGCCTAGAACTCCTCAACTCAAGCCATCTTCCTGCCTCAGCCTCCCCAGTAGCTGGACTATGGGCAGGTGCCACCACACCTGGCTAATTTTTTACTTTTTCTTCTGTAGATACAGGGTCATGATATGTTGCCCAGGATGGTCTCGAACTCTTGGCCTCATGCAATCCTTCCACCTAGGCCTCCCAAGTGCTGGGATTACAAGCATGAGCCACTGCACCTAGCTTTTGTAATTTATTTAGTTTTTTAGAGATAGGATCTCACTCTGTCACTCGGAAGTGCAGTGGTGCAATTATGAATCACTACAGCCTCAAACTTCTGGGCTCAAGTGGTCCTCCTACTTCATCCTCCTGAGTAGCTGGGACTAAAGGTGTGTACCACATAGCCATGCTAATTTTTAAAAGTCTTTTAGAGATGAGGTCTTGCTATGTTACCCAGGCTGGTCACAAATTCCCAGCCTCAAGTGATCCTCCTGCCTAGGCCTCCCAAGGTGCTGGGATCATAGGCATGAGCCACCCCACCTGGCCTGTTTTATAAATTCTTAAAGCTCCAATTAACATATCAAGAGCTAAGCCTCAGTCTCTGGATATGAGGAGAGATAGCTTGGGCTGTGATATTAAGCTGTTCCTGCCACACCAAAAGCAGGAGACCCTGCCCATTGAGGCCCCATAGACTGCAGAAGGGAGAGGGAGACAGAAATAAATGAAAACATAAAGACATACACCTGGCATAAAATTTCAGGGAGGAGGTATATAAGAGAAATTGAGAAATCTTGTGTGACATACCCCATTTGGAACTCTGGAAACTAGAACACAGGATAGCCCCACACAAATGCAAGATGCTACATCAAAGCGATGTCAGTGACATGACATAAACAGGTAGAGAGAGGACTAGAATAAGCACTCCTTAGCCTCCCTTCACTGTTAGGTGATATAGAAGGGACCTTAAAGTCACTGCAAGTCCAGGGAAAGGAGCTGAGATGAAGGCCTGTGGAACTCTCATGGAACCATACTGGTGATGAGCAATGACTGTTCCAGCAGCTGTAAACTTGATAGTCACAGGCTGGGTGGAGAGCATGGTTTAGACTCAAAGAGCACTACAGTTCAGTGACAACCATTGTAAGGTACATGGCTGTGCTTTGGTCAAAGAATAGGCCCAGGTAAACATCCTGCATGACTCAGTGAGTTTATAACATAGGCGCACAATTCCATGTAAAATGTAAACACAGCTATGTAGTCATAACATGGGAAGGCCATCACTTGGCTCTAGGCCACTATTGTCTGTAAAAGGTATAATTGCCCTGCTGACACGGTACAGGCATACTCACACCCAGAGAGAGAAAGAGATAGAGGGCCAAAACGGTCCATCTTTGAAGACGGACAGTGGGGAGCCAGGACACAGCTCAGCTTATTTGCACCCAGAGGGAAAGATTTAAGCTGCTGACCCTGAAGTCAAGAGAGAGCCAGCTGTGCAGCTGTGCATGAGAGTGGCCAGAGCAGGCAGCCACAGAGACAGGGACAGACAGACAGCGTAAGAGGGCTACTAAATAAAGCCATATTTCACCTACCTCTGGACCCCCGAGTGTTCTTTCAGCTATCTGTCACTCATCCACCCATTTCCTTCCAGACCTCAGCATGAGCTGGAACCCGACCCTGGACCTGACAACCATGGTGGTGCCAAATCTACAAGGGTGACCAAGCTCTGCCTGATGCAAGAAAATAAAGTGCGATTTTGTCTGCCACACTTTGGCAGACCCCACTCCAAGGGGCCAAAACCTGTATCATGATGTATATACTGCAGTAGGAACCAAAAAGGCGCAAAGGAAAGCAAAAAACCTCCTGGTAGATTCAAGGTTCTTCCTACCCAGCTCCACAAGGTGCTTTCATTGTCCCCACATACCAGGCACCAACCATCTCAAAGTGGTATCTACACCCCCATGTTCATAACAGCATTATTCACAATAGCCAAGATGTGGAAACAACCTAAGTGTCTGTTGAATGAATGAACAAAGAAAATGTGGTATATACACACAATGGAATATTATTCAGACTTAAAGAAGGAGAAAAAAGAGGAATGGGAATATGAATCTCTGAGCATTTACAAAAAGAGAATGAATTTTTTAAAAGATACTATTTAAACTGGCAGAGACTCAGACTCAATTGATTCAAAAGTTAGGTTTCTTCCTTTTTATCTCCACCATTGGATAACGGGGTTCATGAGAAAAACTGTACCTGTTGTAGAAAACAAACATTTATTAAGCCCAAAAATATACCTACTCATATATAAACATTTGATTTATGACAAAGATGGCACTGCAAAGTGGTGGGAAAAGATCTTCTTTTCAATTTATATAGCTGAAACAATTAGATTATCTTATGAGGAAAAACAGAGCTTGACCCCTACATTGTTCCATACACACATATCAATTTTAGATGGTGAAACAAGATGTCTTTTAGAACTGTGTTGCTCAATTTGATAGCCACTAGCCACATGTGGCTATTAAACACTTGAAATTGACAAGTATGAATTCTACTGTGGCTATAAGTGTGAAATGCACATCAGATTTCAAAGTCTCAGTATGATTTATAAAATGTAAAATACTGATAATTTTTACATTGAATAAATGTTGAAATGCTAATATTTTGGGTACATTGGGTAAAATAAAATACATTGTTTAAATTCACTTGATTCTACTTTTTTAAGTATGAAAAATTTTAAGCGAAATATGTGGCTCTCACTATATTTCTCTTGGACAGCTCTAAGATATAAGGTATTATTGGAGAATATCTTCTTAACTCAAGTTAGGAAAAGATTATTTAAATGGGACAGAAAATTCACTAATCATAGTGAAAAAGAATGATAAATTTTACTACACTAAAATTAAAACTCTTGTTCATCAAAATGCACTATTAGGAAAATTAAAGGTAAGCCACAGAGGGGGAAAATATTTTGGCAACACAAAAAACTAGCAAAGGGTCAGTAGACAAAATGTTTTTTAAAAAGTCTGCTACAAATCAGTAAGAAAAAGAAAGACAATACAATTTTTAATAGACAAGATAATTTAACAGGAAATTTATAAAGAGCAAATCTGAATGGTCAATAAGCATATGAAAAAATACTCAGCCTTATTATAATCATAAGAATACAAATTTAAACCACAATGAGATATGACTACACATCTACCAGATATGCATAAAACGGAAAAACTTGACAATGCCGTATTTTGGTCAAGATATTAAATCACAAGAAATCTTCATACAGATTTCAGATTGGTGCAATCAATTTGAAAATTAATTTGCCATTATCAACCAAAAGTTGAAGAAAAACACTAAGCAATTTCCTCACCTAGGTATGCACTTAGAAATATGCAGATCAAAACCTCAATGAGATAACACCTCTCACCTGTGAGATGGCTCTTATCAAAAAAAAACCAAAAGATAAGTGTTGGCAAGGATGTGAAAGATTGGGATATTTATACACTGTTGGTGAGAATGTAGAATGGTGTAGTCACTATGGAAAATAGTACGGAAGTTTCTCAGAATGTTAAAAATAAAGCTACTATATGATCCAGCATCTCACTTCTGAGTATATAACCAAGAGAATTGAAATCAGGATCTCAAAGAGCTAACTACACCCCCATGTTCATTACAGCATTATTCACAGTAGTCAAAATAGGGAAACAACCTGAATGTCTGTTGGATGAATGGATAAAAAAAAAAAGTGGCATATACATACAATGGAATATTATTGACACTTAAGGAAGAAAGTTCTGCCATTTGTGGCAACATGGATAAAACGGGAGGGCATTATGCTAAATAAGATAAGCCAGTCCAGTCACAGAAGGACAAATATGCATGATTCCACTTTTAGGAGGTCTCAGAAATAGTCAAAGTTAGAGGAAGAAAATATGATGGTGATTGCCAGGGACTGGAGGAAGGAGAAATGTGGAATTTTTGCTCATTGAGTATAGTTTTAGTTACATAAGATGAATAAGTTCTAGAGAACAGCTGTAAGACATTGTGCCTAAAGTTAAAAATAGGGTATTGAGAACTTTAACAGACATTAAAAGGATAGATCTTATGTTAAATGTTCTTACCATAAACACACACACACCACAAGAAAAGTTTTGGAATGGACAGATATGTTTAGTGTCTTGATTGTGGCAATGGCATCACATGTGCATGAATATGTCCAAACGCATCAAAATGTATACATTAAATATGTGCAGTTTTATGTAAATCAGTTATATTTCAATAAAGCCTTAAAAATGCTATGGCATACTTACTAGATTTGGAAGTTTTCTATGCAGCAAGAATTCTTTGACATTTATTTGTCTTAACCATTACTTAAAGGGTATGCCACAGTCATATTTATAAAGTTTCTCTCTAGTTTTATTTTTCTAATGAGAATTAAGAATTTAGTATTTGCTAAGGGGCCTCCCAAATTTATTCTATTTTAAAATTTTCTATTAAATATGAATCCTAAGATGTTGAATAAGGCTTGGACTATCTGAAGTACTTGTTACTCCTATGTCTATAAGATTTACTTCTGGTATGATTTTCTGCTGTTTGTTATATAAGTATTACTTAAAGTTCATGACAATGCTAAAATAATTTGTTAAGCCTTTATCTACACTTAATACATTTTTCTGTATTTATGTTATAGTCTATAATTAAAACCACTAGAAAAAAGAGCTAACATTTTCCTTGCATATTTAAGTAATAGTGTGTTAAGTTTGCCACCCTGCTATAAGTTATTATATAGCCTACTTCTTTCTTGCAACCATTTCAGCTATGATATCCTGCTCCCTTTACTCTGGGACAAGCTTTCAAGAGATACAAATTTTTGTTATCACTATGTCCATCCAAATAATTCTCAACAATCCAGCCCAACTGTATGTTAATATTTAAATACCTAGATATAACCATGATGTTATCAATTAATTTTTAGTCTCTGCATATACGAGCACTATTTCCTCTGCATTCAGGTTGAATATTGCTAATTAAAATACTACTTTGAGAATGCATTAAAAAGAAGTTTTAAACTCTCTAAAACTCACAAAAATGTTTGGTATTCAGTTAATTTTTTTAATCAGTAAAATATATCAGAGGAATTACTCTCAACCGAAAACCTTAGATTGGGCTCTCACCTGTTGTATTACTGTTCTGAGGCTTCCTTAAAACAGTACTACAAACTTAGTGACTTAAAACAGCAGAAATTTATTCTCTCACAGTTCTGGAGGACAGAAGTCCAAAAGCAAGATGTTGGCAGAACCACACTCCCTCCAGAAGATATAGAGGAGAAAACTTCCTTGCCTCTTCCAGGTTCTAGTGGCTGTGGCAATTCTTGGCTTTTTTGGTTTGTAGCCATATCACTCCAATGTTCATCTTTACATAGTATTTTCCTTTGTATGTCTATGGCTTCTCCTCATCTAGCTCTTATAAGGATATTTGTCATTAGAATTAGGGGCCACTCAGGTAATCTAAGACGATTTCATCTGAAAACCTTTAACTTAATTACATCTGCAAAGACATTTTTTCTAAATAAGGTCAAATTAGGTCAAATTCACAGTTCGAGAAGGAGATCACCCATTCAATGTTGTTAGGTCTATTATGAAGGAAAAAAGAAAAATGAAGAAGGAAAGAAGGGAAAAGGGAGAGAAGGAGGGAGAAAGGAAAGAAAGATTATAGGAAATTAAAGGGATACAAGTACAATAGGAGTAATGACATTGTTTTGCATGGGCTTCTATAGTTAAGTCTCTAACAAAAGTTATATATATATATATATACACATATATATGCATATACACATTGTCATATCCCACACATTTATTACAGACTTCTAGGAGAACAGTATCTAGGTTTTATTTAACTTTGAATCCCAAGCCCTAACCTAGTTATACTTGACATAGTAAACAAGCAGGAAATAATGCAAAAACACTTAATACATATTATATAAAATAAGTCTATAGCTACTTATGGATATAAAATCATTCTGTAGCTACTTGCAGACCACTAGTTTTGCCTGGGCTCAGAACTGGCTTCAGCAACATCAGTTGTAATTAGTTACAACTGATGTTGTTGACAGATGTTCCTGCTTTATTTTGCTTAGTTGCCTGATGTTCTTAAAAATACATTATTTTCCTATAAGACACCTGAAAACCAATCATTGTGTTAAACACTGACAACAAAAACAACAGAAAATTGAGATCTAGGGAGAGAAAGGAAAAAGTGAAGTAAATGATAAAACAAGATGTGGGTGTTTTTGCTTCAGGAAACGTAAAGGGAAAGTACAAAGGTAAAGAGAGAAATTGACGAAGTGCTAGTCAAAGCATTCTGACATGTCCTAGAGGATTTTATAAGAAATCCACATGAATAGCACCAACCCATGAATGGTAGAGAAAAGAGTGGAGACCCTCAAGGAATTGATCACAAGATGGACAAAAAAAATTCTCTTACATAAAGGTAGAATTGGAATGGTTTATCTTACAAAGAGAAAATAGCCCACCTACATACAACTTCTTGAAGGAAAAAGAAATTGTAATGTCAGAGATATAAAATCAGGCCGGCGCGGTGGCTCATGCCCGTAATCCCCACACTTTGGAAGGCCGCAGCGGGTTTCGAGAACAGCCTGCCCAACATGGCGAAACCCCCGTCTCTACCAAAAATACAAAAAGTAGCTGGGCGTGGTGGGCACGCCTGTAATCCCAGCTACTCAGGAGGCTGAGGCGGGAGAATCACTTGAACCCCGGAGGCGGAGGTTGCAATGAGCCAAGATCGTGCACTCCAGCCTGGGCGACAGAGCCAGACTTCGTCTCAAGAAGAAAGGGGAAAAAAAGCCCGGCACGGTGACTCACGCCTGTAATCCCAGCACTTTGGCAGACCGAGGTGGGAGGATATCCTGATGTCAGGAGTTCGAAACCAGCCTAGCCAAAATGGTGAAGCCCCGTCTCTACCAAAATATACAAAAAATTAGCCGGGTGTGGTGGCACGTGCCTGTAATCCCAGCTACTCGGGAGGCTGAAGCAGGAGAATCGCTTGAACCCGGGAGGCAGAGGTTGCAGTGAACCAAGACCACACCATTGCACTCCAGCCTGGGCGACAGAGTGAAGACTCCGTCTCAAAAAAAAGAAATATAAAATCACTGTCAAAGGTATACAAAGCCAACTCTGTAAGTTGTAAAATAAGTCATAAGTCTATCCTTAGACACGATAAAAAGCACACTTTGAATAAAAATTCAAAACTTGATCATTTTGTTATCATTCGAGTGCCAATCACTATCCAGCTAGTATTATGCCTGCTCATTTGCTCACAGAAATGTGTGTTTGTGCATGTGTGCATGCGTGTGGGTACTGAGTGAACAAAATCATTTCACTCTGTTTCAGTTGCTTGAGATTCCAGTTAGAAACAACTGTAGTTTCTTTCTTGGTGTGTGTGATTATCTGAAAATTATGTCAATACACAACTTGCTATCATTTTTAGAAAAATTCCTGAGAGATTATCCAGTGAGTTAAGAAGGATAAAATTTGCATAAGAATATTGTCACCATCGAAAAACTTAATCTTCTGGTAACAATCAAAACCCATATATATATGCTATCCAGCCCAGGCTGGAGTGCAATGGCGTGGTCTCGGCTCACTGCAACCTCTGCCTCCTGGGTTCAAGCGATTCTCCTGCCTCAGCCTCCCGAGTAGATGGGATTACAGGCACGTGCCACCACGCCCGGCTAATTTTTTGTATTCTTTAGTAGAGACGGGGCTTCACCATTTTGACTAGGCTGGTCTCAAACTCCTGACATATATATATATACATATATGTGTATATACATATATGACAAAAAAAAACCTAAGAGCAGTAATTATGGGAAAAGGAACGTTCACTGAGCAGAGATCTTAATGATTTTTTCAGAAAGGTGGAAAGGAAGCAGCAAACTATTATATAAAGCTTCCAGCAAGGCCTGATGTGTAGGTGGTGGCTGATCCATCTAAATGGCCCAGAAGAAGCACGAGAGTCAAGCCAGAGGTATAAAGAATGGTAATGGAAAGAGGAGCTGAAATCGGTATAAGACTTATAAAATCAGCCATCCCATTAATGGGTATATACCCAAAGGACTATAAATCATGCTGCTATAAAGACACATGCACACGTATGTTTACTGCGGCATTATTCACAATAGCAAAGACTTGGAACCAACCCAAGTGTCCAACAATGATAGACTGGATTAAGAAAATGTGGCACATATACACCATGGAATACTATACAGCCATAAAAAATGATGAGTTCATGTCCTTTGTAGGGACATGGATGAAATTGGAAATCATCATTCTCAGTAAACTATCACAAGAACAAAAAACCAAACACCGCGTATTCTCACTCATAGGTGGGAATTGAACAATGAGATCACATTGACACAGGAAGGGGAACATCACACTCTGGGGACTGTTGTGGGGTGGGGGGAGGGGGGAAGGATAGCACTGGGAGATATACCTAATGCTAGATGACGAGTTAGTGGGTGCAGCGCACCAGCATGGCACATGTATACATATGTAACTAACCTGCACAAGGTGCACATGTACCCTAAAACTTAAAGTATAATAATAATAATAATAATAATAATAATAATAATGTGGCACATACACACCATGGAATACTATGCAGCCATAAAAAATGATGAGTTCATGTCCTTTGTAGGGACATGGATGAAGCTGGAAACCATCATTCTTAGCAAACTATCGCAAGGACAAAAAACCAAACACCACATGTTCTCACTCATAGGTGTGAATTGAACAATGAGAACACATGGACACAGGAAGGGGAACATCACACACCGGGACCTGCTGTGGGGTGGGGAGAGGGGGGAGGGATAGCATTAGGAGATATACCTAATGTTAAATGACAAGTTAATGGGTGCAGCACACCAACATGGCACATGTATACATATGTAACTAATCCGTACGTTGTGCACATGTACCCTACAACTTAAAGTATAATTAAAAAGAAAAGGAAAGAAAAAAAAAACGTTTTTCAAATACCTCTGGCCACTTTATATACACAAATTTGTGAATGGCTTCAATCATTTTGCTATGCAAAAAGGGGAGTTGTTGGACACTTTGCATATTACAAAAAATTTCTGAGATAAAGACATTAAATGCACCCAAATCTGTACTGATATTAAAAAAAAAAAAAGTCTGCCTGTAGAATTACACCCTTTCCATTTTCTCTCTTTGCTCCCCGTTCTGGCTCTCGACTGAGAGGTGCTGTGTTTACTTCCATTCACAAGCCATGCCATCTGCTTTAAAGAAATTGATCTTCTACCTCTGGCCCATCAGAGTAAACCCTTTATCCTTTCGGAAATAATTCCTGCAACTTCCCTGCAGGCTGCTCCTCTCTGCCTTATACAAAAAAAAATCGTAGTCAGCACTTCCAGATGCAACACCTTCTCCATGAATATGAACAGAAAATCAAAACTCATTAATATTTCAGAGAAAGACACACACAAGTGAAAAACTAAAGCAACAAACTGAATTTACCCAAAAGCATTGATAATTCAGAAAAACAGAGAACAACTTAATTTTTGTCCTAATGAGGATTCTCAGGATGGAAAACATACTGTAACCATAAGATTAGAATAGGATTCTATGCCAATGGAGCAATTAGAGAACTTTTAATATTGCCTTGGAAAGCTAAAATATGTTTGCTGAAATTTAGGAGATAAAAAACAGAAGAGCTGAAGTTGAAAAAAATGAGAATGAAAATGTGAAAGAAAAAAAAATGAGAGACAGACCAGTGCTTCTCAAATATTAATGTGAATACAAGTTACCTAGAGATCATGTTAAATGCAAATTCTGATTTCATAGATGTGAGATGCTGCATTTCTAACAAGCTCCCGAGTGATGCCATTTCTGTTGGTCCACCAGCCACATTTCAAGTAGTAAAGACTTCAAAGATACGTGCTTGTGAAATTTCAGAACAGCCAAAGAAAATTAAAAAAAAAAAAGAAGGAAAGACTAAGAGTACAGTCCAATGTCAGTCTCAAACCATTATTTGAAGAAATTAAAAAAGAAATCAAAGTGGGTCCCGTCAGTGAGGACCCAGGCTCAGTCCTCATAATGTTCTCCCTCCTGGCCTCTCTCCAGCAACTCCAAGTTTCTCCAAGCAACTTGAACACTATTGCATTTCAAGACAGGATTTGTTCTCTTCAGCTTGTTTACTTTTCAGACCAGTTCAGAGAATCATGATTAATTCAGTGCTTTGTCTTTTAGGAAGACAAAATTTCATAATGGTAGAATTAAGACTAGGTCATACTAACCTGTACCAAATTACCTCTAATTTATTATTCAATCTAGACAAGGGAATACTCAGTTTCTACACCTAAACATCTTGAATGTAGTTCTCATATTAAAAGAGAGACAATCATAGCACTATTCTAATATATATTGTCCTTTCCTTGTCCTCAAGGTAACATAATCACAGGCAAATTTTTTAAATCTTCTAAACAGGAGCAAAGTCACTCTATGCATGAAGCTACATAGTTTGAATTTATAGATTTTGAACTACATCTTATGCATTATTAGCTGTGATTTTAAAAGTTATGAAGAGTAAGAAAACATTACATACTTTAGCAAATGGTACTTAAATATATTCAGGTAGCAGAAGAATAAAGAGGCTTGCTAACCTTGTTTTCCAAATTTGAATTTATCTTTTGTTTAAAACACCTTTATTACATACTAATTGTTTCAGGAATTTGAATTTATCTCTTATTTAAAAATCCTTTATCACATACTAATTGTTCAAAGAAATCTTTCTAGAGAGCTTCAAAGTGAAACTATTGACCATTTTCTCTGTCTTCTAATGTAAAATCAATGTAATACTTTCATATTTATCATTGAGAGAAACAATTAGTGTTTATAAGACCATTTGGGAAAGAATGTTGGATTTAAGTCAAAAATTATCTCTAAATATTTCTAAGTTTTTTCAAATGCCATCTTTTTGGAGGAAAATATAAATTCTGATCCTCCAAATAGTTCCTGGCAGCTCTAAACACAGACCATAAAAACAATATTTGTGAGATAAACACTGTAATATTAGAAATACTTAGAGGTAATTATAGCAGTTATAGCAGTTTGTACATTACAATAGTAAATTTAAAGTTACACTTTTGGCAGATTGGCTAAGAAACAGCAAAGTGAAAGGAAATTTAGAAATTTTTTAATGGAATGAACCACTATATGAAGGAATAGCCTAACATATGGAAAATTTTAAAGACTTGACATAAACTTTTGCTAGAATTTTTATTTTAGTGGAAATAGTGAAAAATTCAAGGTTCTCTATGAGCATATCAATTGAATCCATCTTAGCTATTCATTTATCCAGCATGCTATTACAATACTGCCCTTTCTGTTAACTATCTATACTACATAATTCTTTGATCTAGCTACTCACTATGGTAAGTGCTGAATGTTTCTTATCTATTTTAAAACAAAAAGGAAACACAGTGGCCTGAGAGCCTATGAAGAATTCAGTAATATTGTAGATATTTTTACATTAGCTAAAAAATAGCTACTGCCTTACTGATTGAATCTTAACTATTAGAATACCATATTTTGATGAATGTGATATCTTTACACTCCAAATTTTAATATACAGGCCCTAAATCTTTTTGCTAAATATATAAATTGGACATTGCAGCAGACATTGTGCACTGCCCATATCTCCTTGTCCTTCCTACCTAAGCACACATCAATACAATTCCCAACTGAAGACATAAAGGTCTTCTCTGGACATGGATGTCTACTCTGCCAACCCATGCAGCAGGCCAGAAATGCTGGAGAATTAATTATCCACTGGCTCCAGAAACTCTCAATCAATGACTGAAAGCAGTTGGTGTAGCTCCTCTGGTGAGATAACCCTGAGGCATGTGCCTACACTGGCCCCAGAGTTTCCCCAAAGGAGTTAAGTTCGATTACCCCAATGGTAACTGGCTTGCTGATGTGCACTTATTGGCAGCTGTCCCTTCCCTGTCTCAGTATTTCCTTCATATTCCAAATAAATCACCTACACAAGGATTCCTGTCTTGGCATGTGCTTCTGATAGAACCCAATCAAGAAAATGGTCCTAGGAAGCAATCTTCAGGATGACATTCTGGAACCCAATTGCTTGCCTGCCAAATGGCAACAACGATTGCATTTCTAGGCGTAAGTAAGATGGCAATAACCTTTGACATAACCACATCTGTGGATCTAGAGCAAGGCTATGCTGTCTGCAACAGAAAATGGTTCTGTATTTGAAAGGTAGTTTCCAGCATGATAAAGAACCCTAATATACTCTGAGTGCCTGAGTAGCATATATCAAGCCACTAAGCAATTGGAGATGCTCATAATAAACTGGATATTGTCAGCCACCAAGTGATCAGGCTGTAACATCACCTTTACTAGGGCTCTGACTTGGGGTGAATTGAAAGGAATAAGGTATAAACGGAGACCAAGTCCATTTGAGGAAGAACCCTGAACAAGTATATAAGAAGTATATAAAATGGTAAAGGATAAGTAACCAAACAAAAAAAGTAATTAGTTACAGCATCTTTCTTCCCTGTTGCTAATAAATAAGCACAGTACTTAGTATATATCATATATCTTAAGTTTTTTTTTGGATACTGGGGGTCTCACTATGTTACTCAGGCTGGACTTTAACTCCTGGGCTCCAGGGATCCTCCCAACTCAGCCTCCTGAGTAGCTGGGATTACAGGCACATGCCATTGCACCTGGCTTATACCTTTACCTTATAGAGACTACATCACACACTTAAAATTGTTCCTAATACTTATCTAGGAGGCCGCCAGTTTTGAGTAGTCCCAGAACAATAGCTGACTCTGCAGTAGATTCAAATTATGGTACAAGCAGCCCTGCCCCTTGGGCTATGTGACTTAGAAGCTCCAAAGGTGCTAGAGGTGCCCATGATCTATAAAGATGCCCTGTGGATTTCTGGTCAACTTCAACAGGAGAAACACAGTGCAGACACCTGTGGTTCTAGAGCACGGTTACGTTGTCTGCAGGCAGAAAATCATTCTCTATTTGAAAGGTAGTTCCTGGCATGATACGGAACCCCAATATACTATGAGTGCCTGAGTAGCATATATCAAGCCACTATGCAATTGGAGATGCTCATAATAAACTGGATATTGTCAGCCACCAAGTGATCCACCAAGTGAAATGACACAGCAGCAAGTCATATGATAAAAACCCGTATCTCAAGATCAGGCCTGAGCAATAAGTTACACAGGCACAAGTAAGTTATACAGATAGACCCAGACCTTGATGTTGCCTAGCTCCACTGCAGTGATTACAACCTCTCAACTCATTCCTGTAGCTTTGTAGGGGTTCTTTAGATGAGATTATAAAGAAGGGAAAAACCTGAGCCTGATTCACAAATTTAATCAACCCAATTCATTAGTTTTTGCTGAAGACATTGCTGCCATAATACAGTCTCACTCAAGAATAATTCTGAAAACAGTGTCAAGTGGAAATCCCTGCAGCAGGCTCAAATTGGTGGATGAGTTTTAATGAAGATACCGGGAAGATTTGGCTTCAGTGATAGGAACACCAGGAAGGCTGAAATACTGAAAATAAACTTTACCTCTTTATAATTTCTCCTACAGCCAGGCCAAACTGTCTAACCTGAGAACTACTGATCTAAGAGACACATTACAAAAAAATAGCATCTGAACCCAGACATTTCTTAGGGGCCACAACATTCCATCATTTATCCAGGAAAATACTTACCAAGGACTTAAATACAAATAGCAAAGAGTACAAAATTAGATCTCTCTTAAAAACACAATCTTTGCCCATAAAGGACTCCCATGTTAAAATCTCCATTGTCCTCCATTATCTAACACTAAGCATGAATGCATAACTCTGGGAAAGCTTGTTTTCTGGATTCACTTTAGGGACTGGAGCTTCGCTAAGTGAATGTAAACACACACATACAGACATGCACACACATCCACATACAGAAAACCTGTTCAAACTTCAAACTTAGCATTTCTGGATTTATAAGGAGACAACTGGAGTACATGACATAAAATCCTTGCCACTGTCATTGTTATCACCACCCTTACTTCTGATTTATTCCCTTCTTTTATCTCCTCTTTCTTTTCTTCTGTCACCTGTCATTTCTCCTCTGACTCTCAGATTTCACACAGGAAAGTCTGCTTTCTACTAACATCTCTGTGCTCTATAGTCCCCCTTGCCTCCTGTTTAGGCAGAGAATGGACTAATCATTAGAGTTGCAAGGTTTCAGTTTCCTTACTCATTGCATAAATGGGTTTAGAATATTTTTCCAAACAAAGATACATTTATCTTTTATTTTTCTTACTTCTGGGCTCAGTGCCACTCAGACGCTTGAGAGTACAAGATAACCAAAGTTGTTTGTAAATGAATGTAATAATTCCAAGTTTGTTTATCATAGTTCCAACACTGATGAATTTGCAAGTCTATGCTTTTATTAAGAGTAGATATAAGAAATGGTGTTTGGTGAACATGTCTTGATTCAGCAGAATCATTTGTCTAGACACTGTCGCTATTCGTGTTGCTAATAAGACATTTTGATTTACTCATTTATTTAATGAGCATTTGCCAAGTTCCTATTATCTTTGGATGATAGGAAATATAAAGATAAGTAAGTTATAGTTTTGTCTCCTAAGGAAACCCACAGTCTACAGAGGAAATGTACAAGTACGCAAGTAATTTTTATATGATTCAACAAGTGCTACAGCAGAAACAAACACAAAGTGCAATTGAAACTCAGAGGAAGGCAGATCTAACTCTCCCTCGTGGGGTCTGGAAAGTTCTCAGAAGAAGTGTGACATCTGAGCCACATCCTGAAGAAAGAATACAAATTTGCCAAGCTGAAAATCTATGAGCTGGAGAGAAAAGAAACTATGTATACCATGGCATGGAAGAACAGCTTAACAATAGATCTAGAGAACAAGGTGCACATAATTAAGTGAAGGAAATAAGGTTCAGGAGAAATGCAAGGATGCAATTCAGAATGATCTTGTATACCATACTAGAGATTGGCTTTTAACCTGAGGAATAAATGGAAATCATTGAAGCATGAGAGCACGCATGCTTCAATGATTCTTACGCATGAGAGTAGCATGATCAGATTTGCACTTAACAAAATCACTTTGATCATAATAGGGGAAAAATTGGAGAAAGATAATATGAGAAACCAGATGACCAACTAAAAGAAATAATAAGAACCTAATCCTAGTAGTGGCCAGAGGGTGACTGCAGAGGAGACAGACTAGAGAGACATTTAGGAGATAAGATAAACAGAATCAGGTGATTAATTTGTATGTGAAGGAGGAGGAAGGGCAGAGGAGAAAGTAACAAAACAGGAAAGAGTCTAGCATAATGCCCAGATTTCCGACATGAAAAGCTGGATGATGGCTTTGGCTTCACTGAGCTAAACAATTTAGGGGAAGGAAAGTTTGGAGGTCAAGAGGAAGAGTTGTTTTGGAAATGTTGAATTTGAATAGTCTATGAGATAGCCTAATAGAGATAAACAGGTGGTTGTTATACATAAGTCAGCATCTCAGGGGAAAGGCTAGACAGGTAAGACATCAGAGCTAGACGAATAAGACATATAGGTAGCAGTTTTTTGTTTGTTTTAGTTTTTATTATATAAATTTAAGGTGTTTAGCAGAATGTTTATATATATATATTTACTGTGTGTGTGTGTATATATATATATATATATATATATATATATACACATATATGGTAAAGTAATTACTACAATCAAGCTAATTATATAGGGTGAAGTAGAAACCAAATCCAAAAGGATCAGACTTAGAAATTAATATGCAGAAATCCTGCCCAAATGGAGACTAACATTAACAATCATTTAGTCACTCAGGCAGTTGGCTCTGTTTTCTAAGACAAACCAATACAATTCCTTCAAGAAAAATGATGATATCTTTCTTAACCTTGCCATTTATCAAAAGCAAACTCTCTCTTCTCTTGAGTTTTAGACATTTGTGCATTACACTTATTATGTATTTCCTAATTCATGTAACCCAAATATCAATGGCCTTACGTGTTTATTCCTGACTTTACTCTTTTTTTTTTTTAGTATTTTTTCATTTTAATTCTTACCAATCCATTTAACTATATTATTCAACATCTACCAGTTAGTGGAATGAAATATTATTTGCTCTGTTAACTCTTGTTTATTATATTAGCAAATCTGCTACCTTAACATCCTCTGCATCCTTTTTTTTTTATATATATACTTTAAGTTTTAGGGTACATGTGCACATTGTGCAGGTTAGTTACATATGTATACATGTGCCATGCTGGTGCGCTGCACCCACTAACTCGTCATCTAGCATTAGGTATATCTCCCAATGCTATCCCTCCCCCCTCCCCCCACCCCACCACAGTCCCCAGAGTGTCATATTCCCCTTCCTGTGTCCATGTGATCTCATTGTTCAGTTCCCACCTATGAGTGAGAATATGCGGTGTTTGGTTTTTTGATCTTGCGATAGTTTACTGAGAATGATGATTTCCAATTTCATCCATGTCCCTACAAAGGACATGAACTCATCATTTTTTATGGCTGCATAGTATTCCATGGTGTATATGTGCCACATTTTCTTAATCCAGTCTATCATTGTTGGACATTTCGGTTGGTTCCAAGTCTTTGCTATTGTGAATAATGCCACAATAAACATACGTGTGCATGTGTCTTTATAGCAGCATGATTTATAGTCATTTGGGTATATACCCAGTAATGGGATGGCTGGGTCAAATGGTAATTCTAGTTCTAGATCCCTGAGGAATCGCCACACTGACTTCCACAATTGTTGAACTAGTTTACAGTCCCACCAACAGTGTAAAAGTGTTCCTATTTCTCCACATCCTCTCCAGCACCTGTTGTTTCCTGACTTTTTAATGATTGCCATTCTAACTGGTGTGAGATGGTATCTCATAGTGGTTTTGATTTGCATTTCTCTGATGGCCAGTGATGATGAGCATTTTTTCATGTGTTTTTTGGCTGCATAAATGTCTTCTTTTGAGAAGTGTCTGTTCATGTCCTTCGCCCACTTTTTGATGGGGTTGTTTGTTTTTTTCTTGTAAATTTGTTGGAGTTCATTGTAGATTCTGGATATTAGCCCTTTGTCAGATGAGTATGTTGTGAAAATTTTCTCCCATTTTGTAGGTTGCCTGTTCACTCTGATGGTAGTTTCTTTTGCTGTGCAGAAGCTCTTTAGTTTAATGAGATCCCATTTGTCAATTCTGGCTTTTGTTGCCATTGCTTTTGGTGTTTTGGACATGAAGTCCTTGCCCATGCCTAAGTCCTGAATGGTAATGCCTAGGTTTTCTTCTAGGGTTTTTATGGTTTTAGGTCTAACGTTTAAATCTTTAATCCATCTTGAATTGATTTTTGTATAAGGTGTAAGGAAGGGATCCAGTTTCAGCTTCCTACATATGGCTAGCCAGTTTTCCCAGCACCATTTATTAAATAGGGAATCCATTCCCCATTGCTTGTTTTTCTCAGGTTTGTCAAAGATCAGATAGGTGTAGGTATGCGGCGTTATTTCTGAGGGCTCTGTTCTGTTCCATTGATCTATATCTCTGTTTTGGTACCAGTACCATGCTGTTTTGGTTACTGTAGCCTTGTAGTATAGTTTGAAGTCAGGTAGTGTGATTCCTCCAGCTTTGTTCTTTTGGCTTAGGATTGACTTGGCAATGCCGGCTCTTTTTTGGTTCCATATGAACTTTAAAGTAGTTTTTTCCAATTCTGTGAAGAAAGTCATTGGTAGCTTGATGGGGATGGCATTGAATCTGTAAATTACCTTGGGCAGTATGGCCATTTTCACGATATTGATTCTTCCTACCCATGAGCATGGAATGTTCTTCCATTTGTTTGTATCCTCTTTTATTTCATTGAGCAGTGGTTTGTAGTTCTCCTTGAAGAGGTGCTTCACATCCCTTGTAAGTTGGATTCCTAGGTATTTTATTCTCTTTGAAGCAATTGTGAATGGGAGTTCACTCATGATTTGGCTCTCTGTTTGTCTGTTGTTGGTGTATAAGAATGCTTGTGATTTTTGTACATTGATTTTGTATCCTGAGACTTTGCTGAAGTTGCTTATCAGCTTAAGGAGATTTTGGGCTGAGACAATGGGGTTTTCTAGATATACAATCATGTCGTCTGCAAACAGGGACAATTTGACTTCCTCTTTTCCTAATTGAATACCCTTTATTTCCTTCTCCTGCCTAATTGCCCTGGCCAGAACTTCCAACACTATGTTGAATAGGAGTGGTGAGAGAGGGCATCCCTGTCTTGTGCCAGTTTTCAAAGGGAATGCTTCCAGTTTTTGCCCATTCAGTATGATATTGGCTGTGGGTTTGTCATAGATAGCTCTTATTATTTTGAAATACGTCCCATCAATACCTAATTTATTGAGAGTTTTTAGCATGAAGGGTTGTTGAATTTTGTCAAAGGCTTTTTCTGCATCTATTGAGATAATCATGTGGTTTTTGTCTTTGGTTCTGTTTATATGCTGGATTACATTTATTGATTTGCGTATATTGAACCAGCCTTGCATCCCAGGGATGAAGCCCACTTGATCATGGTGGATAAGCTTTTTGATGTGCTGCTGGATTCGGTTTGCCAGTATTTTATTGAGGATTTTTGCATCAATGTTCATCAAGGATATTGGTCTAAAATTCTCTTTTTTGGTTGTGTCTCTGCCAGGCTTTGGTATCAGAATGATGCTGGCCTCATAAAATGAGTTAGGGAGGATTCCCTCTTTTTCTATTGATTGGAATAGTTTCAGAAAGAATGGTACCAGTTCCTCCTTGTACCTCTGGTAGAATTCGGCTGTGAATCCATCTGGTCCTGGACTCTTTTTGGTTGGTAAGCTATTGATTATTGCCACAATTTCAGCTCCTGTTATTGGTCTATTCAGAGATTCAACTTCTTCCTGGTTTAGTCTTGGGAGAGTGTATGTGTCGAGGAATTTATCCATTTCTTCTAGACTTTCTAGTTTATTTGCGTAGAGGTGTTTGTAGTATTCTCTGATGGTAGTTTGTATTTCTGTGGGATCAGTGGTGATATCCCCTTTATCATTTTTTATTGTGTCTATTTGATTCTTCTCTCTTTTTTTCTTTATTAGTCTTGCTAGCGGTCTATCAATTTTGTTGATCCTTTCAAAAAACCAGCTCCTGGATTCATTGATTTTTTGAAGGGTTTTTTTGTGTCTCTGTTTCCTTCAGTTCTGCTCTGATCTTAGTTATTTCTTGCCTTCTGCTAGCTTTTGAATGTGTTTGCTCTTGCTTTTCTAGTTCTTTTAATTGTGATGTTAGGGTGTCAATTTTGGATCTTTCCTGCTTTCTCTTGTGGGCATTTAGTGCTATAAATTTCCCTCTACACACTGCTTTGAATGCGTCCCAGAGATTCTGGTATGTTGTGTCTTTGTTCTCGTTGGTTTCAAAGAACATCTTTATTTCTGCCTTCATTTCGTTATGTACCCAGTAGTCATTCAGGAGCAGGTTGTTCAGTTTCCATGTAGTTGAGCGGCTTTGAGTGGGATTCTTAATCCTGAGTTCTAGTTTGATTGCACTGTGGTCTGAGAGATAGTTTGTTACAATTTCTGTTCTTTTACATTCGCTGAGGAGAGCTTTACTTCCAACTATGTGGTCAATTTTGGAATAGGTGTGGTGTGGTGCTGAAAAAAATGTATATTCTGTTGATTTGGGGTGGAGAGTTCTGTAGATGTCTATTAGGTCCGCTTGGTGCAGAGCTGAGTTCAATTCCTGGGTTTACTCTTGAGATCCTGGACAAGAGAGACCTTCCACAGATCTGGGGTATCTCTTTTCAGTCTAATGTGTGTTGTTCTACTCCAGATTTTTAAAAATTGCTTACTAGAAATGAAACAATTATGTCAAACATTGAAATAAATAATATTGAAACCTTATAGTTATTCCAACTTTTAAAGTATTCTAAATATTTCCTTCAAACAATAAATGCTGACCTCTAAAAAATCAATACAATGGCTTCCTGATATGATCAGCTTCCTACTTCATAAGGTATTCATCATCATCTCATTCAAATTCTACGGTTCAAATAATTTCTTTTAAAAACAAGAACAAAAAAAATTAGTAAAAGTTACAAATTATTTCTGAATCTCACTTCAGTATAGTTAGATTTTGCAGCACAATCAGGTTCTAATCACACCCCGATTGGTACAGATTTATGCAAAGACTTTATACAAGAATTAATGGACATTAAGAAAATCATTCCATGCATACTGATATGTGATTATGCCTGAAGACATGTAGAGTCACCCACAGCTGGAAACATGCTAAAATAATAAAGCTACAGTCGGAAATGCTGTTTTAATTATGAATTTCTTTTCTATTTTTAGACAGTACTGATCTTCACTTTTATTAGAGATACATTATTTTTATTTAAACTTTTGTTCCTTACAACTCTATATATAGAAAATTTAAAAAACATATCACTGACATATATCCAGAAAATAACTAAGAGGAGTTTTTATTTTCAGGTCAAAGAGAAAAAATAATAATAAAGTCACAAATAAATGTATGAACTTAATTAAATTAGATAAGTGAGGTTTAAGATATGTTTCTATGATACAAGTAAAGTTATAATGAATATAGGAAGGAAAAAAGACATACTTTGAGGCCACCCAAAAGAACTACACTGTCCTAGCATTCATCTCTTAGCTTTGAGATTATCCCTGAATTATCAAGGAAGGAAATTATTATTTATTGAGTAGGCACTTAGCCAGTTATATATTAATGCACACTTTACCTAATTTACTTTTCAGTGTACAACTTATTTTTTCTTTATGAAATGGAGACAATAATACTTTCCAGTAATATTTGCTCCATTTCATAAAGGAAAAAGAAGTTTATATAAAGGCCTTGTGATGGTTTTAAAATATCATGAAATCCATTGCAAAGGTGAGGTCTAATTCTCTTCTCCTTAAGTGTGGGTGGATTTAGTGACTTAGAATATGGCAGAAGTATCAGCTTGTATCTCCTGAGACTGGATCATAAAAGACAGCCTTCCTACTTGTTCTCTCTCTTCCTTGGATGGCTCATTCTGAGGAACACTAACTGCTATGTCATGAAAATATAGCCTGTATTAATCAGCTTGGTCTCTCACACCATAGGCTGTGTGACTTAAACAACAGAAATTGATTTTTCACAGTTCTGGAGACTGGGATGTTCAAGAGCAAGGTGCTAACCTATTAAGTTCCTGGTGAGAGTTCTTTTCCTGGCTTACAGATAGCCACCTTCTTGCTGTGTCCTCTCATGGGAGAGCTCTGTTGTCTCTTCCTCTTTTTATAAGAGCATCAGCCTGATCATATTAGGGACCCATCCTTAAGACTTCATTTAACCTTTTTCACCTCCTCACAGGCCCTGTCTCTAAATACAGTCACATTTGGGGTTAGTATTTCAACATATAAATTTCAGGGGGACACAAAGATGCAGTCTATAACACAACCCTGTGGAAAGGTTAATGTGGGAGGAGACTAAGGCCCCTGCCAACAGCCATGTGAGTGAACCAGCTTGCAGGCAGTTCTTCTAGCTCCAGTCAAGCCTTCGGATTACTGTACCCCTGGTCAATATCTTGAATGCAACCTCATAAGAAATCTTGAGGCAGAGTCACCCAGCTAAGTTGATCCTATATATCTTACTGTAAGTATCTAAATATCTTACAATGTGAGAAAATAAATACTTATTGTTTAAGTTGCTATTTTGGGGGAAAATTTGGCAGCAATAGATAGTAAGTGGTAAAACAGGAATTAGAAGCCAGATTTTTCTAACTGTTGAAGTGTATATGCTCTTTCCACTACCCACACTGCTTCTCCAATATTTATTTAAAAGCTCATTCATTTACTGTGAGAGTTCACACATACTAACTCAGTTAATCCTTATAACAACTTTGAGATAATGTTTTATAATACTACACACAAAATATATTTTTGTAATTAAAAATGATTTTTAAATAAATTACTTTGACATTATGAAATTGGTTGTACCTCCAAAGAATGTTCCAATCAATCCACTTCTCTCCATCTCCCCTATGACTACCCTGATCTATATGCCACATCATCTGTAGCCTAGATGACCTCAGTGGCCTAACTAGTTCCTTGCTTTTACAGTTTTCTTCCCCATAGCAGGAGGAGTGAATTTTAAAGATGTAAATCAAACTATGATAATCTCCTACTTAAAACCTTTCCATGACTTCGTGTGATTCCTTTTGCTGGTTAATTGATGGCAATTCATTGCAACTACAATGTAATACATATGCATAATGTTTCTTCATTCATTTCCTTTCATTTCCCCACACTGCTCTTTTTTCTGTCCCATGAAACCCATTCTGTCCTCAATCTGGGCTCAGGATCTTTGCAACTTATAACCAAGAAAGAAGATGAGCTCGATGGAATAAAATATGAGCTCATAAGTTTAAAAAATAATTGACTAGCTAAAAGAGTATAAACACTAAGAAATAAAGACAGGATACTGAACATTTTAGACCACAGGTAAGAATATAAATAAAACTTATAGAACACTTAAATAAAACATTTCACACTCATTATATAGAAAAATCTATATTTATAAGTAACCTAAACAAATCTGAATTTATTCACATTCCTCATTCTCTAGCCAAATTACAATAACCACCAGTATCTAGGTCAATAAGTGAATTTGCCTCTCTGTTCTCTGTTCTGTATATCTATGCAGTAGAAATGAAAATAACTATAGTAGACTTACCTCCTTAGTTAGGCTTTAGGTTTTTATATTTCATAAGACAAAAAGTCAAATATGGTCAAAATTATTATTGAAAGCCTCTTAAAAGACCTACATAGAAAAACAATATACCATTTCTCAATAAGTCAACCATACCTTTCCTTCCAGAAGTAGATTAAACCTTCTGGTTTAACATCCAATAAATGTTGAACGTTTGAATCACAATTTCACATTACGATCTCGTTCTATGAGAAGCATGAAAGAACTGAGAGCACCTGAGGAAGAACAGCAGCTTACACCTTCCCTCTCACACTTACTTTGAGGTCATAGACACACTGAGTAGAATGATGAAATCACCTCTGTTATTTCTCTGTCTCTTCTCACTGTCTCTTCTTAACCCCCTCATGTTAAGGTTGCTTAAATTGAGACAGTAGTAATAGGAGGAAGCAGAGCTAAATGGAAAACTCTCCAGCAATCATCCTCCCAAAAAGAATACCAAATTAAACAACTATCCCTACAAGAAAGCACCTTCATAAGAACCAAAAATCAGATGAGCAATCACAGTACCTGGTTTAAACATCATATCAAGGAAAGAGACATTGAAGAGGGTAGGAAAGGCAGTCTTGAATTGCCGACATCACCCCTCCCCAATCCTGCAACAGTGGTCCCATGGTGTGGAGAGAGAATCTGTGTGCTTGAGAAAGGGAGAGTTCAGTGATTATGGGACTTTGCATTGGAACTCAGTGCTGCCCTGTCAGAGCAGAAAGCAACATCAGGCAGAATTCAGCCAGTGCCCACAGAGGGAGCATTTAGACCAGCCATAGACTGAGAGGAATTATCCACTCCAGTGGTTGGAACCTGAGTTTTGGCAAGCACCCTCACATAGCTAAAGTGTTCTGGGGTCCTAAATAAATTTGAAAGGCATCCCATGTCACAAGGACTGCAATTCCTGGGCAAGTCTTTGTGCTGTGCTGGGCTCAGAGCCAGTAAACTTGGGTGCACAACCTAGTGAGACACCAGCCAGGACAGCAAGGGAGTGCTTGCATCACTCTTCCTTTAATCCCAGGTAGCAGCTCTGGGAGAGACTTCTTCATTCTCCTTGAGGAAAGTAAAGAGGACTTTGTCTTGCAACTTGGATACCAGCTCAGTCATGGCAGAATAGGGCACTAGGCAGAGTCCCGAGGCCCCCTTTCTAGGCCCTACCACTCAGGAAACATTTCTAGACACACCCTGGGGCAAGAGGGAGCCTGCTGCCTTGAAGGGAAAGAGCCAGTTTTGGCAGGATTTATCACCTGCTGACTAAAGAGCCCTTGGGCCTTGCATAAACAACAGTGGTACCCAGGGAATGCTCACACAGGCCTTGGATGAGACCCAGGCCCATGCTGGCTTCACGGGTGACCCAGTGTATTCCCGGCTGTAATAGCCACAAGGAGAGGCTCCTTCTGCTTGAGGAAAGGAGAGAGAAGAATAAAGGGGACTTTATCTTGCAGCTTAGGCACCAGCTCAGCCAGAGGGGGGTAGAGAATCAAGCACGCTTCTGGGGTCCCTAATTCCATACCTTAGCTCTTGTATGGCATTTATGGACCCATCCTGGGCCAGAGGAGAGCTTGCTGCCCTGAAAAGAGAGACTCATGCCTGGAAGAATTCACCATAAGCTGACTGAAGAGTGCTTGGACCTTCAGTGAACATCAGTGGAGCCCAAGTAGTACTCACCATAGGCATCACATGGTGGTGGCCACAGGGAGAGACTTCTTCTGCATGAGGAAAGGAAAGAAAAGAGTGGGAAGGACTTTATCTTGGGGCTTGGGTGCCAGGTCAGCTGCAGTAAAATAGAGCACCAGGCAAATTCCTAAGTTTTCCAACTCCAGGCCCTGGCTCCTGGGTGACATTCGTGGGCCTGCCCTGGGCTGGGGTGTGGCTCACTGCCCTAAGGGAAGGGCATAATAAGCCTGGCTGAATTCATCACCTGCTCTCTGAAGAGCCCTTGGACGTTGGGCCAGGCAGTGGTCACTGTCGGACTCAGGCGAGACCCAGCAATGTACTGATTTCAGGTCTTACCCAGTATAGGCCCAGTGGTGGTGGCCAGAGGGGTGCTTGTGTCATCCTTCCCCAAGTTCCAGGCAGCTCAGCACAAACAGAAAGACTCCAGTATTTTGGAGGAAAGTAAGGGAAGAGAACAATAGTCTCTGCCTGGTAATCTGGTAAATTCTCTTGGATCTTACCCAGGACCACCAAAGCAGTACCTCTACAAGTCTGAAAGAGCCATAATGTTACTTGGCTTGGGGTGCCCACTAATGAATATATGGCCTCGGTGACCAATAATTTAAATCACAACACTCAATTCCTTTTGAAAACTCAGAAAGCCTTCCCAAGAAGTATAGATACAAACAAACTCATACTGGAAAGACCTACAATACTTAACTCTTCAATGCCCAGACATCAACGAACAACACAAGCATTAAGACCATCCAAGAAAACATGACTTCACCAACCAAACTAAATAAAGCACAATTACCAATCTCAAAGTGACAGAGATAGGTGACCTTTCAGATAGAAAATTCAAACTAGCTGTTTTGCAAAAGCTCAATGAAACCACAAAAGACACAGAATAACCAAATCTATGCTGAGCAAAAAGAACAAAACTGGAAGAATCACATTATCTGACTTCAAATTATACTACAGAGCTCTAGTAACCAAAACAACATAGTACTGGGATAAAAACAGACATATAGAAGAATGGAACAGAATAAGGAATCCAGAGATAAATCTATACATCAACAGTGAACTCATTTTCAACAAAGGTGCCAAGAACATTGGGGAAAGAACAGTCTCTTCAATAAATGGTGCTGGGAAAACTGGATTTCCATATGCAGAAAAATCAAACTAGATCCCTCTCTCTCACCATATACAAAAATCAAATCAAAATGGATTCAAGATTAAATCTGAGACCTCAAACTGTGAAACTACTAAACAAAAACATTGAGGAAACTCTCTGGGACATTGGTCTGGGCAAAGATTTATCAAGTAATACCCCAAAGGCACAGGCAACCAAACCAAAAATGCACAAATGGGATCACATTAAGTTAAAAAGCTTCTGCACAGCAAAGGAAACAATCAACAACGTGAAGAGAAAACCCACAAATGGGGAGAAAATATTCGCAAACTATCCATCTGACAAGGAATTAATAACCAGAATATATAAGGAGCTCAAACAATTAAATAGGAAAAAATCTAATAATCTGATTTTAAAATGGGCAAAAGACCTGAATAGACATTTCTCAAAAGAAGACATACAAATAACAGACATATAAAAAGGTGCTCATCATCACTGATGATCAGAGAAATGCAAATCAAGAGTACAATGAGATATCATCTCACCCTAGTAAAAAATGGCTTATATACAAAAAAAGCAGGCAATAACAAATGCTGGTGAGGAGGTAGAGGAAAGAGAACCCCCATGCACTGTTGAAGGGAATGTAAATTAGTACAACCACTATGGAGAACAGCATGGAGGTTCCTCAAAAAATTAAAGACAGAACTACCATAGAATCCAGCAATCCACTGCTAGGTATATTCCCAAAAGAAAGGACATCAGTATGTCAAAGCAATATCTGAACGCCTATGTTTACTGTAGCACTAGTCATAATAGGCAAGATTTGGAAGCAACCTAAGTGTCCATCAACAGATGAATGGATAAAGAAAATGTGGTACGTGCAAACCACAGAATACTATTCAGCCATATAAAAGAATGAGATCCTGTCATTTGCAACAACATGGATGGAACTGGAGTCATTATATTAAGTGAAAGAAGCCAGGCACAGGAAGACAAACATCGCACATTCTCACTTATTTGTGGAAGCTAAAAATTAAGACAATTGAACTAATGGAGAGAGACAGTAGAAGGATGGTTACCAGAGACTGGGAAGGATGGGGTCGGGGAAGGTGGGGATGGCTAATAGATACAAAAAAATAGATAGAATGACTAAGATCTAGCATTTATAGCACATCAGGGTGACTACAGTCAACAATAATGTATTGTACATTTAAAAATAATTAAAAGCATAATTAGATTGTTTATAACACAGAAAAATTATAAATGCTTGAGGTTATACATTCTACAAATTTTGCCTAAATTAAATCCACAGATGATGTGACTCCAGAGCATTTATATAAGACCACTACCTGCCCCAGCTGAATGATGGCTGACAGGAGATGGGGGAAGACACCTTGTCCTTGCTTTTAGCCATATGTAGTCCCTACACATGACTTACTCTAGGTTATAAAGGCTGACCACTGAGTCAGGAAACACAAATACAGAATAAATACTTTATTGGCAACACATTATAATATACATTAAAATAATAGTATCTGTATTTCCAAATGCTATGGCCACCCTGTACATAAAACAGTGTGAATAATTATAGTCCCTATGCTCTGAGAGTCGATAAACTAAAATAAATAAATACTTGTTGCAGATAAAAGCACAAAATTGGCAAGAAAATTTAGCCAAAATAACCATGTCAAACTCATAGCTAAAAATTCAAAAGAAAAATGTATGTGTCAGCAAATATGTCCAGTTTTTCTTCAACTGGTAAGAAAGGAGATAGTCTCATGACACACAATTTTGTCTCGGTTTCTATCCTTAAAACTGTTACTTTACACTTAACACACCCAGCCAATCAAGAAATTAGAAATATATGTTTGAATTATTTACCCACTACTTAGTAGATTTTTGAACAAAACCTTTTTCTTTTCAATTTTTAATTGACAAATAACAATTATATATATATTTATCGTGTACAACATATTTTGAAATATGTATAGATGGTGGATTGGCTAAATTGAGCTAATTAACATATGTATTATCTCACACAGTTATCATATTTGGGGAGAGAACACATAAAACCTACTCCCTTAGCATTTTTCAATACAATAAATCATACGAAACCTTTCTTTACAAATTCCAAGCCAATGCCTAGAAAGTAAAAGTTGGAAAAACTTTCTACCTGTTAGTTTTAGCAAACTTCACCTTCTCCTTGGAAGAAAAGCAAATATATGTTAACTGGAAAGTTGAAAGGAAAACCTGCTGATTTCCAGGCAAACTGGATATGCTGGGTTAGAAAAAAGAATGTTCTCATTGATTTAGATTGGACACCTGGTAAGCCCTTTAGAAGACTCGGTACCTGTCTCAGAAAAGAGCAATGTAGGCCCAAAATGACCAACCAGATACGTAGAATCATGTTGATTCCATTTTCTGCCAAGAGTTTTGTAAAAACTACAGGCATAAAAAATTAAAGGTTTTATTGCAGGACAGATGGGCATGCATGCCGGGAAGCCATATAGCTGGCCCACACAAAACGGATGAACAATCCCTGATTTTCATAACACTTCACTTGAAGACACAGCATATTTCCTGCCTGAGCAATGAAGCCAAGGGAATAGGAAAGACTCCTTTCTAATATTTTTCCAGATAGTTAAATGTGATTGTCTAGAGAATTTCCATTTGCAGTTAGCTTGGCATGCCTTTTACCAGAATTCATTATTCCACTCAGCTTTATAAGCCTGGGGGAGGTGGGGAAGAAGGGTTGTGTCCACACGGTCTTGATCTCTGCTATCTGTTAATCCTGTCTAACTAGGGCAGCCGCTGAGTTACATGATTTCTTCTCTGGGGCTATTTATATTTAACACAAGATTCAAGAAACGGTCTCAAACCCTAGTCTGGGAAACATTAAAAAGACAGATTCTTTTATACAATTTAGCAAGTTTGGATGGGAGGAGGTGTTGTTAGAAAACTGTATTTTGTCCAGTATTCCCAATAAACCGACTCCCATTTGGTCATCACTACTTACAAGATCAAAAATTATTAGAACTCAGACTAATAAATCACTAAAGTAGAATTTAATGCATGGGCAATGGAAATAAACATTGTGGAAGGGAAATCATACACTAGCAGCTGCCTATTAACCTTTGCATAAATTTAACTGGGTTGAGTGGTTTTAAGTTTTCATCTAGTCAATATCTGAATACAGAAAGTTTAGACTAAATGACTCCCAACTTCACTTCAAGAACTGTATGCAGTGATGAGCTTGTAAATTAACCACATCTCCAGGAAAAGATGTCTGCATATATATATCTCATATACATATACGTATATACATGCACACGTTTATAAGAAATTGTGCTGATGTAAAACATGTAACCTACAATTCACGAAAATAATAAAATATACAATATTCTTTATTGTAAACTTCATATGCATTTAACTTCAGTGTGACTTGCTATTTCTTAAAAACACTATCAGTTTTTATAATTATATGCCAACAATAGTGTCACAAAATCAGACTATGAATATATGCTTGATTACTATCCAATTCAGCACGGAAATCACTCACATCATTAAGAAATGAGTGTAGTTATGACAAAATGTTGGTTGATAATTTTGTTTACATTAAGGAATAAGATGAAAGTGAAATAAGCCATGTGCTAGAAATTCACTCATTCATCAATAAAGTGAGTGACTTCTTTGCTAAATTAGATAACAGTTTGTAAATACTGGCAGAAATTTCTTCATGTTTTTTATGCTATTCGCAATATCATTGCCACAGACAGGACACACTTTTAAGTTTATTCAGCATTTAACATTTTCTCCATCATTTCTAAAATGTAGGCAATCAACAAAACATTAAATCAAGCCCTGATTTGCACCATTTGCTGATTGCTGTAGTATAAAGACTCCCACCTGGCCGATTTCAAGCTACCAACATGAAGTCTCTGAGGGCCAAGTTTGAAAGAGATGCAAAGAAGTATCTCTTTCACCAGACAATTGATATATAACCTCAAGAGCAGAGATAATAGTTAAAAGTGATAAAGGAATTAGGAAGTAATAAGTTTTGAATGTTGAGTTATTTTATATTAATATAAATTAATTGTTTTATATATTTTAATTTTTTAATAATGATTGTGTTGGCCGGGGGTGGTGGCTCATGCCTGTAACCCCAGCACTTTGGGAGGCCGAGGCGGGTGGATCACCTGAGGTCGGGAGTTCGAGACCAGCCTGACCAACAAGGAGAAACCCCGTCTCTACTAAAAATACGAAATTAGCCAGGCGTGGTGGCGTGTGCCTGTAATCCCAGCTACTTGGGAGGCTGAGGGAGGAGAATCGCTTGAACCCAGGAGGCAGAGGTTGCTGTGAACTGAGATCGCACCATTGCACTCCAGCCTGGGCAACAAGAGCAAAACGATGTTTCAAAAAATAAATAAATAAATATAATGATTGTGTTTAACAACTACTTCACAAAATTTCTGAAAATCTTACATTTGACTCAAGCCAATTAGCACCACTTAGAGCCATTGTTATATGTTTGCTTGCAAATATTCAGATGGGAAGAGGCAAGGCAAAATAGATAAGTTAGCCAATGTTATGGGAGGAGGTTAGGAGAGGAAGAGTATGTGGAATAAAAATGTAGAAAAAACTGTTCTTACCTGTTTGCAACCTTAACTCCCAGAGATTACCATTTCAATTTTGTAATAGGAACTCACCAGGAGGATCCTCCACAGAAGAATGGAAATCAACCAATGGATAGTGGACCTTTGTCTCTGGCCATGGCACCATCTCTAAAAGCAATGGTCCAGTGGTTTTCAATCCTGATGCCCATAAGAATCACCTATGTTGTTGTTGTTGTTGTTGTTGTTTTTAATACAGGCATCAGGGCCACCTAAACCAGAATTTCCTATGGTGAGTCCACTTTCCAATCTACTTTGAAATTTTAACCCAGAATGTTCACTGTTAATAGCATCTATTTGGCTTAAGTTCATATTGGTGAGAGTCAATTTCTAAAAGCTCACCCTGAAACTAGGTAACTACTCATGTCAATTTCAACAAGTATATAAAATAATTAATTTCTGTGTTTAAATGGGAAATTATATGCAATGTGTTCTTTTTAGAATCAGCTATAATAAAAAGAGACATTTCATTTATAAAATTTCTTACAATTTTTTTCTAATAACCAGTCATAAATTCCCCATGAGTGAAAAGTTTATGTTCACAATATTCTGTTGCCTTTCTGTATTTTCAAAATTGAAAGATGAAGAAGAAACAAACTTTGATCTGACTGACATTATGATGACAGGAACAGAGAGAGACATTTTTAGGACATATTTTCAAAACTGTGCACATGAAATGACATTTTAAGTTTGGGAAATCATATTACTTTAAATGGGATTTACATGGTTACATTCCAAACTACTTTGAAATTTTAACCTAGAATGTTCACTTTTGACGGTGTCTATTTGACTTAAGCTTATGCTGGATAACTTAAAAGTTGCCATTTTAACACTCAAGTATTTCAAAATTTTGAAATAACTATCTAACATTTGTAAGTTTCTGATCAACTTTAACAATAAATAATTAGCAAGCTAGGTAAAAATTATTTTAAAAGTAAAATTCAAAACTATCTCCAAAAAATGTTTATGTAATCAAAACAGTGTAAAAGCAAGATTTAAAAGGATTGCAATTCTGAACATGAATTTAGAAATATTAGTAATCACCTTATGTTCTAATGCTTAGCATTACAACAAAAGCATCATATCAGGCCATTTATTTTCACTGCTTAAATTGCTAACTTTGAATGTTGTCACATTTTAACCATTTTCCTAGATGACGCTCTCTAATTTGGAGGTCAGCATTCTCATAACATATAAGCAGTTTTGCCAAAACCCCTCCCTGAGTCTCTATTTTTTCCATTTACATTTGTCTTCTCCTCCACCTCCACACCTCATAATAGTAGTGTCAGTATTGGTAACAGTGTTCCCAAAAGTATGAATCATTTTGCATGATAATCACTTAAAGTTAGTAGCACAACTGCAAGCCAATCTATGGACCAGTTTAGGGTTCAATTATCCATGTGTCCCTAAATTAAAACCAAATTTTACAGATTAATTCACTGCCATGGTATAGGTAGAAAACTGTGGGTACAAACCATAAAATGCCTCTATCCACAGTGCTAGCTTTCCAATTCATTTCATCTTTGTTCATTTTTTTCCATGTTTATTGCTGACAAACTCTGCCAGTGTATATATTAGTCAGATACCACCTAATGTTCTTTGGCACTTATTACATTTCCCATTAAGCTAAAATCCTAAAATAGCTTTTTAAATACTGAATTTGTATCTCTGCCAATATGAAATTGTGAAACCTTCCTTATCCATTTATTGCATCAAATACTTGATTTCCCCAGATGCTAAATCATTAATCTTGTCTGGATGTATTTCAAGATCAAAGCTCCCATTTTAATAAATTTACATGACAACCAAAAATAAATCTTCAGAGGCCCATCTTTCTGGCTCATGACCTGTCTTAAATCCTCTACCTGAAGCTGATACCTATACTACTTCCAGATTTGGAAACAAAGAACATATTTAGGAGATTACATTTAGACAGAAGCAGCAAGAAATCTTCCTTTTATACATTTTTCTCCTTTCCAAGCACACGCAATAAATTTATACCTCTGCAGGTTAACAGAAAACATGGATGTTATTATACATACTGCTTTGTTCCCTCTGGCTGTCTTCAAAATATCTAAGACCAGGGCCTCAAAGAATTTTCTGTAACAGAACTTTGCTGCCACCAACTGAACACATTCACCCAATGCAAGTAGGTTTTGTTTTTTGGTTTGGGGTTTTTTTTCACAAATTAGTGCTGAAAAAGGAGATGAAGGGAAGACACATATTCTCTTGGCCCACATCCCAAACTCCAGCCATAACTCCATCTTTAATCAGTAATACCACGTGAGCATTGAAAGAGAGCTGAGAATTCATATCTTGACATTAGCAATGGCAGCCCTCCCTTTGCAACTCTAAACCACTTCATATTAATAGAAAACTCCTCCTTTATTTGTAAGCAAAGGGCATCTGTTTTATTCATACAAACAAGCATAAATCAAAGAGTTTGTGCCAGGAGTGAGTGGCATGTCATGAAATGGTAATGTTGACCTGGCCATTGAGCTGGGCTAAGTGAAAGTCTTTTGAATCAATAATGGTTACCAGGTCAGAAAAGCAAACTCCTCTAATCTCATTCCCACCGGTGAATTCTTGAAAAAAAATTCAAAGTAGTCTTCACAGGTGGCCCTAATTTCTTGTTCGGAAGCCAAATCCACTTTGATCTTTTAAAGGGGTAAGAGACTATTTAGTCAGTTTGTCCTAGACCTTTGCAACACATTAGAATCACCTGGTAAAATACAAAGTTCAAGGCCCCTCCTCAGAACTCCCAATTAGAGCCTCTCAGAAGGGAATTTGGGCAACAGCATATTTTTTAGTCCACAGGAAATCCTGAAATACAGCCAGAGTTGAAGAGCACTAGCTTAGGCCTATTCTCTCATTTCCTAAATGGGGGAACAGGTTCAGAAGAGTAAAAGCAGTCAACAAAAATATATGCACACACCCTTAAGGAAAACCTTGAGGAGGCCTAGAACATTGGGTTTGGAGAGTGTGATGCCTGGCTTCACTAGGGAGGCTTATCCAAAAGGAAGCACATCCTAACATGTTGATCTTTGCCAAATTCCTTTGGTCTCTTGAACAATTCAACATAAGCAAGATAAAAATGCTTTAACGGTTAAAAAAAAAAAACACAGTCTTTGGAAGATAATAAGAAAAATAACCTCACTTTATTTTCATTTCATACCTGTCCCATTTAGCTTGAAATTTTTGCCCTCTTGAACCTTATGAGTGCTGAAAATATATTTACTGTGAGTCAAATATGATCTAATTTGTTAATTCCCATGACCCTGATATTTTCCTTTAACATAGCCGAAACATGGAATGTTTGAAGTAAAATTAATGTACATTTAAAGTTTTTCATTTATTCGACTTAATGTTTCTAATATATAGAAGGAAAAATTTAATACATGGTATGCTGATTTTTTTTCTACAGTTTTCTGGTTTTCTTACCTCTGTCTTTGGAAGATTCATTTTAGATTACTTCTAGTGCCTTATGAAGAAGGTCTACCCACCATCACTACCCAAGAAAGCAAGTTAATGCTTTATGTTTCTCCTACTTCTTGGACCTTCCCAACTCTACCAGCCCCTACCCCAACCAATCACAGCCCTAGCTCACCCAGTAGTAATTTTGCTTCAAGTCAAACCCTGATTCACCTGCCTTTTTGCTTAGTAGTGTCTTTAACCTGCTCTCCTAGTGAGCACTCAAGAATCTTTGACATTAAATGGGTACTGCACCCCTACCTGATTGAAATGGCTTTGACCTTGACAAAAAAAGCTGATTTCACCCAATAGGGCTTCCTATTTTTGGAAATTCAATTCACACTGACTTATCAGGGGTGAGGGGGAGAAAAGCAAGCAAGACAGAGGTTGGTGGTGGAAGTAACTTGAGTCCAAGACGGAGACTTATAGCTCTATACATGGCAAGACACCCACTGGAAATCTGTTGGGATGAAGAAATGGTACACCTTCTGGGAGTAGTTAGCCCAAAGTAATAAAGTGGTCAGGCAAACAAGTTTCTTTCAGCTACAAAGCATCAGTAGTTGGAACAGAATAGGGGCACAAGCAAGACTGCTTTGGTACCCATGTGGGAAAGTGTAAAGCTAAAAACAAGAGCATGTTTTCTTCCTGCTTGTTAACAATACAGAATGGAATTGGGAAGTCTGAGGACACTGGAGAAAACAAATATGATTTTGACCCTTAAAAGACCTCAGAATATAAATGAAAGACAGGGAAATCCAATGAATATGGTTACCCAAATGCCAGAGGACAGATCACAAGAAAGAGGCCAAATCGAAAAAAAAAAAAAAGAAGAAGAAGAAAGAAAGAGAGAGAGAGAGAGAGAGAGAGAAAGAAAGAAAGAAAGAAAGAAAGAAAGAGAGAGAGAGAGAAAGAAAATGAAAGAAAAAAATAAAAAAATATTGGGGTTTATGCTGTCTATGCTGTCGTTGGAAGAAGCGTATGCTAAGGAGTATACATGAAATATTTCTAGAAGTTTCCAATAAATAACTTAGGATCCACCGTATTGGGGGATAAAGGTGCTGAAATCACAGAAGGAACTGCTATTGACCACCTCCTAGGTTTCACATGCTAGTGATAGCAATTAGCTGCTTCTACCCCCAAGACGTTCACTTCCCCACCTCCCACCTGTCCAGATATTGCATGTCTTGGAAATAATGATATGCCTTCTCCTCAGTCCTGATGTATTCTTATTATTCCAAATGAGAAATTCCTGCAAGAAGTGGCTAGTTGGGGAATGGAGTAGTAGGCAATATCTTGGCTAATTATTGTCATAAAAATAAATGACATCAAACCTAAATGTATTACATTTGTCAGACATTATCCTCTAATTAAATAAACACAACCAAAATAATTCCATCCAATAAGGCTACTCTTACAAGAACTAATTTCACAGTTAATTCATTCTGGTAGTGCCAATAATACAGCTTTTTATAAAAATTCAATCATCTACAGAGATTGTACTAAAGTTCTATTACAGCAAGGTAATTCTTGGCCTTGAATATTTTCAGGCTGAAATAATATGTTTGATGCTTTAAGGTGTAAAAATTCTGTGCTCACAACCAAAAACTTGTCTAAGGTCTTAAAGATATAAAACTTTTTTATATAAAAATGTAGTTCTTTTCACTAATGCCTTAGAGCTGACACTTGCAAAGGTTAGGAATTGCATTCCACCAAAAAAAGCACAAAGAAACAAACATTTAGTGGTGTTCATATGGACACTATATGTAACATCAGCAATGACTCCTCAGAGTCTCTTGAGTCCCACGGTGATATACTTGGCCAACAGACCCTGACGACAGCAGGCTGCTTGAAGCGGGTTTTGATGAGTCTGTGAAGCCTGTCATTGTAGCTCTCCTACCCTATCGATTATAATTGGCTGCCATTTGGTATTATGTGGGAAAGTTTACCGGCCACAGACTGCTGTATCATTCTACCAGGGCACTTCTCTGCTGCTCTAAAAATTCTCATGCACCTTTGTTCTGGAAAGGAAGTATAATCACAATTATAATCACAAAATAAAATCACCAAAATGTTCCAAGTGAAATGCTAGTTTTACTATCTGAAATATTTTAATTACCAATTTATCATCAAAGTTTTGAGAATTTTGTAGAAACTTCTTTATTTGATGTAATCTAACACTGCCACACAGGACTAGTGGTATACAGTTCCACCCACTCCACAGAGATAAAGAATATGAAACCCAAACTCAAAGCATTCACATTCAGTGATTGTCAACGATTCACTGTTACATAAAAGCGACTTTAAATTACATGGAACAGGCCAGGCGCAGTGGCTCACGCCTGTAATCCCAGCACTTTGGGAGGCCGAGGCGGGCAGATCACGAGGTCAGGAGATCAAGACCATGCTGGCTAACGTGGTGAAACCCCATCTCTACTAAAAATACAAAAAAATTAGCCAGGCGTGGTGGCGGGCGCCTGTAATCCCTGCTACTTGGGAGGCTGAGGCAGGAGATGGCGTGAACCGGGGAAGTGGAGCTTGCAGTGAGCCGAGATAGCACCACTGCACTTCAGCCTGGGTGACAGAGCAAGCCTCCATCTAAAAAAAAAAAAAAATTACATGGGATATATACCAAGTACCCAAGAAATATGGTGCAATGGAGGAGAGTCTCCATCATACTCCCGCTGTTGTATTCGTATTATTGTAAAATATATCCTGCAGTCCCAACATCTGGGACATATTCCAGTGAAAGACTAGTGGTCACAAACATTTAGCTGATATGCTTATAAACATATGATATACCAGCTGGTAACTGCTGAATGATGAGCTAGCTTTTTGGGTAAAGAGTGGCAATCACCTCTGTTTTGAGATTTGAGGTCTCCAGGTAATCCTTAGTATCAAAAACTGTCTTTCTGACTTAAAAACCTCAATTTCTGGGAATCCACCCTCTAGAACATTTTTAAATGGAAAATATTTTCCCCAAATGCACATATTTTATTATCCCATACTAAAAAGATAATTATTTATCAGAACTAAACTTTTCAGTTGAGACTTCAGACACCATGGCCTGAAACAGGAGAGACAGTTATAAAAGAGGGAACTAGCAAAGAAATGATAAGTAGAGTACTGAAAAGAACTTGCCTGCTTTCCAAGCTGAGTAGTTTCCTGGCCCACAAAGGTATTTTGGCAGACCAGTATGCTGCTTTTATCTCAAAGGTGGCAGAAAAGGAAAGTTGGCACTGGAGATGAGACAGAACCATGGGAAAACCTGGTAGTAACAGATACTATTTCATAGGAAGTATCAACAATGAGAAGACAGAAAACTGTAAAAGAAAGGGAGACAAATAGATTACATTGCTGAACTTCAGTTTCCTTACCTATAAAGTGTTGGAAATATACCAACCAAAGCCTACCTGAATCCCAGTGAGGCTCAGATGAGAAAATGAAAGTGAAAGCATTTTAAATATTCTAAGTGTTATACAAAGGTAAAATATATTGCACATGTCAGATCCTTTTCACATGTAACAACAAATAAGGGAAAGTTTTCTGGATTTCTGATTGGTTGTCAAAATGTAAGCCCCTGATAAGTTTTTATGGACCAAAGACTGACTTGAATAAATTCATAATACCTCCTCTACCATATTCATTTCCTTTTCTTTTTCCCTTCAGGTTGGTATAAAGAAGAAAAATGGGAAGAAAGGATGCTGCCTATTTCTGATTTCTCAGTCTATCTGAAGCTGCCATTATAGAGATTGCTTTTGTTTCTGAGATGAAGCAGGGAACCCTCTTAGGGGCCTGTGCCTGGTCCCCAAAGCATGAAAATAAAGAAAAATCTTGAGTTCTTTAAAGGGAAACTCCAGGCACCTAGCTAGCCATGAGAAGTAAATGATCAACTTGATATGTCATAAGCAAGAAGGTAATAGTAGCTTAAAACAATAGCTAAGAAAGTTAGAGACATGAGATGGGTGGTTCCCTATGGAAACTATAAATAATATGTTAACATATGTCCCGGAGTTGTTTTTCAAAACTCAGACCACCACCAAACAGATCTGCTGGCCCACAGACCTCAGATAAGGAGGAACTGAGGGCTAAACTCTGACCACTGTTCTTTGTTCTGAAGTTCTTCCTTGGAGGCATAGAGGAAGTTATACCCATAAGCCAGAGCTAACATTCTTTTCTACTGACCCCAAATTTTCAACAAGGTTTCTCTTCCTTAACCAATTACAACTCAAAAAAAAAAAATACTTTTAATCTACCTATGATCTGAAAGCCCCTACTTTAAGATATCTTGTCTCTTTAAGCCAAACCAATGTATAACCTCCATGTATTGATTTACAATTTTGCCTATAACTTCTGGTTTCATAAATTTTCTCCTGCCTTTAAAAACTCTCATTTACAAGCTGTCAGAGAGGTCAGGACTTAAGCATGAGCTGCCTGATTCTCCTTGTTGGTGCCTTACAAATAAACACACTCCTTTCTCCCACTACAAGCTTCAATGTGGCTGTTTGCCCCTTACTACACCAGACAAGTGGGCCCCACTTCAGTTCAGTGACATGTTTTGATTGTTGTTCCCGTCTCTTCTATCAGCACATCTTTAATTGAAACTGTAGAAGCTGGGGGCACCAAAATACTATGTGAAGTAAATGAATTCAGAGAGAAAACGTCCACAGAAAAAAAAATCCTTGATATGAAAGTTGCTATAAGCTGCACTGGTAAAATAACTTTCATAGTTAGAGCAACTGTTAACCATTCATTTAACACAGTGATACACTATAGTGAATAGACTAGTGAATGCAGACAACAAACAACTCTATTAATATGCAAAGATACCGAGAAACTTATTCTGGGAAGTGGTTGGTTTGGTAAGGCAAAATGAGAAGGCAGACCTTTAAAAAAATAAGTAAGATAGACAAAAATCCTGTTGAATCCACACCACTTCCTTTAGGGACATTGACTATTAAATCCAGTGGTCACAACAGACACTAAATTTGTTCTGGGGTACAAGTTCTAGAAGTGAATATTGATCAAGGCTTCTAAATGATTTTTATTTACTTTCAAATGTAGATCAATGGAATAGAATAGCTAGTCTATCCCATCTCTTTGACTAATAACAGACATAGATTCTGACAATCACCATTGTTTTAGTCAATAATTACAGGGAAACTGAAATATGGCTCCAAGTTTATATAGTGTAGCATAAATTTGAAAGCAATATAAAATAAGACATTCAGAAGAAAAAGGGCAGAACACAATAAATCAGGAAAAGGAATAATAACAACAGTTAATCAAAGAAATATTTGTTGAACACTTTCTATATTCAAAAGCTACATGTTAACTTTTTAAGTACATTATTTATGTTATTCCTCTCAACAATGTAAGGGAGATGGCATTAGCCTTACCTCATTGGAGATTAAAAAAAGAAGAAAAAAAGCTTAGAGATATTTTCCATTGTTATGCGGCTAGAAAACTAGGTAGTAGGCAATTAAACTGACTCTAATTCCAAGTTCTTTCAATATAATAACTTAACTTTAATGTAATAGTTTTCTTATTCTATTTAATATAGAAACAATAGGTTCAACAATTATAGCCCAGGGTGCCTATGATGGATAATATTGAGTGTCAACTTGATTTAATTGAAGGATGCAAAGTATTGTTCCCGGGTGTGTCTGGGAGGGTGTTGCCAAAGGAGATAAACATTTGAGTCAGTGGGCTAGGAGAGGCAGACCCACCTGCAATCTGGGTGGGCACCATCTAATCAGCTGCCAGTGCAGCCAGGATAAAAGCAGGCAGAGGAACTTGAAAAGACTAGACTGGCTGAGTCTTCCACCCTCCATCTTTCTCCCATATTGGATGCTTTCTGCTCTCAAATGTCAGACTCCAAGTTCTTCAGCCTTTGCACTCTTGGACTTACAGCAGAGGTTTGCTAGGGGCTCTCAGGCCTTTGGCCACAGACTGAAGGCTGCACTATTGGCTTCCCTACTTTTGAGGTTTTGGGACTTGGACTGGCTTCCTTGCTTCTCAGTATGCAGATGGCCTATTGTGGGACTTCACCTTGTGATCGTGTGAGTCAATACTCCTTAATAAACTCCCCTTCATATATATATATATGTGTATATATATATATGTGTGTGTGTGTGTGTGTGTGTATATATATATATAGAGAGAGAGAGAGAACCCTGATTAATACTGATTTTGGTACCAGAAGTGAGGTATTAGTCCATTCTCATGCTGCTATAAAGAACTGCCCAAGACTGAGTAAATTATGAAGGAAAGAGGTTTAATTGACTCACAGCTCCGCGAGGCTGGGGAGGCCTCAGGAAACTTAAGACTGTGGCAGAAGGGGAATGTGATGGTTAATACTGAATGTCAACTTGATTGAAAAATGCAATGTATTGATCCTGGGTGTGTCTGTGAGGCTGTTCCCAGAGGAGATTAACATTTGAGTCAATGGGCTGGAGAAGGAAAACCCACCCTTAATCTGGGTGGGCACCATCTAATCAGCTGCCAGTGCTGCCAAAATATAAAGCAGACAGAAAAAAAAAAATTTGAAAAGGCTAGACTGGCTTAGCCTCCCAGCCTACATCTTTCTCTCATGCTGGATGCTTCCTGCCCTCAAGCATCAGACTCCAAGTTCTTCGACTTTGGGACTCGAACTGGCTTCCTTGATCCTCAGCTTGCAGATGGAGTATTGTGGGAGCTTGTGATTGTGTGAGTTAATACTACTTAATAAACGCTCATATCCACATATATATCCTATTAGTTCTTTCCCTCTAGAGAACCCTGATTAATACAGCTTTTGGTATTGGGAGTGGTTCTAGAGGAACAGAATATTAAGGATGGAGTTCTTTCGTTGGTTTTGGGGTTTCTGCAGTTGGCTGCTTAACATGATTAGACCAAAATATGCTAAGGACTCTATTTCTAATAGTATGGAGAACACTGATAGTCCTTGGCATGAACTGTTTAGAGAGTTATGCAAAATAAATGCATTTGACACTCCTGATTCACTGCTCACGAGAGGCAAAGAGTTCAGTGATTCTATACACAATAACTTTGACTTATGTGGAGAACCAAGGAATATAACGAAGTTTGTTGGTTGCTCCTAAGTTCACCGGACCAAAGTGGTGAAAGGAAATTATGAACTCAGGCATTCTAACTCCCAACTTCAGAAGCAGATACTGAGCTTCAAATCTGCTAAGATTGCCCTGAGGGACAGTCTTATCTCCTGTAGAGAAAGAGCTGAAATTGTGGAAAAACAGACACAAGCTCTTATTATGCTAGTGGCTGACCTGCAATGAAAGGTGCATGCACAGCCTCGCCAGGTGTCTACTGTTAAACTGAGGGCATTGATTGAAAAAGAATGGAACCCTGCAACTTGGAATGGGGATGATGTAGGAGCACCCTGATAAAGCTGAGGACACTGAGCTTGTAAACTCTGATAAGCCCTTTTTTTTCCAGAAGAAACAGCTTCCCCATCCCCAGTAGTGGCAACATCCTCTCCCCAATCCATGCTGCCATCAGCCTTTCCACCTTTGTCTGAGAAGATAAACCCTGTGCTGCCTGAGGCAACAGTGATAGCCTCCCCTGAGGCAGTTGCCAGGCAAGATAATATTTATTCTCCTAAGGAGCCACCCCCAACACCCCTGTTTGCTTCTAGACCTATAACTAAAGTCCCATTAGGCCCCTAGAGGTGAAGTTCAGAGTGTGACCCTCATGGGTCACACTCTACAATTGAAAAGAACTGCTTGAGTTTTCTAATTTATATAAGCAGAAATCTGGAGAAGAGGCATGAGAATGGATATTAAGTGTGTGGGATAATGGTGGAAGAAACATAGAGTTAGATCAGGCTGAATTTACGGATTTGGGCCCACTAAGTAGGGACTCTGCTTTTAATGTTGCAGCTCAGAGAGTTAAAAAATGTTCTGATAGTTTATTTGCTTGCTTAGCTGAAATATGGATTAAAAGATGGCCCACTGTGAGCAAGCTGGAAATGCCTCATCTCCCCTGGTTTAATGCAGAGAAAGGAATCCAAAGGCTTAGGGAGATTGGGGATGGTGGAGTGGATTATTCACTTTAGACCTATTCATCCCAGCTGGGAGGGTCCAGAAGATATACCCTTGACCAATGCTTTGCAAAATAGGTTTGTGAAGGCAGCACCTGCATCTTTGAAGAGCTGTGTAATTGCTCTTCTCTGCATGTCAGATCTAACAGTGGGAACTGCAGTCATTCACTATTAAATTTAAATACAATGGGAATAATTGGATCCCAAGGTGGCAGGGGCCAAGTGGAGGCACTCAGCTATCAAAGATAAGGGGGGCATAGCTACCATAATGGACATCAGAGGCAAAGCAGCAATCAGAATAGTGTGACTCATGTAGAGCTCTGGCATTGGCTAATTAATCTTGGTGTTCCTGGAAGTGAAATTGATAGGAAGCCTACTGCATTCCTACTAAATTTATATAAGCAGAAAGCTTCCTGGACAAATGGACAAAAGACTAACTAGAATTATAAAAACAGAGAATAATGGCCCCTCAATCAGTTTCTAGACTTGAGCCAGTTTACAGACCCAGAACCTCTTGAATTAAGGGGAGGCCGGGTCCCCTTAAAGAAGGACCCCATTACGTTACTGACAATTTATGCCATTAATCTTTCTCCCATCCTTCCCCAAGCAGACCTCCGGTCTTTTACCCAGGTAATTGTTCACTAGGGAAACAGAAATGATAAGACATTTCAGAGACTACTGAACACTGGCTCTGAGCTGACATTGATTCCAGGGGACTCAAAATGTCATTGTGGTCCTCCAGTTAAAGTAGGGGCTTACGGAGGTCAGGTAATTAATGGAGTTTTAGCTCAGGTCTGGCTTACAGTGAGTCCAATGGGTCCCCAGACTCATCCTGTGGTGATTTTTCCAATGCCAGAATACATAATTGGTACGGACATACTCAGCAGCTGGCAGAACCCCCACATTAGCTCCCTCACTGGTAGGGTGAGGGCTACTATGCTAGGAAAAGCCAAATGGAAACCATTAGAGCTGCCTCTACCTAGAAAAATAGTAAATTAAAAACAATATCACACTCCTGGAGGGATTGTAGAGATTAGTGTCACCATCAAGGACTTGAAAGATTTCTACCACATCCCCATTCAACTCTGCCGTTTTGCCTTTGCAGAAGACAGATGGATCTTGGAGAATGACAGTGGATTATTTTAAGCTTAACCAAGTGGTGATTCCAATTGCAGCTGCTGTATCATATGTGGTTTCATTGCTTGAGCAAATTAACACATCTCTTGGTACCTGGTATGCAGCCACTGACTGGGAAAATGCCTTTTTCTCCATTCCTGTACATAAGGCCCACCAGAAGCAATTTGCCTTCAGCTGGCAAGGCCACCAATATACCATGACTGTCCTACCTTTGGGATACATCAACTATCCAGCTTTGTGTAATAATCTTATTTGGAGAGAACTTGATCGCTTTTCACTTCTGCAAGATATCACACTGGTCCATTACATTGATGATATTATGCTGACTGGATCCAGTGAGTGAGAAATAGCAAACACACTGGACTTATTGGTGAGACATTTGCATGCCAGAGGATGGGAAATAAATTCGACTAAAGTTCAGGGACTCTCTACCTCACTAAAATTTCTAGGAGTTGAGAGGTGTGGGGCCTGTCAAAATATTCCTTCTAAGGTGAAGGATAAGTTGCTGCATTTGGCCACTCCTACAGCCAAGAAAGAGGCCCAATGCCTAGTGGGCCTGTTTGGATTTTGGAGGCAACACATTCCTTATTTGGGTGTGTTACTCCAGCCCATTTATCAAGTGACCCGAAAGGATGCCAGTTTTGAGTGGGGTCCAGAACAGGAGAAGGCTCTGCAACAGGTCCAGGCTGCTGTGCAAGCTACTCTACCACTTGGGCCACATGACCCAGCAGATCCAATGGTGCTTGAGGTGTCAGTGGCAGATAGGGCTGCTGTTTGGAGCCTTTGGCAGGCCCCCATACGTGAATCACAGCAAAGACCTCTAGGAATTTGGAGCAAGTCCCTGCCATCTTCTGCAAATAACTACTCTCCTTCTGAGAGACAACTCGGCCTGTTGCTGGGCTTTGCTGGAAACCGAATGTTTGACTACGGGCCATCAAGTCACCATGTGACCTGAACTGCCTATCATGAACTGGGTGCTTTCTGGCCCATTGAGCCATAAAGTGGGTCATGCACAGCAACATTCCGTCATCAAATGGAAGTGGTATATACATGATGGACTTGAGCAGGTCCTGAAGGCACAAGTTAAGTTACGTGAGGAAGTGGCTCAAATGCCCATGGTCTCCACTCCTGCCACCCTGCTTTCTCTCTTCCAGCTGGGGAGTTCTTTATGATCAGTTGACAGAGGAAGAGAAGGCTAGGGACTGGTTCACAGATGGTTCTGCGTGATATGAAGGCACCACCCAAAAGCGGACAGCTGCAGCACAACAGCCCCTTTCTAGGATATCTCTGAAGAACAGTCATGAAAAGAAATCTTCCCAGTGGGCAGAACTGTGAGCAATGCACCTGTTTGTGCACTTTGCATAGATAGAAAAATGCCCAGATGTGCAATTATATACTGATTCATGGGCTGTAGCCAATGGTTTGGCTGGATGGTCAGGAACTTGAAAGAAGCATGATTGGAAAATTGGTGACAAAGAAATCTGGGGAATAGGTATGTGGATAAACTTCTCTGAGTGGTCAAAAACTGTGAAGATATTTGTATCCCATGTGAGTGCTCACCAATGGGTGACCTCAGCAGAGGAGGATTTTAATAATCAAGTGGACAGGATGACCCATTCTGTGGATACCACTCAGCCTTTTTTCCCAGCCAACTCTGCATCCACCCAATGGGCCCATGAACAAAGTGGCCATGGTGGCAGGGATGAAGGTTTCGCATGGGCTCATCAATATGGACTTCCACTCACCAAGGCTGACCTGGCTACAGCCAATGCTGAGTGCCCAATTTCCCATCAGCAGAGACCAACACTGAGGCCTCAATATGGCACCATTCCTCAGGGTGATCAGCCAGCTACGTGGTGGCTGGTTGATTATATTGGACCTCTTCATGGAAAGGGCAGAGGTTTGTTCTCACTGGAACAGATATTTACTCCAGATATGAGTTTGTCTATCCTGCATGCAATGATTCTGCCAAGACTACCACCCATGGACTCACGGAATGCCTTATCCACCGTCATGGTATTCCACACAGCATTGCCTCTGACCAAGGCACTCACTTTATGGCTAAAGAAGTGCAGCAGTGGGCTCATGGTCACGGGATTCACTAGTCTTACCATGTTCTCCATCATCCTGAAGCACCTGGATGCATCTGGTTGTGCACTTTGCATAGAAGGAAAAACGCCCAGATGTGCGATCTGATAGATCTGATAAGCATCTGATAGAACGGTGGAATGGCCTTTTGAAGTCACAATTACAATGCCAACTAGGAGACAATAATTTGCAGGGCTGGGGCAAAGTTCTCCAGAAGGCCGTGTATGCTCTGAATCAGCATCCAATATATGGTACTGTTCCTCCCATAGCCAGGATTCATGGGTTCAGGAATCTAGGGGTGGAAGTGAAAGTGGCATTACTCACCATCACCCCTAGTGATCCACTAGCAAAATTTTTGCTTCCTGTTCCCACAACATTATGTTCTGCTGGCCTAGACGTCTTAGTTCCAGAGGGAGGAATACTGCCACCAGGAGACACAACAATGATTCCATTAAACTGGAAGTTAAGATTGCCACCTGGACACTTTGGGCTCCTCCTACCCTTAAGTTAGCAGGCTAAGAAGGGAGTTACAGTGTTGGCTGGGGTGATTGACCCAAACCATCAAGATAAAATCTGTCTACTATTCCACAATGGAGGTAAGGAAGAGTATGCGTGGAATACAGGAGATCCATTAGGGTGTCTCTTAGTATTATCATGCCCTGTGATTAAGGTCAATGGGAAACTACAAGAGTCCAATCCAGGCAGGACTACAAATGCCCCAGACCCTTTAGGAATGAAGGTTCGGTTCACTCCACCAGGAAAAAAACCATGACCTTCTGTGGTGCTTGCTGAAGGAAAAGGGAATACAGAATAAGTAGTAGAAGAAGGTAGTCATCAATACCAGCTATGACCACGTGACCAGTTGCAGAAACGAGGACTGTAATTGTCATGAATATTTCCTACTTCTTTTGTTTAAAACATGCTTGTTCAAGTAAATACTTGTACTAAGAAAATATCTTCATTTTATTTCCTTTTCTTATCACGTGACATAATATTTGTTGACTTCATATCAGGATTTCAGTATTGTTAACTCTATGTAACAGCATTTGGGTTGGGGATTGGTGCATTTCCAGTTGTATGAAGGATAGCTGTATTATCTTAGGCATACTCATGACCTTATTATTGTCTTTATTTGAAGATTATATACGCTCTCAGGAGATGTGTATGGGTTCAGGTTGACAAGGGGTGGATTCGTGATGGTTAATACTGAATACACACACACACACACACACACACACACACACACATATATATATATATATATATATATCCTATGAGTTCTCTCTAGAGAACCCTGACTAATACAGGGAAGCAAACACATTCTTCTTCACATGGTGGCAGGAAGGAGGAGTGCTGAGCAAAAGGGGAAAAGCCCCTTATAAAACCATCATATCTCATGAGAACTCACTCACTATCACAAGAACAGCAGCATGTGGTTAATCACCCCCATGATTCAATTACCTCCCCCCAGGTCCCTCCCATGACACATGGGGATTATGGGAACTACAATTCAAGATGAGATTTGGGTGGGGACACAGCCAAACCATATTATTCCACTCTTGGCCCCTCCCAAATCTCATGTCCTCACATTTCAAAACACAATCATGCCTTTCCAACAGTCCCCCAAAGTCTTAATTCATTCCAGCATTAACCCAAAGTCCAAATCCAAAGTCTTATCTGAGACAAGGCAAGTCCTTTCCATGTATGAACCTGTAAAATCAAAAGCAAGTTAGTTACTTCCTAGATATAATGGAAGTACAGACATTGGGTAAATACACCTGTTCCAAATGGGAGAAATTGGCCAAAACAAAAGGGCTACAGGCCCATGCAAGTCCAAAATCCAGCAGGGCAGTCAAATCTTAAAGCTCTGAAATGATCTCCTTTGATTCCATGTCTCACATCCAGGTCGCACTGAGACAAGAAGTGGGTTCCCATGGCCTTGGTCAGCTGTGCCCCTGTGGCTTTGCAGGGTACATCCCTCTTCCCGGCTGCTTTCATGAGCTGGTATTGAGTGTCTGCAACTTTTCCAGGTGCACAGTGCAAGCTATCGGTGATCTACCATTCTGGGGTCTGGAGGACAGTGGCCCTCTTCTCATAGCTCCACTAGGCAGTGCCCCAGTGGGGACTCCATGTTGGGGCTCCAACCCCACATTTACCCTCTGCACTGCCCTAGCAGAGGTTCTCAATTAGGACCACACCCCTGCAGCAAAATTCTGCCTGGACATCCAAGCTTTTCCATACATCCTCTGAAATCTAGACAGAGGCTCCCAAACCTCAATTCTTGACTTCTGGGCACCTGCAGGGTCAACACCACATAGAAGCTGCCAAGGCTTGGGGCTTGCACCCTCTTGAGCCATGGCCTGAGCTACACCTTGGCTGCTTTTAGCCATGGCTGGAGCTGCTGGGACACAAGGTACCAAGTCCCTAGATTGCACACATGGGCCTGGCCCATGAAATGATTTTTATTCTCCTAGGCCTCCAGGCCAGTGATGGGAGGAGCTGCCCACAAAGGTCTCTGACATGCCCTTGAGACATTTTCCCCATTATCTTGGAGAAGAACATTTGGCTCCTTGTTACTTGTGCAAATTTCTACAGTAGGCTTGAATTTCTCCTCAGAAAATGGGTTTTTCTTTTCTATCGCATTGTTAGGCTGCAAATTTTCCAAACTTTTACGCTTCGCTTCCCTTTTAAACATAAGTTCTAATTCCAAACCATATCTTTGTGAATACATGAAACTGAATGCTTTTACTAGCACCCAACTCACATCTTGAATGCTTTGCTGCTTAGAAATTTCTTCTGCCAGATATCCTAAATTATGTCTCTTCAGTGATCTGTAGGGCAGGGGTAAAACACTGCCAGTCTCTTTACTAAAACATAGCAAAAGTCACCTTTATTTCAGTTCCCAACAAGTTCCTTATCTCCATCTGAGACCACCTCACCCTGGACTTCATCATCCATATCATTATCAGCCTTTTAGTCAAAGCCATTCAGTAAGTCTCTAGGAAGTTCCAAACTTTCTCACATCTTTCTGTTGTCTTCAGAGCTTTCCAAACTGTTCCAACCTCTGCCTGTTACCCAGTTCCGGTCACTTCCAAGTTTGGGGTATCTTTACGGTAGTGCCCCACTCCCAGTACCAATTTACTGTACTAGTCCATTCTGATGCTGCTACAAGAACTTCCTGAGACTACGTAAGCTATAAAGGAAAGAGGTTTAACTGACTCACAGTCCTGCAGGGCTTGGAAGGCCTCAGGAAGCAAACATGTTCTTCTTCACTTGATGGCAGGAAGAGGAAGTGCTGAGCAAAGGGAGAAAAGTCCCTTATACATCCATGATCTCCTGAGACCTCACTCGCTAACATGAGAACAGCAGCATGGGAGTAATCAGCCCCATAATACAATTACCTCCCACTGGTTCCTTCCACAACACCTGGGGTTTATGGAAACTACAATGCAAAATGAGATTTTGGTGGGGACACAGCCAAACTGTATTAGTGCCCAATGCCACAAAAGCTAGACAGTATTTGGAGCAAATGCTAAATTGTCTTCCTAGCAATTATACGGAAATGAGTAATATGGTTATTTTAGGGATACATAAAGAAAAGATTAAAGTAGGGATCATTTAACACCTTTAATGAACACTTTTCACGAAATAAGGAAAGATAATTGCCAAGTCTACTAACGTCTCAAACAAATAGAAAAAAAGTTATAAACAATTATCAGGTAACTAAAGAGTCAAAGTACCCTAGGCCAATGGGAAGAAGTACAAAAATATAACTGAACAAAGAGAAATATATATTCACTACAGAAGCCAGTAATCTCTGTTTAAAACATTTCTCATTTTCTAAGATTTCAATCATATTACTTTCACACTTAGAAACAATTTTGACATTTTATAATAAGAAAAACAAGGCAGTAATCAAAACAAAGTGGAAGACTAGAGTAGAAAGAAGTTACTACTCTAGAAATCTCCTAGATTTAATGGAACAATCACAAAACCACTTTGAGTGTGGTAATAATTTAAGTATGATAATAATAGAAAGAGTATTATTTTTGTGGTTTTAAAAGAGGTATATAGAAACAGAACCAAAGAAAAAAACCATGTCATTATCTCAACAGATGCAGAAAAGGCCTTTGACAAAATTCAACTACCCTTCGTGCTAAAAACTCTCAATAAATTAGGTATTGATGGGACGTATCTCAAAATAATAAGAGCTATCTATGACAAACCCACAGCCAATATCATACTGAATGGGCAAAAACTGGAAGCATTCCCTTTGAAAAGTGGCACAAGATAGGGATGCCCTCTCTCACCACTCCTATTCAACATAGTGTTGGAAGTTCTGGCCAGGGCAATTAGGCAGGAGAAGGAAACAAAGGGTATTCAATTAGGAAAAGAGGAAGTCAAATTGTCCCTGTTTGCAGATGACATGATTGTATATCTAGAAAACCCCATTGTCTCAGCCCAAAATCTCCTTAAGCTGATAAGCAACTTCAGCAAAGTCTCAGGATACAAAATCAATGTACAAAAATCACAAGCATTCTTATACACCAACAACAGACAAACAGAGAGCCAAATCATGAGTGAACTCCCATTCACAATTGCTTCAAAGAGAATAAAATACCTAGGAATCCAACTTACAAGGGATGTGAAGGACCTCTTCAAGGAGAACTACAAACCACTGCTCAATGAAATAAAAGAGGATACAAACAAATGGGAGAATATTCCATGCTCATGGGTAGGAAGAATCAGTATCGTGAAAATGGCCATACTACTCAAAGTAATTTATAGATTCAATGCCATCCCCATCAAGCTACCAATGACTTTCTTCACAGAATTGGAAAAAACTACTTTAAAGTTCATATGGAACCAAAAAACAGCCCGCATCGCCAAGTCAATCCTAAGCCAAAAGAACAAAGCTGGAGGCATCACGCTACCTGACTTCAAACTATACTACAAGGCTACAGTAACCAAAACAGCATGGTACTGGTACCAAAACAGAGATATAAATCAATGGAACAGAACAGAGCCCTCAGAAATAACGCCACGTATCTACAACTATCTGATCTTTGACAAACCTGAGAAAAACAAGCAATGGGGAATGGATTCCCTATTTAATAAATGGTGCTGGGAAAACTGGCTAGCCATATGTAGAAAGCTGAAACTGGATCCCTTCCTTACACCTTATACAAAAATTAATTCAAGATGGATTAAAGACTTAAACATTAGACCTAAAATCATAAAAACCCTAGAAGAAAACCTAGGCATTACCATTCAGGAGACAGGCATGGGCAAGGACTTCATGTCTAAAACACCAAAAGCAATGGCAACAAAAGCCAAAATTGACAAACGGGATCTCATTAAACTAAAGAGCTTCTGCACAGCAAAAGAAACTACCATCAGAGTGAACAGGCAACCTACAAAATGGGAGAAAATTTTCGCAACCTACTCATCTGACAAAGGGCTAATATCCAGAATCTACAATGAACTCAAACCAATTTACAAGAAAAAAATAATCAACCCCATCACAAAGTGCGCAAAGGACATGAACAGACACTTCTCAAAAGAAGACATTTATGCAGCCAAAAAACACATGAAAAAATGCTCACCATCACTGGCCATCAGAGAAATGCAAATCAAAACCACAATGAGATACCATCTCACACCAGTTAGAATGGCAATCATTAAAAAGTCAGGAAACAACAGGTGCTGGAGAGGATGTGGAGAAATAGGAACACTTTTACACTGTTGGTGGGACTCTAAACTAGTTCAACCATTGTGGAAGTCAGTGTGGCGATTCCTCAGGGATCTAGAACTAGAAATACCATTTGACCCAGCCATCCCATTACTGGGTATATACCCAAAGGACTATAAATCATGCTGCTATAAAGACACATGCACATGTATGTTTATTGCGGCACTATTCACAGTAGGAAAGACTTGGAACCAACCCAAGTGTCCAACAACGATAGACTGGATTAAGAAAATGTGGCACATATACACCATGGAATACTATGCAGCCATAAAAAATGATGAGTTCATGTCCTTTGTAGGGACATGGATGAAATTGGAAATCATCATTCTCAGTAAACTATCGCAAGGATAAAAAACCAAACACCGCCATGTTCTCACTCATAGGTGGGAATTGAACAATGAGAACACATGGACACAGGAAGGGGAACATCACACTCTGGGGACTGTTGTGGGGTGGGGGAGGCGGGAGGGGTAGCATTAGGAGAGATACCTAATGCTAAATGACCCGTTAATGGGTGCAGCACACCAGCATGGCACATGTATACATATGTAACAAACCTGCACATTGTGCACATGTACCCTAAAACTTAAAGTATAATAATAATAAAATAAAATAAAATAATTCTTATTAAATGTCATTGAGAAAAAAATATTAAATTTAATAAAAAATGTTGTCTCTAACTTCAATAAAGTACTTAGAATACAGAAAAAAAAGAGGTATATAGACATTACTCCTAACAGCTGAAACAATTTACCCAAAAGACATTTTGCTTTCTATAACACACAATCTCAAAAAGAAGTAAACATATTTATGTCTTGGAAGAATAGATTTTTTGAATAATATAATTATTCTGCAACTATAATGTAAACCTGTACTACTACATAAGAAATGTAATAGCGGGAGTTACATTTACCATTTTGTTCATAGGTAGAAGAATAGAAAAAAAAACACAAAAATGGGAATAAGGCAGAACTAGAGGTGGGGTAAACATCACCAAAAGATCATAGACTGTGAGGCTCAGAAGAGGCTTTAGACATCACCGGTGCCATTACTTTTGAGTGAAGCAGTTAAATATCACTTGGCTTTTATCATTTCAAGAAAGAAAGAAGGAAAGAAAGATGGAAGGAAGGAAGGAAGGAAGGAAGGAAGGAAGGAAGGAAGGAAGGAAGGAAGGAGAAAGAAAGAAAGAAAGAAAGAAAGAAAGAAAGAGGAAGGAAGGAAGGAGAAAAGAAAAGGAAGGATGGAAGGAAGGAAGGAAGGAAGGAAGGAAAGAAAGAAAGAAAGAAAGAAAGAAAGAAAGAAAGAAAGAAAGAAAGAGAAAGAAAGAGAAAGAAAGAAAGAGAAAAGGAAAGAAAAGAAAAGAAGGAAGGAAGGAAAGAAAGAAAGAAACAAAAAGAAAGAAAGAGAAAGAAAAGGAAGGAAGGAAGGAAAGAAAGGAAAGAAAGAAAGAAAGAAAGAAAGAAAGAAAGAAAGAAAGAAAGAAAGAAAGAAAGAAAAGAAAAGAAAGAGAAAGAAAGAGAAAAAGAAAGAGAGACAGAAAGAGAAAACATCTACCTCTTTTTTGAAGACAATTCCTCTAGCTCCATCATGGAGTGATTGCTTTCCAAGCCTACCAGACAAGTGATTCCCCAAGATTTCTTTCCACTTACCTCCTGGATTAGGTTCACTATTTCTTAGATTTCATAATTTTCTCTTTCTTGCACTTTGTTTTTCTTTAGCTAAAACTCATTCTTGCATAACTTTTAAATAAAATGTCCATAAAAAGTAAACTTGCTAAGCCCATATATCCCTAGAAATATCTCTAAACTGCCTCACACTTAACAGTATCAAAGCTTCTGATGATCATTGCCTCTCAGAACCCTGTGGGACTACTCTGTTGTCATTCAGCATCCAGTGTACTTGAGGGGCAATGTGATGCCATTCTGATTCCTGTTCCTTTGTAGGTAACCTGTTCTTTAGAATCTTCTTGTTTTCTTTGGTATCTTAGAATTTCACAGAGATATAGCTCATCAAGTCTCAGTCAGCCCCATCTTTTTAATATAAAGGTTTGTGTCATCTTTAAGGTGCAGCAAAACTTTTGTTTTTACTTATTTTTTTCTGTTCTTTTTCACTGAAAATTCTATTAGACAGATATAACGAATCACTCATATTGATCACCAATGCGTCACTATTTTTTATCTCATATTTTACTACTTTTTGGCTTTTAGCTCATATTTGGGATGTTTCCTTGATTGGTTTTTCTCCAGCTCTACTTTTGGATAATTATTTTTATTTCAGAAAACATTTTTTTTCATTTCAATACTCTTTGTTTTATGATTATTCCTTTTTAATAGCAGCATCTGAGCTATGATTCAAATCCCTCTGTGAACTTAATTACAGCTTTCTAAATTATCTTGTTTCCTGAAGTATCCTGACAGTTACATTTGTTTGATCCCTGTTTTTGTTGTTGGCTCACTGGACACATTGGAAAGATTCTTGATGGCTTTTTGTTAATATTTGTCAGTGATGACTAAATTAATTGCTATCAGTGGCTGAAAGGAAATTTATCTGCCATTACATGATATAGGTCAAGTATTTCCCCTGCATGGAAGAGCTGACTGCAACTTCTGTGACTGTGTCAGGGTATGTCCTCTGGCAAGTTCATTTTAGGATGAATAATGAAGATTAAGCATGCCAACTGGATGCCACTCTCCATGCTAACATAAGGAGAACTCTATTCCACAGCACAAACTAGGAACCCTAGGCCTGGATAGACAGGTTAATTTTTGTGGTAGAAAGCATATCTGTGTAGTGGTTCCCAGACAGAGATGTGGGAGCAGGAATCATGTAGTCCAAATCATGTAGTCCAGCAAGTGGTACTCTGTGAGAGAAGGAGGAAGGGAAGTAGGGGTATAGGCAGTAAATTAAAAATCTGTTAAATATACCACTATTTTCACCACATATAAATAAACGTTAAGAAAAGATATATTCCTGATAAATGTTTATTATAAGCCATACAGTAAATACTTTCAAAAATAATCAAAATTTAAGTAAATCACTAATTTTCATAGGGGAAAGGCACAGGGGTAAGAATAACTATGAAAAGAAGTAGTTAATTATGTTGCTTGGAGAGTAATAAGGGTTGCCTTATTAGAAATAATATGGTAGTTCTAAAGAAACTTTAATACATCCTCCCACTTATCTTCTTGATGTGCTTTTCACAATAAAAAAAATTATATATCAGAATTTTTCCATCTTAGAGGCCCTCTAGTTCTACTCCCTATTTGTTACATATTTGAACAAGTGGTTAACCAACATTTTGTTCTGGTAAATGTATTATTTTCCAAGGCAGTCCATTCCACCTTTTGACAGTTCTATTTATTAAACATTTATCTCTTATATTGAATCAATGTATGCTCCCCATTTTTAAAATCCCACCCATTGGTTCTATACCTGGTTTCTGGAATTGCATTAGTAAGCTTCACTGTTTTCCATGTGATAACACACTGAATGTTTGTTGGCATCTAACATGGTACCCTGCCTCTCCAAGCTGTATAGTCTCAGTTAATCCTGCATATAAAGAAACTCTGAAGGAATTGATTATGTGCAGATTCTCATCTTCTCTGAAACTGCTAATGCAGTGGAAGAAAACTGGTATCAAGCAAAAAGGAAAAAAATGACATTAGTAAATAATAGAAATCCAATGTAGATTTTATAAAATAGCTGTTAAATGTCAAGCTCCTGAAAACCAAAATTATTAAGTCTTCATTTATAAGAGGATATTTTTAGTGAATAAAATATTCAATGTGAAAAGATCTTTATTTGTACAAGTAACAGTTAGTGAACTATTTTTAAAGTGAATTATCAAAGGATCTATTTTGTTCTGTATTTTCTAAAAATGTTAGTAGGAGTAATTTAGTGCCAAATATTTTTAAAAGAAAAGGGCAAATAATTTATTTAAAGTTTTTTCTGAATTAAGATCAACTTCTTAGTGAATGAAGAATAGCTAAACTATTATTAAACTCTATGTTTTTAAGTATCTGTTCCCATACAGAATGGGTATTCTTTGAATCCAAAATGAACTTCTCTTGTTTGAAGAAAAATGTTAATATAACCACTACTGTAAATTTTATTCATGAAAAGCCATGGTGTTTAGTTACATACACCATCCCAACAACAAATCCAAGAAACTGAATTCATTTATATCTTTTCAATTACATTTTCTAATAGCACATTGTATACAAGGAAAAAAATAGTAAAGAGAATGATCATTAAAAATACTTCAAAATGTACATGTGGGGCCTTACTCATCCTTCTGTCTCTGGCTTTTGGTCCTGAGCAAAGCAGGGCAACCTGATTGTCAGGTGTCTATGGGCCGAGAAGGCCTATACCCTTCATCCTTTGAGCAAGCAATGTAGGGATTGCAGGATTAAAGACCATCCTCTGACTCTTGTACTCCCTCCCTTTATCTTTCTCTTGGTGAGTATTGAGGTTTATAGTATCTGTATTTAATTTTCTCTGGAATAAGAAATAAGAATATTATGAAAGAAGTGAAAGAGGAATCAATTTGAATGCTACCATGGGGAAAATTGAAAACCATTTAAAGTGTCAAGGAGCAGAGCCAAATCTAAGTGTCTATGACACTTGACATTATCAAAGCAATCAGAGATCCATGGCTCTCTCTTTTAATATAAAATTCTTTTTCTTAACATTAATACTCAACTAGACACTGATAAACAGAAGCACTTAGTAAAAAACAAATTAAATTATCCTGTTCTGTGATAATGAATGGATAATAATGTCTGTCCAATTTGAAGTCACCCAACTTCCCAGTTTCACAGTTTCTCAAGACTAAAGGCAGTTATATTAGTCCATTTTTGTATTGCTATAACAGAATACCACAAATTCGACAATTTATAATGGACAGAAACTTTTTGGCTCACAGTTCTGAAAGCTGGGAAGTCCAAGAGCATGACACTGGCATCTGAAGACAGCCTTCATGTTGCATCATCCCATGGCAGAAAGCAAAAGGTCAAGAGAGTGCAAGAACAAGAGAGCAAGAGGGTGTTACTGAAACACCAGGAGTTTGGTCTAGTTCCTGCTGCTCACCTCACAGAAAGCCAATCACTGAGACAACAAGTATTGCCAAGGAGGAAGGCTTTAATCAGGTGCTGCAGGCAAGGAGATGGGAGCTCAGTCTCAAATCCATCTCCCTGACTGACTAAACTAGTGGTTTATATAGCAGAGAAGAAATGTCTCAATGTGTAAAAAGACAGGAACTAGGGAGGGGCAAGAAGACATCTGGTACCATGATCTGGTGAGTTTCAGATCTTTTGTACTTTTTTTGAGAGGCATGAAAGTTCTTCCCTGGGAAAGGAACTCAAATAAAACAAATACAAGTTTCAGTCTTTAACAGCAGAATGGCCAATGTCTATGTTTATCCAAAAGAAAAGTGTATGGGACTACTGGGCCTGTTTCAAGGAGACTGAACTATCTTTTTTTTTTTCTTTTTTGAGATAGAGTCTCACTCTTTTGCTCTCGTTGGAGTGCTGTGGTACAATCTTGGCTCACTGCAACCTCCACCTCCTGGGTTCAAGCGATCCTCCCACCTCAGCCTCCCAGGTAGCTGGGACTATATGTGCATGCCACCATGCCCAGCAAATTTTTGTATTTTTAGTAGAAACAGGGTTTTGCCATGTTGGCCAGGCTGGTCTCAAACCCCTGGCCTCAAGTGATCTTCCTGCCTCAGCCTCCCAAAATGCTAGGAATACAGGTGTGAGCCACCGTTCCTGCCCTGAACTAACTTTTATAACAAATCTACTAACAATAACGAATCCACTCTTGTAATAATATTAATACATTCATGAGAGCAGAGTCCTCATCTAATCACCTCTTATTAGGACCCACCTCCCAACACTGCTGCATTGGAGATTAGTTTCTAACACATGAACTTACGGGTGACACATTCAAACCATAGTAGTAATGTTACAATATACTTTCCACAGAAATCATACCTGATTCTTCCAATTAATAGATGTGAAGAGACTAAATCAGCATATTTATTGCAGAATGAAACTTGATATATCTCCAACACATTTTATAAACAACAGAGTTTGATTTTTATCCATCTAAGTAATAATTTTTGGACAATTTTTAGTATGTATACTATTCCAAACTTGTTCCCCAGTTGATAGCTTAAGAGATGCAAATGCTTAATTTGGACATTAATATTCTATGATATAATGCTTTAAAAGGCAAAATATTGTGGTCAGGGAGGAAGAACGATTTACATCACTGAACCTCAAAGGGTACTCTCAATTTATTCTCTCCATTTCTCATCTTCTGCTTGAGCTGTTCACTCACAATTCCCAAATCAATGAAATTATAATAGAATCAATTCCCATTTATAATTCTGTGATTGTTCTGTAAGAAATCCTCGTATCATTTTTTAACATAAGTCTTCTTAAGAGTATAACTGAAGAAAACAGGCTATTTCAGCAATGGTACTTAAAAGACACACTGTTTGTCTGTTATTGGTGTATAAGAATGCTTGTGATTTTTGTACATTGATTTTGTATCCTGAGACTTTGCTGAAGTTGCTTATCAGCTTAAGGAGATTTTGCGCTGAGACACTGGGGTTTTCTAGATATACAATCATGTTATCTGCAAATAGGAACAATTTGACTTCCTCTTTTCCTAACTGAATACCCTTTATTTCCTTCTCCTGCCTAATTGCCCTGGCCAGAACTTCCAACACTATGTTGAATAGGAGTGGTGAGAGAGGGCATCCCTGTCTTGTACCAGTTTTCAAAGGGAATGCTTCCAGTTTTTGCCCATTCAGTATGATATTCGCTGTGGGTTTGTCATAGATAGCTCTTATTGTTTTGAGATACGTCCCATCAATACCTAATTTATTGAGAGTTTTTAGTACGAAGGGTAGTTGAATTTTGTCAAAGGCCTTTTCTGCATCTATTGAGATAATCATGTGGTTTTTAACAGACAGCCAAATCATGAGTGAACTCCCATTCACAATTGCTTCAAAGAGAATAAAATACCTAGGAATCCAACTTACAAGGGATGTGAAGGACCTCTTCAAGGAGAACTACAAACCACTGCTCAATGAAATAAAACAGGATACAAACAAATGGAAGAACATTCCATGCTCATGGGTAGGAAGAATCAGTATCGTGAAAATGGCCATACTACTCAAAGTAATTTATAGATTCAATGCCATCCCCATCAAGCTACCAATGACTTTCTTCACAGAATTGGAAAAAACTACTTTAAAGTTCATATGAAACCAAAAAAAGAGCCCGCATCGCCAAGTCAATCCTAAGCCAAAAGAACAAAGCTGGAGGCACCACGCTACCTGACTTCAAACTATACTACAAGGCTACAGTAACCAAAACACCATGGTACTGGTACCAAAACAGAGATATAGATCAATGGAACAGAACAGAGCCCTCAGAAATAACGCCACATATCTACAACCATCTGATCTTTGACAAACCTGACAAAAACAAGCGATGGGGAAAGGATTCCCTATTTAATAAATGGTGCTGGGAAAACTGGCTAGCCACAAGTAGAAAGCTGAAACTGGATCCCTTCCTTATATCTTATACAAAAATTAATTCAAGATGGATTAAAGACTTACATGTTAGACCTAAAACCATAAAAACCCTAGAAGAAAACCTAGGCATTACCATTCAGGACATAGGCATGGGCAAGGACTTCATGTCTAAAATACCAAAAGCAATGGCAACAAAAGCCAAAATTGACAAATGGGATCTCATTAAACTAAAGAGCTTCTGCACAGCAAAAGAAACTACCATCAGAGTGAACAGGCAACCTACAAAATGGGAGAAAATTTTTGCAACATACTCATCTGACAAAGGGCTAATATCCAGAATCTACAATGAACTCCAACAAATTTACAAGAAAAAAACAAACAACCCCATCAAAAAGTGGGCAAAGGATATGAACAGACACTTCTCAAAAGAAGACATTTATGCAGCCAAAACACACATGAAAAAATGCTCATCATCACTGGCCATCAGAGAAATGCAAATCAAAACCACAATGAGATACCATCTCACACCAGTTAGAATGGCGATCATTAAAAAGTCAGGAAACAACAGGTGCTGAAGAGGATGTGGAGAAATAGGAACACTTTTACACTGTTGGTGGGACTGTAAACTAGTTCAACCATTGTGGAAGTCAGTGTGGCGATTCCTCAGGGATCTAGAACTAGAAATACCATTTGACCCAGCCATCCCATTACTGGGTATATACCCAAAGGATTATAAATCATGCTGCTATAAAGACACATGCACATGTATGTTTATTGTGACACTATTCACAATAGGAAAGACTTGGAACCAACCCAAGTGTCCAACAACGATAGACTGGATTAAGAAAATGTGGCACATATACACCATGGAATACTATGCAGCCATAAAAAAGGATGAGTTCATGTCCTTGGTAGGGACATGGACGAAACTGGAAACCATCATTCTCAGCAAACTATCGCAAGGACAAAAAACCAAACACCACATGTTCTCACTCATAGGTGGGAATTGAACAATGAGAACACATGGACACAGGAAGGGGAACATAACACTCCAGGGACGGTTGTGGGGTGGGGGGAGCGGGGAGGGATAGCATTAGGAGATATACCTAATGCTAAATGACGAGTTAATGGGTGCAGCTCACCAACATGGCACGTGTATACATGCGTAACAAACCTGCACATTGTGCACATGTACCCTAAAACTTAAAGTATAATAATAATAAAATTTAAAAAAAAACACACTGGTTCATAAAGCCTTGGAAAGAAAGCAATTTTTAATCACATAGCATTAAATTTTGTTAGGGAGACCCCACATTTCTTCTCTTTGATTTCTTCCTGTTTTTTCTTTATGATGTGACATTGACTTGTTTACTCAAGTTCACTTTCTTTCCACAAGCCCTGAAAACAGTGGTTATCACAATACCCTCTTTGCTCTGCCTATTGAACATTGTAGAGAAAGGGTAGAGAAAGGAGAAAACAAATTTATATTGTCTCATTTGATCTCAACAGCAGAACTCTGAGGGAAGAAGGGAAAGAAGGAGAGCATTATGATCACATCCTTTTCACGTGAAGAGGAAAGCTCAGAAATCAAGAGACTTGCCCAGAGCTGGAAAGTTTCTGCGAGAGCCAACACCAGAGTCAGTATTTTCTGAGCTGTAGTTCTTGCTCTTTCCACATCACTGTGGATCTTGTCTATAAATCTCCAGATGGTTAATGTCCATTACTATATTTCTTATCCTCCTTTTCATCACAAAGGAAGGGGGAAATATTGTTTGAATCAAAATATGCAGAAATTATATATTTCCTAAAATTTGAGGGCACACACTTTCTTTTTCTTTCTTGTTTTTATTATTATGCTCTAAGTTCTGGGATACATGTGCAGAATGTGCAGGTTTGTTACATAGGTATACACGTGCCATGGTGGTTTGCTGCACCCATCAACCCGTCATCTACATTAGGTATTTCTAATGCCATCCCTCCCCCAACCCCCAACATCACGACAGGCCCTGGTGTCTGATGTTCCCTTCCCTGTGTCCATGTGTTCTCATTGTTCAACCCCCACTTATGAGTGAGAACATGCGGTGTTTGGTTTTTCTGTTCCTGTGTCAGTTTGCTGAAAATGATGGTGTCCAGCTTCATCAATGTCCCTGAAAAGGACATGAACTCATCGTTTCTATGGCTGCATAGTATTCCATGATGTATATGTGTCACATTTTCTTTATCCAGTCTATCATTGATGGGCATTTCAGTTGCTTCCCAGTCTTTGCTATTGTGAATAGTGCCGCAATAAACATACATGTGCATTTGTCTTTATAGTAGGATGATTTATAATCCTTTGGGCATATACCCAGTAATGGGATTGCTGGGTCAAACGGTATTTCTGGTTCTAGATCCTTGAGGAATCACCACAATGTGTTCCACAACGGTTGAAATAATTTACACTCCCACCAACAGTATAAAGTGTTCCTATTTCTCCACATCCTCTCCAGCATCTGTTGTTTCCTGACTTTTTAATGACCACCTTTCTAACTGGTGAGAGATAGTATCTCACTATGGTTTTGATTTGCATTTCTCTAATGACCAGTGATGATGAGCTTTTATTTTCATATGTTTGTTGTCTGTATAAATGTCTTCTTTTGAGAAGTGTCTGTTCATATCCTTTGCTCACTTTTTGATGGGGTTGTTTTTTTCTTGTAAATTCATTTAAGTTCCTTGTAGATTCTGGATGTTAGACCTTTGTCAGATGGATAGATGGTGAAAATTTTCTCCCATTCTGTAGGTTGCCTGTTCCCTCTGATGATAGTTTCCTTTGCTTTGCAGAAGCTCTTTAGTTTAATTAAACTAAAAATGACCCATTTATCAATTTTGGCTTTTGTTGCTATTGCTTTTGGTGTTTTAGTCATGAAGTTTTTCCCCATGCCTATGTCCACTTTCTGTACGTATCCAAAATTAGTTATGTTAGTATAATTTGCCTATGCAAGGGAAGTCAATCTACTTTCACTGTTATTACTTAAATTTGTGCAAAATTATGTCTTATTTTGTGTTCAGATATCACTTAAAACATTTGAGTTAATAATATTTGAGTAGTTATGTTGTGTTCTTCACTCCAAACTGGCCATTCCTAACACAACACCACCCAGTTTTATTTATCTTATCACTTATCTCTTGATTCTGAACATGCATCATGAGCTAAACCTGGATATAGTGTTGTCTTTTATGTTTCACACAAAGTAGCTATTACATTTGTGAAGCATCCTTTATTTATGCAACATTATTCAATAATATTAAAGAGATACATGGTTTACGTGCATATAGGTCTTAATTTGGGTGTATATCAAGTATTTGAAGTTCACCTGAAATTTACTTTCTTTTTATTAATGGTAAGTATGAACAACCTAGAGCCGTGAAATCCTCGAGAAATGTAGTCTGCAGCACTGAACAGACACATTTACATGCTGGTACTATCAATAAGCAGAGTCTCAAACCCATAATATCAAGTATTTCTTCTTTTTGTTGTAATTCACAGCTTAATCATTCAGACAAATGTTACTTGCACATTATTATTCAGCACAATCTCATCAACTTTATCCTTTATCAGTGACCCTCGATAAGAAATTACGCCATTTTGAAATAGCATTTGTAATTATTCTATTTTCATAAGATTAACATGTCAAATATCACAAGAATACATGTAACAGTCTTTTGGAGCTTAAAACCCCCTGTTCACATTTCACTTAAAACCATAAAAAGCATTATCACGATGTAATCAGTAGACTATAAATTGCTAGGTGGCCCCTGTGTTTTAGGTTCATTCCTTTATTCATTCATTCAACAAATATTTATTAATATGTCAGTTTTCCAGGCATTACAGTGACAGGGCTAAAAAAAAAACACAGAAATAAGGTTAAGTCCTGGTTCTGAAGGCACTGATAATCTAGAGGGTAAGACAGACTTATTTTTTAAAAAATAAATAAAAGTTACTCTGATAGGCTATAAGAGACAGGAATAGCATTAGAAGTCTTAAAAGCATAGCATGAGGAACACCACAATAACACACAGAAAACAAGGAAGATTTCAATAGTATATAACATGCCCCACACAGAGGCATAAAAAATTATGGCATGTTCTAAGAATTATGAGCAACTCAGGTAAAACATGTGAAACACTATCTAACACTTCATCCTTTCTTATAAAGTAATGGCAAAGGTGAGACTTTGTTCAAGAGGTTGGCAGAAAAGACGTTAGAAAAGCAGATCTGGCACAGATCATGTAGGGCCTTGTAGCTACACTAAGAAGTTTGGAGGAGATTTGGGCTTTATCCAGGTGATGAGAAGACACTCAAAGTGTCTGAGCAGTGAAGGCACATGATAAGTCACATAGTTAGAAAGATGAGCATTATGACCAGTGTGGAAAATGGACTGTATGAAAAGATACTGGAGCTAGGGAAACAATTAAACTAGCCCTAATAAAGATATAAATAAAAATAGCAGTTGTTGCCAAGGCAGTGTAGGAGGAAAAGTGGGGACAAATTCAAAAGATATTTACAGTATAGATTTCAAAGTAATAATGAGTTAGTGAGTAACTAAGCATAAATAATGAGGGAGAGAGTGATCCCATGCTTTCCAACTTAAACAGCTACATGAATTAACTACCTTTGACATGGGGATTCCAGAAGCAAAATTGGAAAAAAAAAAAAGTGTATTTTGAAAGAGAAGAATTCTAGGGACATTAGTTGACAAAACATTAGGATATTCATTGAAGGAATTGTAAATTCAGGGGACAGATGTGGAGAGCTGAAAAAATGGAGGGAGTATGGCTAGAAATAGAGATCGTGGAGACCTTGACAAATACATGGCACTTGCAGTCACATAACTGAAAAATATTGTCTAGAAAGAGCATTTAAAGGATCAATAAAATACTAAATAATCTTTTAGCTTCTCTTAAAATATCTATGATCCTTGCCATGTGAAAGATGTGAACCAAACAGGAAAATATCCAATATTTAATATCCTCACCTGTCTAAAGCAATGACAAAATTAAGTAAAAATGTATGCAATGCTACTGACATTCAACACTTTACTATTTAATCCATTTATTGTTGAGGTAGGTAATGGAGAGTAAGGTACCAAAAGAAGAAGAAGAATATTAATATAAATAAGTAACCAAAAATCCCCAGGACAGGGTTGAAGAGGAGATAATTCTAGAAAGCATAGAAAGATATGCTGCTGTTAATACTTTGATTGTTTTAAGAAGTTATATAGTAGGATAATAATAATAGTGGGTTCCATTTCTTTAATGTTACTGGAGTAACATTAGACACTCTGCTAAACACTTTATATATATTAGTTCACTGAAACCTGTGAGTTAGATAGTATTATAATTCACATATTATACATGATATAACTAAGGATTATAGCAATAAGTACCTTCTCTTAACCACTGCATTATAATGCCCAGTATGTCTGTATTAATACTTCCTGATTGTTAGATTCAGTTTTCCTCGTTGAATAAAAGGGGCTAAGTCCACTATCACCACTTCTATTCAATATTGTGCTAGAAGTTGAAGCCAGGGCAATTAAGCAAATAAAAGAAATAAAAGACATCCAGATTTGAAAGGAAGAAGTAAACCTCTTTATTCAAAGACAATATGGTTTGTATATAGAAAATCCTGCCCAAGTGTAGTACACACACTTGTAATCCCAGCTACTTGTAATCCCTCAAGAATAGCATGAGGCCAGGAGTTCAAGACTAGCCTGGGCAACTTAGTGAGACCCATATCTCTTTAAAAAATTTTTAAAAAATAACAGGCACGATGGCACACACCTATAATTCCAGCTACTTGGGAGGCTCAGGTGGGAAAATCACTTGAGCCAGGAGTTCAGTGCTGCAGTGAGCTATGATTGCACCACTGCACTCTAGCCTCGATGACAGAGCAAGTTCTTATCTCTAAAAAGAGAGAGGAGAGGAGGAGGAGGAGGAGGAGGGGCAGGAGGAGGAGGGGCAGGAGGAGGAGGGGCAGGAGGAGGAGGGGGAGAAGGAGGGGGAGGAGGAGGAGGGGGAGGAGGAGGAGGAAGAAGAAGAAGAATCCTAATGAATTCACTAGAATTAATAAATGACTTCATCAAGGTCACAGTACATAACCACACAAAAATCAATTGCATTTCTATACACTGCCAGTGAAGAGTCTGAAAATGAAACTAAGGAAATAATTCCACTCTCAATAGCATCAAAAAGAACATAATTCTTAGTATTAAATTTAACCAAAAATACGTAAGAGTTGTATGTCAAAAAAGATAAAACATCACTGAACAAAATTTTAAAATCTTAAACAAATGGAAAGACAATTTATGCTCATGACTCAGGAAACACATATTGTTAAAAATTCAATACTTTCCAAATTAATCTATAAGGTCAACACAATTTATCAAAATCCCTGCTGGCTTACATGCAGATATTGACAAAGTGATCCAAAAATTCATGTGGAAATACAAAGAACCCAAAATAAACAATCTTGAAAAAGAAGAATAAAATTGTAAGGCTCATACTTCTGATTTCAAAACATACTATAAAGTAGCCAAGAAAGTGTGGTACTGGCATAGGGACAGACATATATATCAATGTTATATAATTGGTAATCCAGAAATAAACCCTTACTTCTATGGTCAATTGTTTTTTAACAAAGGTACCAAAAAATTCAATGAAAAAAGGATAGTCATTTCAATACATGGTGCTTGGACAATTGGATATGCATATGCAAAATAATAATAGTAATAATTTGGACTCCTAAATCACACCATACACAAAAATTAACTCGAAATGAATTGTAGACCTAAATGTAAGTGCTAATACTTTATAAGTCTTAGATGAAAACATTGGAGTAAATATTTGTGACCTTGTGTTAGACAATGGTTTCTTAGATATGACAAATGACAAAATCATTAAGAAAATGAAAAGACAACCCAAAACATTGGAGAAAATATTGCAAGTCATACACATATCCAATAAAAGTCTTACACCTAGAATGTAAGAATATATAAAGAACTCAAACAACTCAATAAGAAAAAAATGGGCAAAAAAATTTGAAGAACACTTCTCCAAAGAAGTTATACAACTAACCAAGAAGCAAATTACAAGATGTTCAAGATCATTAGTCATTATGGAAATGCAAATAAAAACCATAAGATATACTTCATACACAGTAGAAATGAAAACACTCACACAAAGACTTGTACACAGATGTTCATATCAGCATTATTCACAATCAAGAAAAATTAGAAACAACTTAAGTATTCATCAACTGATAAATGGATAAATAATACATGGCACATTCATATAAAATAAATAATTTAGTCATAAAAAGGAATGAAGTACTGGGGGCTGGAGGGTAGGGCCAAACGCCCTTCCTCAAAAAAAAAAAAAAAAAAAAGAGGAATAAAGTATTGATTCATGGTACAACATGAATGAATCTTGAAAACATGCTCAGTGAAAGAAGCCAAGCATAAATGGCCACATAGTGAATGATTCCATTTATATGAAGTGTCCAGAATAGGCAAACATGTAGAGATAGAAAGTAGATTAGTGGTTGCTGGAGGCTGGAGAAAGAGACAATGGAAAGTGATGCTAATGTGTATAGACAAAGGTTCTTTTTTTTTAATTGTAAAAAAATACGAGCATATAAAATGTACCATCTTAACCATTTTAAAGTCTACAGTTCAATGGTATTAAATATATTCACATTATTGTGCAACCATCATCAACATCCACCTCCAGAACTCATTTTGTCTTGAAAACCGAAAACTCTGTTCCCATTTAATGCTAACTTCCAACTTCCACCTCCCACCAGCCCAGCCCCTGGCAACCACCATTCAACTTTTTGTCCCTATGAATTTAACTACTCTAGCTATCTCATATAAGTGAAATCATAGTGTATTTTTTTTGTGAGACAGCTTATTTCATTTAGCATAATTTCCTCAAAGTTCATCCGTGTTTTAGCATATGTCAGAAATTCCTTCCTAAGGTGGAATAATATTTTATTGTATCATATACCACCTTTAGTTTATCCGTTAATCTAACGATGGACACTTGGGTTGCTTCTACCTTTTGGCTCTTGTGAATAATGCTACTGTGAATATGGGTACACAAATATTTCTTCAAGACCCTGCTTTCAGTTCATTTGGATATGACCTGAAGTGGAATTGCTGGATAATATCAGATAGAGTTTCTTTTTAAGGTGATGAAAATGTTCAGCAATTAAATAATGGTAATGGTTGCACAACTCTGAATATACAAAAATCCACTGAACTACACACTCTTTTAAAAAGAGAAATTACATTTCTCTTTTGAGAGAGGCAAATAGGTCTTCATGAATTTGCTGTTTAACTATAATTCAAGTGAGGCAGTTTATCCATTAAATTCAACAAGCAAAAAATGCTTCAGTTTGTAAGTAATAGGATAAAGAGGGAAGGAGAAAATCGAGAAGGAAGAACAGAGCAAGAAATAACAGAAAGGAAGAACAAGAAAAACAATTTGATAGGCAAAAAAATAAAAAATAAAAATGGACATGGACCCATACACAAATTTGCATTAATGTGTAAACAATCAAAATTCTCTCAAACTTTTCTGAATCTTATCTCCCATTAAGACGCCCTTACACTAACCACAGCAACCCTCTTTCTCATCTCAAATTTCCTTCTAACATAAGCATGTAAATATGAGCTAAAGTGCTACTGTTATAATCTCCAATTCACTTAACTTATGGGGATCAAAGTAAATTATCATCTATTAAGCAGAACTGTTTGCTGGAATGGAAACCTGATTTAGGAGTCAGAAAACCTGGGTTCAATTCAATTCATCTATTTTCGAATCTCACATGCTGTCAAGTTGAAGTTCTGAATATAGTACTTGTGGTTGAAAACTCTGAATTTCTCATCATATTAGTAGTAATTGATTCAAAGATCTACTAAAATGCACTGAGAATTCAAAATACCCTTTATGGTTCATGTCAAGATGTGCCAACTACAAAATGCTATGAAATCAATATAACCTTGGAAGTAAAACTGCAGTTTGCTAAGTAAATTTCAGGAGATTTCCACAACAGAGGTCACAAATTTAGTGACATTTTTGACACAAAATAAAAGACATGAACTACTTTTCCTTAATACACAAAGGATTTTAAATTATTTTTTGGAAATATCATGAACACTTCATCTGTATTGATATTTTCATTAAACAAACGTGAGACTTCTTGAGTTTTACTGTTTACAGTCTAAGCATATACTTAAAGACTGGAAGGTAATGTGAGGGAAACGTTAGCTAAAATAATTTTTTAACATTTATTTAAATATGTCCTAATAATTTAAGATCTTCATATGCTATTGTTGTTGATTCTGTAAAATTTATGTGATGTTTACACACACCAAAAAAAAAGCAAAAGAAAATAAGAGAGTGAAAACGAACAACTGACCAGACACCCCAGATTTTAACATTCTGTAATAAGTTTTCATTCTTATAATCCTTATCACTCACTATTCACATTTCAACATTTCCAGAGAAACTCTATACAAAAAGCTGACTAGGTTTTCAGATTCAAAAAAGAATTCAAAAGCTTACTTTTGAATCTGAAAAGATGATATTGCTTCCCAGAAAGCTCTAATTCATGGCATATACAGTAATTATTAAAGATCATTATTCTCTGAGGAGAGCAGTGGACCTCTCATCACAGCGTTCGAACTCTGCTGAGGGACAGTCTGCCTCCTCAAGTGGGTCCCTGACCCCCATGTATACTGACTGGGAGATACCTCCCAGTTGGGGCCAACAGACGCCTCACACAGGAGAGATCTGGCTGGCATCTGGCAGATGCCCTGCTGGGTTGAAGCTTCCAGAGGAAAGAATAGGCTGCAATCTTTGCTGCTCTGCAGCCTCTGCTGGTGATACCCAGGCAAACAGGGTCAGGAGTGGACCTCCAGCAAACTCCAGCACACTGGCAGCAGAGGGGCCTGACTGTTTGAAGGAAAAGAAACAAACAGAAAGGATTAGCTTGTCCACTCAAAGACCCCATCCAAAGATCACCAACATCAAGACCAAAGGTAGATAAATCCACAAAGATGGGGAAAAACCAGCGCAAAAAGACTGAAAATTCCAAAAACCCAAATACCTTTCCTCCTCCAAAAGATCACAACTCCTTGCCAGCAAGGGAACAAAACTGGACAGAGAATGAGTTTGATGAACTGACAAAAGTAGGCTTCAGAAGGTGGGTAATAACAAACTTCTCCCAGCTAAAGGAGCATGATCTAACCCAATGCAAGGAAGCTAAGAACCTTGAAAAAATGTTAATCGAATTGCTAACTAGAATAATCCATGTAGAGAAGAACATAAATGACCTGATGGTGCTGAAAAACACAGCACAAGAACTTTGTGAAGCATACACAAGTTTCAATAGCCGAATCGATCAAGCGGAAGAAAGGATATCAGTGACTGAAGATCAACTTAATGAAATAAAGACAGAAGACAAGATTGGAGAAAAAAGAATAAAAAGGAATGAACAAAGCCTCCAAGAAATATGGGACTATGTGAAAAGACCACATCTATGTTTGACTGGCATACCTGAAAGTGACAGGGAGAATGAAACCAAGTTGGAAAATACTCTTCAGGATATTACCCAGGAGAACTTCCCCAACCTAGCAAGAGAGGCCAACATTCAAATTCAGGAAATACAGAGAACACCACAAACACATTCCTCGAGAAGAGCAACCCCAAGACACATAATCTTCAGATTCACCAAGGTTGAAAGGAAGGAAAAAATGTTAAGGGCAGCCAGAGGTAAAGGATGGATTACCCACAAAGGGAAGCCCATCAGACTGACAGTGGCTCTCTCTGTAGAAACCCTACAAGCCAGAAGGGAGTGGGGGCCAAAATTCAACGTTCTTAAAGAAAAGAATTTTCAACCCAGAATTTCATATCCAGCCAAACTAAGCTTCATAAGCAAATGAGAAATAAAATCCTTTACAGACAAGCAAATGCTGAGGGATTTTGTCACCACCAGACCTGCCTTACAAGAGCTCCTGAAGGAAGCACTAAACATGGAAAGGAACAACCAGTATCAGCCACTGCAAAAACATAGCAAATTGTAAAGAACATCAACACTATGATGAAACTGCATTAACTAACGGGCAAAACAACCAGCTAGCAGCATAATGACAGGATCAAATTCACACATAACAATATTAACCTTAAATGTAAACGGGCTAAATGCCCCAATTGAAAGACACAGACTGGCCAACTGGATAAAGAGGCAACATCCATCAGTGTGCTGTATTCAGGAGACCCATCTCACATGCAAAGACACAAATAGGCTCAAAATAAATGGATGGAGGAATATTCACCAAGCAAATGGAAAGCAAAAAAAAAAAAAAAAGCATGAGTTGCAATTCTAATCTCTGATAAAACAGACTTTAAACCAACAAATATCAAAAGAGACAAAGAAGGGCATTACATAATGGTAAAGGGAACAATGCAGCAAGAAGAGCTAACTATCCTAAATATATGTGCACTCAACACAGGAACACCCAGATTCATAAAGCAAGTTCTTAGAGACCTATAAAGAGACTTAGACTCCCACACAATAATAGTGGAAGACTTTAACACCCCACTGTCAATATTAGACAAATCAACAAGGCAGAAAATTAACAAGGATATTCAGGACTTGAACTTAGCTCTGGACCAAGAGGACCTAATAGACCTCTATAGAACTCTTCACCCCAAATCAACAGAATATACATTCTTCTCAGCACCTCATAGCACTTATTCTAAAATTGACCACATAATTGGAAGTAAAACACTCCTCAGCAAATGTAAAAGAACAGAAATTATAAGAAACTGTCTCTCAGACCACAGTGCAATCAAACTAGAACTCAGGGTTAAGAAACTCACTCAAAGCTACACAACTACATGGAAACCGAACAACCTGCTCCTGAATGACTACTGGGTAAATAACAGGATGAAGGCAGAAATAAAGATGTTCTTAGAAACCAATGTGAACGAAGATACAACATACCAGACTCTCTGGGACACATTTAAAGCAGTGTGTAGAGGGAAATTTATAGCACTAAATGCCACAGAGAAAGCAGGAAAGATCTAAAATTGACATCCTAACATCACAATTAAAAGAACTAGAGAAGCAACAGCAAACAAATTCAAATGCTAGCAGAAGACATGAAATAACTAAGATCAGAGCAGAACAGAAGGAGATAGAGACAGGAAAATCCTTTCAAAAAATCAATGAATCCAGGAGCTGGTTTTTTGAAAAGATCAAAATAGATAGACTGCTAGCAAGACTAATAAAGAAGAAAAGAGAGAAGAATCAGATAGACACAATAAAATATGATATAGGGGATATCACCACTGATCCCACAGAAACACAAACTACTATCAGAGAATACTATAAACACCTCTATGCAAATAAACTAGAAAATCTAGAAAAAATGGATAAATTCCTGGATACATACACCCTCCCAAGTCTAAGCCAGGAAGAAGTTGAATCCCTGAATAGACCAATAACAGGTCCTGAAATTTAGGCAGTAATTAATAGGCTACCAACCAAAAAAAGTCCAGGACCAGATGGATTCACAGCCAAATTCTCCCGGAGGTACAAAGAGGAGCTGGTACCACTCCTTCTGAAACTATTCCAATCAATAGAAAAAGAGGGAATCCTCCCTAACTCATTTTATGAGGCCAGCATCATCCTGATACCAAAATCTGGCAGAGACACAACAAAAAAAGAAAATTTCAGACCAATATCCCTGATGAACATCGATGCGAAAATCCTCAATAAAATACTGGTAAACTGAATCCAGTAGCACATCACAAAGCTTATCCACCATGATCAAGTGGGCTTCATCCCTAGGATGCAAGGCTGGTTCAACATATGCAAATCAATAAACGTAATCCATCACATAAACAGAACCAACAACAAAAACGACATGATTATCTCAATAGATGCAGAAAAGCCTTCGATAAAATTCAACACCTCCTCATGCTAAAAACTCTCATAAATTGGGCATTGATGGAACACATCTCAAAATAATAAGCTATTTATGACAAACCCACAGGCAATATCATTCTGAATGCGCAAAAACTGGAAGCATTCCTTTTAAAAACTGGACAAGACAAGGATGCCCTCTCTCACCACTCCTATTCAACATAGTATTGGAAGTTCTGGCCAGGACAATCACGCAAGAGAAAGAAATAAAGGGTATTCAAATAGGAAGTGAGGAAGTCAAATTGTCTCTGTTTGCAGATGACATGATTGTGTATTTAGAAAACCCCATCGTCTCAGCCTGAGACCTCCTTAAACTGATAAGCAACTTCAGCAAAGTCTCAGGATAAAAATCAATGTGCAAAACTCACAAGCATTCCTTTTTTTTTTTTTTTTTTTTTTTTTTGAGATGGCGTCTCACTCTGTCACCCAGGCTGGAGTGCAGTGGCGCGATCTCGGCTCACCGCAAGCTCCGCCTCCTGGGTTCATGCCATTCTCCTGCCTCAGCCTCCCAAGTAGCTGGGACCACAGGCACCCACCACCATGCCTGCCTAATTTTTTGTATTTTTAGTAGAGACAGGGTTTCACCGTGTTAGCCAGGATGGTCTCAAACTCCCGACCTTGTGATCCGCCCGCCTTGGCCTCCCAAAGTGCTGGGATTACAGGCGTGAGCCACCGCACCTGGCCAAAACTCACAAGCATTCTTATACACCAATAACAGACAGAGAGCCACATCATGAGTGAACTTCCATTCACAATTGCTACTAAGAGAATAAAATACCTGGGAATACAACTTATAAGGGATGTAAAGGACCTCTTCAAGGAGAACTACAAACCACTGCTCAAGGCCATAAGAGAGGACACAAACAAATGTAAAAACATCCCATGCTCATGGATAGGAAGAATCAATATCGTGAAAATGGCCATACTGCCCAAAGTAATTTACAGATTCAATGCTATCTCCATCAAGCTACCACTGACTTTCTTCACAGAATTGGAAAAAACTACTTTAAATTTCATATGGAGCCAAAAAAAAAAAAAAACAGCCTGCATATTCAAGACAATCCTGGGCAAGAAGAACAAAGCTGGAGGCATCATGCTACCTAACTTCAAACTATACTACAAGGCTACAGTAACCAAAACAGCATGGTACTGGTACCAAAACAGATTTATAGACCAATGGAACAGAACAGAGGCCTCAGAAATAACACCAGACAGCTACAACCATCTGATCTTTGACAAACCTGACACACACAGGCAATGAGGAAAATATTCCCTATTTAATAAATAGTGTTGGGAAAACTGGCTAGCCATATGCAGAAAACTAAAACTGGACCCCTTCCTTACACCTTTTACAAAAATCATCAGAGTGAACAGGCAACCTACAGAATGGGAGAAAATTTTTGCAATCTATCCATCAGACAAAGGGCTGATATCCAGAATCTACAAGGAACTTAAACAAATTTACAAGAAAAAACAATCAACCCCATCAAAAAACGGGCAAATCAAAATCACAATGAGATACCATCTCACGCCAGTTAGAATGGCAATCATCAAAAAGTCAGGAAACAACAAATGTTGGAGAGGTTGTGGAAAAATAGAAATGCTTTTCCACTGTAGCAGGAGTGTAAATTAGTTCAACCATTGTGGAAGACAGTGCAGCCATTCCCCAAGGATCTAGAACTGAAAATACCATTTGACCCAGCAATCCCATTACTGGGCAGAATCCCAAAGGATTATAAATTGTTCTATGATAAAAACATATGCACACATATGTTTATTGTGGCACTATTCACAATAGCAAACACTTGGAACCAACTGAAATGCCCATCAATGATAGACTGGATTAAGAAAATGTGGCACATATACACCATGAAATACTATGTAGCTATAAAAAAGGATGAGTTCATGTCCTTTACAGGAACATGGATGAAGCTGGAAACCATGATTCTCAGCAAACTGTCACAAGACCAGAAAACCAAACGCCGCATGTTCTCACTCATAAGTGGGAGCTGAACAATGAGAACACAGGGACACAGGGAGGAGAACATCACATACCGGAGCCTATCGGGGGCTGGGGGCCTAGGGGAGGGATGACATTAGCAGAAATACCTAATGTAGGTGACAGGTTGATGGGTGCAGCAAACCACCAGGGCACGTGTATACCTATGTAACAAACCTGCATGTTCTGCACGTGTAACCCAGAACTTAAAGTATAATTTAAAAAATATGTATTAGCTGGGCGTGGTGGTGTGTGCCTGTAGTCCCAGCTACTCAGGAGGCTGAGGCAGGAGAATCGCTTGAACCCGGGGAGCAGAGGTTGCAGCAAGCTGAGGTTGCAGTGAGCCGAGACTGTGCCACTGCACTCCAGCCTGGCAACAGAGCGAGACTCCGTCTTAAAAAAAAAAAAAAAAAAGAATGAGGAAATTTGACATTTGGAACCTACATTCAAATCCCATTTGTTAGCTGTGAGACCTTGGGTAAGTTCATGAACCTCTCTCTGTGAGTCATTCGTGGAAAAGGGTCATAGATCCACCCATTACTGGGGCCATGAGGTATACATGAAGAATAATGTTTATCTGGAAACTCACAGGGTGAAAGACCACAGACTCCAAAGATCTCCTGTCCTCATGCCACCTACGAGCTGAGTTGGGCAGGGGTGGCTGGTGCCACAGTCTGGATATGGTTTGTTTATCCCCACAAAAGCTCATGTTGAAATTGGATCCCCAGTGTGGTAGCATTTGGGAAGTGGGGGGCTTTGTGGGAGGTGTTTGGGCTCCAGATCCCTCAGGAATGGCTTGGTGCTGCTCTCAGGTTAGTGAGTTCTGGCTCTCTGAGACTGGATTAGTTCCCATAGGAATGGATTAGTTCCCATCAGAGTGAGTTGCTATAAAGCCAGGAGACTCCTCGGCTCTCCCCCTCTTCACTCATGTCCACTTCCCTTTGACCTTCTCTGCCATGTTGTAACTTGGCACAAAAGCCCTCACCAGAAGCCAAGGCTATGCCCTTAAACTTCTCAGCCAGAAGAATTATGAGCTAAATAAACCTCTTTTCTTCATTAAAAATGAATAAATAAGTAAATAAAAATCATTCTTATCTGTGATGGCTGAAGTACTTTGTGAAAGAGGTGGTCTTTGGTGGTTAACACTTAAATAAATGGAAAAAATTGGGGAATCAATTCCAAACTGCATGAATAGTATGAGCAAAGGAAAAATTTCACGTGGCATGTCCAGAAATGGCAACAGTTATACCAGTGCATTTAGAGCTGAGATTTCATACAACGATGTTTCAGGGCATGGTCTCATTGGTTTGAGTTCAGCTCAATCTCTGCCATCTTAGGTGATTTCTAACCTTACTGAGCCTCAGAATTCTTATCTATGCTTTCATCAAAGTATAACGAATATTAAACCAGATCACTTAGCAAAATGCCTTGAATAAAATGGGTTCTCAGTAAGTATTAACTATGAGTGTCTCATGAGGGAAGTGTGAGCCAAGATTGGAGATGTGGTTAAGAGGCATATTGTAGATGATCTAAAGAGCGAAGCATGCCTGGAATTTCTGAGCAAAGTCACCCTCAATAAACCTATACTCACATAACCTCTAATTCCACAGTGTAAATAAAAAACCACTGTGGACCCATGGTCTCATATATAGCAATTAAATATACAGGTTCTTGTACTCAAACAGAGATTTAATGAATCAGATTCTCCAGAGCTGCGACATGAGAAATTTGCCTTTGTTTAAATGATTATAATGGATAGCCAGGCTTGGGAACTACTGCCTTAGACCACAAAGTCCAAGAAAAATGTAGCCAAGACATGAAAATGTAGAACTAGAGGGGAAAAGCCTTTAATAATAGCCAGATACTTTATTCTACTAAAATTAAGGATATTAATGAAACCAATCCTCCCCAAAGTCACGCCTTGTATCTTGTCATCACAGAAACTGCACTACTTCTACAATCAAATCAAACATCTCCATTGCTCACCATGACTTCCTCCCATCCATTGTTCATGTTCATCTACTATGACTGTTTGGGGGCTATATTTGTTTGCTGAGGCTATTGTAACAAAATATCACAGTCTGGTTGGCTTAAACAATAGACATTATTTTCTCACAGGTCTACAGTCTTTCATCCACAATCCCCTCTCCAAACTTACTTCCCTAATTAACCTTTCTCATTTTGGGATCTTGGCTTAAGCACCACATACTCAGTAAGCCTTCAAGACACAATCTAGGTCTTTGCTGTTGCTCTAATAAAAATATATGTCTTCACTTAAAAGCCCAACTCAGGTTTGTAATTAAATACTTTTTTGGAGTCGTTGTGTGATTAACATCTACCTCCTGTGCTAAGCAAAAATTCCATTTAGTATCAAATTTAACACTATTAACTCCTTGACAGCAAGGACAATGTATATTTTTGATCACCCTTGATTTCTGTTGCCCAGTTCCTGACACTTTTTAGGCACTCAGTATTTGTTGAATAAACAAAAGCAAACATGGATTTCTAAATAAAACGGCCTTGCCCATAGCCACTGAGAAAGGCAGGCAACCATATTTTGTACCATAATGCCAGCAAAATACTTAGCATGGCTGATTTGACCAAACGTAGTAGATTAGCACCTTAAAACTTAGTGGTTTTAAACAACAGCCATTAATTTAGCTCATGATTATATGGGGCAGTAATTATTTGTGCTGGACTAACGGGTTGACCTAACTGACCTGGACCAGGGTTAGCTGATCTTGGTTGGGCTCACTCATGCATTTTGCTGTCAGCTGCCAGGTGTCTGGGGGCTGCCTAGTCTAAGATGACTCAGCAGGGACTGCTTATCTCTGTTCATCTGGTCTCTCCAAGAAGCCTAGCCCAAGCATATTCGCATAGCCTGTTTCCAAGTGCTCAAAGCCTCCAGAGGACCAAGCAACAACTGCACATCATCTCTGCTCCATTATATTGGCCAAAGCGAGTCATTAGGCTGGCCCAGATTCAAGGATAGAGAAATAGACTCCATTTCTTAGTGACAGGAGCTGCAAAGCTATACTGCAAAGGTGTGGCTACAGGGAGGGATGGGGAATTATGACTCTTTGCAATCTACCATACCATGAACTGGAAGGCCAATGACTTATGGCATGATATGGAATACAAAGGCGGGCTAAGACAATAAGATTCTTATTCTTAGGAATCTGAAGAATGCAGAAACACAAGGAGATGGAGCAATTTTTAAGAGCTGAAGCTAAAAGCAGTCAGGCAGGACAATGTCAGTGAGCTCTATGCCAGCCAGAACTATAAAGAAATTAAAGATCTGAATAAGCAAGGGAAATTGGCAGAGAAAGAATGGCTCAGACACAGAACCAATTCAGAGATGCTATGGGAGAGACCCTGAAAAAGATGGAGAAAGAAGCTGGAAATTTGAGCTGTTTTAGTTCCTCTTCACCAATACATACTTCCTATAATTGATCCCAGTTTCTTTCAGGCTGAATTCTTCACAACCAAAAGTCTAACAAAATCAGTATGTGATAAGTATACATGAAATCTTTTCTTTTTCTTTTTCTTTTTCATTCTTTCTAAATAGAACTATCTCACCCAACCATCCACACACACAAAAAAAAAAGGAAAAAAAGCTGCTTCTTTGAATGCACAGATAAATTTTATGACAAGGAGAAGCAGAAGTTTGATAGCACAAGCTTCCAAACAGCACAGTACAGTAAATAGATACAAGTGACAAAATAAGATTAATTTCCATGAAAGAAAATATTCAATTTTCACACTGGAAAAGGTCGATGTTCATACATAGGTGTGCCAGAGATACCCCTTTTAAGTCCATCTTGCATTTCTCCAATGTTTTCCATTTGAGAATCACTGATACAAAGAAACATGGGTTTCATTACAAGATCTAAACACTGCAATCTGCATGAAGAAAATCATATTACAAGCTAAATATTATCCATTTGGATTTGCAGCCAAGTTACAGTCCACTAAATCCTAAGTACTTTTTTTTCCCAACTAAAGCTATATTGCATTTCAACTCTCTTGTTAGAAACTGATGCTAGGAATTGACAAGATAATAGGATGGAGAAAGTTTTCGGATCTCATTTACAGCAGATCGGAGAAGGGTCAGTTTCTCAGGTAATGAAGCATTGTCTGGTTGCCCCTAAATCACTCCATACTATTCCCAGTCCCCAGAGGCTTAGACAGCACCTGCATTATCACTGTCCTTCAGAGCTTTATTCTAATACCTCAAAAAAGAAAAGTTATAATAAATGATCTGGGATTTCAGAGACACAAATGCCAAACTTCAGATTTGAGTTAAAAAATAATAATCTACAATCTTCCTTATAAGAGAGAGAAAGACACTTAAAACTTACAGAAACAGCTTTTAATTTATATCTGACACTAGATCTTTTCGTCTGATTTGTTCTTTCTCAAACTAATGTGTCTTGAACGTGCCCCTTGACAACTTGCTGCTAACAAAACGCAGAGGAAAATAAAGGTTCACTACCTCTGCCTCGCATTGCAATTTTATTCTCATGACTCCAAGCCTCAATCTATACATATTTTCCCTCTACTCTTACCTTATAAAATAGTACCTGACCCTGTGAGGGATGTGTTTGGCTTCCCTGAGAATGCAGGGAACAAAGATTAATAAAGGAGAAAAATAGTCCTTAATATTTACTTCAATTTTAGTATCAAATAGCTGTCTTTAGCCTCATGCTTAATTCAATTAATCCCACACAGAATCTCCTGACATTTTGAGGGACATAAGGCTTTTATAGAGTACCCAGGGTTTCTAGAATGACATTTGGTATACTATGATAGGCACCTAAATAAGGGACTCTCTTGTCAGGCTTACTAGCATTCACAAGTGTAAGGAGAAGCAGTATTTATCTGCAAACATCATTATACTCCAGAAAGAATGTTCTAGTAGAAGCCATTGTGAATTAGTCCAGAAACTTCAACTCAGCAAAAATTCACACAAGTTCAAAACTTTTTAACCAGCCCTTCCAGGCCTTTATATCATAAAATCATGATATAAAATCAGGAGCCAAACAAATACCATACATACTACCATTGCGGATCATATTTTATATTCTATTAAATTCCTCATTGCATCAGCTTGATTTATTTGAGTCCTGGTCTATGAGCCTGTGCTAATTTATAGTAATTAATTCACATTCATGTCCTCATTGATTCCAAAAACCTGTCTCCACTTCCTGATACTTTACTCTACACCAGTTTGCATGAACCTCTCTTCAGACAAGCATTCTTTTGGATTGCTGTACAGATTTGTGTGCATGACCAGAGGAAAGGAAAATAATTTCAAGACAGAACAAACACGATAAGGTCATTGAAAAGACATATATATTCATACATACAGGTAAGGTCTCTTATACAAAGTATTTAGCACACAAGTGAGAATATTCACTCTCTCTTTCTTTCTTAAAAGAAAGACTTTAGGCCAGGACACCGTGACTCATGCCTGTAATCCCAGCACTTTTGGGAGAACAAGGTGGGAGAATTGCTTGAAGCTAGGAACTTAAGACCAGCCTGAGCAACACAGCAAGACCCAGTCTCTACCAAAAATAATATATAAAAATTAGCCAGTTGTGGTGGCATGCCTGTAGTCCCAGCTATTCTGGAGCCTGAGGTGGGAGGATCCCTTGAGGTTAGGAGTTGGAGGCTGCAGTGAGCTCTCATCAACCCACTGCACTCCAGCCGAGGCAACTGAGTAAGACCCTGTCTCAAAAAACAAATCAGTGAATCAGATTCAAATTTAACTCTTTAAATTTATTGCTATTTTACAACATAACAGAAATAGTGGCATTACTATTACCAGGACTATCCAGAGCCTGACCAGGAGGACCCAGCCTGGGGCAGAGAGGGCCTCTGGGACTAAAATAGGAAGGTCTGTGGGATATTCACTGTATATTTACAACATTCTTTCTACAATTATATTAGAACCAAAAACACTGTCCAGAGGTTCTTCTGAGAAGAAAGCTATAATGAATGTATTCTTAAGATGGACAGTAACAACTAAAATGGTTCAATTGAGCGTTACTTTGTTTGGGTTTTGGTTTTGGCTTAATTTGGTTTGGGCAGCTTTAATTCTGTCCTTCTGCTTCAAATAATATACAAGCCACACTATGAATTAGCTTCCAATTTTCCCGCAATCTTATCTATGTTTTCTTCTTTTTTTTTATTTTTTTTATTTTTAATGTTTTTTTTTTTGTTATTATACTCTAAGTTTTAGGGTACATGTGCACATTGTGCAGGTTAGTTACATATGTATACATGTGCCATGCTGGTGCGCTGCACCACTAACGTGTCATCTAGCATTAGGTATATCTCCCAATGCTATCCCTCCCCCCTCCCCCGACCCCACCACAGTCCCCAGAGTGTGATATTCCCCTTCCTGTGTCCATGTGATCTCATTGTTCAATTCCCACCTATGAGTGAGAATATGCGGTGTTTGGTTTTTTGTTCTTGCAATAGTTTACTGAGAATGATGGTTTCCAATTTCATCCATGTCCCTACAAAGGACATGAACTCATCATTTTTTATGGCTGCATAGTATTCCATGGTGTATATGTGCCACATTTTCTTAATCCAGTCTATCATTGTTGGACATTTGGGTTGGTTCCAAGTCTTTGCTATTGTGAATAGTGCCGCAATAAACATACGTGTGCATGTGTCTTTATAGCAGCATGATTTATAGTCCTTTGGGTATATACCCAGTAATGGGATGGCTGGGTCAAATGGTATTTCCAGTTCTAGATCCCTGAGGAATCGCCACCCTGACTTCCACAATGGTTGAACTAGTTTACAGTCCCACCAACAGTGTAAAAGTGTTCCTATTTCTCCACATCCTCTCCAGCACCTGTTGTTTCCTGACTTTTTAATGATTGCCATTCTAACTGGTGTGAGATGATATCTCATAGTGGTTTTGATTTGCATTTCTCTGATGGCCAGTGATGATGAGCATTTCTTCATGTGTTTTTTGGCTGCATAAATGTCTTCTTTTGAGAAGTGTCTGTTCATGTCCTTTGCCCACTTTTTGATGGGGTTGTTTGTTTTTTTCTTGTAAATTTGTTTGAGTTCATTGTAGATTCTGGATATTGGCCCTTTGTCAGATGAGTAGGTTGTGAAAATTTTCTCCCATGTTGTAGGTTGCCTGTTCACTCTGATGGTAGTTTCTTTTGCTGTGCAGAAGCTCTTTAGTTTAATGAGATCTCATTTGTCAATTTTGGCTTTTGTTGCCATTGCTTTTGGTGTTTTGGACATGAAGTCCTTGCCCACGCCTATGTCCTGAATGGTAATGCCTAGGTTTTCTTCTAGGGTTTTTATGGTTTTAGGTCTAACGTTTAAATCTTTAATCCATCTTGAATTGATTTTTGTATAAGGTGTCAGGAAGGGATCCAGTTTCAGCTTTCTACATATGGCTAGCCAGTTTTCCCAGCACCATTTATTAAATAGGGAATCCTTTCCCCATTGCTTGTTTTTCTCAGGTTTCTCAAAGATCAGATAGTTGTAGATATGCGGCATTATTTCTGAGGGCTCTCTTCTGTTCCATTGATCTATATCTCTGTTTTGGTACCAGTACCATGCTGTTTTGGTTACTGTAGCCTTGTAGTATAGTTTGAAGTCAGGTAGTGTGATGCCTCCAGCTTTGTTCTTTTGGCTTAGGATTGACTTGGCGATGCGGGCTCTTTTTTGGTTCCATATGAACTTTAAAGTAGTTTTTTCCAATTCTGTGAAGAAAGTCATTGGTAGCTTGATGGGGACGGCATTGAATCTGTAAATTACCTTGGGCAGTATGGCCATTTTCACGATATTGATTCTTCCTACCCATGAGCATGGAATGTTCTTCCATTTGTTTGTGTCCTCTTTTATTTCCTTGAGCAGTGGTTTGTAGTTCTCCTTGAAGAGGTGCTTCACATCCCTTGTAAGTTGGATTCCTAGGTATTTTATTCTCTTTGAAGCAATTGTGAATGGGAGTTCACTCATGATTTGGCTCTCTGTTTGTCTGTTGTTGGTGTATAAGAATGCTTGTGATTTTTGTACATTGATTTTGTATCCTGAGACTTTTCTAAAGTTGCTTAACAGCTTAAGGAGATTTTGGGCTGAGACAATGGGGTTTTCTAGATAAACGATCATGTCGTCTGCAAACAGGGACAATTTGACTTCCTCTTTTCCTAATTGAATACCCTTTATTTCCTTCTCCTGCCTGATTGCCCTGGCCAGAACTTCCAACACTATGTTGAATAGGAGCGGTGAGAGAGGGCATCCCTGTCTTGTGCCAGTTTTCAAAGGGAATGCTTCCAGTTTTTGCCCATTCAGTATGATATTGGCTGTGCGTTTGTCATAGATAGCTCTTATTATTTTGAAATACGTCCCATCAATACCTAATTTATTGAGAGTTTTTAGCATGAAGGGTTGTTGAATTTTGTCAAAGGCTTTTTCTGCATCTATTGAGATAATCATGTGGTTTTTGTCTTTGGCTCTGTTTATATGCTGGATTACATTTATTGATTTGCGTATATTGAACCAGCCTTGCATCCCAGGGATGAAGCCCACTTGATCACGGTGGATAAGCTTTTTGATGTGCTGCTGGATTCGGTTTGCCAGTATTTTATTGAGGATTTTTGCATCAATGTTCATAAAGGATATTGGTCTAAAATTCTCTTTTTTGGTTGTGTCTCTGCCCGGCTTTGGTATCAGAATGATGCTGGCCTCATAAAATGAGTTAGGGAGGATTCCCTCTTTTTCTATTGATTGGAATAGTTTCAGAAGGAATGGTACCAGTTCCTCCTTGTACCTCTGGTAGAATTCGGCTGTGAATCCATCTGGTCCTGGACTCTTTTTGGTTGGTAAACTATTGATTATTGCCACAATTTCAGAGCCTGTTATTGGTCTATTCAGAGATTCAACTTCTTCCTGGTTTAGTCTTGGGAGAGTGTATGTGTCGAGGAATGTATCCATTTCTTCTAGATTTTCTAGTTTATTTGCGTAGAGGTGTTTGTAGTATTCTCTGATGGTAGTTTGTATTTCTGTGGGATCGGTGGTGATATCCCCTTTATCATTTTTTATTGTGTCTATTTGATTCTTCTCTCTTTTTTTCTTTATTAGTCTTGCTAGCGGTCTATCAATTTTGTTGATCCTTTCAAAAAACCAGCTCCTGGATTCATTGATTTTTTGAAGGGTTTTTTGTGTCTCTATTTCCTTCAGTTCTGCTCTGATTTTAGTTATTTCTTGCCTTCTGCCAGCTTTTGAATGTGTTTGCTCTTGCTTTTCTAGTTCTTTTAATTGTGATGTTAGGGTGTCAATTTTGGATCTTTCCTGCTTTCTCTTGTAGGCGTTTAGTGCTATAAATTTCCCTCTACACACTGCTTTGAATGCGTCCCAGAGATTCTGGTATGTGGTGTCTTTGTTCTCGTTGGTTTCAAAGAACATCTTTATTTCTGCCTTCATTTCGTTATGTACCCAGTAGTCATTCAGGAGCAGGTTGTTCAGTTTCCATGTAGTTGAGCGGCTTTGAGTGAGATTCTTAATCCTGAGTTCTAGTTTGATTGCACTGTGGTCTGAGAGATAGTTTGTTATAATTTCTGTTCTTTTACATTTGCTGAGGAGAGCTTTACTTCCAACTATGTGGTCAATTTTGGAATAGGTGTGGTGTGGTGCTGAAAAAAATGTATATTCTGTTGATTTGGGGTGGAGAGTTCTGTAGATGTCTATTAGGTCTGCTTGGTGCAGAGCTGAGTTCAATTCCTGGGTATCCTTGTTGACTTTCTGTCTCGTTGATCTGTCTAATGTTGACAGTGGGGTGTTAAAGTCTCCCATTATTAATGTGTGGGAGTCTAAGTCTCTTTGTAGGTCACTCAGGACTTGCTTTATGAATCTGGGTGCTCCTGTATTGGGTGCATAAATATTTAGGGTAGTTAGCTCCTCTTGTTGAATTGATCCCTTTACCATTATGTAATGGCCTTCTTTGTCTCTTTTGATCTTTGTTGGTTTAAAGTCTGTTTTATCAGAGACTAGGATTGCAACCCCTGCCTTTTTTTGTTTTCCATTGGCTTGGTAGATCTTCCTCCATCCTTTTATTTTGAGCCTATGTGTGTCTCTGCACGTGAGATGGGTTTCCTGAATACAGCACACTGATGGGTCTTGACTCTTTATCCAACTTGCCAGTCTGTGTCTTTTAATTGCAGAATTTAGTCCATTTATATTTAAAGTTAATATTGTTATGTGTGAATTTGATCCTGTCATTATGATGTTAGCTGTTGATTTTGCTCATTAGTTGATGCAGTTTCTTCCTAGTCTCGATGGTCTTTACATTTTGGCATGATTTTGCAGCGGCTGGTACCGGTTGTTCCTTTCCATGTTTAGCGCTTCCTTCAGGAGCTCTTTTAGGGCAGGCCTGGTGGTGACAAAATCTCTCAGCATTTGCTTGTCTATAAAGTAGTTTATTTCTCCTTCACTTATGAAGCTTAGTTTGGCTGGATATGAAATTCTGGGTTGAAAATTCTTTTCTTTAAGAATGTTGAATATTGGCCCCCACTCGCTTCTGGCTTGTAGAGTTTCTGCCGAGAGATCCGCTGTTAGTCTGATGGGCTTTCCTTTGAGGGTAACCCGACCTTTCTCTCTGGCTGCCCTTAACATTTTTTCCTTCATTTCAACTTTGGTGAATCTGACAATTATGTGTCTTGGAGTTGCTCTTCTTGAGGAGTATCTTTGTGGCGTTCTCTGTATTTCCTGAATCTGAACGTTGGCCTGCCTTGCTAGATTGGGGAAGTTCTCCTGGATAATATCCTGCAGAGTGTTTTCCAACTTGGTTCCATTCTCCACATCACTTTCAGGTACACCAATCAGACGTAGATTTGGTCTTTTCACATAGTCCCATATTTCTTGGAGGCTTTGCTCATTTCTTTTTATTCTTTTTTCTCTAAACTTCCCTTCTCGCTTCATTTCATTCATTTCATCTTCCATTGCTGATAACCTTTCTTCCAGTTGATCGCATCGGCTCCTGAGGCTTCTGCATTCTTCACGTAGTTCTCGAGCCTTGGTTTTCGCTCCATCAGCTCCTTTAAGCACTTCTCTGTATTGGTTATTCTAGTTATACATTCTTCTAAATTTATTTCAAAGTTTTCAACTTCTTTGCCTTTGGCTTGAATGTCCTCCCGTAGCTCAGAGTAATTTGATCCTCTGAAGCCTTCTTCTCTCAGCTCGTCATTCTCCATCCAGCTTTGTTCCATTGCTGGTGAGGAACTGCGTTCCTTTGGAGGAGGAGAGGCGCTCTGCGTTTTAGAGTTTCCAGTTTTTCTGTTCTGTTTTTTCCCCATCTTTGTGGTTTTATCTACTTTTGATCTTTGATGATGGTGATGTACAGATAGGTTTTCGGTGTAGATGTCCTTTCTGGTTGTTAGTTTTCCTTCTAACAGACAGGACCCTCAGCTGCAGGTCTGTTGGAATACCCTGCCGTGTGAGGTGTCAGTGTGCCCCTGCTGGGGGGTGCCTCCCAGTTAGGCTGCTCGGGGGTCAGGGGTCAGGGACCCACTTGAGGAGGCAGTCTGCCCGTTCTCAGATCTCCAGCTGCGTGCTGGGAGAACCACTGCTCTCTTCAAAGCTGTCAGACAGGGACACTTAAGTCTGCAGAGGTTACTGCTGTCTTTTTGTTTGTCTGTGCCCTGCCCCCAGAGGTGGAGCCTACAGAGGCAGGCAGGCCTCCTTGAGTTGTGGTGGGCTCCACCCAGTTCGAGCTTCCCGGCTGCTTTGTTTACCTAAGCAAGCCTGGGCAATGGTGGGCGCCCCTCCCCCAGCCTCGTTGCCGCCTTGCAGTTTGATCTCAGACTGCTGTGCTAGCAATCAGCGAGATTCCGTGGGCGTAGGACCCTCTGAGCCAGGTGTGGGATATAGTCTCGTGGTGCGCCGTTTCTTAAGCCGGTCTGAAAAGCGCAATATTCGGGTGGGAGTGACCCGATTTTCCAGGTGCGTCCGTCACCCCTTTCTTTGACTCGGAAAGGGAACTCCCTGACCCCTTGCGCTTCCCAGGTGAGGCAATGCCTCACCCTGCTTCGGCTCGCGCACGGTGCGCGCACACACTGGCCTGCGCCCACTGTCTGGCACTCCCTAGTGAGATGAACCCGGTACCTCAGATGGAAATGCAGAAATCACCGGTCTTCTGCGTCGCTCACCCTGGGAGCTGTAGACCGGAGCTGTTCCTATTCGGCCATCTTGGCTCCTCCACCCTATGTTTTCTTTTCTTTTCTTTTTTTTTTTTTTTTGAGACAGAGTCTCAATCTGTCACCCAGGCTGGAGTGCAGTGGCTCAATCTCAGCTCACTGGAACCTCCACCTCCCGGATTTAAGGGATTCTCCTGCTTCAGCCTCCCAAGTAGCTAAGACTATAGGCATGCACCACCACACTCGGCTAATTTCTGTATTTTTAGTAGAGATGGGGTTTCACCATGCTGGCCAGGCTGGTCTTGAACTCCTGACCTCAAGTGACCCACCTGCCTCCGCCTCCTAACGTGCTGGAATTACAGGTGTGAGCCACCGCATCTGGCCTTTTCATTTACTTCTACTTACCTATCCTCTTCGGTAAATTCTTAAAATCTATTATGATTATAAATATACCTTACATTAATGTTTCATTTAGTATACAAGAACTCACATATCATATTAATTTAAGTCTTATAATAACTCCATGCAATATATATTACTGTTACTACTCTAAAAATAAAGAAAAAAGGATTAAAATAACTGATTTATTTTTAGTCCTAGTAACAGCTAACATTTATTGAGTACTTGTAATGAGCAAGGCCTTGTGCTAGGTGCTATATCAGCACTGTTTTTTAATTCTCTCAATGACCCAGTGAGGTAGATATTATTAACCTTCCTTATGCTACAGATGAGAAAACATAATTTCTAGCAAGCTTAAGTAACTTGCCCACCATCACATAGCTAGTAACTGGCATAGCCAAGATTTTCCTGAGGTTACATAACCACCAAACAGCAGGCCCAGCACTAGAACCTAGGTTTTCTGATTCTGAATCTGGGGCAAACCTATTACTGTTCTTTTCTTTCCACTTCATGCTCTGTATTATGGCAAAACACATTTGGTTGCCTTCTTTGGTTCAAACATTCTAAATAAAAAGTGTTGGAAGGCATCCTAATAAACGGAAGTATTTTCTCTAGCAGTTATGCTTCACACACAAGGAAGAGCAGAAAGAGTTAAAAGACATCACTGAACTGATTTACCCTGTAATTTATCTGGTGCTATAAAAATGAACGACTTCTTTAGTTTCCTGACGGCTTTGCTGTCTTAAAGGTGAAATGCCCTCCGGGTTCATAAATAGGTTTTGTTCTTTTGGAGTGCTCAATGTTCCAAAGTGTTTTTTATCTTTAAAATATTAAGTAAACACTGCATAGCACTTAAATGGGCTCTGGGGATATTTCTGGTTTGATTCTGGCCCTTCAGCAAAGCTACTCAAGTAGAGATCTGGAGAACTAATCAAAAGAAAACTAAATTCACAGCAGTCTCTAAATATTTTATAGCATCACGTTTCAGTGTTTCACCTGCCTGCCCCCTCTGCTGATTTGTGAGAAGCTGCCCTGTGACCGTGGACTGTGCTGCCTTCATGGATGCTGTGTCCACAGAAGTCAGACCCAGCAGCTAGAGACTGGCTGAAGAGAGGAAGATGTCAGCACCTGCCTGCTGCAGCCTCCTTTTTCTTTTCTGACTTCCCCTCTGTAGGAAAGCACATTAGGAGCTGCTTGAGATGAAAAATAATTTGCCAGGTTTTCGTCATTCCTCTGGCAGCAGTGCCTACAAGGAGCACTTAACATTGCACAGAGAAAATGGTTCCCGGCCATTGACTTCCTCCCCGGAAGCAGCCAACCATTTCACAAATGGGGACCTGGAGAGTAGCAGGGATATTCTGGCTCAAACCCTCCCCTGCTGCTGAGAAGAACAAAAACAGCCACTAAACACTTAGTTTGCCAACGGGATGTGTCAGTAGCATCACCATCTATACACAAAGGCCTTTTAATAGCAATTCTAGACGAAACTCCAACACATTTCCCACCTGTATGAACTCTCGAAGTTCCAAGAGCAACATCAGTCAGGGGATTTATTTTTAAGGCATGTCCTACACTCGATAAAAGAAAAAAAAAACTGGAAACCTTTTTCCAGACTAGCAAGCAGTCATGCCTGTGTGCACACACACACACCTAAAGACAGACATTGTGATTTTTTTTCTGGGCCCCAGCTATACTTGCCATCAATTTAAGCCACTAAAGTGGGTTCTTACCGTGGCTTAGAGCAGCAGTCCCCAACCTTTTTGGCACCAGGGACTGGTTTCATGGAAGGCAATTTTTCCATGGACTAGGGGTTGGGGGAAGGTTTTGGGATGATTCAAGCACATTACATTTATTGTGTACTTTATTTCTATTATTATTATATTGTAATATATAATTAAATAATTATAAAACTCATCATAATGTATAATCAGTGGGAGCCCAGAGCTAATTTTCATGCAACCAGACGGTCCCATCTGGGGGTGATGGGAGGCAGTGACAAATGATCAGGCACTAGATTCTCATAAGGAGCACGCAACCTAGATCCCTCACATGCAAGGTTCACAATAGGGTTCACGTTCCTGTGAGCATCTAATGCTGCCACTTATCTGACAGGAGGTGGAGCTCAGGCAGTAATACAAGTGATGGGGAGCAGCTGTAAATACAGATGAAGCTTCGTTTGCTTGCCCGCCACTCACCTCCTGCTGTGCGGCCAGGTTCGTAACAGGCCACTGACCAGTATCAGTCTGTGGCCCAGAGGCTGGGTACCCCTGGTTTACAGAATGTGAACTTCATTTCTCTGCCTGTTTCTCCAAAGACCTGAGCTACTGCAGCACAGATACAGGGGAAAAAAACACAGAGACCTCAAATGCACAGCATTTCTCCTTTTCTCCAAAATCCATATGTGCACTAAGAGGTTCCCATCTACTCTGGAAACATGAGACTTAAATCCATCTGACATGTGCAGTTGGTCCATACTACCTAGGATCTCTTGATGTCCAGACTCACAGGAAGGATGAGATGCCTCAGAAGCAAGGAACTCAAATGTGGCCCAGGATTGGAGTTCAGACATAAATGGCATGTGCAACATTAAAAAAAGGATAGAGGATAGCGGGCAGGCAGGGGTGAGGAGAAGAATGTGGTAAATTGCCTGGGAGCTATGCAGAGTCCCTGGGAAATAAATCATTCCAAGTGAAAAAGGTATCTAACATGATGAACCAGACTCAGCAACAGAGTCTACTGTTGAGGAAAGTAGCAACTGTGGGTACCTAGAAGTGGCTGTTTGACCCCGCCCCCACCCAGAAGAAAGGTGAGACTTTGCCGCATGGAGTTGCAGCAGAGCATCACGGCCATCTACAGCAGGGTAGATGGTGTGGCACCCAGTAGAGCAGTGCCACCCAGTATGGCAGTGACACCCAATAGGGCAGTGACAGCAGCCACTTACCCATGAGCATGTGTGGACACCTCCTAGGAATGCACTGAGAAGCTAGAGTCTGAGGAAACTCCAGGGAGTAAAGTTGTCATCCTCCCTTGAGGTCTCTGTTTTGAGAGGTATCCAGCCAGAAAAATCATGGATCTACATATTAGTGGATCATATTTATATCTTCTGGATGCTTCAGGTTACTAAAGCACAATTATTCAATTTTCAGATATGTATTTTTAAGCAGCTATAAGCTACCCACTCTAGAGGTATACCAGGTGCTTAAATTCCCGGTATAAATTTTATATGGGAGCCTATCTATATTTTTAGCTTTTCTGTGTTCTTATTGAATCTACAGCCATCATTTCAGACAGGTGGTGTCTGAATATCAATACATACAAATAATATCTGAAGCCTAAGTTCGTATATGCCAAGGCATCTACACAAACGTCTCCACTTAGAGTAATGTGGAGATTTCTAATGTACAAAGTGGTCAACACTTCTGGAACCTGTATTTGAATTCTTTTACTTTTATCTTCAATGTTACCCTAATTTTCAGAAATAAAAGCAAATTATAAAGAACACATTGTTTTTGCTTTGAATAGAAAGTATATTTGGCCAGGCGCAGTGGTTCATGCCTGTAATCTTAACACTTTGGAAGGCCAAGGTGGGTGGATTGCCTGAGTTCAGGAGTTCGAGACCAGCCTGGGCAACATGGTGAAACCCCATCTCTACTAAAAATACAAAAAGTTAGCCAGGCATAGTGATGGGTGCCTATAATCCCAGCCACTCAGGAGGCTGAGGCATGAGAATCACTTGAACCCGGGAGGCAGATGTTGCAGTGAGCCAAGATCATGCCACTGCACTCCAACCTGGGTGACAGAGCAAGGCTCTGTCTCAAAAAAACAAAACAAAATAAAAGTATATTTGAGCTGACTTATTTCTTGACAAAGTCTTTTGAGATGTGATAGTGGAGAATTTTAATGTACCTTGCAGTCCAAATATTTTATTGCTATACCTTTCAAAGGAATTATTTTTAAAGTAATTGAAAAAGATTTCAAACTTATGTGAAAAAGCAGCAGTCATCCTATTTTTCTGGCCCTCTTTACAACAAAACTCCTTGAAAGAAGTGACTTCACTTTTTCTCCTCTCATTCTTTCCCGAATGCATTTCAATATGTTCTGTCTCTCACGCACTATGTTGACAAATCCAATGTCAATTCTTAGTCTTTTTTTACTCAATCTATGAGCGACAGTTGACACCTATGTACGTTCCTTTTTTCTTAACTCTTAAATATATTTCTCTGGTATGGACCTCTTTTTTGAACTCCAGACTTATATATTCAACTGCCTATTTCACTTCTTCACTTGATAGCTATGTTATTTCAAACTTAACATAGAAAACCTAAGTCTTCATTTCTTCTTACCCTACCTGGTTCTTCCCCCTAATTCAATAAATGTCAACTCCATTCCTTCATAGGCAAAAAACCCTGGAGTAGCCCTTGACTACCCTCTTTCACTCTCACTCCATGATCAAATTTGTCACAAATTCTGTAAGACTGACCTTCAAAATATATCCCAATTCTAAATACTTCCATCACTGCTACCCTCATGTGAGTTTCCATAATGTCTCATCTGGATAATTGTAATGGTCTCCTAACTGGTCTTCCTGTTTCCACCCCCTTGTTCCCTATAGTCTTTCTGCACACAGCAGTCCATCACAAGGTCTCTGTTAAAACACAATCAGATTATGTCTGCTCAAACACCTTGCTCTCTGTCACAGAGTGAAATCTGAATTTCCTACCCGGTCTACAAGACCTGACCTAATTTGGAGCTCACCATCTCTTTAATGTCATCTCCTATTACTCACTCCCTAGTTTCTTCCACACAGCAAGGCTGACCTACTTGCTCTTCCTTCAACACCTTAAACATGTTTCCATCTGAGAGCCTCTGCACTCACTGTCCCCACTGCCTGGAGTTATCCTCTCCCATCTTAATAGCTCATTCCTTCCCTTCCCTCTGGTCTCTGCTTATATATACCCTTACCAGAGAGGCCATTCCTGCTGGCCTGACTACTCTATATGAAGAGAACACTTCCCACTTACACCTGTCACTCTTCTTCCTCTTTCCTGGTTTTGTTTCCCCTTCAGAGCATTAATGGTTACCTGACATAATCATTTGCCCCCTGCCACTAGAATATGAGCTCCATGAAAAGAGAGAGACATTATCTGCTTTGACCACTGGCACAACCTCCATCACCCAGAACATTATCTCACACATCTAATATGTTAGTTCTTCCAATTAGTATTTTTTTATGTTTTAACATCTCTAAATTGGGGCTGCATCTTATAACATGCAACATTTTGTCTTTCTTAGTAGTCCATAAAACAGTGGTCTGTATCGTAATTGACATCTTAGACACAATAAAATATGGTAGTTTGCATTCAAAACATATTTCACAAGACCAAATAAATCCCATTTTTTATATTTTCAGAAGAAGTATGGGGCTCCGGTTCTTTCGAGAGAGCCCAATCATGATCAACCAATACATTAATTACCCCAGCCAAGACCAAAGGAAACACCCAGTTCTTGCTACTAAATTATAATGCAATATACAATTTAATCTACTGGTTTTGAATGTTTATCTGATTGATACTTAAATAGTGGCTGTAGAACAAAAAAACGTAGATTAAAAGTATCAAGAAAAGGACATTGTTAAATGAGACATCTTAGAGTAAGGAAAACATAATAAAGACAAGAGAATCATCAGAACTTATTTAAAAATCTAAGGTAATTACTGAAGCAGACCTACATAACTCACTAGCCCCTTTGAGAAACTTTATATTAACATATAAAACAAAAATTATTCATAATGATAACCTGAGACCTAGTCATCAAAAAATGAATAAAATATGTAGTATGCTTAGTTCAAAAGGCAGAAAAGTAGCACATTTGTGTTAGGTTTCCTTCAAAGAAATGGTTTAAATATACATAATTAATTTGGCTTTTAAAAGTAATAACATTTAATAATCTGGAACATCTACTTCTGTGGCACACATATGGCTCTTTTAATAACGTCATCCTCATCACAGTGGTTCTCTGAGAAGTTCTATTGGTATTCACAGTGCATTTGAACCAAATTTCATCAAAACCAAAGATGATCACATATAAGAAGAAGACCTGGGGAATCATAACATTATGATTTTTATAGGAATTCTAATCTTACTTCTTATTTTGATAGATGCTCTGAATTGAAATGTGTTGGAATATCACTGATCATTTTCTTGTGCTTACATATTTTATGCTTCCACAAATGAACTTACTTTTACCTAACTTGTATACTTCTTGCAAGACGATAAAAACAATTTCATAATTTTCCAATTATAATCTCTCTTTCTACTGTGTTGTTTTTACACACTTTTAAGTTCTGCATATCATCACAAATTTAGAAAACTTTATATCAAAATAAGGAAAATATGAAAATAAAGTCAACAGGCAAACCATGTGGTATAGGGGGATGGGGGTTGGGGGTTGTAGTGGGGGCAGAGTTAGAGTGTCTATTTCAGCTCCAAATAAGTGCAATCTGTTAATGTAGGCTTGTGTTGCTCATGTGAAGGCATTATCAATAAAGCAAATTTCCCACATCTCAATTATTAAAATGTTACCTTCTTTTAACTTCAGTTGCCCAGCTGTTACATAGGAATAGCAATTTTTTAAAAAGTAATTATGAGGACTAAATAATACCATAATTCTGGTGAAGAAATCTGAATAATGTCTGTTACATAGAAAGAATTTGATAATTATTATTACCACGAATCAATTTATTGTTGTAATTATTAAGGAATTAGAAATTTAGGCTAAAACATCCTAATCAAGGATCAATCTAGGTAACAAATCTAGAATCAACAGAATGTCCCTCTTTGGGCTGTTTCTATGAAGACTGTGGGTGTGAAAACAGGGTGAAACGTAACCCCTCACTTAAGAAATCCAGGAAATGAGAAGAAAAGACTGTGGAGGATTGCTTGCATTAATTCTTCACCCTCTTCTTATATGCATGCCTTTGTCCTGCAACTTTGTAGTCCTCTCCCTCTCTGGGCACGGCACTCTATCCCACCCCTGGTTTCCTGGCTCAACCAAGTGACTTGCTTCAGCCACTGGGATGTCAGTAAGCCAAAAGCATAAAAAAACACTCACACAATTTCACTTGTTCTTTTACTTGTCTGTCTTTGCCACAAAAATAAGGTCAGACAAGCCTGCTGGGGAATGAGATGTGGAAGACAGTCAAGGGACCCCAATCGTCCCTGCTAAGGCCTTTCTACACTACGCAACCATGATCCAATACACAAATATGTGAAAGAGCCCAATCATGATCAATCAATACATTAATTACCCCAGCCAATACTAAAGGAAACACCCAGCTCTCCTGAAAACTCAAGAGCTAAATAAATTGTCTTTAGCCACTGAGTTTTGGATGGTTTTCACACAGCATTGTTGTGGCAATAGATAACTGATAGGGAACCTGATATGGGGCTGAGTGGAGACAGTGAAAAGAATGATGCGTCAGGTCCTGGGTGAAAAAGACTATAGTGATATTCAGTAAAACTGTTACAAATATCAAGGGCTTGGTGCTTGCTTTCCAAGGTAGTAAGGACTAAAAACTCTGTCCCACTCCAAGTTAATCTTGGAAAATCCAAGGGAAGAAGTGAGCAGTGTCAGTTTGAAAGAGGAAAGGAAACCAAGCAGAAGTCCTAGGTGTGCAGTAAGCAGGAAACAATGGGAGAAACTGGCCTGGCCCTGAGAAGGACTGTGCAACCTAACCACCTTCTCGCTTACTCTTTCCCCCAGGTGAGAGCTCTTTTGTAATAATAATAAGAGAAAGTGATAATTTAGCTGCCACTGGAGGAAAATTGTTGGTGCCCATGTGGCTTGCAATGGGAAGAAGCTTAAAAGAAGACAACTGATTGGATGGAGAGGGCCAACCTACCCAAGTCATATGAAAGTGACTTACTTAGCACATTCAGGCATTGTCTGTCTGCATAGACCACATTTTGGTTGCCCCTATTATTGCTCCATGCAAATAGTGCAAATTTGAGCATCAACATAGCAGCTGAATTCCATTTAAAGATACACCTTAAAACATGGTTTCTCAGTGATTTTAATAACAACCTGTGGTTTCTGATTAGAAAACGAGCAAGTTTCCACAGGAAAAGACTAACCATTCTTTGCCCAGATCACATCAGCCCCCAAAGGGATAAACTTAAAGGACTGAATGATTGTTATTAGAAGCATTTGGTTCCAGTTTTGTGGGGGAAACTTTGTCCTTCAACTTTGTAGTCTGATCTGTTTGTTTGCTGTGTTTTTTTTAAATTTGATTTATCCATTCATTTTTCCCACCAGACCCACATGGAATTGACCCTAATGCTTTTTGGAAAGGAATTGTACCACACCACTATAATCAGTCAGAAGGACATTGTGTGGTTTGTTAGTTCCTCATCTCCAACACTACATGTGGTCCTGTGAAGCTCAGGCTGCTGCTGTCTGAGCCAACTTTTTGGGCAGCTGCCAATATTACCTGCTTTGTTAGATGTTTACTGTATCTTCTACCTCTAATGGAGGACAGAAAAGATTACTTTTTTCAACTAATCATAGATGGTCTTTGATTTACTTGATTACAGCCCCTTTTTTCCTAAAAGACAGCCCTGCTGTTTAATTTCTACAAAACCTTCTGTGTAAGAACTAACACCACCAAGTTCCCAGGAAGCTAGGCCAAGGGTTGATTCAGGTGATGTTCCCACTGTGTCACACTCTCAACCCTCCTATAGTTGTAAAAGTACTCACTCCTTTAAATCTTCTCCCACCTCAGAGTGGATGAGGTTTGTTTCCCAGGATGCTCCGTCAATATTTAGAGCAACCTCTTTTTTTCCTTTCTCATTAAACAGTTATAAATCTAGTGCCCGGGTGCCAAATCATCAGGTCCAAGGTCCCCACAGCCATCTCCTAGGATTCTTCGGAGCCCTTCAAGAATTGGAACTCCTAATGCCTAACAGAGTGCCCCCAGAATTTATGAGATGGTTAGGCAAATTTATGTGCACCTGAACCTCACTGTATAACCATCAGTGTCAAGATTATATGAACAACTAGTCAATTGTAGGTGACAATGATCATACACACACATTTAAAACTATTTTGATACTGTGATGTGTTTAGTCTTCTTTGTTCTAAATATTTGACCCAAGCCATCTTTCACCTTAACTTTTCTTAAGTTAAAACACTTAGTTTTTTACATAGTTTTTTGTACAATTTACAATTTCCTCTAGAACATTCAAGTTACTGTGCTATGCAGGGTAGTCCTAACAAAAGAAAAAAAAAGGCCTACAACAAGACAGTCCTTTATTACTGTAATACAATTCTGATTTCAACCTATTCTTTAAAAAAATCACTGCAGTTTGCCACTAGAAAGCACCAGTGAAACATAAAATGTTAACTGTAACTCATAGTGCCCTTAGGCATACATAGCAGTCCTCCTTCCCCATAACAGTGTTGTGAGCCAATTCCTTCCTAACAGACTTCTGAATCATTCTGATGAATAAGAACATCTCCCTGGAAGAGTCTCCCAATGTATTCACGAGACAGCTCTAGTTATCACCTGCATTGTTCCTGCACCTTGAAAAAAGTAGAGCCGGCTCAACTTCCTCCATAAAAATACTGTGGAAAGAACTTTACTAATTACTGCTGTGTTGCAACCAGAATTAACTTTCATTTTGTATACATAATTTTTTATTTAAAGTATCACTGTTAATACCATAGCATCTCATGGCATTTTTGTGGAAACTTCTGAATATCCTAAAGTTTCTAAATTTACCATTGTGAATGATATTGTTTGACTATGTCTCCACTCAAATCTCATCTTGAACTCCCATGTGTTGTGGGAGGGGCCCAGTAGGAGGTAATTGAATCATGGGGGCAGGTCTTTCCTGTGCTATTCTCACAATAGCAAGTCTCATGAGATCTGATGGTTATTAAAAGGGGGGCCTTTTCCTCCACAAGCTCTCTCTTTGCCTGCTGTCTTCTATGTAAGATGTGACTGGCTCTCCTTGCCTTTCACCATGATTGTACAGCTTCCCCAGCCACATGGAACTGTAAGTCCAATTAAACCTCTTTCTTTTGTAAATTGCCCAATCGTGGGTATGTGTTTATTCAGCAGTGTGAAAACAAACTAATACAGTAAATTGGTACCAGGAGTGGGGTGTTACTGAAAAGATACCTGAAAATGTGGAAGTGACTTTGGAACTGGGTAACAGGCAGAGGTTGGAACAGTTTGGAGGGCTCAGAAGACAGAAAACTATGGGAAACTTTGGAACTCCCTAGAGACTTGTTGAATGGCCTTGACCAAAATGCTGATAATGATATGGACCATGAAATTCAGGCTGAGGTGTTCTCAAATGGAGATGAGGAACTTGTTGGGAACTGGAGTAAAGGTGACTCTTCTTATGTTTTAGCAAAGAGATTGGCAGCATTTTGCCCCTGCCCTAGAGATTTGTGGGACTTTGAACTTGAGAGAGATTATTTAGGGTATCTGGTGGAAGAAATTTCTAAGCAGCAAAGCATTCAAGCGGTGACTTGGTGCTGTTAAAGGCATTCCGTTTTATAAGGGAAGCAGAGCATAAAAGTTCAGAAAATCTGCAGCCTGAGAATGTGATAGAAAAGAAAAACCCATTTTCTGAGGAGAAATTGAAGCAGGCTGCAGAAATTTGCATAAGTAACAAGGGGTCAAACGTTAACCCCCAAGACAATGGAGAAAATGTCTCCAGTGCATGTCAGAGGTCTTCATGGCAGCCCTTCCCATCAGAGGCCCAGAGGCTTAGAAGAAAATAGTTTCTTGGGCCTGTCCCAAAGGTCACCATGTTGTGTGCAGTTTAGGGACTTGGTGCCCTGCATCCCAGCCACCCCAGCCATGACTAAAAGGGACCAAGGTACAGCTTGGGCTGTTGCTTCAGAGGGTGGAAGCCCCAAGCCTTGGCAGCTTCCACATGGTGTTGGGCCTGCAGGTGCACAGAAGTCAAGAATTGAGGTTTCAGAACTTCCACCTAGATTTCAGAAGATGCATGGAAATGCCTGGATGCCGAGATAGACGTTTGCTGCAGGGGCAGGGTCCTTATGGAGAACCTCTGCTAGGGCAGTGCAGAAGGGAAATGTGGGGTTGGAGGCCCCACACAGAGTCCCTACTGGGGCACCACCTAGTGGAGCTGTGAGAAAAGGGCCACCGTCCTCCAGACCCCAAAATGATAGATCCACTGACAGCTTGCACTGTGTGTCTGAAAAAGCCACAGACACTCAAAACCAGCCTGTGACAGCAGCTAGGAGGAAGGCTGTACCCTGCAAAGCCACAGGGGTGGAGCTGCCCAAGACCATGGGAACCCACCTCTTGCATCAGTGTGACGTGAATGTGAGACATGGAGTCAAAGGAGATCATTTTGGAGCTTTAAGATTTGACCGCCCTGCTGGATTTCAGACTTGCATGGGGCCTGTAGCCCCTTTGTTTTGGCCAATGTCTCCATTTGGAATGGCTGTATTCATCCAATGCCTGAACCCTCATTGTATATAGGAAGTAACTAATTTGCTTTTGATTTTACAGGCTTATAGACGGAAGGGACTTGCCTTGTCTCAGATGAGACTTCGTACTGTGGACTTTTGGGTTAATGCTGAAATAAGACTTTCGGGGACGGTTGGGAAGGCATGATTGGTTTTGAAATGTGAAGACATGAGATTTGGGAGGGGCCAGGGGTGAAATTACATGGTTTGGATGAATGGAAGCCGTATTAGAGGCTGACTACTCCAGTCTGCCCTCTGGCCTGCTATGATTCATGTCTTCCCCACATGCAAAATTTCCTCATCCTCTCTCAAGGCCCAGGAGTTTCAACTCATTAGAGCATCAGCTCAAAGTTCAGAATCTTGTCATCTAAATTAGCTCCAAGCATTGATGAGGTTTCTCAGGTGAAGTTCCTTAAGCACAGCTCCTCAAATACAATTCCTCTTGATCTATAGACCTGAAATTATAAAAAGAACTTTTATCTATCCCACCCTACACACACACACACACACACACACACACATGCTTACACACACTCAATATACAATGGAGACAGGCATTGGAAAATGGCTGTATACAACCCTGTCAAAAAAAAAGAAAATTGAGTATGAAAAGGAGTCACTGATCCACATCAGTTCTGAAATCCAGCTGGGTAAATGTTGGAAGTTCCTTGATTAGATTTGGTGTCTTGGAATAATTTTTCCTCACTTAACTCTACCTTATCAAGTTCATGTTTCTACCCTCTGTGTCTTCCTTCCTTGTTGTATAGGATAGCATGTGCTTATGGCTAAACAGCTATCACAGTCTCCTTCCTTAGCAGGTCCAAAGGTCACTGCTAATGCTGTACTGTCTGTTTCCTCGGGTCTAAGGTGGTGGTATTCCTGCATACATAACTCTTTTAAGAACTGTGCAGATCTCCTATAAATCATCTTGGGGTTGACTTCCTTAGACAAATGCCCCACTTGCAAATCACAAGATAAGCTCTTCTCTCTCTCTCGAGCCTTGGCTGAGATACCTGAGACAGAGCCAGACTCAATCTCTATTGAAACAAACAAACAAAAAAGCTCTAAAGCTTTCTAGAAGCATTATTGTTTTATTCAGAGGATCTGTGAGACATACCATTAATGTTTATAAGGAACACTTTGTATGAATGAAAGTATCCTGGGGCATGAAGTTGATCTTTCTAAGATATTTACAGAAGTTTTGATAGTCACATCCTTAGCTTCATCTTTAGACTGTCATTCTCCTGTGAGTGCTCTGGATCTGATCTTTAATCAAAAGCATTTTAAAAAAATGTTGGCACCATTTTCCATCTGGAAAGAATGAAAATTTTCAAAACTATCACATCTTGATGGCTTTTTGTTTCACAGTCCTTACCTCAATTCCTTCTTTCCTCTCCTATTTTACTATAAGCAGCAAGAAGAAACCAGGCAGCACCTTCAACACTGTGTTTGGAAATCTCCTAAGCTAGATCACTTCATTCATGAAGCACATTTTCTACTTTCCACATTACTATAGGCAAAATGTTACTAAGTTTTTTGCTATTACCAACAAGGACTCCTCCTTCCTTAATTTACTGCCTATATTTACCCTCAGCCTTATAGAAGACCAAGAGGCTTCTATTTACAACTTCTTAAGGACACTATATAGTGTCAATAACACTTTGCTCAAAACCCGGGGCCCAGTTCCAAATACCTACATTGTAGGCATACCTACATTTTAGGTATTCATCATGACAGCACCCTAATTCCAGGCCCTAAAATCTGTATTTGTTAATTTTTGATGCATAAAAAATTACAACAAAAATTATCAGTTTAAAACAATAAACATGTATTATCACACTGTTTCTGTGAGTCAGGAATCAAAAGCAGTTTGGCTAGGTAATTTTGGCTCTGGATGTCTTATAAGGTTGTAGTCAAACTGTCAGCTGGGACTGCAACCATCTCAAGGCTCAACAACTCAACCGTGAATGAAGGATAAACTTCCAAGTTCACATATTTATTAGCAAGCTTTAATTACTCAGGGTCTTTCAGATTGAGGACCTTAGTTTCTCAAAGGCTGTTGGGCTGAGAAACTCAGTTCTTCCCCACACCATGTAGACCTCTCCATATTGCTGCTCAAAACATGGCATCATGCTTCCCCAAACACAGATGTTCTGAGATAGAGAAATTGCACACACTCAAGATTGAAGTCACAGTCTTTTTTAACATAATCTCAAAAATGACATCTCATTACTTCCACCTTTAAAAATGGGTCAGTAAGTCCAGTCAACACTGAAAGCAAGATGATTATATAAGTACATGAATACCAGGAGTGTTTGGTCATTATGGACCATCTTAGAAGGTCATCATGGACCATTTTAGAAGACCCTGAGATGATAGGTAAAGATCATGCAGCAAGACAGAAAGAAAAACTACCTGATGAATTTCTAGTCTCATGAGACCTGGCTATTTCCTTAGTTGTATTCTATAATATTGTGAGATTTCTCTGAACAATAAAAATAAATGCATCCACTGTTAAGTAAGCTTGAAAGAATTTCTGCTCCTTATGAAAAATAATTCCTAAAACTATATTCTATCTTCCTCCTGAGTCTGTACTCCAACTTCATGAGACAGAAAGCAAATATAATGCCCCTCTCTGCAACCTAAACAAGACTCAGAATGTCTAAGCTGCCCTGCAGATATTGTAGATCAGGCATGTTCTGTATTCTGCTGACCCTGTCAGCAAAGTTTTCTGCCAGCACATTAAGGACAGCACATTTATATTAGAAGCTGTGCTTTAATTTCTGTGACATGTAATGAAGCGGTCTCACTAGCCAGAATATTTTATTAGGTCATAATGTGTTAAATGTGGTTTAATCAAGAGGTGCCATTAGACAGCTTCCAAATGAACTTCAGATGTAAGGTGATCACACAACAAATCATCTATGGAAACCCCCTGAACTAATGTTAACAAAGATGAGTCAGCTCTACAATATAAGTATTTATATCCTCATAAGTAATAATAATAATTAAAATAGCTAACATTTATTACGTACACATATAAGATTCTCTTATAACTCAAGATATCTATACTAGGAATGCCCATAATTTTTTTTTACTTTCCATACACCCTTTTTTAGAAAACTTACAATAAGAAAAGAGAGCCTGCCTATATTGTTTATCTAAAATAATACATTTAATATTTACAACTCTAAAAAGCAATTGTCATATTATCTGCATTTCAAAGCTAAGGAAGCTAGAGTTTAGCAATATTAAGCAACCAGTCCAAGGTCAAATATCTTGCCTCCTAATCATCACACCCTTGGGTAGTCCCTTCTCACATTATATTAGAGATGGTTTGTGTCATCAATCATCATGGCAAACATGACAGTGTGTGACTTCTGGTGCTATGTCATAAAAATCATTGCAGCTTCTTTTCTTCCCTTGAATCACTCATTCTACGGGAAGCCAGATGCCATACTCTGAAAACATTCAAGAAGTCATAGAAAGAGGGCCATGTGGCAAATAACTAAGACCTCCTACCATCAACTTGCCAGCAATATCAGGGAGCCATTTTGGAAGTGAATTCTCCAACTCCAGTTAACTCTTGAGGTGACAGTATCCCCAGCTAGCATCTTGACTGTACCTCATGAGAGACCCCAAGCCAGAATCATCCAGGTGAAGTACCCCCAAATTTCTGTCACCCAGAAACTGTAAGATAATAAATATTATTGTTTTTTCAAGCCATTAAATTTCTAGGAAGTTTATTACTCAGCAATACATAGCTGATGTAGCAATAAAGTTTGGTGCCTCTCCCTTAAGTTCTCTTATAGACTGTAGCCAGGATGTTGGCCAAATGCTATAGTTTGTATGTTTGTCCCCCAAAAATCTCATGTTTAAATTTGATCCCCAGTGTTGGAGATGGGGCCTAATTGGGGGTATTTGGGTCATGGAGTTGGATCCCTCATAAATAGTTTGATGATGTCCTTGTGGTAATGAGTGAATTCTCACTTTATTAGTTCTCGAGAGAACTGGTTGTTAAAAAGAGCCTGGCACCTCCCCAACCCTTGCTCCCTCTCTCACCATGTAATCTATGTAGATTCTATCTCCCCTTCACCTTCTGCCATGAATGGAAGCAGCCTGAGGTTTTCACCAGATGCCCAATCTTCTACCCAGCAGAATAGAAGAGCCAAATAAATCTCCTTTTTTTAACCTAATTTCAGGTATTCCTTTAAAGCAACATGAAACAGACTAAGACCAAATACTCATGTAGCTGTTGGCAGAATTCCATTACTGGCTGGTTATTTGTCAGAGATCTCCCTCAGTTTCTTGCTTTGTGGGCCTCTCCTAAAGCAACTCAAAACATGGCAGCTATCTGACTTACTTTAGAGCAAGAAAAAGAGAGCAAATAGGGAGCACCCAAGAAGAAAGTCATAGTCTTTTTGTAACCTACTCTCAGAAATAACAGTACAAAAAATCTGCCATATTCTATTTCCTAGAAGGAAGTCACTAAATTCAGCCCACACTCAAGGGGAGAAGATTGCACAAGGATATGAATACCAGGAACTGGGGATAATTAGGGGCCATCATGAATATTGGATACCACACTGGGATGTGATTCCAGTGGTCTGAATTAATACTCTTCATCATTATACTGTAGGCCTCCCTTGAGTACATCCACATACGTTATGAATTCCATTTTATATAAATCTAACCCAAGCATTAGTCTTACCTGTAATCAAAGCACACACCTCCAGGATATTTGGGGAAAAGGTGGTTAGTCTCAAGACCATTCCTGAGTCATTTCCATGTTACAGCTCTCTCCAGTCATATTTCTACCATGGGTCACTGTTTGATCAGCTGTCCTCAGACTCAATTTCTTTTTTCCTTTTTTTTTTTGAGACGGAGTCTCACTATGTAGGCCAGGCTGGAGTGCAGTGGCACAATCTCGGCTCACTGCAAGCTCCGCCTGCCGGGTTCACGCCATTCTCCTGTCTCAGCCTCCCGAGTAGCTGGGACTACAGGCGCCCGCTACCACGCCCGGCTAATTTTTTGTATGTTTAGTGGAGACAGATATTTAGTGGAGACGGGGTTTCACCGTGTTAGCCAGGATGGTCTCGATCTCCCGACCTCGTTATCCGCCTGCCTCGGCCTCTCAAAGTGCTGGGATTACAGGCATGAACCACCGTGCCCGGCCCAGATTCAATTTCCTTAATCCTCAAAGTATCACCAACTCAAAAATTCATTCATAGACAACTTTATTGATGACTCCAGGGAAACTGAAATGATTATCTTGTCTCTCAGTAGATGACTTTAAAATAGGACATTAGCCAGTCCTGTCTAAAATTATTCCAGCCCCGTAGGAATTGGCAACTTCTCAGGGATCATCTTTCCCAAAGGCCCCATCTACTACTTTGTTTGTCCCTCCTCAGGGCTGCCACATAGAATTGTGCAGGTTGTTTACTGCACAGAGGTGTTTGGCTAAAGGGGTGAGTGAGAGGCTGAAATTCAGCCCATGCTCTGCTTCACAGCCTTAGGAGGCACATATCCTAGGACAGTTCTATATGGGCTAGTTGAAGTTCTGTGCCTTTTTCATACTGCTTTTCAGGGCCCCTTCTCTCATTTCTAAGATATTTTGGAAATTCCTAAGACAAAAAATGGAACAAAACCCTCTTATTATTTATAATTTACTCATCTAGGGGAGGAGTCCTACAAGTTAAAGAACTCTGCTTATTGAGCACATTATTTTTAATGTAATGACCTACATACTTGAAGATAAAGTTCAGTGAAGAGTGTGAAGATGCAAAATTAGAAAAACCTAGGCAAAGCTAAAGTGCTTTACTTAAGAAAAGGGATATGGGGGAGATGGCATCATCAAGATGGTAGAATGGGAAGCCCTAGATACTCCTTCCTTCATGAATTAACAACAATACACAGACCAACTGCCTTTGTGAAAAATTCAGAAAGCAGTTGAGGTTCTTATGAAACCCTGAAACCCTGTTTTCTTTCTGGAGAGGGAAGGGAGCAGAATGTACATTCAATGTTCTGACTTTTAAAAGGGATGCTCAAGAGATAGGTCTTGCCTAATACAAGCACTGACAAGAACAGGAACATGGTGACACCAGGTTCGGGGCCTGTGACAAGAAAGGTGATCAACATGCACCCATGTCTGCAGTATCAAAGGTAGAGGATATATCCTTGCAAAAGATTTGAAAGGTCTCTGGAATATCTTGCCAAGATGAGTGGAGAAAATCCTTGCTGTATAAAACCAGACTGTAAAGTATAGGAGAGGTGGCTGATTTTTCAATTGCCAAAATCCCAACAGAAGATAATAAGACACCCAAAGAAAGAGAGAAATAAGGTCCATTTAAAGGGTTAAATTAAATCTTCAGAAATTTACATCAAAGAAACAGGAACATATGAAAAGCTCACAGACAACTTCATACTGAATGAAAGCTTTTCCTGTAAGATCAGAAACAAGAGAGGGATGCCTACCACCACTGCTATTTAACATAGTACGGAAATCTTGGCCAGAACTGTTAGACCAAAAACAAGGGGAAAAGGTGGCATCCGAATTAGAAAAGAAGTAAAATTATCTCTGTTTGCAGATGATATACGGTTACATGTAGAAAACTCTGAAGATGACACACACGCACACACAATATACAAGTAATAAATGATTTCTGCAATGTCAAAGAATACAAAAGCAACAAAAAAATCACTTGTTTCTATACACTAACAATAACCAATCTGAAAATAAAATTAAGAAAAACATCCCATTTACTATAGCATCATTCTAAAATTCATATGGAATTTCAAGGGACTCTGAAATAGCCAAAACAATCTGGAAAAATAAAGTTTGAGACCTCACACTTTCCTGATTTCAAAACCTTCTACAAAGCAACAGTAATTAAGACGCTGTTGTACTAGCATGAAGACAGATACATAGACCAATTGAACAGAAAACGAGCCAAAAAATAAACTCTTGAATATATGACCAAATGATTTTTGACAAAGGTGTCAAGATTACATAATGGTAAAAGGACAGCATCTTCAACAAATTGTCTTGGGAAGACTAGATAACCACATGTAAAAGAATGAAATTGGACCTTTATTTTACACAACATGCAAAAATTAACTCAAAATAGATTAAAGACCTAAATGTACGACCTAAAACTATAAAACTCCTAGAAGAAAACATAAAGAAAAAGATTCAGTATATTAGATTTGGCAGTGATTTTCTTGATTACGACACCAAAAGTGCAGGCAACAAAAGGAAAAATAGACAAATGGGACTACATTACATTTTTAAACTCCTGCACATCAAAGCAAACAATCAACAGAGTGAAAAGGTAGCCTACAGAATGGGAGAAAATATTTGCAAATTATATATGTGATAAGGTATTAATATCACAAATATATAAGGTATTCTAAAACTCAATGATAAAAAACAAATAACCTGACTTATACATGGACAAAGAACTTGAATACTCCAAAGAAGATATACAGATGGGCAAGAAGGATATGAAAAGATGCTCAATATCACTCATTAGGAAAATACAAATCAAGACCACCATGAAATATCACTTTATACACAGCAGGATGACCACTACCAAAAGAACAGAAAATAACTGTTGATGAAGATGTAGAGAAATTGGAGCCCTGTACACTCTCAGGGGAAATGTAAAATTGTGCAGCCATTAAGGAAAACAGTGAGACTCCCTACAAAGTGAAAAATAAAATTACCGTTTGATCCAGCAATTTCACTTCTGCATATATATTCAAAAGAACTCAAAATAGTATCTCAAAGAGATACCTAGACACTTCAGTTCATCATGGATTATTCACAATAGCCAAACAATGGAAGCGCCCCCTATGTCCAGTGACAGATGAATGTTATACAATGGAATAATATGCAGCCTCAAGAAAGAAGAAAATCCTGTCACATGCTACAACGTGGAAGAAACTTGAAAACATTAAACATTATACTAAGCAAAAGAACTCAGTCACAAAAAGACAATATATGACTTCACTCATATGAAGTATCTAAAGTATCAAAATCATAAAAACAGAAAGTAGAAAGGTGGTTGCCAAGGCGAAGGGTAGAAAACAGGCAGAATTAGTGTTTAGTGGGTACAGAGTTTCAGTGTTGCAAGATGAGAAGTTAGAGTTCAGAAAGGTCAAGTAACTGCCACAAGGTAATAAAGTAAAACGTAGAGTAAACAAAAATCATAGCCATATCTCTCTGATATTGGAACCCTGCTTTTTTTCCCTACAGCATATTATCTCCATACAAATAGTTTGGTCTCAGGTATAGCAATATAAATTGCTTAAACTCCTCAGACCAACATATAATGAGCATGCTTTTGATCAATGCGCCTATTTTATGTGCTTCAAGATAGATTGAAAGCTTAGCAGAATATTATCAGGAAGCACTCATCGGCATCCAAATTCTTCTATATGGCCTCTTAGGGAAATCAAAAAGACCAAAGTTTTAACACACTCAATCCCTGTCCCCCATGGCATGCCTAGCACTCACTATGATAATTTACATGAAACAGAACATTTAATTTGGGAATTTCAGCTAAGGCTCTAAGATAGGATAGATATCAGATACCAAGTGATTTTTGAGAAAAAAGCATGTGCTGATTTTTAAGACATTATCCAAAAACCAGATCACAGTCTGAAATTGGTTTGTACCCACAGGGAGATATAAAAGACTTGAGAAAGTAGATCTAGTAAGCCAGGCGCGGTGCCTCACTCCTGAAATCCCAGCACTTTGGGAGGCTGAGGCAGGCGAATCACCTGAGGTCAGGAGTTCGAGACCAGCCTGGCCAACATGGTGAAACCCTGTCTCTACTAAAAATACAAAAATTAGCTGGGCATGGTGGTGGGTGCCTGTAATCCCAGCTACTTGGGAGGCTGAGACAGGAGAATCACTTGAACCTGGGAGGCAAAGGTTGTAGTGAGCCAAGATCACGCCACAGCACTCCAGCCTGGGCAACAGAACGAGACTGTCTCAAAAAAGAAAAAGAAAAAAAAAGAAAGTAGATCTAGGGACAGGACTTAGTGAGAAATATGAGGATGCTGTGTTGTGACTTCTAACTTATCAGATCACAAAGAAAAAAAATGAAAGCTTTCTGCTCTTTCACCTCCAGCCTAGAGGCAGGGTGCTTCATTGGGACCATGTAGAGAGCCAATAAAAGTTGGCTATCTCCCCAGGAAAACTGGAGAGCTTCTTTGATGGCAAAGTAAGTATAGGCTGTTGCTGCATGAAGGAAGTAGCTGTATTTGCAGCAAACCATGCATGATGAGAATGGACTGTAGACCAGATGTGGATCTCATAGGAGTCAGCCAAATGCCTGGCTAATTCAACCCCCTGGAGGGGTCAACAGGACTCCAAACAGGAAGGAGAAGATTGCATTCAAGATCACTGTGCAACCTGTGCAGTGTCATGGAACCCTGCACTCAGAAGGGCCCTCCCCTGACACCATGCTTGGTTTAACACTCTGTATATTAAAATTCTTAATAATTGTATGAACTTGTGTTTTGTAAGTCAAATAGAACAATGTGTGCCTGCCATTCCTTGCTGCCCCATTTGCATATAGCATTCATGATGTCCCATGACACTGAATTCCAGCAGACCCACAATGCCTGGGAGTTCAGCAAGACTCAAAGTGAGTATAAGGTAAATGCATTATATCTTTAACCTAGTAAGCAGTGCCTGCTTACAGGCCCCACAGGCCACATTATGCATGTGAATCAGAATTTGCTTTCAGTAAAAAGAAGACAACAGCATTCTAAGAAACACAAACAACCAAGGAACTCTATCATATAGGTTGTAGTTGTTCCTTCTTACTCATTTCACTTTTCTGAATCAGCTAATCATTTACACCAAAAATGATAACACGGAAAAGGAAAGACAGAGAAAGTCATAATTCCTTTTTCTTTCAATCTTTCCTTACTCATTGATAAGCCCAAGGTAGAGAGTGTTGGTAGGATGTACAAGTATCAGGAAGCGGAATAAAACAGTGGAGTTAGTTTTGGACACTGTTTCCATGGTTCTATACATGTATGTCCCAGCTGCAAAATGTAAGCTGTATAATTTCAGTAACTGTGCATACAAGTTAAATGCTTGTACATTTGCTTTGAAAATAGGCATTGCAAAATATAAAGACGAACAGTAAAATAATACTAATTTAATTTTTTTCTTAGGATGACATTAAATAGCAAAGAAAAATACCATGTCAAGTTGAGACAGACTGTGATAGACAAGAAAAAGCTTTATATTTGAGTACTTTTAGGGACATATTTTTCCTTCTTTTTGAACAAGGGACTCTAAATGTCATGTTTGTACTGGGTCCTGAAAATTACGTAGCCAGTTCTGACTGCATGTAAAGACTGTATTCCTTCCCCTTAATTCCCTCTGCCCCTGGAAAAGTCAAAACACAGCAAGCTGGGAAAAAAGGAGAAATATTATAGGGTGGGAACGACAAGGCCCTTCCCATCCCAATACAACGGGACCTGATGGGAAAAAAGAGAAAATGTAACATTTATGTTTTGATGGTTGGGAATTGGACATTCCAATGTTTGAATTGAGACTGGTTTTGACCTAAAGTGATATTGGTACAGTCTGTTACCTAAATGTGAGCAAAAAATTAATGGAACCAGCCCTCTACCCAGGGGAAAAGGGATTTATTCCACTAAATAAATTTTAAAGGAGCAATAGGGGACAAAAGTGAAGTTGCATTTTTATCATATCTCATGAGTCATGTTTGTTCAATACCCCAGTTACAAATGAAACATAAAGTTCAAAGAAGTCTGATGTCTGATCAGACTTTTGTATCTGAAAACAAAAAACAAAAAAGGAAAAAGAAAGCTTCTTTTGGTTTCAAACGCTTCAGTCACAAAAATCACATTGAAAATGATTAGACTCCATAGCTGACTTTACTTCACAAATTACCCATATGTTCCAGCTCATGTTACAATTTCTTTTGGGAGCATTAAAATGATTTTTCAATTTTCTCACTCAATTTCTTCTATCTCTCCTGAAAATAAGAGATGATATTGTATGATAAGAGCAAGTCTCTTTAAATTAGACCAACTTGACTTCTGTCTTGCAGTCAAAGAGAGATCAAATGTGTTTTTCCCCAAACCCCCCCAAACATGTGAAAAATTCATAAAGCAGTGCTTCTTACATTTTTAGAAACACAAAGGTTCGTTTTTAAATTCCTCTATTTTTAATCTTCTGTCACAGTGATAAGCTGTGAATTTTAATTTATCACTTTACCACTTCTTCAAAACAAGAAAAAAGCCAAGGAATTTATTTCTGAAGGATAAACACAATAAGGTTTCTGTTGTAATACGCATCTTTAAAATGTAGAACTGTAATTATTTCAAAGAGTGCACCAAAATTAGCACTTACTGGTCAATAGATTTTGTTTCTCTTAATTTTTTTCTTTAAAGTAGAATTTCATGCAGAACTTACAAATACATGTAGCAAAGCACAAATGCTTTTAAATTATTTCAAGAGAATTAATCAATACAAGAAATTCTATTATCAACTGAAATTCTAAAAATAAAATTCAATTTTACAGTTATAAAACATAAATATTAGGTTTAGAGCAAATAATGAATACAATAGATTATGAACTCAGTGTGTTGAAGGATTTGCTGATGAAGTAAAATGTCATGAATAAACAAATACGAACTTTATGAGATGTGTCTATCAAATCATGCTCTGTTTCTGAAATTACACAGAAGCATGAAATAGTTAGAAATTCTGAGTCCCTTACAGTTTCTTGATTGGGATATTTGACTCCCTCAAGAGTCCCTTACAGTTTCTTGATTGGGATATTTTTCTTAATTTTCCATCATCCTTACAGTGCAGAAGTGTTTTGGACGACATTTCACTGACTACTTAATGAGTGCCTCTTAATGTGCCAGATATTGTGCCAGGTGCTAAGAAACACAAAAATTAGTGCCTTCAGACTTACATAGGGTTGTCAGACAGAGTGCAGCACTCCCTGTAAAATTTGAATTTCAGGGCCGGATGCGGTGGCTCACACCTGTAATCCCAGCACTTTGGGAGGCTGAGGCGGGCAGATCACAAGGTCAGGAGATCGAGACCATCCTGGCTAACATGGTGAAACCCCATCTCTACTAAAAATACCAAAAAAATTAGCCATGTGTGGTGGCGGGCGCCTGTAGTCCCAGCTACTCAGGAGGCTGAGGCAGGAGAATGGCGTGAACCTGGGAGGTGGAGCTTGCAGTGAGCCAAGATCCTGCCACTGCACTCCAGCCTGGGCGACAGAGCGAGACTCCATCTCAAAAAAAAAAAAAAAAAAAAAAAAAATTTTTGAATTTCAGATAAACAATGTTTTGGTGTAAGTATGTCTCAAATATTTTATGGGATATATTTTTATTTGTCAAAGCTGGCAAGCCTAGACTAGGGAAATTAAGGTTTTGTTTCAGCACTACCAAATCAGTACTTGACAATCCAGACATTGCCAGCTGAGCTTTGCCCCTGCCAACCCTCTACTGGTGCCCTCCCTTCATCTTTCTCCCATGTTTTATAAAAAATGTAGCCTATTTTTCCTGAGGCTTATCTCTTCCTCCTTTTGGAATAACAGCTTTCTTTCATGAAATATATTTTCAAATAACTTCCATAAGTAATGATGTGTGGGAGGTAAAACTTTCTAAGTTCTTCCCGGTTTGACAGTACCTTTATTCTGCCATCACATTTGATTGATACTTAATCTGAGTATAGAATTCTAGATTAAAAATGATTTTTCCTCAGAACTTGAAAACATTGCTCCATTGTCTTACAGCACCCAGTATCACTAATGAGAAATCCAAGGTCAGCCTGATTCTCCTTCTTTTGTAGATAATTTGCTTAGTTTTCGTTTTCTGAAAGTATTTATGAATTTCTCTTCATTCTTGGTTGTATTTATTTGCTAGAGCTGCCATAACAAAATATCACAGACTGGGTGGTTTAAACAGCAGAAATTTATTTTCTCACAATTCTGGATGCCAGAGTGCAAGAGCAAGATGTCACCATGTTTACAGTTTCTCCTGAGGCCTCTCTCCTTGGCTTGCAGATAGCCACCTTCTCACTGTGTCCTCACATGGTTATCTTTCTGTCTGCGTTGTCTGTGTCCTGATTTCCTCTTCTTTTAAGGACACCAGTCATATTGGATTAGGTCCCAACCCAGTGACCCTATTTTAAATTAATTATGTCTTTAAAAGCCCTTTCTTCAAATACAGTCACATTCTGAGGTACTAGGAGTTAGGACTTCAACTTATGAAATTTAGGGGACACAGTTCAACCCGTGACATTGGTATTTTGAAATCTCACAGTGATATCTCTGGGCATTAGCCATATTTTTCATTTATGTTGTTGGTCTCTCACTAGACTCTCTCAATATAAAGATTTGTGTCTTACAACTCTGGGAAATTCTCTCCTATTATCTATTTTAAAATTCTCCCTGTCTTTTTGTCTATCTCTTTCTGGAACTCATTAATCAGTAGTTGTACTAGCAGGATAGGCTAAATGCTATAGCAAGCAATGCCAAAATCTTAGTCATGTAACACCACAAAGGATTTTTTTCTCACTGATGTAACAATGTAATGTGTATTGGTAGAGGAGATAGCTAGCATATTATCTCCTAGCTATCTCCTCTACCAATACACATTACGGGGGGTGGGGGGGGTCTGCACCAGTTAGTGACTCAAGGACTATTTTTAATAGCCCTAATAATTTTTAATCCAACCAGTAGTGGTTCCTTTGACCTAGTGGCTTTGTGTCACCCAGAGCCTTAGAATCGTTTTACTGTGTTCTCTGCACTCATCTACTATATGGGAGAGGATGAAGGATTTCACAGGACATGTTAGGGTTCCATTATAAAAAGGAGGCTTTATCACTTTTACCATAACTCCGAACTGCAATAAAGGCTAGGAAATGTAGTAGAGCAATGAGCCAAAGGAAGAGAAGACTTTACAGATATTGGTGAGCACTGACAGTCTCTGCCACAGCAAACCATATGGAGCCTCTCTGCCTCTTGTTTCTAATAGTTTCTTCTTCTTCTTTTTTTGTTTTCTTTTTTTTTTTTTTTTTTTGAGACTGTATCTTGCTCTGTCACCCAGGCTGGAGTGCAATGGCACAGTCTCAGCTCACTGCAACCTCCACCTCCCTGGTTCAAGCGATTCTCCCACCTCAGCCTCCCGAGTAGCTGGGACTACAGGCACATGCCACCACACCTGGCTAATTTTTTGTATTTTTAGTAGAGATGGGGTTCCACCATTTTGGCCAGGCTGGTCTTGATCTCCTGACTTCAGGTGATCCGCCCACACTGGCCTTCCAAAGTGCTGGGATTGCAGGCGTGAGCCACCATGCCCAGCCGTCTCTAACAGTTTCTATCCCTTTGTCTTTTGTTCCATTATTTAGGAGATTCCTTCCATTTTATATTCTAATTGTATATTTTATGTTTTTATTTTCATGTAAAATTTTCAACTTCCAAGGGTTTTTTCCTTATTCTATTGTCTTTTACTAGCATCCTCTTCCTGTTTGATGGGAGTGTTATTTTTCCAAGTCTTCAGCAATACTAATTGTAGTGTGTTACATACTCATTTTAAAAGTTTGTGCCTTGCTCTGTTTCCTCCAAAATATGTTGCTATTTATATGCCCTGGTTATTTTCTCTCAGTTTGCCAGCTTCCCATAAATTTCTAGTGATCCTTAGATACCCATAGTTATTTACGAGTGGGTCAAGAGAAAAGCTGGCTGTGAACACTGAGTGGCCAGAGAGTGTGAATATGGGGCGCCTTGATAATTGCCTTAATTTTTCTCTAATGTGTTCAATTTCTATAAATAAGTAAGGAAGGAAAAAAGATCTCCTTGTGTTTTGCAGTATGTTGGGCAGGTCTCTCTAGTTCTGTGAGCAAATCTTTTCCCTCCTTGGCAGCAATTATTTTTATCTAATGTCTTGGTAGTGCTTCCTCATCTCTACTCACCAGGCAGTGTGGTCAATCTGCCTTCATTGAATTATCTTACCACTAATCGTTCCTCCTCTCCTATCCCTTTTGTTTTTGCGACTTGTAGGTTTTCTTCTCTCTTTCCTGTTACTTTAATGGAGTCCCAGGAAGGACTCGAAACGAAATTCAACAATTTCACTTTAGGAAGAAAAAAAAAAAAGAACAATGAAATAATGTCTTGCTAAAGTGCCAGAAAATCCTTAATAATCTTTACTTTATTTTGTTTATGCTGTTGTTGTTGAATTATATATTTGAAGTCAATCTATGGCAGTGAACATTTTGGGGATTACATATAGATTTGGTACTGTAGAAGTTAACTGAAGTTCTTATCAAAGGAAAAACTAGGTAAATAGGAACTAGCTGAATTTTTAAAAATACTGATGTGGCTGCTGAAATGTGTTTTGCAGGTAGAAATATGAGTCACAGCAGTGAAAATATGAAAAAAAAAAAGTGTTGATTGTTATGAATGTTTCCACGAGGCATACTGAACCTAAGAGCATTTTTCTTTTTTTTCATTTGGCTTCCTCCTTGGATGATTTTCTAGGATTTCTGGTAGTAGGCTCATTCCACTTCAGCAAAACGTAGCAACTTCTTCTAAATCAGTTTTCTCAACCAGAGAGTGCATCAGATCACCAGCGAAGCTCATTCAAAATAAACATCCCTGCCATAGCCCCCTCCCAAGGCTTATCAAACTTTCTCAGACGGGGCGCCAAGCAAGTGTACTTTGAAAAGGCTCCTAAAGGGATCAGGGTATTCTGTTTTTTATGTCACATCAAGCCCCCACCTCCTACACACCGTACACACACGTAACTACAAACCACTGTTCTAGAGGGCAGCTTTCTCCCAGTAGAATCATTGAATACATGCATTCTACATAAAACAGAATAGGGTGATCATTAAAAACTCAGGTTCTGGAGTCAAGTTGGGCTTGCACTCAGGATTTTGTATGTGTGACCTTGGCCAATTCACTCTAATTCTACTGGTAATAGTAGTAGATATAAGTAACACTGAGTGTTTCCTGTGTTCCAGGCAAAACACAGGAACACAGGAAATCCATGTTTGCTAAACACTAAACATGGATTAATTCATATAATTCTGCAACAAACCTATGAAGTAGGTGCTGGTCAAGGAAATTAAGGCTTAGAGAGGGAATAAGTAATTTTTAACTTGCTTAAAATTATATAGCCAATCAGCGATGCAGCTGGAATAACACCTAGGTCATCTAACTCTAAAGACTATGCACTTGGCCACTTCATTGTATTGTCTCTGACAAATAGAAAGAGAAAGAGAAAAATCTACAAAAAAAAAAAAAAAAAAAAAAAAACAGGAATTAATGAATCTAAGATAGAAATAATTCAAAATGAAAATCTGTGAATGGTATTAGCCTGAGAATGTGCTTGAACCTAGCAACCAACTGAAAAACAGGAATGGGGATAATGTTCCAAGGAAGACTACAGGGTGGCAGCCCGTAAAAGCATTGTGTAGATTCAAAAGGAATTCCCATTGATCAGCTTTTCCCCAACGACCAACTTGATAGATGAAGAATGACAGATGTGATGTCATTGTCACATCTGACCTTTTAATAAACTTCTCCTGAAAGCACCGAATGGAAGCCTCAGTATAACAGCTGTTCAGCAGGAATGGAAAGTTTCAGGTTCAAAACTGGAACAGGAAGACACAGGGCTCCAGAAGGAAAGTTTCCAGAGGGGATGAAACAAAGGGGACTAACAAAACATCATATTTTGGAGAATTTTGGGGGAAGATTGAGACAAAAAATATAGACTAATTTTGAAGACATACACAAAAGAAAGATCTTCTTGGCTTTGTTGTGAACAATATTTATTCAATTATAATTGTGTGAATACTATGATGGCTTTCAGCTTTTTAAATCAACCTATAGACTAATCATAGAAGACCTAATTGTTGTTGCAAAAGAGAATATAACTATTATTATGTAATTTAGATTTGGTTTAACTGTGAAACCAAATAACTTTGGCTTAGACATGACAGAAGCCTATTGTCCTTTGATGTGAACAGAGTCTGCAGTAAGTGGTCTGGAGCTGGTGTAGTGCCTCTCATCCAGAGGCATCTAGGCTGCTTCCTGACAAGATGTCCACCTCAGGACCCACGATGGCTGCTCAAGCACTAACTAAAATATCCACATTCCAGACAGCAGGAAAGAGGAAGATATGGTGAAAAATGTGTCCTCTCCCTTTAAGGGACATTTTCTGGAATTTGTACTCAACACTTTGTTTACATCCTATTGGCCAACCACACAGCCAGGTACAGTCACAGAGACATTGGGAAAGGTAGGTTCTATTCTGGGAAACTATATGTCCAACTAAAACCGAGATTCTATTACTAAGGAAGAAGGAGGAATGAATGTTGAGTGACAACAATCAGTCTTTGCCACAATTAACATCCTTGACAATGTAAAATAATAGCAGAAACAGAAGATGAAAATAAGGAAGAGAGCTAAAGAAAAGAGTATAAGTCATTACAAAACAAGGAGTTAAGAAACACTATGTTTACAAAAAAAAATAAAGTGCAAGTAAGAAATTTAAAATACCGTAGTGATATAGCTATTTGGCAGAGACAATGGTGGGGAATTAGTACAAGGAAAGTTTAATTATAACTGTTTTGTTCGCTCTGGAAACAGATCTAGGGAGAGAAGAGAAGGGGTAGGAAAGGGAGTATAAAATAAAGATAAAGAGATACAATGAGATTCAACTTACTGAGAGAAAAAAATCCATGTATATAAAATATAAAGGATCAGAAATTAAGAGAGAAATTTTCATTTAAGGGTACAGGGAATGTCACTGGTTTCTGACTTAGAGACTTGTGGATTTATTCCGTTTATGAAACCCTCTCCACTCACCAAAAAAAAAATTAATCCATCCATGGTTCATATTCATGGAAGAAGTAATAATGATATATATTAAGAAATAAAAATTGAAGTTGAATTTTACATAGAAAAGATGTGGTACATTTTACCTCCAAATTCCTTAAAACTGCCAAAAGTCCCTTTCAGAATCTCCTCAAGCTTCTTTATCTATCACTTCATCTTCTAGTCAAACCCGCTTTTCCACAGGCAATACTATTTGGAAAAAATTTAAACTACTTTTTTCCTTTTACATATCTACTTCATTTTTCATTATTAAAAAGTCAGAAGAGTATTGTCTCCATTTAACACATTTTATGTTTATGTACACTCTATGATACTTAAAAAGCGATGTCACAATGTTGTCTTGTATTTTATTTAATATGTTTGGAATTTCAGCTGCGTTACAGGTTAATGCAGTTTGGGAATGTAACTATCATTTACACTACAGTTTTTCTATGAGAAAATATATTTTTGGTGCCAAACAACTGACTGATGAATACTTTTGAAACACAAACCTATACTAGAGAGACTAGTTTAACTCTTTAATTCATCCAACCAATGAAATTCCAGGTTACAAAAGCACCTGAAAAGTTGATGTCATGGTAATAAAAGTGTGAACTGATAAATAAGATAAAAACTAACACCAGATGTGACTGTTTTATTGGATTACTTTGACATACATATATTCCTAAGAAAAATAGCATATATTTCTGGAGCAATGCCATGTCTGAAATCCTTCAGTTTTGTGTAACATCAGCAGAATAGAGCCTAATGTCAGCAGTGTTTTCTTGGGCTGGTCATATCTCATGGAGGGAGGATGTCAGCTTGCCAAAGAGAATATTACATGCCAAGCACTGAAATATAATCTACTGAATCTTGTCATTGAACAGTATGGAACAACATTCAGCCATGAGAGGTGGTGACAAAAAGAAGTTATCAATCTCATGGGTGATTTCACAAAGTTTATCTATTATGAAAGATTGGGTTTCTGTGGAAATAATTTAACAAATAGCTTTTGTACATCCAACAGACCTCTAAACTTTAAGCATTAATATTAAAATATGTGACAACAAGCATATACCCTATCACACTGAGTTTCAAAAAAAAAAAATTAATTTTTTTTCCCAATTAAAATTAGCCTGTGTGACAGATGTCTCTAAACTGAGAAATTTTAGAAAGCCCAAGATTAGAGTAGCAAAGCTTTTAGTTGACTCTTGCCTTAGTAATGATTAAGTTTCTTTGTTCATGTAAAAGGTCAGACTTCTTTAGTAAATACAGACATGCAAATGTGTTTACTTGGGGAAAGGATTGGGATTTGTCTTTATCTTTTTTGAGACAGGAACTTGCTCTGTCACCCAGGCGAAAGTGCAGTGGAGTGATTGTAGCTCACTGTAACCTCAAACTCCTGGGCTCAAGCAATCCTCCATCTCTGTCTCCTGAGTATGAGTAGCTGAGACTACAGGCACATGCCACCATGCCTGGCCAGTTTTTAAATTTTTTGTAGTCGCCGGGCAAGGTGGCTGGCTCACACCTGTAGTCCCAACACTTTAGAATGCCGAGGTGGGTGGATTGCTTGAGCCCAGGAGTTCAAGACCAGCAGCATGGCAAAATCCCTTCTCTACAAAAAATGCAAAAATTAGCCAAGCGTGGTGGCACCCGCTTGTAGTCCCAGCTACTGGGGAAGCTGAGGTGGGAGGACACTTGAGCCAAGGAAGTGGAGGTTGCAGTGAGCCGTGATAACACCACTGTACTCCAGCCTGGCTGACAGAGGCAGATCCTGTCTCAAATAAATAAATAAATTTTTTATAGAGCTATATTGCCCAGTCTGGCCTTGAACTCTTGACCTCAAAAGATCCTCCCGCCTCAGCTTTCCAAAGTGTTGGGATTACTGTGAGCCACTCTGCCCAGCCAGAAGGATTTTTATCCAACTGCAAAGGACTAAAGAGAATTTCCACAAACAACTCTCCTCAGGAAAATTTTGTTATTCTTTGTTTCTTTTCATTATATGTACTTTGTTCAACTATAATCAACAGGAAGAAGTCTGCCCTTCAGAACAGCTAGGTTTATTCAGAATTGCTGACTTCAGAATATTTCATGTTATCCCATGATTATTAGAACCAAACATTTTAAGGAATAAGTTTATTCTGTAGAATTCTCTGAACTTGGACTGTTTCTCTTTGACATATTTATCTACAGTTTAGATATTTATCTACAGTTTAGAATTGTTCTGACTCTATTGGGTAAAATTGCTCTCAAAAGAAACATGGTCCTTGAAGAGACTTAAATGTTTGTGTTACACCTCATTCATGCTTTTTTACTTTTTCCTTATTTCTACTTTGCAATTTACAGATCGTATGTGAGGTCACAGTAAGCCCAATATTGTGTATGTACAGTCTCTTCTATAAGAAATCAAAACTGTCTTGTGGTTTTGTTTGCTTGTTTGTTGTTTTTGTTTTTGTTTTTTGAGACCATCTTGGTCTGTTGCTCATGCTGGTGTGCAGTGGCACAATCTCGGCTCGCAGCAACCTCCATCCCCTAAGGTTTAAGCAATTCTCATGCCTCAGCCTCCCGAGTAGCTAGGATTACAGACATGCACCACCACTCTGGCTAATTTTTGTATTTTTAGTAGATGCTGGGTTTCACCATGTTTGCCATGCTGGTCTTGAAAACCTGGCCTCATGTGATCGACCCACCTTGGCCTCCCAAAGTGCCAGGATTGCAGGTGTGAGCCATCACGCCCAGCCTGTCTTGTGTTTTTGGATGAAACTTCACTCCTTCATTTCAAGATGACATACTTTAAATATTTAGTATACAGTTGGTGAATGATCTCTCAGGTTTCAATGAGAAAATCTACCTCTGAAAAGCATCTCCCTCAGCTTCCTCTCTTAAGTTTTAGAGTTGCTGTTGTCTACTTCTCAGTTTCTCATTCTTACTTTAATCAGTCTTGCTGTAAGTTGATCTGACATACGTTTGTAATGATATACTTTATGCAAACAACTCCTCTATCTACTCCAGCAACCACATCTTTCCTGAACTCTAGTACCATAAAACTGCCTATTGGGTTGCCTGCCTCAATGTCCCAGAGATTCATAACTAAACTTATATCTTTCCCTTACATTTTATACCCTCTGCTGTGAGCCTTATATCAGTAAATGACACTCCCATCACCTGAGCTAGAAACCAGATCTAGAAAAGTTATCTTAGAGAATAACTTCCAGGAGGCAGGGCAAGATGGTAGAATAGAAGTTTCCACCAATCATCTACTCTGCAAGGACATCAATTTAACAACTATCTATACAAAAAAAAGCACCTTCATAAGAACCAAAAATCAGGTGAGCTCTCACAGTAGCTAGTTTCAGCTTCATATAGCTGAAAGAGACACTGAAGATGTAAAAAAAAAAAATCTTGAATTGCGGACGTCACCCCTCTCCCATCCCCCCTGCAGCTGTGGCCTGGTGTGGAGAGCAATTTGTGTGCAGGGGAGAAGTTGAGCACAGCCATGGTGAAGCATTGAACTCAGTGCTGCCCTGTTATACAGCAGAAAGCAAAACTGGACCAAACTCAACTGATGCTTCCCAATGGAGGGGCATTTAAACCATCCCTAGTCAGAGGAGAATCACCGATCCCAGCAGTCTAACTTCAGTTCCCGCAAGCCTCACCACCATGGGCTAAAGTGCTCTGAGACCTTAAACAAACTTGAATGGCAGTCTAGGCCATGAGAATAGCAATTCCTAGGTGAGTCCTGGTGATGAATTGGGCCCACAGCCATTGGATTGGGGTGAGGGGGGGCACACAACCTACTGAGACACTAGCTTGGGTGCCTAACAAGGGGCTGGCATCACCCCTCCCCTAACCCCAGGCTGCACAGCTCACGGTTCCTTTCTTCTACTTTAGGAGAGCAAAGAGTAGGGAGTACTTTGTCTTGCAAAGCCCACAGCTCAGCCACAGCAGAATAGGGCACCGGTCAGAGTTGTAAGGTCTCCTTTCCAGGCCCTAGCTCCCAGACAACGTTTCTAGACACACTCTGGGCCAGAAGGAAACCTGCTACCTTGAAGGAAAGGACTCAATCATAGAAGGGTTCATCACCGCTAACTGAAGAGCGCTGGGCCCTGAATAACCAGCAGTCGTACCCAGATAGAATATCATGGGCCTTGGGTGAGCCTCTGAGATTTGCTGGCTTCAGGTGAGACTCAGCTGTGGTGGTTATAGCGTGAGACTCCTTCTGCTTAAGAAAAGCAGAGAGAAAAGTAATGGGGACTTTGTCTTGCACCTTAAGTACCAGCTCAGCCATGATAGGGTGGAGCACCAAGCAGGCTCTTATGGCTCCTGATTCTAGGCCTTGAATCTTGGATGGCATTTCTGAACGTGCCTTGTGCCAGAAGGGAGCCCACTGACCTTAAGGGTGAGTCCTAGGCCAGGCAGCATTCACAGCAGTCTGACTGAAGAGTCGGTAGGCCTTAAAGGAATATCCACAGTAGTCTGGCAGTACTCCCCACAGGGCTGTGGTGGTGGTGTCCATGAGGTAAGGCTCTTCTGCCAGAGTGAGGACTGTGTATTGTGGCCTGGGTGCCAGTTCAGCCACAATACAGTAAAAGACCAGGTAAACTGTTAAGGTTTTTTACTCTAGCACCTGGCTCCCAGATGGCACATATGGACCTGCCTGGGGGGAACTCACCTTCCCTGAGGGGAAAGGACACAAGCCTAGTTGGCTTTGCTACTTGTTGATTGTGTAGCCCCAGGGCCTTGAGCAAACATACTGGTAGCTAGGGAGTAGTTACAGCAGGCCTTGGGCAAGACCCAGTGCTGTGCTGGCTTCAGGTCTGACCCAGCGCAGTCCTAGTGGTGGTGGCCACAGGGGTGCTTGTGTCACTCCATTTCCAGCTTCAGGTGGCTCAGAATAGAGAGAGAGACTTTGGGAGAAAGCAAAGGAAGAAAGCAAGAGTCTCTGCCTGGTAATGCAGAGAACTCTTCTGGATCTTGTCCACACCATCAAGGCAATACCTCTACGAGTCTTAGGTCACAGCTTAGATGAGAACACTAGTCCTTTTGAATTTCTGGAAAGTCTTCCCAAGGATGAGTACAAACAAGCCCTGGCAGCGAAGACTACCATAAATACCTAACTCTTCAATGCCCAGAGACTGAACACATCTACTAGCATCAATACCATCCAGGAAAACATGATCTCACCAAATGAACTAAATTAGGAGCCAGTGATCAATCCTGGAGAAACAGAGATACGTGACCTTTCAGGTAGAAATTTCCTAAACAGATACAACTTAGAAGATTGAGCCAGGAAAAAGTCCAAAACTTGATCAAACCAATAACAAGTAACAAGATCAAGGTTGTGATAAAAAAAATCTCCCAGTAAAGAAAAATCTGGCACCTGATGGCTTCACTGCTGAATTCTACCAAACCTTTAAAGAAGAACTAACACCAATTCTACTCAAACTATTCTAAAAATAGAGGAGAGAATATTCCCAAATCATTATACAAGGCCAGTACCTAACACCAAATATCGAATTTGCTTTGGGTAGTATGGACATTTTAACAACATTGATTTTTCCAGTCTATGAACATGGAATATCTTTCAATGCTTTGGTGTCCTTTTTAATTTCTTTCATCAGTGTTTTATAATTTTCAAAATAGAGATATTTCGAATACCTAATACCAAAACCAAAGATACATCTTAAAAAGAAAATTGCAGGTCAATATCTCTGATGAATATTGGTGCAAAATCCTGAATAAAATATAAGCAAATTGAATCCAACAATATGTTAAAAGTATTATTCATCATGACCAAGTGTCATTTATCCCTGGGATGCAAGAATGGTTCAACATACACAAATCAATGTGACACATTCATATCAACAGAATGAAGGACAAAAATGATCATTTTCAATCGATGCTGAAAAAGCATTTCATAAAATTCAACATCCTTCATGATAAAAACTCTCAAAAAACTGAGGATAGAAGAAACATAACTCAACCTAATAAAAGCCATATATAACAGACCCACAGTTAGTATCATACTGAATGGGGAAAAGCTGAAAGCCTTTTCTGTAAAATCTGGAACATGACAAGGATGCCCCTTTATTATTCAACATAGTACTGTAAGTCCTAGCTACAGAATCAGACAAGAGAAAGAAATAAAGGGCATCCAAATTGAAAAAGAAGAAGCCAAATTGTCCTTATTTGTAGGTGATATATTTGGAAATACCTAAAGACTCCACAAGAAAATTATTTGAACTTACAAACATTCAGTACAGTTGCAGGATACAAAATCAACATACAAAAATCAGTTGCGTTTCTATATGCCAACAGCGAATAATCTGAAAAAGAAATCAGAAAGTAATCCCATATACAACAGTCACAAATAAAATTAAGTACCTAGGAATTAACTTAACCAAAGAAGTGAAATATCTCTATTATGAAAATTATAAAACACTGATGAAAGAAATTGAAAAGGGCACCAAAGCATTGAAAGATATTCCATGTTCATGGACTGGAAAAAATCAATGTTGTTAAAATGTCCATACTACCCAAAGCAAGCTACAGATTCAATGCAATCCCTATCAAAATACCAATGACATTCTTCACAGAAATAGGAAAAACAATCCTGAAATTTATATGGAACTGCAAAAGACCCAGAAGAGCCAAAGCTATCTTGAGCAAAATGAACAAAACAGGAAGAATCACATTACCTGATTTCAAACTATACAACAGAGCTGTAGTAACTAAAATGGCATGGTACTGGCATAAAAACAGACACATAGACCAATGGAACAGAACAGAGAATGCAAAAAACAAACCCACTTACTTACAGTGAAGTCATTTTTGACAAAGGTGACAAGAACATACACAGTCTCTTCAATAAATGGTGCTGGGAAAACTGAATATCCATATGCAGAAGACTGAAACTAGACCCCCTGTCTCTCACCATATACAAAAATCAAATCAAAATCAATTAAAGACTTAAATCTGAGATCTCAAGCTATGAGACTACTACAAGAAAACATTGAAGAAGCTCTCCAGGACATTGGTCTGGGCAAACATTTATTGAGTAATACCCAACAAGTACAGGCAATCGAAGCAAAAATGGACAAATGAGATCACATCAAGTTAAAAAGCTTCTGCACAGCAAAGGAAGCAGTCAACAAAGTGAAGAGACAACCCACAGAATGGGAGAAAATATTTGCAAACTATCCATGTGAAAAAAGATTAACAAACAGAATATTTAAAGAGCTTAAACAATGTCATAAGAAAAAATCTAACAATCCAATTTTAAAACGGGCAAAAGATGTGAATAGACATTTCTCAAAAGAAGACATACAAATGGCAAACAGGTGTATTAAAAGGTTCCCCACATCATTGACCATTAGAGAAATGCAAATTGAAACTTCAATGAGATATCATTTCACCCCAGTTAAAATGGCTTATATCAAAAAGTCAGGCAATAACAATTTCTGACAAGAATGTGAAGAAAAGGAAACACTTGTACGCTATTGGTGGGAATGTAAATTAGTACAACCACTATGGAGAACAGTTTGGAGGTTCCTCAATAAACTAAAAATTTAGCTACCATATGATCCAGCAATCCCATTATTGGGTATAAACCCAAAAGAAAGGAAATCAGTATACTGAAGAGATATCTGCATGCCCATGTTTGTTGCAGCACTGTTCACAATAGCCAAGAATTGGAAGCAACCTAAATGCCCATCAGCAGATAAATGGATAAAGAAAATGTGGTACTCATACACAATGGAGTACTATTCAGTCATTAAAAAAAGAATGAGATCTTGTCATTTGCCACAACATGGATGGAACTGGAGGTCATTATGTTAAGTGAAATAAGTCAGGCACAGAAAGACAAATATTGTATGTTATCACTTATTTGTGGCATCTAAAAATCAAAACAATTGAACTCATGGACACAAAGAGTTAGAAGGATGGATACTAGAGACTAAGAAGGGTGGGGGGGTGGTGGTGTGGCGTGAGGATGGTTAATCAGTCAACAAAAATTAATTGGAAAGAATAAAACCTAGTATTTGATAGCACAACAGGGTGACTGTAGTCAATAATAATTTAATTGTACATTTTAAAATAACTAAAAGAGTATAACTGGATTGTTTGTAACACAAAGGATAAATGCTTGAGGGGATGGATATCCCATTTTCTATAATGTGATTATTATGTATCGCATGCCTGTATGAAAACATCTCATGTACGCCATAAATATATGCACCTATTATGTACCCAGAGAAATTAAAAACTAAAAAAGAGTAACTTCCAAAGTGAGAAAAAGAGGTTTATGCTAAATTTTTCAGTTTTTCTCATTCCCCAAGCATCCAAGCAGAAAATGAATCCTGTGGATTTGTTATATAAGAATGGCCCCAGCAGAGTCCAGCAGAAATATGATACGAGGAGCTGAAGATGTCTCCAATCCAGTCTCCACTGTCTCACCTCCTACACATATGGGAATCCATTTTTCTTAAGCTTCGCAGGGTGGGGGGCAGATTTCATTGAAAGAGGAAGGACATGGGTCCCAGGACTCAGGAGAGATAGTGAAGTCGTATGGAAATAAGGGAAGTATCTATTTGCCACCCAAAGAGCTAGTCCTGAATCTTGATAGAGAATGGGATGCAAGCAAAAGCCAAATGGCAGGTGCTGTTTTGACGAGGGTGATACTAAGACATTCAATAGCTCTGGTCTCATCACTTCACCCCAGGATAACCTGCATTTGCCTATTAACTGGTTTTTCTCTATCTCATGACACCCCTTCAATTGACCCTGCACAAAGCTACCAGAGTAGTCTTTCCAATGGATTAATTTAATAATTTCATTCTCCTGTTCATGAGACATCAAAAGCTGTCCATATCTTTACTGGCATATCCAATTTACTATCCTACTCTTCCTGTCAGTCCCAACACTTGGCTACATCAAATCACTGGTAGTTACTTGAATATACCCTACTATTTCATGCCACCATCATTTCACATAGCTATCCCCTTTTCTTGGGTCACTCTTTTTCTTCCCCACACAACCAATATGCTAACATTTATTTGTTATTTAAAATTATTCAGGCATTGCTCTGCAAGGAAAGCCTTTCCTGGTCCCTAGAATGATTTATGTACCCATCATCTGTGTCTCCAAAGCACCTGCATTTACCTCCACCACTTATCCACTGTTACTTTGCTCTCACCCCCATGAGAATGTAAGACTGCAAAGGTCTTTGAGAAAGTATTAGTCATCTTTCTTTAATCCCTGTACTGCCTGCTATATAATAAATACACAATAAATTTTTCTACATAAGCAATATAACATTGTTTTCATAGAAACATATTTTCCTAGTTCCAAACAAATTGATATACAAATATATTTTGTGAACTCAATCTGTTCATAAGTTTTATAGGCTCTATTATGGAAAAATGAAAGTCACTTCGTATACCACACATGAATAATCAGTTGTCAAACAGAATACAATCAAATACACCAACTCCAAAACTGAGGCAAATATAATTTAACTTTTATTAATTCGGTACCTTTTTCATATCTTGGGATGCCTCATAGGCATAATCATGAATATCAATTTCCATTGTATTGTACATAAAATATGCTTACATAATGATAAAGATTTTTAGCCTTGATGCCAGAACATTTGGTGTATTATCATTTATTATTTTGCCAGAATTAATGCTAAGTTGCATGCCATACATTTCACAAAGAATGATCTTAGCTATCTATAGCTGCTACCAAAGCAAACCTTCCAAGAATCTTAAAACAAAAAGTATGGTGATATCACAGACACCAATACAAACTCACTGGAACTGCAATGAAATTCACCTTTCTTTTGTCAAATTTTAATTTAGGTAAATATTTTTCCAATGTGAGAAATCTCTGTGCTGTAAAACACATAGAAATTTCATAAAATGCCCTCCAGAGCTAAACTTTCTAAAAGTGCACAACATATCTATGTGTTGAAGATTACTTGCTCAACTTGCTAATGGCTAATTGTTTAAAAAAATTAATATGCAGGTCCAAAGGACAAGAATAGTCCTTTCTCTGCCTTGCTAAGCCTCTCCTGTTTTCAGAAATATTGGATATATATTTTTCCAAATAGTTGTAAAAGAGTTATTCCTAAACATTGTGCTAGACACACAACATCTAGTAATAAATAATTATAGAAAAATCCTTCATTTCAACGAATTGTGTGTGCCCTGTGCTCAATTAACTGTCTCTTCATATTATGATTTGAAATGCCTTTCACATTAAGGCATGTGTTATTTTATGTATGAAAATGAGGCTATTGAGATGCCAACAGTGTGACTTGCATTTTGCGCTATTTTTCCAAACACTAATAATAGGTTTTCTCTTAGCCACCCATGTTTTGGTCAATGACAAGTATGTGTGAGATGGGTACCTGGAATTCTAGCATTGTTTATAGCCACATAATAGAGATTTATTCTGCATAATATAGTGGATTTGAGAGGACAGAATATTTTAAAGGAACAGATCTCAGGAGAACTCACTCGCTATCCGAGGACAGTACCAAGGGGAACGGTGCTAAACAATTCAAACTGGATCTCAGGAGATCCAGGAGATCCTTTAAAAGCAGGCTTCAACCAAGATAGCTAGCCTTAAAGATACACTAACTGTCTCAGTCCATTTGGGCTGTTATAACAAAAATACCATAGACTTGGTGGTTTAAACAACAAACATTTATTTCTTACATTTCTGGAGGCTGTGCTGACAGATTGGGCATCTGGTGAGAGCTCTATTCCTGGTTCATAGACAGCAGTCTTCTTGCTGCATCCTCACATAGTGGGAGGATTGAGGGAGCTCTCTGGGGTCTCTTTTGTAAGGACACTAATACGGTTTTGATCTGTGTCCCCACCAAATCTTATGTTGAATTATAATTCCCAGTGTTGGAGATGGGGCTGGTGGGAGGTGACTGGATCATGAGGGCAGATTTCTCATGAATGATTTAGCACCATCCTCCTTGGTATTGTCCTCAGATAGTGAGTTCTCCTGAGATCTAGTCCTTTAAAAGTATGTAGTGAAAGTATGCATGGTCCTCCGCCCTCTCTTGCTCCTGCTCCGCGCATGTAAGATGTGGCATGTAAGATGCGCGTGTAACATGTGCCCCGTCTCCTTCCACCATGATTGTAAGTTTCCTGAAGCCTCCCCAGAGCAGAAGCCACTTTGGTTGCTGCAGAACCATAAGCAATTAAAACCTCTTTTCTTTGTAAATTACCCAGTCTCAGACTTTTTTTTTGTAGCAGTGTAAGAACGTACTAACATAGGCACTGATCCCAGTCATGAGGGCTCCACCTTCATGATTTAATCACCTCTAAAGGTCCTACCTCAGGCCGGGCGCGGTGGCTCATGCCTGTAATCCCAGCACTCTGGGAGGCCGAGGTGGGTGGATCACGAGGTCAGGAGATCAAGACCATCCTGGCTAACACGGAGAAACCCCATCTCTGCTAAAAATACAAAAACTTAGCCGGGTGTGGTGGCGGGGGGCTGTAGTCCCAGCTACTCGGGAGGCTGAGGCAGGAGAATGGCTTGAACCCGGGAGGCGGAGCTTGCAGTGAGCCGAGATCATGCCACTGCACTCCAGCCTGGGCGACAGAGTGAGACTCTGTCTCCAAAAAATAAATAAATAAATAATAAATAAAGGCCCTGCCTCTAAATACCATAACACCAGGAATTCAGTTTTAATATATGAATTTTGGGGAGGACACACACATTTGGTCCAGAACACTAACCATAACTCAACAAAGCAAATTGTGCATTGAGAATGCACAATTCTCAATGTGATGTGAATGCTCCCATATCACAGTGATGTCAATATCATGATCATGGTTGTTCTTACCTAAAAATTAAATTCCAAAGCTCTAGTCATCAGTAAATGCTGACAACTTCTAAAAGAGCTAAGCCAAAAGAACCATTAAATTAGCACATACTTCTACAGTGTGAACACTAGTCCTTTGATGAGCATAAAAGCTTGGATGTTATTTGTCACCATTTAACATTATGTCCTCCCTTTTCAGGCTTGTTTTTTCCAGATAAGCCTTTTTTTCACACTCCACAATTTTTTTATTAGCACTTCTCCATGAAATGGGCCTTTTTATTTTTAGCTTTGCCTAGATTAAATTCCCTTTGATATATATTTCAAGCTTCCCCCTTTGACTAGCTCAGCATTATAGACCTCACTGAATCCTTATTCAAATGGCAGGCACGACACTGCTCCCTTCTCTAATCACAGCGGCCATCCTCTAACAGAAGCTATTCCAAGGCTCCTGAAAAAAAAAATCATGTTTAATCTGTGAGGAGAAATTTAAGGTGGCAGGATTTCATTTCTGTAATGTATATACGTGTGTATAAGATACAAGAAACACAAAAAAGTGTTGCTTGAAGCTTTTTTGTTTTGTTACAAAAGCAATACATAGGACCCATGTATTGAATTACAATTATTCTGGCTTAATTTGACTACTGTGGGTCATGGAATGTATTGTCTAAGGAACACCTACAAAATGAAGTCAAATGAAGGACTCAGATCTCAGACAAACACAAATTGGGAGGTAATGAAATAGCAAAATTGATAAGATTACTCCAGCCTTCATCTCTCTATCAATAGAGAGACCTTTATTTACTTAACTTGCTATTTTCAAAGGAAGTATTACGAGAGAAAATTAAAGAGCTATAAACCTATAAAAAAAGGAATTTTCATCCAGATAAAGTGAAACAGAAGCACCTAAGCCCTAGGAGTTTGAATAAGTATTTCTTCAAACTTATACTTTATGCATAGTTGACAATAAAAACTCAGTCTAATAAATATATATATACCAAAAAAATGGTTTCTTAATCCTCTTCATGTTAGAACTTATTTCCAAGTCAAAAATTAGTATCTCCATTAGGGGCTTAGGTTTTAACTCAGCACATCTCTAATGCATCCAAATTTACTCTTCAATTAAACATTACTCTTCAAATTATAAACTTAGCACCCAGCTATCTCAAGGATTGGCAATAGATGCCCTAGGGAGAATGAGTATGTATAAAATAGTCATTGCTGACTGTTCTTTAGATCCTATGAATACGATAGCAGTCACTGAATTTATAGCTTAATGGGTGAATGAGACATGTAAATCAATATACATCAAGGCAAAAGAATAGGAGCTAGATTGGAGGCATAAAGTACTATAAGAGTTAAAGTTGAAAGAAATTCCAACAGATTAGGGAAGTGTTAAGATTTTCCTGAAAAAAAAAAAAAATAATTGAGATGTGTCTTAAAAGTTCACTATGAATTGTAAAGACACACATAAGGAATCTGTAAGATATAAGAGAGTTGAAGTAAAAAGAAAAGCATGTCAACGGCCTGAGGTACGGAGAGACCAGTAATAGCAATCTGATTTGATTGAACTGTAGTTCAGGAGAAAAAAGAGAATGGGAAAATAAGTTAGAAAGAGGTAAGCCAAGGTAATTTCATGGGAAGCAAAAGAAGGAATTTGTACTTTCATAGAAGTACAGAATTTTATAGTTGAAAGGAACTATAGAGCCATCTAGAACAACCTGCTGATTTTTCAATTGTAAAAACAGAGGCCCAGACAGATAACATGAATGACACCACTTGCTAGTGGCAAAGCCAAGATATGAATAAAGGTCTCCAAGACTCCCGATTCAACGGTCCTTACACTCCTTTGCTTCTGGGTAGAGAGGAGACAGGCTTAGAAACATGTTAGGCAAAGATCACCTCAGCAGCATCTGAAGAATAGATTGAAAATGAGAAAGAAAAAAAGCAGAGATTCTATTTAGAAGACCTAATAGACTAGTTCAGGTGGGAGATAATAAAAGCCTGAGCCAAAGTGAGAGTAATGAAAATAGAAAGGAGTAGACGGATTTCAGTAGCATTTCTCAAGCTGATAATTCTGTAGGGTTAATAAGTAATGGGAGGGGGGAAAAATAGTTCTTGTTCATTTAATTTTGCAAGTGCTAGGTTAAACCAAGACAAATATCTTCACTATAGGATTTCGAAAAGCTTTACTATGCTAATGTGGACTAAGAACCTCCTACATTGAGACAGAGAAAACAACGTTGCCCAAAGTGTTTTAAAAAGAATTTTTAATAGAATACTATTAACATGAGTTTTCAATGAAAACCTAGTTTGTGAAATACCATTAATATATGATAAACATGGAGGATTTTGTGAATGCTTCTACCAATGTGGAAAAATTGACTCTTCAGATTCAAAAGCCTAAGTGCAGAAGGAAGCTGGTTTATTTTGACATCTCTATTATTGACTATAAATCAAAGAAATATATCCCATCAGTGTCTATAACAAGAACCCAGTTTGTCTTAGCCAAAATGTCTTGTTGTTATACCATTTCAACCAGTTGGAAGGTAATCTTTCTAAATTGCTTGGGAAAACATAGTTGTTTCCTAAATGGGTGAATGGTTTTAGGTCCCAGGAAGATTTTAATATTAATATGGAAATCTTTAAGAGAACTAAGAGTGTAGTATTAATATTTGTTTGCATATTGGTTTATATACACTTACCATTTAAGAATATTTGGCCTATTTAAATAACAGTTCAGACTTGTAATCCCAATTTAAAATGTTTAAATAATTGCAGACTGGTGGTTTTAGTTGGCATATTACTCTTAAGGGAAATTAAATTTCACCACATTAATGTGTAGTTTTTTTTTAATTTATAAGCATTAAGAGCCTGAGAACATTTTTATAGAAATAGATGATTGTAGTGTTTATGAGACAAATTAAAAATATTAAATTTCTAAATACAAGTTGAAATGTTTAAGTGAGTTCAATTAACTAAATTTGTAAATGTTCCCAAATATTTAATACTAATTAAAGGCCCCTTTAATAATAGCTAAAATGTGTTGATTTATAAACAGAATAAAACTTATAAGCTGAACTTGAGACCTAAAGAAAGAATTATTGTTTTGTTTGTTGTTTGTATTTTTATTTGTAACTTCAATAAACTGTATACTAATTTTAAATATCACAGTTCATATTGATGAACTTTGAATAGTGTTTTCTGCAGAGAAACCTCCCTAAAGAAAGTAAACCTCACATTAAACACAATTACAAAGAAGTCAGTGAATTGTTGGCTGATGGGTAGATTACAGACACCTTTGAGACAGTGGGTTGGGCGCAGTGGTCAGAGCAGAGGGTGGAAGATGCTGGTGGTGAAGATACGGAGACAGAGTCACAGACCATTGTATTAGTTTCCTATTGGCTGCTATACAAATTACTGCAATCTTAGTGGCTTAAAATGACACAAATTTATTCTCTTACAGTTCTGGAGGTCAGATATCCAAAATGGGTTTATAGGGCTAAAATCAAGGAGACAGAAGTGCTGTATCTCCTAGTCTGTACAGGCTGCTATAACAAAATACCATAAACTAGGTGATTGATAACAGAAATTTATTTCTCACAGTTCTGGAGGCTGGGAAGATCAAAGTGATAGCAGATTCAGTGTCTGGTAAAGGCCTGCTTCCTCATAGATGGCCAACTTCTCACCGTGTTTAGCCACTACCTTTCTTTACCCTCTGCCATGGCAATGTTCCACACAGTGGCCGCCCATCAGCCTGGGTCCCAGACAAAGCAATGCAAAGCCCGCAAAGCTGCCCCATGATATACATATAGTGTGAGTGGGAAATAAACCTTTGTAATTTTAAGCCACTGAGATTTGGAAGTTGTTTGTTGAAGGAGCATGAACCAGCCTCTTGTGATTAATACAAAGGCACTAAAGAGTTTCTACACTTCCAAAAAACATTTGGCCTAACCTATAGTACTTAAACTCTGAAGTGCAAGATGCAGATTACGTATTCAGAAATATTTTCTCGGTGACACAAAAAAAGCACAGAATGTGGTGCCAAGTACAGCTGTAGAATTGTCTTTGCAGGCAGTGTTTGAGAAAAGTGTCTAATCCAGGTTAGGTTTCAAGCTGCCTAATGATAAGGCAGTAGATTACATAACCACTCAAATTTCCTTCCAGCCTTATGGTTTTACACGCTTTAGTATAATGCCATTCTGGAAAGAAGTAGGTTACAGAAAAGAAACAATATGGTTCATATTCTAGGTTAGTCAGCAATTTCTATAGAATGTCAGTTACTTTAAGATTCACAGTGACTTCAATGCTATTAAAGTAACATTGATGAACTATAACAATGCCTTATATAAATTACTTGGAAAAATGAAAGACCACAGCAGTGGCCAAAATGTACACAGTCAGAGTAAACTAAACACTTTTTATTTTACTTAAAAACATATATTCTTCCCAAATTCCAGGCACTAAGCTAGACCCACAGGTAGAAAGATAAATAGGAAATAGTCCCTGTCCTTCAGGGCTTACAGAGGCACAGTAAAAAAAAATTAATCACAGGGCAATGTGTTAAGTGCTATAGTCGAGGGATAAATAAAGCTTTAAGTGACCACAGAGGATTAAGTAATAATTAACAAAATGCGTCAGAGAAAGCCTCTAGGAAGAAAAAAACTTCCATGCTATTAATTGTTGCTGAAATTATATATACATACACATACATATATAGTGACAGAGAGTTAGGATATACATATACACATGCATATATATGTATATACATATACAGATTTTAGCTACTTTAAATGCATAATTTATGTCCTCATTTACCTAAGACATGAAAATAAATTGAATATTTTGGAACAGAAATAGTAAGCCATAGAATACTTAGGATTATCCATTTTTAAAAGCCACCCTAAACATAATGACCTCTATCTTTGATGATTCAAAGAGAATTGCAGGATAATAAAAGGCCTTGAGTTGTTACCTACAGCAAGTGACCTTAGCCTCCAGCCTCAATTTCTGATCTATGAATGGTGATAAAGCCTTCCCTGCAGGAGTATTCTGAGGATTAGAAATAACACAAAAAAGCACCTGGCAAATAATTTGTCTTCAATAAATAGTAGTTGTTATGGTTACAATGTATTTGCTACCACTAGCATTAGGAGGCTAAACAGAACCTGCTCTGACCCTAAAACATGCTGTGGCAGTTACGCTTTTGAGTGCCTATTAAGATTTTGTTATGCATTGTTTTTCTTGTAAAAGTATAGTATAAACTTAACCTCCCCCCCACCAAAAGAAAATTCAGCATCTGGGCTTTTTGATTATTTGAATTCAGAATCAATAGGAGTTCATAGGTTTTGACGAAATGAAAGGAAGAGAAACAAAAACATTGTAAAGTAGAAAATATATAAGGAAATGAAGGATTCAAAGATATCTGGCAACTCCAGTCATCAAATCAAAATATTCATTGAGCTATAATTACTGCTGGAGGATTCTTTCAGGCGTAAAATATTACAATCATATTTAACATTTCTTCTCCACTATACAAGGAAAGCAAACTATGACGTAGCTAAATAAATGCCTGGGTGGTAATTATTTTACCTCTTGGTTATAAATTACTCAAAAACAGTACCCATGTTTACTAAATATCTATGCAATACTTTAAATAGTAAGTATATAGTATAATATGAAGAAACTAGAGCAGATATAATCTCTAACAAATTTTTACATCATTTCTTTTTGGAGCGTAAAATAAGAATACAGTCAAATGATAAAAATAAACTTTCTTTAGTCTGTGATCACAGCTGATTAGGAAATGAAGATTTAGCAATTAGATAACTAATGTTATATATAAAATTACATTTATACTTAGAAACTCAAATCTGTATTACATACACATATTGGGAGAAAATTTTCCATGGGTCTCTTATGTTTCTGCATGTCTTACGAGCAGTAGCACTGACAGTTTTTGTTCCAGACTTTTTTCTTTTACAATGTTTCTTAAAAATGATTTATCTCTTTTGCAGTACTCTCTCTTTCTCCACCTTTATTGAGGCATAATTAGCAAGTAAAAATTATATATACTTGTGGTATACAAGTTAATGTTTTGATATACATATAAATTGTGAAATAATTCCACAAAATCAAGTTAATTAACGTATCAATCACCTGACATTGTTACCATTTTTTTTTTTTTTTTGGTAGATGTGGTGGAAACACTGAAGATCTATACTCTTAGCGAATTTCAAGTATACAATACAGTATTGGTAACTATATTCCCATTGCTGTCCATTAGATTTTCAGAACTTACTCATCTTGTGTAACAATTTCACTTCTGGGATATATCCAAAGGAAATGAAATCATTATCTAAAGGAGATATCTGCATGCCCCTGTTCATCACACTATCATTACAATATTACTCACAATAGTCAAAAGACAGCAACAACCTAAATGCCCACTGATAGATGAAAAGATAAAGAAAAAGTGGTATATATACATAATGGAATATTATTCAGTCTTTTAAAGAAAATTCTGACCTTGGTGACAATGTGAATGAACCTGGAGGGCATTATGCTAAATGAAATAAGCCAGACACAGAAATACAAATACCACATGATCTCACTTATATGTAAAATCTAAAATAGTCAAACATAGAAATGGAAAGTAGAACGGTGGTTGCCAGGGGCTAGGGGGAGGCGGAAATGGGAAGATACTGATTAAGTGTTGCAGTTTTAGTTATGCAGTCTATTTTTCAAGGCTGTTTTCATTACAGCTTTGAAAAATGGATCTAGAGTCTCCCTTGGGAACAGTGGACAGATTTATTTGCTCTCCAGTATAAGAATGTCTCCTTCTAAGATAAAGACTGAGCAGTTTTGTTTGCAGTTCATTATGAAAGACTGGAGTTTCCTAAGCTCAGAGTTCCTTAGCTGAGATGCACACTGTGATAGTTAATTTTATATATCAACTTGACTGGGATAATGGATGCCCAGATAGGTGGTAAAACAGTATTTCTGGGTATATCTGTGAGGGTGTTTCAGGAAGATATTAGCATTTGAACTGGTAGACTGAGTGAAAAAGATCTGTCTCACCAATGTGGGTAGCCATCATCTAATCGCTTAAGGGTCCAAATAGAACAAAATTATGGAGTAAGGGAAAATTTATTCTCCTTCCTGAACTGGGACATCCATCTTCTCCTGCCCTTGTACCTTAGCCTTCTTTGGTTCTCAGGCCTTCAGACTCAGATTGGGGCTTACAGTATTGGCTCCCCTAGTGCTCAGGTCTTTGGACTTGGACTGGAGCAGTACCACCAGCTTTCCTGGTCCTCCAGCTTGCAGATAGAGGATAGTGGAACTTCTCAGCATCCATAATTCCATGAGACAATTGTTTATAATAACTCTCTTTTTATATATCGGTCTATTTCCTACAGGTTCCTATTGTGCCATGAGTAACAGTTGTTGTCTTTTTTCTGGCCCAGAAGTTTCGTGACTTTGGTCAGCATCCATGAAACTATGACAGGTTAACTTGTTAACTTGTTCATAAGGTAAACTCTCAAACCCTTCACAGTTCTCGATAAGGCATGGCTTAAAGGTTAATTATTCAGTGACTTATGAACACAGTTTAGAAAAAGGGTAACTTTCAACTGAACAGATATTTATTGAGAACCTAGTGTGTACAAAGTATGCTGCCTCAATTCTCAAGCTCCAAATTATATATATGTCAATACAGGCATGGAGCAGGAATGCCGACATTAGGTTCTTTCAACAAAAATTAAAGTTTTTAAGACTTGAAGAGACTAATAACAAAATTCCACCGATATGTAGTTGCAGTGCAGTGGGCCTAAAGCAGACCAATTCTAGTGTGTGTCTCAAAAAACTTTTAAATTCTGACATGCCTGGATCTTCAAATGTCAGGTCTATAAAAACCTCAAGTCTAAGTTCCCACTGATAGACTTGAACCCTGCCCTCAGGATTCAGAGGGAGGAAATGGCTCAATATTTCATGTCCATTAGCCAGTACTAAACCTACTAGTATTACATCCAATCCATCCTAAGCTTATCTGAGAACACGTACTTTTTTAAAAAGAGAAATATCTTTAACTTCAAGGTTCACTGTAGTTAACAGGACCATATAACTTACCATTCAACCAGGGACACTTTTGGGAAGTAAAAAGGGGTGCTATTAATAATTATACTGAGACAACAGACATAAACCAGGACTGACTGAGGCAAACTGAGACATATCATTAGGCTGAATACACCACCTACATTCCGAAGAGTTCAAAAAACCATTCCCTTAGCAAAGCCTTCAGTAAGTTTGGAAGAAAATGTTTTTGTATGCAGCTCTAGATGCTAAGCTTCTCTCACTTTCAGGTTGGTTATAAACTTCTAATTAGAGGAAAGCTAACCAAAATCTAACAAATGCAAAAAAAGGAGCTTTGCAAGCTATTTTTTAAAGCATTTTCTGTGACTGGCTCAGCACCCATTTACTTCTGATAGAGAGTTATTTTATTTTGAAATGACTTGCAAGATTTCATTCAGTGTCATCCCTGCAGGGGACACAAACTCCAACTAGCATCAAGAAGAGTTGTACTGCTAATTCCCTGAATACCACACTGTTAATTAATCTCAGTGAATAAAAGGATTTCTAATATAAATTATTCTGACGCCATCCATTGCCTAAAGCTGTTTCTGATGATCTATAAAAAATGTCAAAAGAAACACTTTAGTCACCATGTGATAGAGAATTTGGACAAACAAGCAAGAAAATCTGGTTGAACTGAAGTCAGTGGTAGCTAGGCCAACAGAAGCCTGTTAAAGAACTTGAAAGAATTTCATTTTCCCAAGAGTTGTTTTCTCTTCCTAAAGAGCAACTACGATGAAATCAGAACATGAAATTTCACTAGGAGGTGACTATGAGGGACAATGAGTAATGTAAAACAACTCGGGCTATTTCTCTTCAAGGCACATTTCCAGAGAGATCTGATGGCTTGTTTCTTAAGTAGTGCAGGTAGTTGCTGAGGAATTCATGTTGGTGTTGTCTTTGCCCTTTGAGCATTCTGAAGAAAATGACTTGTACTGTATATAATCAATACTTAACAATCCAAACATTGCTGCTATTGCCTCTCAGTTTTCTCCTTTCTTTCCATGTTGTCCATCATTGCTATATAGAAACTATAAATCAAAAACATAAGACAGTGGGCAAGATGCTTATATCCTCCTCATCTGGTTGATTCTTCCAGGAAAGAATTCCAAGTTCTTTGACATTCTTCCTTGATTTATTCAATTCTGAACATCGATTTACTTTAAAAAGTACAGGCTAGAGATCTACAAAAAACTTTGGTGTCTTTGAAACAGCACACTTGTGATAAAGACTGTTAATTGCCCTTCAATATCCATTATCCCTTTCTTTCTTTCTTTCTTTCTTTTTTTGAGACGGAGTCCCTTTCTGTCACCAGACTGGAGTGCAGTGGCACGATCTCGGCTCACTGCAACCTCTGCCTCCTGGGTTCAAGTGATTCTCCTGCCTCAGCCTCCTGAGTAGCTGGGACTATAGGCACGCATCACCACGCCCAGCTAAATTTTTTTGTATTTTTAGTAGAAATGGGGTTTCACCATGTTGGCCAGGATGGTCTCGATCTCTTGACCTCGTGATCCACCCACCTCATTCTCCCAAAGTGCTGGATTACAGGTGTGAGTCACCGCACCCGCCCATCCCTCTCTTTCTTCTAGTATTGCCATTCCTCAAATGTTAGGGGGGTTGTATATTATTACCCAGTAGAGACTGTGTTCCCAGGACCTTGCAAGCAACTAAGTGTAGGCTAAGTTCCCCACCATCCCCTGCAGCCAATAGGATGGCCTAAAGTAATGTGAGAGCCGTTTAAGCCAGTTGCCTTCTACTTCTTCTTTCCCCCTTTATTAGGTATGGAACTCAGGTGTGTTAGTGATGAACCAGCTTAGAACAGGCAGCCAAGGTTAACACTAGACTGTGGAGCAGTGAGTGAGAAAATGCCTGAGTCCATGAGATGACCTGTGGAGTGGTCCCACCTTGACACACTGGATTGTCTTCCAACTCAGACTTTTGTATCAGAGAAAAATTTCCAATTTTATTTAAGCCATTTTTATTTTGATCTAAAAGTACCCAACTAACATCCTAATTAACAAAATATTATAAACTAATTTATTTTAGGACTGTCCTGCTTTTTATTTATTTCAGATCACTTAAAATGTCAGCATGTGCCTGGTAAATGTCTCTGTTAAAATACAAAATCTACTCCAGGGATGCATTAGAGAAAAATTTTGAAAACTCATTTGGTAATTGCATTTCACTGCCCATCAGTTAATCTGCTTATATATTCATGCATCCTGAGAGACAATTTACTGAATTAAATCCTTGGAGCTCAAAGTCAGTTACTTAAAAACAAAATGTAATTTTTTTTCCAAACAACAACTTGAAATTAAAATTTTAGGCCTCCCAATTTTGCTTTTATCTATTTATTGTTAGTGTTACATAAAAATAAAATTATGTTACTAACACAATAGTATAGCAAACATACAAGGTATTTATCAGCCATAAACACTAATGAAATAGCAAAATGTCTGTTTGTTGGGAATTTTGCTTCAACCACATCAAGAACTCACAGTGCATGCCATCATTCCTTTAGTCTTCATTATTCAAACAGTGTTCACGACAACATTATCAGTGAAGTAAAAACAAGGCTTATAACTCTATACTGGTAAGATTCACTTTATAATTATTGACTGGCTTTTGTTGTTTATTTTTCTCTTGTGTTACTCACTGGGAGTGAAATAAGAAAGAAATTTCACCAGAAGGCTTAGAATAGAAATGTGGTTACCAGTGCTGAAAGTGGGGTGGGGAGTGAAATAAGATGATGTTGGTCAGAGTACAAACCTGCAGATGAAGTAAGTTCTGGAGACTTACTGTAAAGTATGATGACTATAGTTAATCATAATGTATTGTATACTTAAAATTTGCTAAGAAAGCAAATCTTAAGTATTCTCAGCACACATAAAAAAGGTAATTATGTGAGGTAATGGACATGCTAATTAGTTTGATTGTGGTAATCATTTCACAATGTATATGTATATCAAAACATCTTGTTGGACACCTTGAATATATATAATTTTTATTTGTCAATTATACCTCAATAAAGCTGGAGGGGAAAAAACAGAAAAAGATGATCCTGAATTATGACATAACATTGTTATCTTCCCCGTGGCTTTTCTTTGTTCATTTAGTCTTGCATCCATTTATTGTTTCATTCAACAAACCTTTATTGAGTGATGTGTGAGCCTGGGAGATATAACAATAAATAAGATACATTCCCCCCTCCAAGGATGCTAATAGACTCAGAGAAATAGGTAAAGGAAATAATGAAAGGAGTGGATGAAGAAAATGCCAATCCCCAGAATTTCTTTGGGGAAGGACACTGCTTTGCGGGGAAGAAGAACATTGTTATGCCACATTTGGGTGATGGGTATGACTCCCAAATTTCATGCTTCAATTTTTTGGGTTATAAAGAGCATGTGTCCCGCTAACTGATTAAATTAGTAATGCAAATATGGAGCTGCAGCAGGACTGGTTTCTTATGTATAACAGAGAGCACAAGCAAAAAAGAGGTTGCTTTTGACTACCAGATCTCTTTAACAGGCCTTTTCTGGAATATAGTGAGAAGTTCAGACTGGAAGGCAGAAATCAAACACAGTGAGGGGCAAGAAGTGGAAAGAGATCAAGAAGTCTTGGTAGGTTGGTCCTAAATTGTGACAAGTCTTCTGCGCTATGTCCCGCAGTTTAATTTTACCCTAGAGAGAATAGAATTTTGAGAATGTTACAGGGTTTTCTGCAGTGACAGCAATCAAAATGAGATTACGAAGTAGACTGGACATAAGCAGCACACTTTGGTGTCACTGTCTCCCATCACCCTCAGATGGGACCGTCTAGTTGCAGGAAAACAAGCTCAGGGCTCCCACTGAGTCTACATTATGGAGTTGTATAACTATTTTGTTACATATTACAATGCAATAATAATAATAGAAATATGGTGCACAACAAATGTAATCCGCTTGAATCATCCAGAAACCATTCCCCCAAACTCTGCCCACCCCTGATCTGTGGAAAAATTGTCTTCCATGAAACTGGTCCCTGGTGCCAAAACGGTTGGGGACTGCTGATCTAAATCACTGTGGTGTACCTCATCTATAACACGTAAATACAAGCCTTTCCTGAAATTCTTCTATGAAAGTTTTACAGTGAAATAACTTAGGTATTGGTAAAAGGAAAAATAACGATTGTAAATAAACAAACCAAATTGATTTATTTCTCAAAGTCAGATGAGTTTCAATCTTGTTAGCCACCCAACACAGTTTCGTTCTTATCTAGGAAAACCATTTTCATTTGTCACAGGTTCTAAAATACAAACAATATGCATATATAATTGGGTATTATTATTGCTACCCGTATTAATAAATTTTGCTAAAAATACCTTTTACAGATTATTTCTATCATAATTACAACTTAATTTTTAGTATAAAAGAACTTCTTATAATTACTATAAATTTTGTTTTATGTTGGAAGTTATTTACATATTTGCAATTGTTATATTTTTTATTTATAGAATTTTTTAAATTTTAAAGAAGTGGTAGGTAGTATGGATATCTTTCAGCAATAAGGATACAATTGCAACTATAAGGTATAATGGGAATTTTTAATTAGTGAAAAAAATATTTTCAAGTTAAACTTCTCTGAAATACAGCATGATTTTTTTTAGCTGTAGGACCTTATAAATGAGTCATAAAAACCTTGTAAAACCTGAGGAAGGATAATGGTTTTCCCAAATCATCTTCAATTATTAGTGAGCTGTTCCAATTTTGTAATTCCAGTCTCAAGGAATGAGCTCATCCAGTTTGGAGTTACCAGGTTAGCTGTATGCACATCCAGCACCTGTGAAAACAGGATTTAATGCAGCTTCCCTGACCATCCAACCTTCCTAAGCAGGGTAGAAAAAAAACAAACTAACATGATTCAAGTTATGTTGTTTCAGATTACCTACAAAAAAAAAAAAAATGCTTCATTTTGTTTTGAGAGGCACCTGCTTCAGGCAGATCTCTCAGACTTCTCTACTCCTATTGGTTTTCTCCCCCTTAATTTCTTGTTCTTGCCTTTTTCCCGACTGGCTCATCTCTTTTCATGAGCAAAGGTAGCAGCAAAATCACATCAATAGCATCCACTAACAGTCTGATCTTTGAAGTGCACTGTGCCCCCGGCTTCAGAGATCCAGAGACCTGGTAAATCCATTTCCCTGACATCCACCTCTCCTAGAGTTGCCAGGTGATAGCTTTTAGCCCATTTCCTGGCAGAAATCAGTGGGACAGGGCAACCAAGGAGAGTTGAAAATAAAAGAGAGGAAAAGGTCTTCACTCAGGTGAAGGATTACATTTTACCAAATCCCTTTTTGTTAGCTTATCAAGCATTTTTGTCTCACTGAGTGGGAGCCCAGATGCTGTTAAGGCCAACAATATCTCACCTTCTTTCCATGCTCCCTATTCCTCTTGGCAACTACTGTCTTTGATTGTGTCCCCAAGGGCTTTGTTTTAGAGCTGGGGTGCAAAGAAGCACTTGCTGGCTTGGAGATGGAGAGAGCTGGAAAAGAGGAAAAAATGAAGACCACTGGGAACAGGTAGAGCATTTTTTTCATATGAGATTTGTGAAGATTATAGCTAAGGGGCTTATATGGAGAACTGTTTAAGAGAGCATTTCTAGGCCCAGGCAACAAAGTGTGACAGTCAGCAGAAAAGAAGAAAGAAGTTAGACTTCCCACCTCAACAGAGCATCCAGGGATTCTCTGGCATGCCAAGGAAGCACTTTGAGACACCATTCTTGACATGGATATTGGCATTCTGAAAATAGGCACAGTCGGTGGGAAGCCTTCCCCAAATGGCACACTGGACTGTGGATGTCTCAGGGTCTCATAGAAGTAACTAGTGGGCATTAGGAAGCGGCTAATTGGGGGCAACTTGTCAGTAAGGTTTCTAACTACCATAATTTGGTTATTAAAAGTAAGTGTAATCATATTTTATGGCCACAGACTTTGTGAATCTGGGATATCATGCTATATAACTACATGTGGACTTATTTCCCAATTAGCATCCGTTGATGTGTTGATGTCATTTAGCAATACAGATAGCTATTTTTTTCTGACTTCATTCTGGGCTTCATCTTTAAAATCATAATAATTTAATAAAAATTATTGTCTTACAAAATGACTGAATTCCAGGGTTTTCTAGGGCAAGTGGTGGTGAGGCCAAAATAGTGGCCATAGTAAGGTCATTTTTGCAAAAGTTTTAGCAAATGTCAAACTCAATTTAAGACCAAATGTCAAACTCAAACTAAGAGGCAAGGATGGAATTGAGGAATAAAGCCATATCATTACCCAGGTATCAGAACAGAAGCCTTTGGATGCCCAGTGAAGGGTCAGGATACAATAGCCAAAGGCAGTAAATGGCAGAGGCAAATGAGCAGAGGAGACAGGAATTTAAAAGACTCAGGCCTGTCCAATCTAACTGCTGGGTACAGCACTTTATAGCCAAGGTAGTTGTTAAGAATACACTTTATCAGGCACCTATTAGAATGGCTTAAAACTATTGTCTTTTACATGAGACTTTGTGTCTCATGACCCTTGTGACAGAGGGCTGTATGCACCCTTGCCTAGTTTTATGAGGATGCTGCTTACTACACGATATAATTTAAAGATATGTTGAACTTGGTTCCCTGACCCAAAATATCAACCCTATCAAAGAAAAGTAAGTGGTTAGTGATTATCAGCCAAGGCCCTGGTTCTTCGAGATGAGCAGCCACTACTGCTCTCTGAAACAATTAAACTTAATATTTACTGACTCGTGAGGACAGACCAGATCAATATCTTCAAGTTTTGTGGGCAGTGGGCTGTAACTCTGCCCTAGGAGCCAGAGAAGTCAGTGGTAGATACACTCTGTAAAAGGCAGAAGGCCATTCTTTGGTCAAAACTATATCAGTAATGAGATATACAACCAAATATCAAAAGTAAGGGCAGGGGATCAAGTTCAGAACAGAGCAGAAGCTGCTACTACTGGTTTTGTTGACTCAGCTCTGCAAGGAGCGCCTTTCACCCCCAGGAAGTTGATTGTTATCTGGAAACCAGAGAGAGGGACATGCTGATAGGAAAGGACTATGCTACATCATTTTGCCTAGGGTTGACCCTCAAATTACTTATTTTCTTTAAAAAGGGAGGAGGGCAGGGCCTTAGCCCCTAAATGACACTTACGGCTTTTAGAAGTGATCTAATAAATCATGGCTGCGCTTGGTGGCTCATGCCTGTAATCCCAGCACTTTGGAAGGCAGGCAGATCACTTGAGCCAAGAAGTTCGAGATCAGCTTGGGCAACATGGCAAAACCTCGTCTATAAAATTAAAAAAAAAAAAATTGTGAAACAGAGTCAAAACTAGGTAAACCAAATGCACAAACTTTCCATTCTTAAAATATATCCAAAGATATCTGTAGAAGTTAAAAATAAAGTCAAAGAAATTATCTGGGATAAATTTTTTTAAAAAATTGTACTGAACCACTTAAACAGTCAAGGAAGATTTATTCAAGATGACTGCAATAGGAGAGAGAGACTATTATAACAGGGGAGAAAAATTGAACTCAACTCCACTGAAACAAAAGGCAGGAGGATTTGTAAATGCTGGAGCGAGCTAACGGAAAAGTTCTGACAGACATTAGTGGAGCTGTTGGTCAACATGATTAGGCCATCTGTGTTTACTAATTGTTGCTTATAGAAGTTAGGCTCCTACCCTCCCACAGCTAGACAAGAATTCTAGCTTTCTTGATGATTAAATTTCAAAGTGTCCTAGGTCCTTGAGAAAAATATTTCTGGATTGTAGAAGATTTACATATCAAAGGGACAGAGAAAGAATTTATAAGTTTTCTGAGCAAATGTTTTAAGAAGAGGGAGAACAGGAACCTATGGTCAGTAAGAAGCCTGTTTAAAGTTTAGTCAAGCTGAGGGAATGTTAAGGTAGGGAAAGAATATGCTTAGAACTATTTGCATCTGATGCAATAAAGATCCCCCCCTCCTTTTTCCTGGTTCAGATTCTATTTTGCAGGTTAATTGCTTCAATGAAAGATTATTCATAAGGCAAATGGCAATCATACTAAACTCCTCTTTGCAAACGCTATTTTCCACTTTCAATTTTATGTGTTTTCCACTTACAATTTCAACATTAAACATACATTTAATGTTTAAACTGATAGTAAGTACTTTCACACCTAGGTTAATTTTTCAAAAGGTGAAGATCTCAAGTTTAATCACCCACAGTTGGCCACTGGAAAATCTTTTCTGCAAAGGATATTATATGTAGGAAGCTTCTGACTCAACTGGCATCTCAACTTAAAACTTACACTTCCTTCACATGTGTATCAGTCACCTGTCATGCAGTGGGTCTAGAGAGCAGGAATGAAAGATTTCTGACAACTGTTCTAACAAAAACATAATGAAATTCTTCTGATGAATCCCATTTTAACATGTCATGGCATCAGATTGACGGGTCCAGAAATTCATTTGGTTACTGGAGCTTTGCAGGGGGAAATGAGGTCTGAGAAAACCAGCTGATAAAAAAGCACAGCAAAGGTCGAACAAATCAGAGAAATGATCAGCCAAATGAGCTGCAAAATTATTTATTTGCTTGTAAAAAAGAAATTAGCCATACTTTGTCATATATAACCAATACCTGTCTTACTTGATGGAACACACAATTGCCCACAAAAAGAAACAAGGTAGGGGTACTCATGTGTGCAGCCTCGGGGGGGACTACTGGATTTTTAACAATCTGAAAACACTGGAGACATACTGAGAGCCAAAATAATTAGGAAATCATTGTTGATTGAATCCAGTATCTTGTCTGATGGGGCTTCCAGCTTGTTAAGGTGGTTATTACACAACAGGGAATGAAAGCACTGAGTCCAAGTTCATTTGGTTATTAGGTTTCTACTTATAGTTCATGTCCATCAGAATGTTCCTATGCTTACCTTGCTATTTCATCCTCCTGCTTTCAAGATAATCCCTTTCCTCTCTAAACGAACATTAAAGACCTGCTTGCTTCTCTTGGCTAACTTTAATCTTACACTATTTTCTTGCATGTTTCTTTCCCCTACAATATGGATTGCCATTAAAACTCTTGTTCTTCAGTGAGAACACATGGACACAGGGAGGGGAACATCACACACCGGGGCCTGTCAGGGGGTGAAGGGCTAGGGGAGAGATAGCATTAGAGAAATACCTAATGTAGATGATGGGTTGATGGGTGCAGCAAACCACCATGGCACATGTATACCTATGTAACAAACCTGCATGTTATGCACATGTATCCCAGAACTTAAAGTATAATAATTAAAAAAAAAAAAGACTCTTGTTCTCTTTCTACGCACAGATCATCACTGTTCTAAACACAGGAAATTCATACTCTATGTGCTGTGTTCCATCCATAGAACAAGAGAGTACATATACCCACTCCTTTGTCCACTAATCCAGTATGGTACAGATGTGAGATGCAGCTTTATAGAGCCCAGTGAAGAGAGTTGCTTCTCCTCTCCTCAGTGTGGTGCTTACTCTATGTTTCAGTTCAGCATACTTTTGACATCTTGATTTGGTGCTGACAACCAGTGGCATTTTTCTCACATAATTACGAGTGACTATAATCCTCCAAAAGAGAGCAAAATACACTGTAAATGACCAAAGACATACTAAGTGTGTATACTATAGAGGGAGGGAGATCTTCGACAAGCAACATTAAAACAGAAACAAACCGGGTGTTGTTGTTTTTTTTAACTGTTCATTTTAAAATAACAAAAAGGAAGTTATAAAACTTGTTCATAGGCTCCCTTGCACCCTTAAACTAATTTCCCCCAAAAGTGACATCTTATAAAACTGTACTACAATATCAAAACCAGGAAATCGACATTGGTAAAATGCTGTCAGCTACACTATTATCTAGACTACAGAATTTATTTTCACCATTTTTACATTCATATGTTTATGTGTGTTTGTGTGCGTATGTATAATTCTACAAAATTTTTCCCACGTATAGATTCATGAAACCACTGCTACAACCAAAGTACAAATCTGTTCTATCAGCACAAAGGAACTGCTTCATGCTACCCATTTATATTTGTACCACCCATCCACCACACATTTTCCCTATCCTATTCCCTGGAACAACTAGTCTGTTCTCCGCCTCCATAATTATATAAATTGTAATCATATCAACCTAACCTTTTGAGATTGACCTTTTTCACTAAGAATAATACCTTGATATCCATCCAGGTTGTTGCCTGTATCAGTAATCTGTTCCTTTTATTGCTGAGTGGTATTTCATTGTATGGATGTGCCAGAGTTTGTTTAATCATTAAATCTCTGAAGGATATTTGGGTTGTTTCCAGTTTTTACTATTACAAATAAAACTGCTATGAAAATTCATCAATACATTTTTGTGTAAACATAGGTTTTCATTTCCCTGGGATAAATGCCCAAGAGTGCAATTGCTGGACCATATGGTAAGTGCATGTTTAGCTTTGTAAGAAACTGTCATATTATTTTCCAGAGTGGCTGTACTATTTTACATTCCAACCAGCAATATATGAGAGATGTAGTTTCTCCACATTATTATCTATATTTGGTATCATCACTATCTTTTATTTTAGCTGTTCTAATAGGTTTATAGTGCTATCTCCTGTGGTCAGAATGTATTTTTATACAATATGTTCCCATTAATAAGTTACAGCCTTCTACATTTCCCCATTGCTCATCGTTATAGATGCACTTCACATCCACAAGCCTACAGTTTTCTCTTCTCTCTCCTACACAATCTTCTCCTTCTACAGACATACAACAAATACTCTGTAAAACAGCCTTCCATTTTGTTCTTATCTTTAATCTAAACTCTAGAATGTTGTAAGACTAGCTAGACAAGTGAAACTGACTTGACTTGCATTTAGGAATGAGAAAGCAAAGTCAAGTGCCTGAAGACTCCATAAAGTATGCACCTCATGGGTCTGATTTTTTTAATCAAATACAGGATTTCAGAGTCAGAAACTGTAGAGACTGCTTCCCATAGTCAGGCTAGTAGCTATGGATTCTATGTCCTATCAAAAAAGTGAGGTTCATTATATTCCAGGAGCTAATCTGGGACTGAGAAATTGAACTAATTTTATTTGTTCAGATAAAGGACTAATGAAGATACGAGATCTAGCTGTGGTGAAATCAAAACAGACACAAAGATTTGATTTTCATGGCTCCTGAGTAACCCAGGAAATCAATTACCTGCTGTGCTATCAAGGAGACCTTTGTGGCTATAGCAGCCCCAATTACTGGTACTTGAGCTCATACCATATATCTTAAATGAAAAGTCTTCAGTGCAATCTACCCATTTGTTTTTACTGTCTTAACAATGTATCACCATGGGATCAGTAAGGTTGCAGAACTAGTTTTGATTGAAAAAATAATTTTGAAGTACAGAAGAACTGGCATCTGTTTTCTATATCACATATAAATACTTTTATAATATTCAACATACTGCTCAAAAATCCAGATAAATTTATCCAGTAAAAAAAAATTATTTAAAAACCTGTGTTCTGAAATTCCTCAAGGTTTTATTATTCAGGAAGAAGGCAGGGAAAAGTGTGAGCACATCCATCAGTGGTTTTAAATCAGAAAAATAATGAATCTTATGCTGAGTACCACTTTGGCAGAGTTAAAAAGAAAAAAAGTCATGAAAAGGTGAAAAAGAAAAGGTGATAATGAAGGTACCATTTCAAATTGGAAACAACTAAAAGAAAGATTTTTAGATTTGGAAAAAAACATAACTGGATCAAAATATTTATATCAAAGAAAAAATCCTAGTCAATGAGCTAATATCTGCTTTCCTAAGAATAGAGCTTAAAACTTAGTAATATGGGTTGTCAATATAGAGTTTGCTGTGTAACAAACAACATGATCTCATTTGAAACCTGATACTCAAAATCAATTCAAACAGATTGGGAACAATTTTGTTATTTTTAAAATTATGTGTGCATGTGCATATGCACTCATTACTGATCTTATAGCCAATCTCAAGTCTCACTTGACACATCACATCTGGCAATTAGGAAACTGGTGAAGTTGTATTACTCTGTATCACTACATTACAAACAGGCAAGGATAAACTTCAGAACTTCAAGAACATAATTGTTAGAGAAAGAGAAATGTCGGGCATGGGTGGGAGAGTGGGAGATAGCTTCAAAAAAGAAGCAAGAAAAACATTGTGTCTTCAAGGAAGATACGTTTTTTTCTCCAGAATTATAAAATATGCTAATCCCAAGAGGATAAACTCCAAAGGTATCATATGATGCCATCTTAACCAACCAACATCATCCATCTTGCTGTTATTAGACTATCACCATGCTCAAGCTGAGATCTTTTAAATAGCATTTAATAGTCTTAAAATTACAGAATTAAAAATTAAAGCTCAGTTACACTTAAAAACTAGGGCTCTACTTTGGGAGGCCGAGGCGGGCGGATCACGAGGTCAGGAGATGGAGACCATCCTGGCTAACATGGTGAAACCCCGTCTCTACTAAAAATACAAAAAATTAGCAGGGCGTGGTGGCGGGCACCGGTAGTCCCAGCTACTCTGGAGGCTGAGGCAGGAGAATGGCGTGAACTCGGGAGGCGGAGCTTGCAGTGAGCCAAGATGGCGCCACTGCACTCCAGCCTGGGCGACAGTGCGAGACTCCATCTCAAAAAAAAAAAAAAAAAATTAGAGCTCATTTAATTCTAAATATGTATTTTTATATATATCTTAAGATATTTGGTTGCAATTATAAAGCATGATTTGAGGACTGACATTTTTCCCTAAAGTATAAATTTAGGAAAACTAAATACAAGTTTTCTTTCTGAATTTCGTAGAGAAAGAAAAGAAAATTTCCTTCAGTGGCTTGGCTGAATTCTACTATTCATGTGTCTAAGGCAGCATGACACCACTTGGATCATTTTTCTTCCAGTAGTTGACTTGTGAAAGTTTGAGGATAAAGTAGAGATCCATATAGGCACCCAAGACCCAAATGTTTCACATTGTTTATTGACAGTGAACTTCAGAGATGCACAATATCACTGATAACTCTGAGAACAGAGTACTTCAGTTATCTATTTCTGGTTTGTTTGGGGTTTTTGAGGAATATGCTGAAAGATTCAATGTGATCATGTGCTCAAATTTATTAAAGTGGAAATTCATGTTTCCTATTTCTATGCATTTTGTTACTTTGAAGTGATGGGTTTCTATATTGACTGAAAAGTTTCTTCACATAATTATCCTAAACCGTAAGTGGCACCTTAACCTTTACAGTCAAAATGTTGAGAGATAGATATTGGAAACTTGTACTAAAAGATAGTGCTGGTGAGACAAGTAGAACAGCCTGCAATTAATATAATTTTTCACTCCCTTCAGATAAGATGTTAGTAGTAAAATTAAGAGAACCATAAAACTGTTATGATGATGACTTTATTTAAAAAGAAAAATGGCATTATGCTGATATTTAAAGCATTATCATAGAAGACTACTTTATTACAAATATATATACCCCTTTAGGCATTGTTCTTTTAGCTGTCCTAGGCTATTGATCAGCCAAACTAATAAGTCTGAACTGTTTTCTAATTCCTGTGTAAAGATGAAGGTATTGAAAACTTAGCATGAATACTAAAGAAGAAATATATGCACTAGGGAAAACGCACCTGTGCATTGCTATTCTCTGTCTGACTCTCTAACTGCCACCATTAATATTTTTTGTGTTTCTCACAGCTGTCAGGACGTGCTGGCTTCTGCTTTATTCTCAGCTCTTAAACACATCTTTTCAAGTTACATGGTTTGCATGCTAATGTTCAACCAAGGCATATTATTCAGTCTAATTTTGATCTTATCAAACATAGGACAAGGATTTTAAATGCAAGAACCATTCATACTAATTAGAAGAACTATTTAACAGCCAGTCTTAGGCTTCTGAAAGACTAAGGCAAAAATTTAAAATGAGCCTCAAAATTAAAATAATAGCAATAGCATAGAAATTTTTTAAATGTTCACATTTGTTTATTTTTTGTTTTAAATCCAATTGAGTGCTATTTTCAAATAATCAGAAATGTGAGACTATTCCATTTATACAAGATATGATCAAAGAGTTTCAAGTCGAATACTGTCTTAGAAATCATTTAGCACAACTCCATAATTTCATGAATGAAGAAGCCTGGAGAGCATGGAGAAGTTTGCAGTCTTTCCCGAAGTCACACTGTGACCTAACGACAGAGTCAAGACTTAAAATCATACTGCTCTGTCTCCCACCATACAAGATAAGCTGAGATCAAACAGAAAAAAATGCTAAAGCATTTTTAAAATCAAAGCACTTAAGAGATATTTTTAAATTGCTTGTTTGATGTAGAATTTCTATTCAAGTCAAAATGATCAAATTTCCTTATAAGTCTTTTAGTCCTCCTTTTTAATCAGAAGTGATCCCATCGCCTCTACTAGATGCTGTGGTGGGAGTTCTCACATTTACCCTGTCAGAAGAACTGCAATTGATCAACATGCCACTTCTCAAAATCTCACACTATCCTGGTGTGGCCTTTTTCCACTTTATTTGGAATATTGATTGACTCAATGCTTAATAGAGGCATAGCTCTCCAAAGCAAACATTCCTTAGGAGACACAACTTGACTCACTCAAATGAATATTTGGACTATTAACTAGCTCACCATTATTTCAATGATTTAGCCTACCTGTAGGCTTACAGCCTACCCATAGGCTATCCACACAAAGTACATATTTAGGCCAGGCGCAGTTGCACATGCCTATAATCCCAGCACTTTGGGAGGCCAAGGTGGGATCACTGAGGTCGGGAGTTAAAGGCCAGCCTGGCCAACATGGTGAAACCCCGTCTGTCTAAAAATACAAAAATTAGCCAGGCGTGGTGGTTGGTGCCTGTAATCCCAGCTACCAAGGAGGCTGAGGCAGGAGAATTACTTGAACCCAGGAGGCAGAGGCTGCAGTGAGCCGAGATTGCACCACTGCACTCCAGCCTGGGTGACAGAGCAAGACACGTTCTCAAAAAAGAACTCTATAAAGTACACATTTGGGTTTCCAAGTGCACAGCCCTCTACAATCTTGAAACCCATGTTCTCACTTACAAGTGGGAGCTAAATAATGTGTACCCATGGACATAGAAAGTGGAATAATAGACTCTGGAGATTTGAAAAGGTTGGGGGAGGAGGAAAGTGAGGGATAAGAAATTACCAAATGGATATAGTGTACATAATTTGGGTGATGGTTATACTAAAAGCCTAGACTTCGCCATTAAGCAATATATCCATATAATAAATCTGAACTTGTACCACCTAAATCTATAAAAATGAAAAATATATAATTTTTTAAATGATCAAATCTGAAGGCCATACTGAGCATACCTGCTGCTTTCATCATATGGAAGAGTCCACACGCACAAGAGAAGGAAACAGATGAGGTAGGCCTGCTTTGAAGAAGTTCCCAAAGATGTTCAAATTAGTCATTTTATCTGTTGAATATGCTAAGTAGATTGTTAATAAGATAGGCTGATGAGAATTTGTGAATTTTCCACAAGATATGGGGAAAATGTATAACTAAGTATTGCTAACTAGAAATTTTTTCAGCTATGAAGACAGAGTGAACCTCTCAAACTAAAGAGATAAATTTTTAATTACTTATACCTATATTAACTGGAAGTCTGAAGTTAGTAGAGCACTGTCAAACTAGTAGAAGTCAAAAGATGCCTTATGTTAATAAATTGGCACATAACATGATTTTTGAGGCTATGTCATTAACTTCATTATATCAAACTACTTAGAGTTAGTTATATATGAAAATATAGGAACGTATAAACAAAATAAAACTTGAGGGAAAAATACAGAAAAGAGGAAGGACAGTAAGTAAAATACACATTGAGTAACTGACCATCATATACCTAATATATGTGAGAATCAATACATTTTGTGTTTGCCTTTTGGTCTGATCCCTGTGAAGCATGAAGAGAAGTAGAACTTTTACCTGCATTTCAAAGGAAACTTAGAGAAACAGAAGGGGTATAATTTTCCTGTTCTAAGACTAAATTGTATTCTCAGATATCAAGCTTCTTAAGAACCAGAATGAAAATATCTTTTAAGCCTTTTGCATTACACATTCACTCCTATAATCTCTGTTTTTTAATAGTCAATAAACAGTAAAAATCAACACAGTCTCCTGTTTGGGGAAAGAAGGCAATATGTAGACATCTTTAATTGGGAGAGAACCATGGCCTACAAATTCAAAGGCCTTTTGTACATTAATCTCTCCCTTCTTAATCATCACACTAATCTTGTAAAGGATCACAGAGATCCAGAAATGTCAAAAGATATAATTGCTGTATTTTGTAATTGTTGAGGATTATATCCTGAACACAAAGACAGATGGGAAAAGGCTTTTGGCCCAATTTCTACTGTGTGCTTGGGGAACAATCATAAGATAAGCAGAAGCCTGTTTGCAAATAGAGTAGCAAAGAATAACATACCCTTTGAATGAAATGCTCATTTAATGATATGACATTTCCTTTAGTGATCTAGAAATCAATTAGTTTTAACCCATTTCACTGTACTGACTACTAAAATGAACACAAAAGATTCAATGAGACTTCTTTGGCTTATACCAATGTGTCCTCCCTTCAAAATAAATTCACTTGGAGAAACTTAAGATTCTATAATGTGAAGTTTCACAAAAGACTTTTTTTCTCATATAATGGAAATAGTTTGTTGTATTATGCAGTGCACTTCATGTTTTCCAAGGCACATTTCAGTGGTTCTGCTTCACAGCACCCACATCTTCGTTGCAAGCAATGAAGTCTGTGTTTCTGTAATGGCTGTCACTGTTATTTTGACTGCCTTTAACCCGCTTGGCAACTTGAGAATCGTTTTGTCAAGATCTGCCCCCATAAAGTGGCCATGGCGTGGCCTTTGTTGATAAACTGCTCTCGCTTCACTGACAGATACTTTCTGATGTCTTGAACATAGCAACAGTGATCCCACAGTGACAGCTAACACTGGAAAAATTCTACAATGCAATTTAACTACAAGATGTAGAAGAAAACACAGAAGACATAGGTGAATGGAATTGATGGGTCAAAGGATACAAAGACAAACTCCTTCCAGGAATGTTTGAGAGTGCCTGGTTGTGTACATCCTTGCCAATATTAGGTATTATGATACTTCAAAATCTTTGTCAATTGATTTAATTAAAAATAATATCTTGTTACAATTTGTATTTTTCTTAAGAATGCAACTTAATATTTTCATATCTTAATTTGTCACTGCTATTTTTCACTGTTCACTTTCTCTGCCTGTTTTTCTATTGAGGGCATTGTCTTCATTGAATTGGAAGACCACTTTATATACAGAATACCAATTCTAAAGTTGAGAATATATTATGGGATAAATGACCAGTATCGCTTTGATCTGAAATGCCTGCAACAGGATAGAGAAAATGTTATTCACTGAAATTCCAGAGGAGTTGGTTGGGGGGAAGTATATTTCTCTGCAGTCTCTACATGAAGAAAGAGTTGTTTTTGGAGCTTTGATTTTCGGAAGCTTGAGGCATACAATAGGCATGAGAAAGACAGTGGAAAGTGTGGATGTGTGATGTGAATGGAAGCAATCTGAATGTCCAGCAATAGAAGATCATTAAGTAAATTCTAATATAATACACATAATGAGATGCTATGCATTTGTGGTCGGCAGCTTCTAAAATCATCCACGGTGATACCCAGCCCCTGATATGCATGCCTTTATGTTATCTTCTCCCCTTGAATGGATCTAGTGACTTGCTTCTAACAAACAGAATATGGCAAAAGCCATGGGATATTGCCTCTGAGATGAGGTTACAAAAAGATTCTGTTTCTGTCTTAGTCATCCTTTCTTGCTCTCTCACTTCCTCTGATTGTATCCAGCTGCTATGCTGTGAGCTGCCCTATCAAAAGGCTCATGGGGAAAGGAATTAAGGGAGGCTCAGTCCAGTGACCTATGAGGAATGCAGTTCTCCCGGCACCATATGTGTGAGCTTGTAAGCAAATCCTTCCCCAGTTGTGCCTTGAGATTTCTACAGCCCCAACCCACATAAAAGTTTATTGTTTTAAGACACTAATCTTTGGGGTAATTTGCTATGCAGCAATAAATAACGAATGCAGCAGCCATTAAAAATGATAATGCAGATGTGTGGTTTGTATGTACAATGGGGGGATAGATGTGTGGGTATGTGCACATGTCATCTGTCCTGCTGCAACACGCTTCTGTATATACACTTAGTAAATAGGGGAATTATGGCACTATAAGTTGGAGTTGTGCTGGTTCATATATGACTTTTTCTGGATAAGCAAAGCCAAAAGAGGAGGACTGGACTTCTGACCATCAGCAGGAAAGGAAAAACCCTCTGCTCAGCAGCTGCACTGACAGCAGGAGCCCATTGGCTATGTTTTAAGAAATTTAAAACAAGTGCTTAAAAATATAAAATATAGACAAGGCTATTTATTAAAGCATGATTTGCAAGATTTATAGTAAGAAAAGACTGAAAAAAACCCACATTCCATCAGTATAAGATTGATTAAGTAAACTATGGTATACCAACCAATGAAGGACTATGCAGATATAATAAGAACCAATGAAAATTCTTTATGGTAATGTAGAGTGATCTGCAGGATTGAGCTATTAAATGAAAGACACCAAGAAACTGAACAGTGAACCTCATAAAAAAGGGAAATATCAATATGTATAATATTTGCTAATATTTTCAAAAAGAAACTTACAAAGATACCCAAAAACTATTTAAAAACATAATACCAAATCCAATTAATGGATTTTCCTTGAATTCTGATTTGAGGAAAGGAATGACAAAAAGATTTTTTTTAACTGGAAAAACTTAAACATGGATTTGATATTAGATGATATCAAAAATTTTGATAAATTTTGTTAGGTGTGAAAGTGGCATTATGTTTATAGGTTTTTAAAGTTTTTATCTGGTAGGAATATATACTGAGTTATTAGCAGGTAAAATTATAGATAGCTGCAACAGGATGGAAAAATATTTATAATTGTTGAAGCTGGATTTTGAATGCATTATATATATTTTACTTTGGGGTATGCTTAAAAATTTCCATAATAAAAAGTTGAAAAACAAATAAATAAATTTTAAAAGAAGGTTTGCTCGCAGACCTTTTTACTCAGAAAGACACAGCCCTAGAGAGGCGAGAGAGGTGCAGCTCTCAGCTCATGGCAGATTTCACTGTTGCCAGTGCCTACCTACCTTGACGGTAGCCCCAGTGGCTCAGAAATCTGTTTCCATCTGTATTGTGCATACTCCTGCTCAGTGTGCTCCCTTCCTATTCTTTTTTTTTTTTTTTTCTGAGACAAAGTCTCACTCTTGTCCCCCAGGCTTGAGTGCAGTGGCCCAATCTCTGCTCACTGCAACCTCCACCTCCCAGGTTCAAGCGATTCTCCTGCCTCAGCCTCCCGAGTAGCTGGGACTACAGGCACCTGCCACCACGCCTGGCTAATTTTTGTATTTTTAGCAGAGATGAGGTTTCACCATGTTGGCCAGGCTGGTCTCGAACTCCTGACCTCAGGTGATCCGCCCACCTCAGACTCCCAAAGTGCTGGGATTACAAGCGTGAGCCACCATGCCTGGCCCTTCCTGTTCTAATTAAAGGGTTGAGGTTGATGGCATTACCACTTTATTGTCCTTGCATTTTTAAAATCTCCAACATACCAGCCTGCAGTCATGTTGAATTGTTGTCTGGCAGTCTATCTTATCTACCCAGATACTAGCAACTGTTTTTGCTGGTTCTCTGGCTGCAAGTTTGCTTGAACTTTGAATACTCTGCCCTAACCTTATTTTCCAATTTATCCCTGTCATTTTTAGGGTGCAATTTTGCCAAATATAAGGTTTTTTGGAAGTGCATACACTGCATTTTAGCAGAAATGCCTATACATGCAAACAATGTACAGATAAGAGCAACTTAGCAAATAATTTTTATATAGCATAATTTGGATTTTGTTGAAACACATATATATGCATAAGAAAAAAAGATTTTTGTAGTTGTTCATATAAGTTCTCTAACTTTTCTACAAGCATTTTTGTGGGTTTATAAAAGAAATGATAAGAGTTTTTAAAATTAAAAAGCAACTGATAGCCCAGCATCTGACCACTTATACAACTAGAAACGTCAGATTCAAGGGCAAAGAAGTGAAGATGGAGTAAATTCTGTAATTGCCTGTGGCTTAGAGAAGTCTCAACACTGTTCTGAGTGTCTCTGGAAGAGATTACTTCACAAACCCCACACCAGCAGAAGTTAAATTGTCCTGTGTCAGGGTGAAAAACAGAGTGGGCTGGGGGATTTAGGAGGGTGGGGTCGACTATTCTGAATCTTATTTTGGCAAAGGCTGCTGAAAAGCCAAAAATCTGGCAGTCATCAAGATGACATCTTAAACTGAAAGATATTTTAAAAACTCACATTTATAAAAAACCACCTTCTACTGCGATAGCCTCCTTTAATATATCATTTTCACAATATTTTTCATATATTATAGCTCTCTTCACTTTACAGACAAGGAAACACTCAGAGATCTAACAAATTTGATGAGGTTATGAAGATGCTAAGAATAGAGAAGGGAATTCATTCTACCTCTCTCCTTAAAGTTTGTATTTCAGAGAAAATCACACATACTGTTACCAATCAAATTATTTTATAGGCAAGCTAGTTTCTCAAGATTGGACTATCTGGGTGACTTTCAAAAATATCAGTTAATACTATCATGGTAAATTAATGCCTAGCATCATAATTCAGTTCCATCATTCTAATTACAACCAAACATAAACATTTGCCCAGAGATATGTAGTTAATTCTTGATTATCTTTACCCCTAGAATTGGAGGAAGGGGAGTTTATGTGAATAAGGAAGCCCACTTGCCCAAAGGCACACAGAAAACTGGAAGCCAGGAGTTAACTGTTTCTGTCCCTTCCTGAGAATGGGCACTGGGGCAGTGCCTCTTAGCCCAGGCTCTCTACAGGATCCCATAGAGCATAGCACATATAGTGGTCTGTCTGCTGATCTTTCTCTGTCCCTCTTCTTTCTCAACTGGGCCGTAAATATAGTTGACATTTCCCCTGAATAAATCCATACAAATTATGCCATCAGTTGAATCATTACATTTGCAGTTCAGGTTTAATTTTTTTAACTTGTTAGAAATCTTAATCAAGGCCTTATATGGCATTGCAAAGTTAACACCCTAAGGACCTCATAAGAGCCCTTTCTCCAACCTTGTTAATATTTTTGCTTTCTCTCTCTTCCAAATTGCCAACTTTTCACACTTGCATAACCTGCTCCTTCGAACACTCCAGTGAGTACACCCTGATTTGCTATAGCTGCTGAACTATTTTCTCCTCTTTTGATTCTGCCCCAAACATTCATTTCCCTCATGTTTGGCCCTTAAAACTCTCCTTGCTGTCTATTCTACCTTCTCCTAAGGTCAGTCTTGAGCACTCAAGAAAGGTAAGGGGCACTGAAAACACTAGAATTCTGTCCACCAGGCCTTTCACATACCTATAACACAGATCACTGGCATTCCTGATGGAAGCCCTGAAGTCCCCCCATCACTCAATGCCTACTAGATTATAAAAAAAATCAGTTATGGAAATATAATTTTAATATTGAGTAACGTGATTCTATTCTGGTATTTAAAAATTAATAATACTCACCTGAGTCCAAGAGTTGGAGACCAGTCTGGGCAACATAGCAAGACCCTATCTCTGCAAAAGATTTAAAAAATTAGCCAGGCATGGTGGCACACACCTGTAGTTCCAGCTACTTGGAAGACTGAGTCAGGAGAACACCTAAGCCCAGGAGTTCAAGGCTACAGTGAGCTATGATTGCCACTGCCCTCCAGCCTGGCCAGCAGATACTGGCATAAGTGTTAAATCTCAGCTCTTCATAATTACATAATCCATTTCCCCAGCAGGCCATCTAGGACAATGGTCTTCATTGTGCTGAGTTGAAAATATGCTTATGGAACAACATAGCCAACTTCTATCCCCTGCAGAGTCTGTGTGTAAGATTTCAAGGTAGCCAAAAAGGCTTCACATGGAGCCAAAAAGCATTTAACTTGTTAAAAGCATTCCTGGGGAAGAAAAAATTCTCATCCTGTGGGATTAGTCAGATCACTTGAATACCTGCTTCTCATATTCTTATTTCCCATGATCTTGGCTATTTCCCCAGTTTCCAGGCTCTCTTGCAACTCTGGGTCGACTGTTCAGCTCTCCTTATTTTCTGATGACTCATATCTTCAACCTTGACTGCTCCCACAATCATATCTATTGGCACCCAGCTTCAATCTGATGCCCACTTGGTGCTTTCTGGTTTTGACCCATGTTTGAACTCCCAGCCCTAGGTAGTAAGGGTGTCATGCTAGACATATAGAAAGCTGTCTAATTAATGAACCTCTTGGAATATTATTAGGTACAGTCATATTAAGGCCCTGTTAAAGAAAAACAATTATTCTGGCACTTGTTGAAAGGGCAAAGAAGACTTTATTCAAGACTATTGCAATAGGTGTCAAGACTATTACAATAGGAGAGAGAAATTCCACTCAACTCCAAACACATTAAAGTAGTTGGGAATTTACAGCCAAGGAGTAGGAGGTGAGGGGTGTCAATGGATAGAAAATTACTAAGAAGAGGCATCAAGTGTAGCGGAATTCTTGCTAAACCATCTTAACATGATTCCTGCTGAAGTTAGTTCAGGATGATCAGATATCAAGGGTGTGGGATGAGAAATATGATCAGATATCAAGAGTGATCAGATACCAAGAGTGGAGAGACATTCCGTAAACTGACTTAACAGGACTCTTGCTAAGACCAGACTCAGTAGGCTTATGGAAGACAGAGCCCTAGTTGAAAGAGGTTTCAGAGAAGCCTGTCTAAAGTTTGGTCGAGGCGAGAGTGTCAACCCACAACAGCATTTGTAAACAAAAGAAGGAAAGGGAGAAGGAAATTAACACACTTTTAATGACTGTCTGATTGTGACCCTGTGTCACTTCATGGTACTGCATATACATATTATATTATTTAATCATAAGTATTATGAGGAAGATATCATTATCCTCACTTTACATGTAAAGAAACTGAGGGTCAAAGAAATTAAATAATTGACTGTGGGATCAGAAGACCTGATTAGATGTTGACTTTTTACCCTGGTATCTCTAGTGACCTTAAACAAGTCACTAACCTCTGTCAGTCTCAGTTAATGTGCAAAATTGAGATAAGACACCCTCCTCCCAGAGCTTTAACCATTATCTTTGTGAGGATGACATCAGAATCTCTCTCTCTCAACTCTTATTTCCAAATTCATATCTCCAACTGTCCCCTACACAGATATTTTAAAAAATTAACATCCCAAATTGAACTTATTATCTTGCTTCAAAATACCTTGCATTTCTTTCTAAATTCTTAAACTCATTAGATAAGACCTATATCATTTTGCAAGCTAGAAACATCAGTTATACTCAGCTCCGAGTACTCATGACCCCTGCACCCAAACACACATACTTCCACAAGCAAATGCCTAGTTCTAAGAGAAATATTTCCCAAAGCCACCTTCTCGATTATGTCCTTATGATTGCTCCTTCTGCTCATGCTCCGATCATCCCACCTGGGCTGCTAGGAAGGCCTCCTGGTGGTCTCCTTACCAACAATCATATCTGCCCTAGTCCATCCTCTTGTCATTGCAGTCATATCCATGAAAGCAGAATTTAGTCATATCACTGTGCTGCCTAAAAACTCTGTAAGTCCTTCACTGCCTACCAGTAAGATCAAAAATCCTTAGCGAGACATACAAGGCCCTTCACAGTCAGCCTCAACTTTTTGTCAAGCACCACCTTTAACTGTCCCTCCCCACTGAGGGTCCATTCAGGGAACTCTCCCTCTCTATCACCTGTTCCCTCTCTGAATGTCCATCCCCTAATCTCTCATCTGGTAAAATCCCTTCAAGATCCATGTCAAATGTCATCTTCTTCCCTCAATCTCTTTTGGCACCATCTGCCCTCCTCCAGACCCCCACGGCTCTTTGTTCATACCTCTAGCATAAACCCTATGGTCTGAATGTTTATGTCCCCCTAAAATGTATATGCTAAAATCTCAACCCCCAAAGTGATGGTTTTAGGAGGTGGGACTTTTGGGATGTGATTAGGGCTCTGGCCTCATAAATGGGATCAATGTCCTTATAAAAGAGATTCCAGAGAACTCCCTTGCCCCTTCTGCCATGCAAGGACACAGCAAGATCATGGTGGTCTATGAACCAGGAAGTCAGCCCTCGCTAGACACAGAATCTACCAGCACCTTGATCTTGGACTTCTCACCCTCCAGAACTGTGAGAAATGAATGTTTGTGGTTTACAAGCTACCCAGTTTATAATATTCTGTAGAGCATCCGGAAAGGACAAAGACAGCCCTTAGCTACAAAGGAAGTAAATGTCTCAGACATGTTTCTCCTATCAGACTAGAAACTTCTTGAACACAATAACTATGTGTGAGTCACACTTATGTCCCCTGAGCCTTACTTAATCTAAAACATCATTATACCTACAATTCATTTTCTAAACGACAAGATTATAGAAAATAAAACAGCTCTCTTTATCCATCATTTAAAATAAAGAAAAATGAAGACAACTGCAATTCAATGTGCAATGTTAAGTTAAACTCAATAAGGCTCCCATTCATTTAAAATTAAGGAAGAATAAGATCCAAAATACTTTTCCCCTAGGATTAAAACACATTATTGTATAATTATAGACAACATTTGAAAAACTGAAGTGTGTTGCTTCTTTAGGGACCTGATTTCTTTCATTCCATTTACTATTTTTGTGGCATTATGATAAGCCCCCTAAAGTCACTTCCTAAGTAGTTACAAGAATAAAAGAAACTTTAAATTAAATACCTTAAAGTTCTTCCTTAGGAATAATAATTCATCCCTGCCAATGACTTCCCAACAAATTTCCCAGGTTACTACAATTTTAAATTAAAGAATTAAATTATGAGATAAAAAAATTAAAATTACTCTGCATTTAAGTAATTCTAAATGAATCAATAACAAAGGCATACAAACTCATTATTTCAGATATTTTTATCTGTTTTAGTTATCAAGCAGATGAGCTACAAATATTCTAAATTGTTAACGTTTACAAAATATAATTGTTTTAATTATTACATAATCTACCTTGCCAAATATTAATTACAAATATTAAATAATAGACCTTAAATAAGTATATAATCTAAATAATTATTATACAATTTATCACCATATTTTATAGTCTATATGATCCACACTGACCTATCTAAAATTACTATGAATTATAATTTAAATCTTACAGTTAGAACTATTTCTGGGCAATGTCTTTCAACAGACACAACCACGTGGATGTTATACAAATTGTTCTTTGGTGTAGAATTTAAGCTGTCTTCTTTGCTCTAGTCTACATTTGCACAATACTATAAAGAGTATTTTACTTCCATGCTTTCTAAAAACTTGAAACATAATTTCCTGTAGATAATTTTCCAAACACTTCCTCCAGGTGATGTGGCCTGGTCAATTTCATTTCTAAAAAAGGCAGATAAAAATGTTATTTACCTTTTAGGTATATTTTACTCTGTCAGAGACTGCTGGTTGCCTACTCTATATCCATTCTCCCCTTCTTCACTAATGGAATTCCAATTTTGTTGGCTCCGAAGAAAGAAAAAGCAACCTCCCTTGCAGATGGGGGTGGCCATGGGATATAGAGCAGGCCACTGCTTGGATGTGAAAGCTGGGTTTTTGGAGAAGCTTCAGAAAAAGGGAGTATGATTCATCTGACACTCATTTTTGTCCTTTATTTCCCTCCATTTTCCTTCTTTAAATCTTAAGGGCTGAAAGAATTGCAGACATTGCAGTCCTGACACCCTCAGCCACTAAGGTAATACCAGCATCATTCATTACATAAGAAAAATAAGCCCCTATCTTGTTTTTAAGCCACTGTTATTTGGGTTTTCTGTTTCATGCAGCAGAACTGAGTACCTAACAGAAATTTGTACCAACACAGCAGTGTCTTTTACTACAATCACTCAGTGTACCTATCTACACAAAAGAACAGCACTGCTTTTCACACATGGATTCTGTTAAATTTTAAATTACAGCACCTTATTAAAAGTCATTAGACAAATTCAATTTTACCTATATATGAGAACCTTTTGAGAGACTGGGTCCCAAAGGAAGAGCACAGTATAAAATAAAAAGCAAGACAATGACGGAAAAGAAGGTCAGCATCCTCAAAGACAGATTCCTTTACAATAGAGCTCTGAACAAAAATTAGGCAGAGTCCAACAGAGCTGTTTCTGAAAATAATGGATATGTTAAAAAAAAAAAAAAAAGAAAGAAAGAAAGAAAGCCTAAAGAAGGAAAATACCAGAACAGCATAGCCTTTGAAATGCACAGAATGTTACAAAAATAATGATTTGTTCTATATATCTGTTCTTTAAATGGTAGCTTCATTATTTTTTTTGAAATGCCTTTATCTCCAGGACATCAGACATACCCATAAGTACAAAGTCACATATAAAAGATTTTGGACTCATTTTCTCATTCATTGAATATTTGTTAAATGCCTACTATGTGCCAGATATTATTCTAGGCCCTAAAGATATGGCTGTAAACTAGATCTTCAAAGCTTCTATCCTTAAGGAGCTTACAGTTTGAAGGGGAGGAAGACCAATGTAAACAAGATTAAGAGTGACAAGCACTGGAGAAGAGAAGTGGGGAAAGAGTGTGAGGTGGAAGGAATAGGTGCAATTTTAGAAAGGATAGCGAGGAAGCCTCGGAAGCCTCGCTGAGAAGATGACATTTAGTAAACATCTAAAGGAGGGAAGAAAACAACTATGTTGATACTTAAGGAAAGAACATGCCAGATAGGTGCGGGTGGGGTAGCAGGAGGCAGATGACAAAGTATTGTTGTGGGGCTGGAGCACTTACCGGGTGTGCTCAGATCCCACACAGTTGGAGTGATTTGGAACAATGTGATGTTGTCACAGTTTAGGCACCATTTATCCATTTATTCAACATCCATCTATAACATAAAAAACTTACATTTCACTCTCATAGTTTCTAATGACATTTGGGGGAGTAGAGCGAAAATTGTTCCCAACAGAATATAAACATCCAATTTTCTTGCCAAATGACTGAAAGACTAAAGTTCTCAGCTTTGTATTTTTTTAAGACAAAAATTATTTATTGGATAATAGTCTGATTATCAGAGTCGGTTACTACAGATCGTTTACATTAAGTGTGGTTACTCAGCATAAACTCTTTTCACAATGCTCAGTTATATTTTAAAACCTATACTTACCAAGCTTTTAAATGGGCAGTGTAACAATGTTTTTAGAAGGGAGTTTCTTATATGTAATGTTTTATAAAACAATAACAACAGTAGAATTCTTGATATAGCATAAGAAAATTCGCTTTTAAATAACTGATTATAAGGAACTGTATTTTCATATTTTCACTAATTTTTTAAAGGGATACCAGTCATGTATTTCTAGCACTTTTTAAATCTCAGATTTTCAAAAATGTGCTACACATATTAAGTACCAGTTTCAACCTTTAGAAGATTTTTATTCTGTTATACAAGTAATTTTCTGAAAGAGTCTTGCTTGTGTGAAGAAAATTAAGCACCTGTCTCAATTTCAGAGTATGTCTGAAAGGGTATACCTTAAAAGGGTTATATTCTTAGGGGTCAGAAATAGTGGATTGAGGTTTGTAATGTGTATCAAAATGCAAATTTTATTTTGATAGACTTTATGTCACTCCAATTGCCCCACTGGAATGTCTATATGAAAATACTAAAATCTACTGCATCAAAATGTTAAAACTTGTTGCTCTAAAACAAATATAACTTGACTGCCTATGAGCTTGGGGTGAGTCATTTATCCTATTATTCTCCCACAGGGAATCTGACTGCATTCAAACTACCCAGTTGGAGAATTCAGCTACCTTTGGAAAAGCTGCTATCAAAAAAGGAAGAGGAGCTCTCCTATCCTGCACAGGAGTTTGAATATGGCCTGCGGTGGCCATCATCACCTCTTCACAGCTAAGAATGCCAGAGTAGGTGTGGTGCCACCTCCTTCAGATACTTTTAGCATTTGTGAATTCACTATTGTAGAAGATGAGAGAATGGATTTTAGCATGTTCATGCTTGTTTTCAAAGTAAAACCATTTGATTTAGCCTACTTTATAGGTCCACAGTATTTTAAGTAAATAAATGATGACAACTGTCTCTTTTATAGAACTTTATCTAAAAAAACTTACAACATATGCTTCTATAATACTTACATAGCAGATATTGTTTCAAATACCCTAAAACTATTAATTCATTCAATCTGTCTGCCAATCCTAGCAGGTGAGTGTCATTATCACTTTACAAGAAAACTAAGCAACATGAAGCTAAGTAATTTGCCCAGCATCACACAACTGGTAAGCAGTAAAACCAAGATTCAGACCTGACAGTGTGGCCTCCATACCCTGCACTTTTAACCATGATGTTATGCTGTTTAAAGCAAGTTCTCAGTGCTATGATCTCTTCAAATGAAGCATGGCTAAAAATGTGAATCTGTTATTCTACAGATATTTAACTGTGCATAAGCAAGGCACTGCCAATGACAGGTAGCCAAGGTACTTACCCAGTGATAGGAAATGAAAGACATAAATCCACAGAGACATATTTAGCACTACTGACTTGTAAACAATAGTTAAATAAGCCAAATATGTAGAACAAAAACTCCATGAGTTAAGAAGAAAAACTTCTAAACCAAGGTTATTAGCAAAGGATTCAAAGTGAGAGGGGGATTGAGGTGTCCTTGAAAAAAATGAATAGGATTTGAGAAAAAGAAAGGCATAGAAAGGTCAGCTTGAACCAAGGACATGAAGAAAGAAAGCAAAGTTCTGTTAACAGAACAGCAAATCACATCAACTGCTGGAGAAGCAGATTCACCAATATCAACAGATGGTCTAAGCATTTCTTTCTTTAAATATATAATGTTCTTTGAGTATCTTGGAAAAAGTAAGTATTTAAATTAAGCCTGAAAACAGAGTAAAATGCAAATCCATCCTACTTTTATTTTTCATTTGACTCATTGGATATCAAGGCCTTTCCTTGGCCTTTTAATTCTGTAATCTCCAAAATTCTACACAAGCAGTTTCTGTGTAACAAAGGATATCCGCATTATTATTTTGGTTCCTTTTATGTATTTGAACATCAAAATGCAAGCTTATAGTCTTAATCCCCAGTTTTGTTTTATAAGCGATTACACAAGTGTCATTTTCAGATGTGTATTAGGCTTATTCTGTCAGAAGTGGCTTAGGGAGTATCAAAATGTAGTTATCCCTAACTTTTTAATTTACAGGAACAACAAATAAAACTAAATGAACTTAGATTGCTAACAAGTTTTTGCCTATGAACAAACTGTGCAATCACAAGCTACAGACTAAAAATCTGTAATATTTTGTGGCAAACTCCCTCTTCTCACATATGTATAGATATTATAACCCCTGTGCAGGAAATGGCAGTAACTGTAGATGTGAGTTTTAGATGTGCTAATATCCATGCTGAGTGAGAATACTAGCTGTTAGATGGGCACATATCAAGCATGTGGGACCCTGATGTGTGTGAGCTGAGTGGTTGATAGGCTATAAAGGGAAGAGGAAGCTTTAAGAAAGGCTGAAAGTTGAGAAAAATAAGAATATTAAGGTCTACAAAACTATTTTGCAAAAGACTTCGTGAAAGCAAAGAAAATACTTTAGAAGCACTGGGTTCCTTCAGCATGTGCCTTGAGTCACTTTTGTCTGTATCCACCTGGGCACTTTAAATAGGGACAAGCAAAAGTGCTATGCTAAACTTTATGCACTACACACAGAATTCGGAAGTCAAACAGTCCTGGCTCTGTCACTTAGCTGTGTGATCTGGCAGGTTATTTAACTGCCTTACTCTCAATTTCCTAATCTATAAGAAATGGAAGGATATATCCCAGATTAAAAAGGCAACTAAGTGCCCAATGTTAGGAACAAGCCACACATACACACAAACACACACACACACACACACCCCCCAAGACTCATCACTGTGAAGTTCAGAACACTGATAAGAAAGATTATAGAAGGATCCAGAAAGAGAAATACATATATATATATATATATATATATATATATATCTCATAGGAGAGAGGACAGCTCCATGCATGTTATTGTCCCTGAAGACCTTCCAGTGGGACAAGACGTGGAGGTGGAAAACAAGGATATTGATGATTCTGATCCTCCGTATTTGTATTAGTCCATTTTCATATTGCTATAAAGAAGTACCCGAGGTTTGGTAATTTATAAAGAAAAAGAGGTTTCATGGACTCACAATTCCACATGGCTGGGGAGGCCTCACAATCATGGCAGAAGGTGAAGGAGAAGCAAAGGCACGTCTTACATGGTGGCAGGCAAGAGAGCATGTGCAGGGGAACTGCCCTTTATAAAACCATCAGATCTCATAAGACTTATTCACTATCACGAGAACAGCATGGGGAAAACCTGCCCCATGATTCCGTTACCTCCCACCAGGTCCCTCCCACGACATCTGGGGATTATGGGAGCTATTATTCAAGATGAGATTGGGGTGGGGACACAGCCAAACCATATCAGTATGCCCAGGCTAATGTGTGTATTTGTGTTATTTTTGTTTATTTAACAAAAAAGTTTTTTAAAAAATAATAGTAAAGAAATAAATCATTTTAAAATGGAAAAAGCTTATGAATAAGGATATAAAGAAAAAATATTTTTGTATAGCTGTACTATATTTCTGCATACCTGTACAATGTATTTTAAACTAAGTATTTTTACAAAACAGTCAAAAAGTTTTAAAATATTTTAAAACTTTATAAGGTTAAAAAAAGTTATAGTAAGCTAAGTTTGATTTATTACTGAAGAAAGAAATACTTTTTACAAATTTGGTATAGCCTAACTGTACGGTGTTTATAAATTCCACAGTAGTGTACAGTAACATCCTGGTCCTTCACATTCATTCATCACTCACTGACTCACCCAGAGCAACTTCTAATCCTGAAGCACCATTCATAAGTGTCCTATACAGAGGTACCATTTTTTATGTTTTATACCGTATGTTTACTACACATTTCCTATGTTTAGATGTACAGATACCATTGTCTTCCAATTGCTTACGGTATTCAGTATATTAACATGCTATATAGGTTTGTAGCCTAGGAGTGCTAGACTATACCATATTGTCTACGTGTATAGTAGGCTATGCCATCTAGGTTTATGTACTATGTACACTCTATGGTGTTCACACATGACAAAATCATGGAACGATTAATTTCTCATAAGGCATTCTTCTCATTAAGCAATGCATGACTGCACGTATATGTCACATACAAGGCATAGGAAACAGAATGGCATGTCTCAATACCAATGCTGGAACTATAAGGAATCAATGTTTTCAATATTCTGAGGGAGATATATTTTTAATACAAAATGCTATATTGAACAAAGCTGTTAACCAAATTGAGGGTGAAAGAAATTTTCAGATGTGCAAAAAAGCATAAAAACTTATTTCTCAAATATCCTTTCTTAAGCAGCTACCGAAGAAGTTTTTTTCTTCAGAGATACAAACAATTCCACCAAAGGAAGTCAGGGGACACAGAAACATCAGAATGGCAGCAACAGAAAGTAATTTCCAAGCCATAATTCAGAAATTTTAATTTAAAAATAGAAAAAGATACACTAAGTATAAAATAATTTATTCAAAAAAAGTCTTTTGACAAAGTTAGAGAAATCAAATCAATTTACCTATTTCTTATACTATATTTCCTCCATTAAAATCACCTCTTTGTTGTGTCAACTCTTCTTGAAGGCAGTTGAATAATAGACGATACAAAATGTCTTTTCAAATACAAAAGAATCTCGGAATTTCTCAACCAGGAAATATTGATGGTTTATTGTTTTCTCCAATAATTTGAATTTTAAAATTCATTTTTCACGTATTTTCTGGCTTGTAAAATTGGTATGTGAGACCAGGGATTATAACTCATTATTCACTGTAACTTCAAAAGTCCTCAACATGTGGTAAGTGCTCAATAAATAGCTGTATAACCTAAATGATATTACATGCATAACAATTAAAGTGTAATTAATCTACATGAACTGCCATTTCAGGTATGAAGATGCTTAATGGTGCTACAGAAGAAGCTATCAAAAAACTGCACAATAAAGACACAGCAAGAGTAAATGAATTAAGTAGGGCACCAGCATTTTGAAGAAAGCAGACCCTCCCTAAATATGAAGTGACAGAGACTCATTACTATACTGTGAGCAAATACTAAGCAAAGACTATGAAATTTCTTAATGGAATAAACTTCTCAAAATTATTCTCTTAGTGGTACTAAATAAAAGTAATTATTAGTACTCACAGAAATTATCAGACTTCACTTTTTCATTCATTTATTTAACAAACATATACTGTGACCCTGTGTCAAGTACGGTGCTAAGAATTAAGGATTCAACAATAAACATTATACCATGATAACTCGTCTTGTGGAGGTTACAATTTGTATACAGACATATGTATACCAATAAAATGTATACTTTCTCATGGTATTGTCTTTATAACTCTCAACATATCCTTTCATGTTTTCATTAAAATTCAGAATAAATAAACCATTATGCCCTAACTGGATTGGTCTCATCTAACTACAGTCAGGATTTGGGGGAGAGGAAGATGTCAAAGGTATAAATAAGCAACACTCTACAGAATCATATTTTACTGAGACATTTTTTCTGGATATACAACATATTAGCTGATTTGTTTGTATTGCAGCTGTTGATGCTGAAGGGGACATTTAGAAACTAGGGATTAAAAGTTTTCAGCTCCACACAAGCTCAGGGTTATAGCCCCAGACTTTCACAAGTAACCTAATCAGTTTTGCTAAGATTCTCATTCATAGAGTCTGTAGGATCAAGACAGGTGTGTCAAGGGTATCTTGTACCAAGATATATTTTTAAAGCGGCAGTCTTTTGGCATTCTGTTCTCCCCTGCAGCCCACTAAACCACTGGAATACACTGAAGCAGGATTTCAATAAAGAGTACCCTTATATTTTACATGTAGAATTGGAACCAGACAGAAAAAGCCTTGAATTCAGTCATAAGCAAGTGTTCAGACAAGTTACTTTATGCATCTTTTCTACACACAGACTAGAATCTATATCTCTACAACTGATCCCACTGGGACCTGAGGCAAAACATTTTGCAGGATGAATACATTATGCTAATTGCTTTACTCTATCCATTTGTTCCTCATCCTTTCCTGGTTTCTACTTTTCTCCTTACCCTTGCCCTTTAATAATCTCTCATGAGAAGGAACTTATCTTTTTTTCTGTTTACAGTATGCAAAGGAAATACTCATAAGCAAGGAGTCATCTGAAGTAAGAACTAAGACAAAGAATACATTCAAGAACAGAATCCTTTTTAAAAAAAATGCTTTGTATTGGGGTATGTTTTCATTCACCAGCTTATGCAACTGAATGCTTGCAGGAGATCAGAAAAAGAAGCACCCCAATTCTTTTATGGAATACCAAGCATGAATAAGGCCATTCACCCCTTTGGCTCTCCCTCTCTGTTACTTAAGCCGTCCTAATAAAGAAGTGAATTTCCCTCTCCTCTTTCTATTTTCACTGTGTGTATCAAAGCCTCAGATGCACATTTTGCTATTTTGTAGTCCTTGTGGAAAAAGATATTTGAAATGTGAGGGGCATGTTAAGAAACCATTTATAGCTTTTACAACAGAGCTTTAAAAAGCCCAGGGTCAGCACAGCAGTGTCCATTTCACCTAAAGCCAAATTTTTAAGCCAAGGGAAAAACAAATAGTGCTTTGAGTTTTATTTACCACATACTGATAATTCAGAAAAAAAAAAAATAGCACTAACTAAGTGCACTACTATTGACTCATTAATACATAACAAAATGATTTTTGAATATACAAAATGAAAACCTTAAAAATTATAATGCTTAGAAATTGTGGTTTGACAATATTTTTGTGTCCTGGCCTCAATTTAGAAACATCTCTGGAGCCAGAACTTTTCCAACATAATATAAACTTCTTTATCCTGAAGAACTTGGTTTCTAAACATCTTAATGATTACTATAAAAATTTACTTTCAAAAAATGTAATTTTTACCAAAAGACAACAGAATGAAAAAACAGTATTTGGTTGTTACTAACTTGAAGTGTAACTTTGATACTCAAATCTTTGATACTCAGCTTTTGAGAGACTGAAACAGCAGTTTAAGGGCTTAAAAACATTCTCTTAAATTCTATTAATCCATACCTTAAAAGAATCTGTTTACTGTCTGCCTGTGGGCAAACTAGGAACCCAAAAGGTATCCAGTTGTAAACGTTTCCATGAAATCCCTCAGAATCACATTCAGAAAGAGGTAGCTAAGTAAGGGGTGTGCCAGAGTATGGGATCTGGGTGGGAACTAATGCATAAATAGGTTTGCAGAAGGAAGACAAAAAATCAGTGGGAGAGGGAAACTGATGGGTACTTAGGAGAAGAAGGATGGGTCCAAGTGGGATAGGTATATTTCTAGGAGGTGACTGAGTGACTGACAGAGCCACTTCTGTAACCTGTAAATACAGCTTCAATCCCTTTTCAATGAAGCATTTTGTGCCTTCAAAGGAAATTGAAGTCAGGAAAAGAGAGAAAACACACCACATATGAAAGATTGCCACCTGTTTTGTTCACTTCTTTAATTTCCACTCCTCCATCCATTTTAGAAGAAATTCTCCCCACCCTGCTCCAAAGACATAAAGAGTTATTTTATTGAATTAACCCAAAAGGATCTTCTTCTTAGAAGAGCTGCTGACCACAGTGGCCATTAGGTTTGGGAGGGCAGTTATACTATTTTTGCAACCTCTGAGCCAAGTCTAGTGAGCAGCACCTCTAGGCTCCTCCCACTCCAACCAGGGGCTCTGACAACAGTCACCTGTACTAGGGAGGCAAAGGGATTGCTGGTGGACATGAGTCACCTGCTGGGCTTCAATTCCAGCTCTGCTAACTACTAGCTATTTTTTCAACACAAGCAACCACCCATCTGTAGAACGGAGTTGCTGATGATAGTATCAGTATTTATAGTGTTATTTATGAGATTTAAGTAAGTGAATATTCATAAAATGCCAAAGTGCTTAATCAGTGCCTGGCTCATAGGCTATGTTAAATAGCTTGTCAAATAAAGTTTAGGCATATTAAAATGAATTCATTTTAAAATTTTGATTGTAACTTATGTATCACTTCCATTTGTGATTAAAATAGAGTCACCTTCATTACTTTACCTTTTTGATTTTTACATTTCTGGAATTGAAATCCCTGGGCCCTTATTCTTCTACTTTATACAATGCAAAACAAAACTCAAAATTGTGCTTTATGTAACCATCTTGTCTCTTTTTTTTTTTCCTAAACACTACGGTACCTATCAATAGAACTTAAACGAGTGAATTATTACAAAAATCAACACTTTCTTAACATCCTCTCTTGTTCTCAATGACATAGGTAAGCCTATATAGTATAGATTATTTCCCTACAGTTTTGTCATTTGCAGGCAGTGCTTGCAAGCATGAATACAACAAATCAGAAAAAGAAAGAAGAAAAAAAATACATTTCAGTCACTGAACCCTATAAGTCAGTACAAAAAGATGCAGTTAAAGGTGCCATTTTCCATCCAAATAGGTATCTTGAATGCAGTTCTTTGTGATACTTTCAGTTTTGGATGGTATTTTAATGGAAGAAAATGGAAAATAAGCCCAGTCTGAGCAACTATATCATACACTACGGCCATGAGCTCAGTGTAATTTGATTTAACCAGGTTCAATACTAGCTTCACAACGCATTGAATCATGAACTTCAGATTTTTCTTTGCAGTAAAATCCTTCCGAATCTTGATTTCCAGCCAACATGCACATCACCTGTTGTTATTCTTAATTAAAGCAGCGTTGACAAAAATACTAAGGGCCAAAATTTTATACCTATTCAGAAGAAAGTCAATCTAGTGCCCTCACTTAGGAAGGAAGTACAGAGAAAGCACTCAAAAGGAAAATAAATGTGGATTATTTACTGATACCAAAAATGAAGACTCCTGGAAACAAGATATTTAAATTTTTCAGCCCAATATGAGTTTAGAGTCAGAGTTGCAAACCTGAGGACAATAACCAATCAATTTAGCCACAATTGTCACCAATAGCATTTGTAAGGTTGAGGCCAGAAGATCACAGGTCTGCTACAACAGATTTATCACTTCTTAAATCATGTTTCTGTCCATCATCCTCTGCTCAGGTTCAAGCTGTGATCAATGAAAGGATGTCCGTCTACAGCCCTGAGATTTGATATATGGATGCTCCATAAAATTCAGCACTTTAAAGACATGTATTGATCGATATAATTCCAATATAAAAGAATAATTTGATGGTAGAGCCTTCATATCACAAAAATTGAAAGCTATTTAAAAGGCAGATGAATATATTTATGAAGAAATTGCCAAGTAAAATTCCCAAAAGTTTGAGACTATAATGTAGGAATACTTTAATTAGGCATTCGCTGTCTAATTAGACTTATGTGATTTCAATAATGTTTAACATTCATAAAATAAACCAGAATCCTTGGACTATGCAACCTCACATTAAAAAAAAGATAAACAACTCTAAAAGAATCAATCAAAATAGTAAAGATGTAGAATTAAAAGCAGCAGCAGATTCTACAATATCCCATATACCACTTTGCTTTCATGGTTAACAAGAAAACAGACTAAATATGAACGACACGTGACAAGCTGTTTTCAACAATGAAGATGGTAAACACAGTGCCTTCAAATATGTTGACCCACACAAAACTCAATGCCCTTTATTAGAAACACTAAGTCGGAACTTTGTTGAGAAACACTTGGCCAAAGCCTCATTGATCACCCTCAAGTTGCATAAGACAGTAACCAAGATTTTTTTTTAAATCATCTTACCTTTCCTTTGGAGATAAAACTGCATCTTTTCAGCTCCCTCCTGCCTCCGACACAGAAACACACGCCATGAATTGTTAACAACACTGAAGATATGTGAAAACAGATGGCAATAATCAGATTTTCTAAATAAACATAAGCGCTGAACCTAGTTTAAAAAATAACGTAAAATTCTTAAAAATATAAATAGCTTGTGAGTTTTTTGTAATTTATAAATAATATACATTACTCATATGTTAAAAAAAGAAAAATAAATCAAAGCACAAAGAAAGAAAACAAAAGTCATCTATTACCCTATCACCTAAAAAAGAAACTACTAACTTTTCGGTGTATTCTTCAGGCATATATAACAAAAGAATTAATTACAGTTAGTTGTAAAACATTTGTTTTATAATGCAATTCTTCTAAATAAAATGTGGTATATTGGTTATTTTTAGATGTTAAAAAATAAAGCAGAACTACCTGTCCAGAAACCCATTATGAGAGGTGACAGCATGCTGGCGGCCCTAGCAGCCCTCACTCGCTCTCGGCGCCTCCTCGGCCTTGGCGCCCACTCTGGCCGCGCTTGAGGAGCCCTTCAGCCCCCCGCTGCACTGTAGGATCCCCTTTCTGGGCTGGCCAAGGCCGGAGCCGGCTCCCACAGCTTGCCGGGAGGTGTGGAGGGAGAGGCGCAGGCGGGAACCCGGGCTGCGCGCTGCGCTTGCGAGCCAGCGCGAGTTCCGGGTGGGCGTGGGCTCGGCAGGCCCCCTGCTCGGAGCGGCCGGCCGGCCGCCCCGCCAGCCCCGGGCAGTGAGGGGCTTAGCACCTGGGCCAGCAGCTGCTGTGCTGGATTTCTGGGGTCTTAGCTGTCCCAGCGGGGCAGGGTTCCGGACCTGCACCCGGCCATGGCCATGCCTGAGCCTCCCCCTGCTCCCCCCGCTCCCCCCACCGCCTCCGCCTCCCCACCTCCCCCGCCCCCCCGCCTCCTCGCCCCCCGCCCCCCGCCCCGTACCCCGTCCCCGCCTCCCCGCTCCCCCGCCGCCGCCTCCCCGCCCTCCCGCCGCCCCCACCTCCCCGCTCCTGCGCCGGCCGGATCCTCCTCAAGAGCACTGGCCCCTGCTCCACGGTGCCCAGTCCCATTGACTCCCCAAGGGCTGAGGAGTGTGGGCTCACTGCGTGGGACTGGCAGGCAGCTCCACCTGCGCCCTGCTCGGGGATCCACTGGGTGAAGCCAGCTGGGCTCCTGAGTCTGGTGGGGACTTGGAGAATCTTTATGTCTAGCTAAGAGATTGTAAATACACCAATCAGCACTCTGTATATAGCTCAAGGTTTGTAAACACACCAGTCAGCACCCTGTATCTAGCTCAGGGTTTGTGGATGTACCAATGGACACTCTGTATCTAATTAATCTGGTGGGGAGAGGAGAAATTTTATGTCTAGCTAAGGGATTGTGAATGCACCAATCGGCACTCTGTATCTAGCTCAAGGTTTGTAAATGCACCAATCAGCACTCTGTGTCTAGCTCAGGGTTTGTAAATACACCAATTGACACTCTGTATCTAGCTAATCTAGTGGGGACTTGGTGAACTTTTGTGTCTAGCTCAGGGATTGTAAATGCACCAATCAGTAGCCTGTCAAAACGGACCAATCAGCTCTCTGTAAAACAGACCAATCGGCTCTCTGTAAAATGGACCAATCAGCCAGATGTGGGTGGGGCCAGATAAGAGAATAAAAGCAGGTTGCCCAAGCCAGCAATGGAAACCTGGGTCACCTTCCACACTGTGGAAGCTTTGTTCTTCCCTCGTTGCAATAAATCTTGCTACTGCTCACTCTTTGGGTCCACACTGCCTTTATGAGCTGTAACACTGGCTGCGAAGGTCTGCAGCTTCACTCCTGAAGCCAGTGAAACCATGAACCCACTGGGAGGAATGAACAACTCCAGACACGCCATCTTAAGAGATGTACCACTCACCATGAAGGTCTGCAGCTTCACTCCTGAGCCAGCGAGACCACGAACCCACCAGAAGGAACAAACTCCGGACACATCTGAACATCAGAAGGAACAAACTCCTGACACGCTGCCTTTAAGAACTGTAACACTCACCGCAAGGGTCCGCGGCTTCATTCTTGAAGTCAGTGAGACCGAGAACCCACCAATTCCGGACACAATTACAGGGTACATATCCAAAAGAAAATACACCATTCCACCAAAAAGACACATGTACTCCTACATTCATTGCAGCACTATTTACAATACTGAATGTAATGCAAAGACATGGAATCAACCTAGGTTCCCATCAACAGTAGATTAGATAAAGAAAATGTGGTATATATACACTATGGAACACTATGTAGCCATTAAAAAGAATGAAATCGTCCTTTACAGCAACATGAATGCATCTGGAGGCCATTATCCTCAGTGAATTAATGCAAGAACAGAAGTCAAGTACCACATGTTCTCAATTATAGGTGAGAGCTAAACATTGGGTTCTCATAGACATAAAGATGGCAATAATCCACAATGTGGACTACTAGAGTGGGGAGAGAGGGAAGGGGGCAAGGGTTGAAAAATTAACTATTGGGTACTATGCTCACTATCTGGGTGATGGAATCATTCATATCCCAAACCTCAACATCACACAATATACCCATATAACAAGCCTGAAAATGTACCCCTGAATCTAAAACAAAAGTTGAATTATTTTTTAAAAGGTTGATGGAAACACATACTATGAAAAAACTTCACATGGAGTTTGAATTTTTTTGCACCAAAATAAACTTATACCAACTTGTTATAACATGTATGAACAGGAGCTAGTTTGGGGCACTAAGAAGGATAAGACATCAGTTTGAACAGAGTTCTTATCAGAGCAACATGAATTCTGCTAAAATTAAAGCAAGAAAAGACATCAAATTTATGGTGAAGTTTGTGTGGAAAATAAGTGAAATCACTGATGCTTTATAAAAACTTTATGGGGATAATGCCCCTAAAGAAATCAGCAGTTTACAAATGGATAATTCATTTTAAAATGGGATGAGACCATGTTGAAGATAAAGCCCACAGTCACAGACCATCCATATCAATTTGTGAGAAAAGAATTAATCTTGTTCATGTCTTTTTTTTTTTTTTTTGAAACAAGTTCTCGCTCTGTCACCCAGGCTAAAGTGCAATGGTGTTATCCTACTCACTGCATCCTCAGTCTCCCAGGCTCAAGCAATCCTGCCACTTTAGCCTCCTGAGTAGCTGGGACTCCTGGCTGATTTTTGTTTGTTGGTTGGTTTAAGTAGAGATTAGATCTCCCTATGTTGCCCAGGCTCTTGTTTGTGTCTTAATTGAAGAGGACTGATGATGAAAAGCAGAAACGATAGCCTATGCTATAAACATTTCAACTGGTCCAGCTTATATAATTCTGACTAAAAAATTAAAGTTGAGCAAATTTTCTACTCGATTGGTGCCAAAACACCCAGATCAGCTTCAGACAATAGCAGAACTTTCAAAGGACATTTTAAATAAGTGAGATCAAGACCCTGAAGCATTTCTTGGAAGAACTGTAATGGTAGATGAAACATGGCTTTACCAGTACAATCCTGGAGACAAAACATAATCTAAGCAATGGCTACAAAGAGGTAGAAGTGATCCAGCCAAAGCAGAAACAAACAAGCCAAGAGCAAAGGTTATGGCAACAATTTTTAAGGTTGCTTAAGGTATTTTGTTGTTGACTTTCTGGAGGGCCAAAGAATGATAATATCTGCTTAGTATAAGAATGTTATAGAAAGTTAGCCAATAGTATAAGAATGTTATAGAAAGTTAGCCAAAGCTTTAGCAGAAAAACAGCCAAGAAATCTTCACCAGAGAGTTCTTCTCCACCATGACAATATTCCTGCTCATCCTTCTCATCAAGCAGGGTAATTTTGGAAGAGTTTTGATGGGAAATCACTAGGCATTCACCTTATAGTCTTGATTTGACTCTTTCTAATGTCTTTTTGTTTCATAATCCTAAAAAGTCTTAAATGGAATGCATTTTCCTTCAGTTAATAATGTAAAAAGACTGCATTGACGTGGTTAAATTCCTAGGACTCAGTTCTTTAGGGATGCTCTAAATGGCTGGTATCGTCACTTACAAAAGTATCTTGAACTTAATATAGCATATGTTGAGAAATACAGTTTATAATTTTTACTTTTATCTTTTAATTCTATTTTTCCATGAACTTTTTGAAATCTCTGCATATATATATTTTTTACAAAATTGGGATCCTACTGAAAATAGTTTTGCAAACTTAACCTTTTTTAAACTTAACAACATGTTATAAACTTTTTTATATCATTAAATATTCTACTAATTACTTTAGTAACTACATTTTATTTAGCCATTTTTTCCCCTCTACATTTTATTCCCTCAATTTGAAATTACAAGTGGTTTAATTTTTTCATTATTATAAATGTTGCTTTGATAAACATACAACTTGATAAATCTAAAACTGTTTTCTTGGGAAATATTTCTAGAAGCGAATTGTTATGTTAAATTATACCTTTTTTATGTTTTGATTCATATTGCCAGATTACCTTCTAGGAGGAACTTTTTAAAATGTTCTATGTTTTATTGAATTGACTGTGCCACTAGCTAGATTAGCAAAAAAAAATCATAGTCACCTAGAATCTTTCCATGGTTCATTCAATGGAGTTTTATGATCCTGGCCTCCATTATACCAAAGAGGCATCAGTTAGAGCTCCACCATCACTGCCTATAGCTACAGAGGTCACAATGAAGGAAAGTCTGTGCAAACATCTGTAACATCACCCACAACTTCCTTGAGGGGTCATTTAATTAACATCATCTCTTTGTGACTGGGCGGCAGTAAAAAAGAAAATAAAAGTGCCTACATTTTTTCAAAATGTTCAGAAATTAGGATTTCATATTTCAGGGAATTTTATACTAATAAGTCACAATATACAATTTATAGTCATAGTAATTCCTAAATGAGTTTCAAAATAACTATTTTATGCAGTTTTTAGCAAAGATTCGTCTTCCTTGTGATTAAAGGATGAGGCCACATAGTACTGTACTATAGTTAAAGGCAAAGTTAAGTTCAGCAATTGGCTTCATTGCATTTGAATCACTTTTTCATTACTTGCTGGTTCTGTAGTCCTGAGCAAATTATTTAACCTCTCTAAACCTCAATTTCTTCACATGTGAAATGTGAGTATTATTTTTTCTGCAGTTAGTCTAAGGAAGCATTAAATAAGAGGATCTGTGTAAAATACTTAGCGCCATGCCTCGCACACAGTGAGCATTCAATATGTCTTGATCGTTGTTATTGTTAAGCAAAAATTGCCTTTGGCTCTTTGAAACTTATTGCCCTTCATTCTTCATTTGCCTAATAAAATAATATACATTCTGTGCAGCCTGTGCAGAAGTAAGGTCTCTTTCAGCTCTGTGATGCTAAAAGAACTTTGGTGAGCTTCAGAAGCCAGCTAGTAAGAGTGCAGAGTGTTGATTAGTTAGTCATACAAAATCCTCTTGGGATCCTCTGGAGCCACAACCTCTGTGTTTCCAATGAAACAACACTGACATCTAGTGATAACAAAGATGAACTACATATTTTGGTCAGTATAAAAGCCTGTATTCTTGGCCCAATGAGTTATCCTATGGTTTTTAGGGAAAATGAGTTAAATCCTAGGTAGATTTATGCATATATTTTTAAGTTGGCTATATCTAATCCTTTGGTTGCTTGAACAACTGATGTCCATATTATCATATGTATCATATCAACCTTCACTTTTAATTGATTTATGTACCTTAAAAATGTGAAAAAGAGAAATGTGGTTGGAGAGAAATATTGAAGTATGTTCATTTCACTTTCAAGACAAGACTAAAAGTCTAGGAAAGTAATGCAAATTATTGCAACATGATATAGCAGGCATAAAATACATTAACGGGCCTTGAATATTATATATTAATTTCTGAACTTCATTTTACACAATTCTATAATGAAGATCACAGAATTGAAATGATCGTGTTAGATAAAATGTAACCAGTCAAGAGTTTTTCTGTTTTGCGTGTTTTTTATAACAAAAAGGAGTTGAAAAATTAATATTTCAGAAATGAGCTTACACATTCAATCATAAAACAAGCTTCAAGAGAATTTCTTTTTTTCGAGACAGAATCTTGCTCTGTTGCCCAGGCTGGAGTGCATTGGCACAATCTCAGCTCATTGCAACCTCCGCCTTCCAGGTTCAAGCGATTCTCCTGTCTCAGTCTCCAAAGTAGCTGGGATTACAGGTGTGCACAACCACACCCAGCTAATGTTTGTATTTTTAGTAGAGACGGGGTTTCACCATGTTGGCCAGGCTGGTCTCAAACTCCTGACCTCAGGTGAACTTTCTGCCTCAGCCTCCCAATTTGCTGGGATTACAGGTGTGAGCCACCACACCTGGCCCAATCAAGAGAATTTGTTACATGGAAGTTAAATAGTCACAGAAAATCCACAATTATCAGTCTATATTTACTGAAGCTGTGCTAGTACTGGTTTGCCATATGTTCAATGATTAAACCCTTTCAAGGAAACCTGAAGATTCAAATCAGCTGCATGACTTCAGAAGTAAATGCTAATAGCAGCAACTACATCATGAGAACAACATTGAGAGAGATCCCCTGAGTCAGCTGAACCATCTGTTTATCATCATCATTATTAATAGCATCTAACATTTGCAGAACATTTATTATGTATCACACTCTGCTAGGCTCTTCTAATTCTTAATTGTTCATTTATTCAACAAACAGACTGTCTGCAGTACTGCCAGATCATGTAATAACAATGGTGGTTCATGCCAGACAAAATCTCTATCCTTGTTGAGATTATAAGCTACTGGAGAAGACAGTAATAATTACAAAACGGAATAAAAACTATAAGCGTATGTTATGGACTGAATTGTATTCTCCCACTCCACTGCAAAAAAAAAAAAATTATATGTTGGAGCCTCCAGTATCTCAGAATGCAACTGTATTTGGGGATACAACGTTTAGAGAGGTAATTAAGTTAACGGAGGCCATTAGGATGGGCCCTAATACAATCTGACTATTGTCCTTATAAAAAGAGGAAATGTGGACAAAGAAACACCAGGGATGCATGCACACAAAGAAAAGATCATGCGAAGATGTAGCAAGAAGGCAGAGAGGCCTTAGGAAAAAGCAAACCTGCCGACACCTTGACCTTGGACTTCCAGCTTCTGAATTTTGAGAAGTAAATTTCAGATGCTTAAGCCACCTAGTCTGTGGTATTTTGTTATGGCAGACATAGCAAACTAATACACTGTGATAAAATGACAAAAGATGGTTCACAGAACTAGGAGCGCATATAAAAGAGCATTAGGCCTAATGAAAGCATTAAAGAAGAATGAACTCTGAAGAATGAGTAGAAGATAAGTCAGAAAGGGACAAGCAGTGTGTTTCAGGCTGAAGGGAGAGTTTATGCAGAGCCCTGTAGGAGGAGGAAACAGGGCGTATTTCCAGGAACTGAAGGAAAATCGATATGGCTGGAACACAGACTGTGAGGGGGAGCATGGTATGAAACAAAGCTGGAGGAGGAAGCAGACATGAAATCATGCAGATACTTGCAGACCAAGAGTTAAATATTTAGGTCTTTATCCTGAGAAAATTGGACGTCATTGGTGTGTTTTAAGCAGGAAATAATATATTTGAATTTTAAGAGCGTTTCAGCTGAAGTAGGGAGAACAGATTGGAGGGCAGCAAGAAAGTAAATGGGAGACCAGTTAGGAAGCTATTTCAGTTGTCTAGGGTAGAAAAGTGATATCCTAAACGAGGGTGATAGCAGTGAAGATGGAAAGATGCAGATATTTAAGAGTTTGACTTTTATAGTTTCCTCATACAAATGGAATCATGCAGCACTTGTCCTTCTGTGAGAGGATTATTTTGCTTGGCATAATATCCTCCAGGTTCATCTATGTTGTCATAAATTATAGAATTTCCTTTTTTAAGGATGAATAATATTCTATTACATATATATATATATACCACATTTCCTTTAACCATTCATCTATCAATAGCAGTTGGCCATATCTTGGCTATTGTGAATAATACTTCAAGGCACATGGGAGTGCAGATATCCCTTTGAGATACTGATTTCAATTCTTTTAAATATATTCCATAATACAATAGTGGATATCATGAGCTGGAGGGGTGGGTAAAATGAGGCACTGTTGTTCAATGGGGATAAAGTTTCAGTTTCGCTAGATGAATAAATTCTAGATATCTACTGTGCAACATAGTGCCTATAGTTAACAATAAGGTATCGTGCATGTCAAAATTTGTTAATAGGGTGGACCTTGTGTTATGTGCTCCTACCACACACACACACACACAAAGGAGCACAAGAAAAGTTTGGGAGGTGTTAGATATATCTAATACCTTGATTGTAGTGATGGTATCACAGATGTTTGCATATGTCCAAACTCATCAAATTGTATACATTAAACATGTGTAGTTGTCAATTATACTTCAATAAAGTTGTTTTTAAAAGAGAGACTTAAGAGATAAGGGTACAGAGACATGGCAATTGTTTGGTTATGTGGAGTGACAAAGAAAGTTCTTTCCAGATTTCTGCCTTGTAAAATGGATAAAAGTGCTACCATGGCCAGGCATGGTGGCTCCCGCCTGTAATCCCAGCACTTTGGGAGGCCGAGGTGGGTGGATCATTTGAGGTCAGGAGTTCAATACCAGCCTGGCCAACATGGTGAAACCCCGTCTCTGCTAAAAATACAAAAATTAGCTGGGCCTGGTCATGGGTGCCTGTAATCCCAGGTACTTGGGAGGCTGAGGCAGGAGAATTGCTTGAGCCTGGGAGGCTAAGGTGCAATGAGCTGAGATGGTGCCAGTACACTGTGGTCTGGACAACAGAGTGAGACCCTGTTGGAAGAAAAAGAAAGAAGGAAGGAAGGAAGGAGGGAAGGAAGGAAGGAAGGAAGGAAAGAAAGAAGGAAAGAAAGAAAGAAAGAAAAAGAAAGAAAGAAAGAAAGAAAGAAAGAAAGAAAGAAAGAAAGAGAAAGAAAGAGAAAGAAAGAAAAAGAAAGAAAGAAAGGAGGGAGGGAGGGAGGGAGGGGAAGGGGAGGGAAGAAGGAGAGAAGGAGGGAAGGAAGGAGAGAGGAAAGAAAAAGAAAGAAAGAGAAAAAGAGAGAAAGAAAGAAAGAGAAAGAGGAAGGAAAAAGAAGAACAAAAGAAAAAAACACTACTATAAGAGAGGGAAATAAATGAGAGTGAGATTTGGGGAAGAAAATATTTTAGCTCTATTTTGAATTCTTTTACTCTGATGTTGAGTCTGAATTTGCCTTTTAAGACCTTTAAGAAGAAATGTCAACAAGTTCATTAGACAAGTGTGAAGCCCAGATAAAAGACCTGGGCTACAGGTAAATTTGGGGTCATTCTCACATCAGTGGAAAATGAAGCCAAGGATATAAGTGAGAAGATCTAGGGGATAAATGCAAAGTGAGAAGAGGACAGCCGAGGACTAAGTCTTAGAAACTCCAAAGACAAAGGAATGAACAGAGAGGCAGGATGAAACGTAGGGGCGTGCAGTGTCACAGAGTCTGGGAAAGGGGGGAATTACCACCAAATTAGAATGCTGCTGAGACATTAGGATCAAGTTAGGAATACGTGAGAGTTGTTTCAAGATTGAGCTGAGAAGTCAATGGAAGGTGAGAAAATGGAAGCAGTGGAAATAGATATTTATTTTGAGATAGTTCTCTAGGAGACAAATACCTGTGAGGTTGACAAAAAGTTTGGGATGTAGATTTGGGGATTTTGTGGGTATTATAGACTGAATATTTGCATATCCCTAAAATTTATAAAAAGTCCTAACCCCCAATTTGATGGTATTAGGAGATTGTATTGGCAGATTGTATTGGCAGTTTTCCAATGAGAAATATCCCCCTGAGAATCCCCTGATGCCTGGGAAGTAATTCGGTTTGGAGAAGGTCAATGAGGGTGGAGACCGCATGATAGGATTTGTTCTCTTATAGGAAGAGGAACAGACAGCGCTTCCTCTCTACCATGTGAGGATACAGTGAGGAAGCCATATGCAAACCAGAAAGAGGGCCTTCATCCAGAACCAAATATGCAGATACCTTGATCTTGTACTTCCCAGCCTCCAGAATTGCAAGAAATAAATGTTGTTTAAGCCACCAGGTTTATAGTATTTTGTTATGGTAGCCCTATCAGAATAAAACCGTTGCAGGGTCGGGGGAGAGGTTGTTATGTTTTATTGTGTTTGGTTTGGTTTGGTTTAGTGGGAGAAAACAGGAATATGTTTTAAAGCTGATGGGAATCACACCATCTTTGAAAGAAAGATATTTTGGTGCATATGTTATAGCTCAGAAACCCAAGGATCATAAGGATTAAATAATTAGTCCTAAATAATATAACTAAGAAGTGGTTGAACCAGGTCCCAAATATAGGTCTGTCTGACTCCACTTAGCCATGTTGCTCTCAATAAATATTTACTGCACACCCACTATATACAAGGCCAGATGATATAAATTCATATTCAACTAGGACTGGGGACAGATTCAGTACACAACGTGATGATCACACTCCATAGAAAAAGAATCTGTTCTCAAGTCTAGTACATACCAGAAAGACTCTTTCTCACCCTTAGAACTGCTAACTTTTTATAGTGACAACATGAAAATTTAGAGTTGTCTAAAACCTTAGAGCGGCCTAGAACCACTAGAAATTAAGGAAAAGGATGAAAAGATGGTGTGTGAGAGAGTAGAAAAGAGGAAATAAAGGCATGATTTCAGCCTGAGTTATATAATTATGCCATTCTTGGCGATCCATGAAGGAAAAACATGGGATCACTAATTTATGTATTATCATTAATACTTCTATAGTTCTGATGATATCATCTCATCTCATTCCTAATGCACATATTCCTCTCTTATGGGGATTTTTAACAGGCTGGTATGAGTGATTATCAAGATCAAATATTTTCAAGGAATACACTATCTTTGTTGGAGTGGGAATCCCTAACTGCTGGCCAAATTCCAGTAAGAAATATCCCCCTGAGAATCCTAACCACCAACCGTTCTTAAGACCTAGCACCACTGGATATTTGCTCAGTGTTTCTTGTACTTCCCCAGGGAGTATTTTTAAAATAAAAAGAATTGAGAAAGTTCTATTGCAGTGACTCTCAACCTTGGCTGCACACTGTAATAACCTGTAAAGCTTTTAAAATTCTGCTTTTGAAAGCACCAATGCCTGGGTTCTTACTCCCAAAGATTCAGATACAACAGGTCTTGAGTGTGGCCTATGTAATGAAATTTTTAGATTTCCCCCAAGTGAACCAAATGGGTAGCCCAGGCCCCTGTCACCCATACAAGTGCTCTCTGGGAAAGTTCATCCTTGCAACAGCCAATATTCACTTCAAAGTAGATACCATGCTAGTCACAGGGGCACAAAGATAAGTAAGACAAGATCCCCGTCCTAAAGGTAGTTTGCTTCCTCATGGAGGGGTCAGATATAAAACAATTGCAATATCTTTAATACATCCTCAGACATCAACCGCACCACCACTCCTCTACTTTGGAGAATTTCATTTGTTAATTGGCAGAGTATTCAGAACATTTGTTCCAATTTTCTCCATAGCAGGGGAATTTTTCTTCAGGACCTCCAGAGTTGTGGTTCTCTAGACTATGCTGCCACTAAAAGCAAACAGGGACTCTCCTTTACAGTCCACTCTAAAGGTGAATGCCCCCTTCCTTCCTGGGGTCAAGGAGGAAAAGAGGAACAGCAAAACATCCTGTAGTAGATATTGTTCTTTACCTACCATAGACATACTCCCACCCACCATCACCGTTTCTTCCCTCTGTGCAACAAGAATATCAACTTTATGTTCAGTCAGATAGGGGCGCTGGGCTTCCCCTAAGGTTCAGGAATTGATCAGGATCAACTGGAAACAGTTACGGCAGTGCCTTTCCACTTTGCCAGATAAGTTCTTTCCCAGCCCCTTTGCCACTAAAGGTGCCATAAAACAATTTCAGCCAATAAAGTAAAAGGAGAAGTTTGAAAATGAGCTTCAGGGAACATTTCTCCACGATAGGAGAAAGCTTCTGGCCTTTTTTTTTTCTTTTTCCTGTATTCAAACAGATTTAATGTCTGATGCTGGAACAGACATCTCGAGACCATGAAGCAACAAGCACAGCACAAAAAGGCAACCTGCTGAGAACCAGTAGTCAGAAAGAGCAAAGGAACCTGAGTCCTGTATGACCTTATTGAGCCCCTGCTCTAGCCTCAGACAGACTTCATGCAGACTTCTTACCCTGTGCAAAAAGTTAAACCCTATTTGTTCAAGTTACTCTTGGTCAGGTTTTCTGCTACTGTCAACATCATAACTAATATACAGCCCATCTTCCCTGCTACTTTGTCCACCTGGCCTCCAGAAGACAAACATATTAGATGGCAATGTAATGATGAAGTTATTTTGGAGGGAAGTTCAGAAGAGAAATATAGTGTGAGATGGACAAAGTTAACATTCTGGCTAATCTAGACTTTTCCATGTACCATTTAAGCAAAGCATCTCCAGAATTTGTTCTTCATCCTTCACAATAAAAGTGACCACTTCAAAGCTTCCTCTGCTTTGAATCAGACCCATTGACCTCCAGTTCACAGCTGTGCTGTGGGGGTTTTCACTGTCAAACTAGGGACCCACATTTCCTAGGATCTCCTTCCCTGGATGGTCTGAGGTAGGTTGGCCAAAAGAAGAATTTGCAAGAGATTTGAAAGACAGAAGTAAAGCAGTGACCATTATTCTCTGGAGTTCATTGTTGACAGACATAGAGATGGACAGATGAGAAATAACCGGTAGGTTTCATTTCATCCTCAATTTCCTCTATTCTGCATCCAACTCTTCTTCCCAAATGCTGACCTTGTTGACCCCAGGCCCACCACAGGCAGTAACCATATAGAGGCAAGAACTTGCCACAGATCTTTCCATGTGCTTCACCTTTGCAGCTCCATTTTAATGGCTGGACATGCTTAGCTTCTCAGATGGACTGTTAGTACGGCCATTATGGAAAATAATATGGAGGTTTCTCAAAAAGTCCTATATTTTCTGATCCTGCAACTCCCCTTTCAGATCATCACTTTCCCAGCACCTCAACTGTGTAAGATCTAATTCCTATAATAAATGCCTTATCTCATAACACTCATGTATATTCTGTTCCCCTGACTGATGCACCTGCTCACCCACTCTCTTCCCTCCTATACTCCACACTACAGGTGAAAAGACCCTATTCTCAATTTCTTCCTCAGATCAGATGGCGAGCAGTGATGTTATCCCCACCCTACTACAGTTTATTAACCAGAGTGAGTATGTGTCCCCCAATTCTAGTTCCAGCTTTCCTCCTGCGATAGTGACAAGCCTGCTGATTCTTTTACTAGGAGACCAATTAAATAAGCACTTTTCTCAGTGACAAACATTAGCTTTCCTTGGAGACAAGTAAGTCTCCATGTAGAAGAAAGAACATTTCCCCAGTAACAGGGCTCTGTCTTGCCATGGAGAAATAATGGGCAACCTGTTTTAGCTCAGAAACACTGGGGTTTCATTCAACTGGGCAGAGACCAGACAACAACACAAGAGAATTGCACAGCTACACAAGATAATCGCACAGCCACATATGAGAATCGCACAGTGGCATCGTGTTTACCAGGTAATGGCCCCTGCTCAGGTCGTATCATTTTGAGTTATATCTCTCTTTGATGAAAAGGTTAGGGAATGGGGGGTTATTTGGCAATTCCTCCCACCATAGAGTGTGAAGTAAGAGCTACGAAAACACCAAATATGAAGTGATAAATGTAGCTGGAGAGCATAGAGGTTTCCATGTCAGCTGGAACCTCTCTTGTTACAAAAGGGGGAAAATATTTTTCCAAGCTGAGTATCCCTCACTATCTGAATATATTCTATTCCCGGGTCCACACATTAAGAGCTTGAATAAGAAAGAGAGCATTACCAGAGCCTATTCCAATTCCTCAAACAAACTGAAACACTTTAGCACCTCCTTGCAAGGAAAGGAGAGGGAGGAAACTTTTCACAGCATTTCAGTAAAATATCACCCTTGTTTTATTAGCAATATTTCTAGTCACAGGTTTTTAAACACAGAATCCAATGAATCATAACCCATAATCATTTTCGTAAAATAGCAAATGTTAGCACAGAAATCTTTTTACAACCATTTTTTTCTGAGAGAGAGACAAGAATTGTCATTTCGACCTTTCTTTCTCAGATTTCAAAGCTGCCAAAAAATGAGTATACCTTGACCTCCTAAAATAAAAAATGTCATCAGTAGCACTCTATCTCTCCATAGTCTTTTCAAAAGAAGCAGTAATTGCTTAAAAGTTAAGCCTTAAATTTAGGTTTCCTTAAAGACAGGTAGCACTTTAACATGTAAAATAGATCATAAAGTTCAGCTGTAAAATTAATTTTTACCCCAGTGAACTTTTCTTAAGCTGCTGAAATATTGCCATAAAAGGTCAAATCCTTGGTAAACTTCAGAGAGCAAGATTGTTCAAATAATATTCAGGTTGAAACAGGCAAATAAATGTGCTAATCATTCGAGCAGGATGAGACTGGGGTGTGTAGAAGCGGAAGATATGCAGCTTGGAAAAGTCTTTTAAATATAGCCAATATGAATTTCAGTCAACAAACTCACATATGAAATAAAAATCGCTTTTATATACTATAAATCAGTACTTTGGGCCAGCAGAAAATTCAACCTGAGGCATTCTTGGCGCTCCCACGTACCCTCCCACGGTTAAACCAGGATTCCAGGGTTTGCCTAACAACAATTCAAATGGAAAACCACTCTGGCCACTGGTCTCCCCAAACAGGTCATGCCTGTGAGCTGGTCTTCACAGTGTACTTCAAAGCCAACAGCCCTCTACAGCTTCCTTCCCACCAATGGGACGTGAGAGTCTGCCGAGGCTAGAAACGCAGCATTTGGGATGCTGCCTTCCTGCTCACGCAAACTCCCCTCGGGAATCTGGCTGCTTCTTCGGGATGCAGCCACAGGCAGTACACCTATATGTAGTGCCCACAGATCTCCTCCTTTCAGACCTGGATGGTGCCCGCATACTCCTCCCAGCTTCCCCAGAACTCTGCCTGTAATCTCAAACCTTGTCTCCTTCTTTTTTTAACAAAACCCTTTGGTGGCTGAGTAAACCCATTATCTGAAATAGTCTCCTCCTCCCAGAAACTTTTATTTCCTTACTTGTTTTATTTTTGTCATAGCACTTTTTTGAAATCAAATACTTGTATTTTTAATTGTACTGCTCTACCTGTATAAACATTTCTCCCTCTATATCTCCCTATACATTTACATAAAAAGTAAACTAGTACCCAGAATAATGGGTACCAGTGATAGATGCTCAATAAAGCATTATTGAATAAGTGTTGAACACACAATTTAGCCACCAACTAGTTACCCTATCCTCATGAGCAGGGAGGGTTTTCTTATCAAACCCTCCTAGGAAGCAGGTGAAAATACTTGTTTCACATCCATCTATTACACTGAATAAAAGAATAAAAAACAGTTATGTTTCTATGTTTCAACTAGTCTGAATGTTCTTACCTTGCCACATATGTTTTCAAGTTAAATGATTATTATGCTGCCTTGGGTCTCCATGAAGCACCTACATTGTCCTGAAGCTAAGTTGTGCTAGGACCGATGACCTACAGTTTTCTCCCCATGCAGTGCAATGAGAGAAACCTGTGAAACCTGAGAGGAAGAAAGAGGAGGGCAGAAAGGACTCCTGACCTTACTGTTTGTGCTCTGCTTCTGTTACATTTCAATCATTACATTATATCATGGAGTTCTAGGAAATTGTATGAAAACCCTTTTTATTCAGAACAATGAAAACTAGTCACCTAAAGGAAGAAAATGTGTAGGAATTAAATGAAACATTGTAACTGGCTAATGAGCAAGAAATTGTTGCAAGGAAGATGTCTGTTAAAAATACAGCCTCGTCAGTTTAGTGTTATCTAACTATAGAAGAAAAGAGCAGAAATCAATTTCACAAAAAAAAGCCAGGTGTCACATCTCTTTATCACTGTGCAATTGCACTTATAATGCATTCATAGGACCTATTGACTCAAGTTATTACATTCTAATATAGATTAGCTAAATTGTTGAAACACAGATACACACTCAAAGAGAACATGAATTTTTAAATCCAATTTTATATTACATTTCTTGAGAAGTTTTAGTGTGGTTTGAAATCCATCCTGGAAGAGTATAGTAGAATATTCTGCCCATTTTTATTTTACGTGAGAAAACCAACAGGTTCACCATTTATTTCTAACTAAAATTGAATTGTCTGCGAATTGCAATAACTGTCAGCCTCTAAAGAGCTTATCTCACATCTCACAGTTTAATTGGATTGTTTTCTGAGGCAGCCTTTCCTTTTCAATTTCATAAAGACCATAAATGCTTCTATTATTGTTCTTTTGTTCTCTTCCTTCAGAATTTTGCTCATTTTAATTTTTAGTTACAGTGGCCTAAAATGACCCTGTTTTCCCTTCTAACCCAAAATTCAAGTGAACTGCAGCTATGGGACCATTTGACATCTTTCAGTCTATAATTACACTGATAAGATAAGTAGGAGCTTAATAAGGAAGGCAATGAGTGAGTCATTTATAATATTTGCAAGTGATCAAAATCCTGAAGAAGCAATGCAATTTCATTCTGCAAATGAATAATTTTTAAGTCATGTGCCTGGAGCTAGTCCAGTTATCAAGAAATCAAACCAGAAAATGACAGAAGACTTTATTTTGTCATGCCAAATTTCCAGCTGTAAATTCTCTAACAAGAGATAGCCCTTGGGTAACAAATAAGGTACTCAACAAAACTGACTACAAAGAAAATCTGTATACCAATATAAAAATTTTTTGGCATTAAAAACTAAAATAGAGGCCATACATGGTTCACACCTATAATCCCAACACTTTAGGAGGCTGAGGTAGAAGGATTGCTCAAGCCCAGGAGTTGGAGACCAGGCTGGACAATACAAGGAGACCCCACCTTGACAAAAAATAAAAAATTAGCCAGGCATGGTGGCACACACCTGTATTCCCAGCTACTTGGGAGGCTGAGGTGAGAGGATCAATTGAGCCCAGGAGGCAGAGCGTGCAGTGAGCTAAGATCATGCCACTGTACTCCAGCCCAGATGACAGAGTGAGACACCATCTAAAAACAAACAAACAAACAAACAAACAAAAAACTAACTAAAATAGGATTATACTGGGAAAATGTCACCCATAAATACATCACAATGTATTGAACCAAGCTTAGCACTATATTAGGACTATGGTAATACAAACATTTTAATCTCAGTTTAAAATACCATTATAGCACAAATGTAAAAATAAAGCAAAATGGCAAGAAACTTTTAAAAAATTCTTTTATTATTTTTTAAAAAGTAAAATAAAGAAGAGAATCTAGGCAGTACTCCACAGCCTCTTCTAGACACACACATAGCTACAAATATGATTTCAATTATACATATATATATATACACACACACACACATACACACCACGCACCACCCCACACCACCATACACATACACACATTAATAGCAGCTATCTCTTGGTGGTGGATTAATAATTTTTTTATTTAGATATTTGAAAAATTTTTATAATAACTAACTATATATTACCTTGGTAATCAAATACTGAACTACCTTGGTAATCACACATGCATATTTGAAGTCATCTTGACTCCCTAAATGATACCTACTTACTCCAATATACTTATATTTTAAGTACCAAAGGATGCTCTGTATATATTGAATAAATACTGAATCAGGGACATGAACAATATAACCCTATCATAGCTTCTTGGAAAATATAATCTATCCCCTACTCTATTGTAGTAGTCCGTTTTCACACTGCTATAAAGATACTACCCAAGACTGGGTAATTTATAAAAGAAAGAGGTTTGATTGACCCACAGCTCTGCATGGCTGGTGAAGCCTCAGGAAACTTACAATCATGGCAGAAGGCAAAGGGGAAGCAAGGCGCCTTCTTCATAAGGTTGCAGGAGAGAGAGAAGCACCAGTGCAGGACAACTGCCCTTTGTAAAACCATCAGATCTCATGAGACTTACTCACTATCATGAGAATACAAAAGGAAAATTGCCCCCATGATCCAATGACCTCCCACCAGGTTCCTCCCTTAACATGTGGGGATTATGGAGATTACAATTCAAGATGAGATTTGGGTGGGGACATAGAGCCAAATCATATCATCTGTTTATTTTTCTCATAAGAATCAGAACCTCCCCTCCCAATCTCTCATCCCCTCCTCCACACACACACCAGAATCATGATATATAAGCTCTCCACTTCTTACTTACATGTCACAGAGAATTTTGGAAGACAATATCTGAGTCTGAAAGTCTTTATTAGATATTTTTAGATAGGATACCATTGAGATCCCTTCAAATTTCATTATGTGGGACTACATCAACCAATGAAGGGCCAGATTAGGCTCTTTAGAGGCCTGAACACTGAAAAGGTTAAACCCTTCACATGGAATTTTTCAAAGTGACATCAAAAAATCACACACATACTAAAATTAAAATAACCTCTGTCTAACTGTTCTACCTTCAAAGTTCAGGTTTAGAATTCTCTTTTCAGTAGTGGAGGCAGGTGGTTCTTTACTGGTCTCCTAAGCTTGCCAATAGTCCATTCACTGCCTAATCCAGCCATGCACCTAGACAGGAGACAACTCTGCTCGCCTTCTCAGTTCTGCAGTAAATTTTTGACTGCAGATTAGGGAATTGAATTACCAGCACATACTCTATTTGTATAAATTTCCCACTTCACAAAGTCAAGAAGTTTCCAAATTAGCGATAATAACATAATTTCTAAACTGCTGCTTTCTGTCTTTTGAGTTTATTTCTTTTTCTTCCTGTCTGAAGCACACAAAGCCATGCCTACAAGATCAGATATCAGTTCACATATCACTCCTCTCATTTCCATCTCTTACAAAACCATTCTTCTCATCACAAAGCAAGCTAACCAAAAGACTAATTTGGGTGCAGTTGGAATAATTTATTCCTATCTAGCTTTATAAACACATAAGTAATGAAAATTCAAATATATATGTATGTATGCATTTTAGACATTTTAAGATTTGACTGTGAATTAAGAAAGATGCTATCAAAAGAGAGCTTGCATATTGCAGGAAGCAGTTTGGTCAATACTCAAACTCTACAGAATGAAAATGAAGACTGAATCCAGCTGTCTAAGTAATCAATTATCAACAGCTAGAGGTGGGTTTGTGTTTTGCTCAGAGTTTAAGTGTTAGCAATCATAAATTCACAAGTGTCACTAGCATCTAAAGTGAAGAAGAGAGCTTTCGATGCTACTATTTAAGCTTAGTTGACAATAAGGAAAAAGAGAAAAGAAGCTTCATTTGTAATCTGAAAAACCACACATGCACAAAAGAATACATTTCTACCATTACTCTTCCACAGCAGCAGTAACCAAAGAATTTAGAACCAAATGATTCAGGAATTTAAGAGTCCATTAAATAGAGGGAAGAATTAGATCTCCAGTGCACTGCCTTCCCTTTCATTTGAAGTGAGTGTTTGTTACATGTTCTATTTAATATGAAGTGACTAAGACCCACTAATGCTTCAGGTCATCCAGGGAGGGTGCCCATCTGACACTCTCATTGTCACCTTAGCAATGAGGCAGGACTGCCAGGCAATTTCTACTTTATAGCTCTGAGATCTCTAAGCTGTACCTCCAAAAGGAACTGATAGGTAAATTGCCTCTAACCCAATCCTCTTTCATCACCAAATGCATTTCAAAATATAGTTCAGGCTTTTTTTTTCATTTAATCAAACAAAAATACTTGCAGAAACACATTAATATACAACATGAATGCTACCTTATTAATGTATAATTGTGATAGCCCAGCCTTTCATGCATATGTTTATATTGTTGCTATCAGACTGAGTCTATAAAGAGGCTGATTTTATACGTGAGTAAAAATCCAGGATCACCACCTGGTACAAAGTTAGGTGTATGCTAAACAGCTCAGCCTTTCAAAATTACTCCTCTTGCCATGAGGGTTGGAAATTTCCACCATTTAAAACTCGCTAATTCTAGGAACCTCTTTGGAATACCCTTGGATGCTATTATAATTAGTTAATAATGAATTCACAAGAATTAGTAATTAAACAATATAAAGTCAGTCATTTATAAAAATAATGTCCCATGTAGAATAAGAGTTCTAAAATTTTCGATTTGATTATGTCATTAAACCATAACAGACTATATCTTAGCGGGTTACTGCTTGGTTTGAATAATTGTGTCCCCTTCAAATTTATGTGGAAACTTAATCCCCAATGCAACAATATTAAGAGGTGAGGCCTTTAGAAGGTGATTAGGCCATGAGGGCTCTGCCCTCTGGATTTGTGCATTATAAAAGGGCTTGAGGGACTGAGTTTGCCCCTTTCATCAAGTGAGGCAGAGGTTGCACAACTGGTTCACAGTCCCTTTTTTCTGGCCCTGGCTGCCTGCATCCCCACTGACCTGGCTTCTGGTGCTGGTGCATCCAGCTGCTGGTTCCATTTTATGGAAAGTTTGGTAGTCTTCGAACATCCTGCTGGTCAGTCTTTCCATAACCTCTCTGTGTCAGGAGAAAAATGGGTTTGTCACCACAACTCCCAGGTAGTGGTCTATTCCATAGCCTCTGTGTGCGGTCTCAAAGCCCTGGAGGTAGCAAACCAGTCTATAAGCACAGATACTTTCTAAAGCCTGCTCTATACCTTAAGGAAACATAATATCAACTATGACAGGCTCTGCTCCACAGGACACTAGGGTATATATTTGCCTTCTTCTGACAGGTTATGCGCTCTGCCCATTTTCTGCTGCCCTCCTACCAGTTCCTGGGATTGATTATACCTATAAGTTCGGCCTTTCAGAGAGCTCCAAACAAGAAACTAGCATGACGGCCTATATTAAATACCTCCAATTCCAAAAGAGAATTTCTTTGCGACCCTAACTTCAGGATAGGATGAGGCACACAGAACATTCCTCTCTCCCGACATGAGGTGGTGAGAAGGCACAAAGCATCTAAAACTATATTCCATAAACTCTTCTGCCCCAACAGAAATTTCCCTCTTCCATACAGCTTGCCTTATATATCCCCTTTTTATTTACTCTGCCATATTTTCTCACACTTGGCAAGGTCCATATGCCACCCAGACATTGCTAATCTACTGCCTTTGTCCTCGGGCATGCTAAGTGGAAAATGATTCTAAAGAAAGGAAGAACAAGCTCTTATTTTTATGTCTAAAGTTATTGTCTTGAGTAAATACGTTATGCCTTCCTCATCCTACAATCTTTCAGTGATCCTGTGAGTGCACTTGTCTCATGTCCCTTCTCAAAGATTGAGACCACACTTGAAATCTGAAACCAAAAGCACAAAGATGAATCTGATGCTTAAGTAATAAAGAGCTATGCTAGTCGGGGAGAGCAAACTTCTGATCTAATAGAGCATTCTTGGGAAATGTTTATTGAAAAGGTTGAGATCAGCTTGAACAGCACGTTTTGTGTTGATTACACAGGCAGACATTTAATGTCAGCCTGAGAAGCATGTTCATTGGAGTGAGACCACTACTCATTACTGATCATTAGCACGAATTAGACAATTGGACAAGTTTAAAATCAGTTCTAACCCTAACACTAACCATGGCTGTGCAATTGTCAATCTATTTCTGGGAATCTGAAGACTATTATTCTTTACCCTCAATCCTGTTTTTTATTTTCTCTCAGCCAAAGCTGCAGGAAAGATCATCACTATTGTCCAGATCTTCGCCACTGATTCTATTGGAAGCTCATTTATTCTCTTGGAAGCTCATTTGCAGAGGCATAATTTCGACTCTGAGTGCTACTCAGCATAATTTTACCTCTCTTATTTTGGATCATCTGTTAGGAGAGTGGTATGTAGAAGTATTTAAGACTATTGATAATAAACGTGATATGACTGAAGAAAACAGGAACAACTAAGGTACTAAAAAAGGCACTGCAGAGGAGGGGCCAAGATGGCCAACTAGAAACAGCCATTGTCAGAGGCTCCCACTGAGAAGAATGAAAACAGCAAGTGAATCCTGCACTGGCAACTGAGGTATCCAGGTTCTCTCATTGGGACTGACTAGGCAGTTGGTGTTACCCATGGAGAGCAAAGAAAAGTAGGCTGGTGCAACAGCCCACCTGAGAGCCACATGGAGCAAGGGGAGCTCCCACCTTCAGGCAAGGAAGACAGTGAGTGATCACACTATGCTGCTTAGGAAACTACACTTTTTATATGAATCTGTGCAGCCTGCAGATCAGGAGATCCCCTTCATGAGCCCACACCACTGTGCCTTGGGTCCCAAGCACAGAGCTGTGCAGATTATCTCAGCAGCCACTCAGCTGGAGACTGCATAAGACGGCTGAGTTCCTGGGGGAGGGACAGCCACTATTATCAGGACTGCCTGCTGCCTAAGACAACTGAGCTCTTCAGGGAAGGGGAGGCAGCCAACACTGCAGCTCCAGTTTGCCACTTTTCTCCTGCCAGTGCCAGGGAGATTGGATGGTTTGGACCCAGGAGGAATTCCCCACAGCACAGCACAGCAGCTATGGCAGATTGTGGCCAGACTGCCTCTTTAGGCCAGACCCTGACCCATCCCTCCTCACTGGGCAGGGCCTCTCTGCAAGAATGTCAGCAACTCCAGCTAGGGGTTTAGGGACGGAACTCTGATCTCCCTGGAACTGAGCCCCTGTGGGGGAGGGGCAGCCACAGTATCTGTAGATCAGCAGACTTAGTCTTTCCCCTGCTGGCTCTGAGGAATCCAGCCAGTCAGAACAAGTGGGATTCGCCCCCAGCACAGCACACCCTGTCTGCCACAGAGATCCCAGAGGAAAGAGCAGGCAGCCATCTTTGCTGTTCTGCAGCCTCCATTGGAGACACCTCCAGCTGCGGGAGGAACTCGGGCGAATAGGGTCTGGAGTGGACCCCCAGCAAACCACAGCAGCCCTTAGGAAGGGGGGCCTGACTGTTAAAAGAAAAACAAACAGAAAAGAACAACAACAACAGCATAAACTAAAAATGTCCCCACAAAAACCCCACCCAAAGGTCAGCAGCCTCAAAGATCAAAGCTAGATAAACTCACAAAGATGAGAAAGAATCAACGAAAAAATGATGAAAATTCAAAAAGCCAGAGTGCCTCTTCTCCTCCAAATGATCACAACACCTCTCCTGCAAGGGCACAGAAATGGATGGAGGCTAAGATGGATGAATTGACAGAAATAGGCTGCAGAAGGTGGGTAATAACAAACTTCGCTGAGCTAAAGGAGCACATTCTAACCCAATTCAAAGAAGCAAAGAACCATGATAAATCATTACAGGATCTGTTAACCAGAATAGCCAGTTTAGAGAGGAACACAAATCACCTGATGGAGCTGAAAAGCGCAACCCAGGAACTTCACAATGCAACCACAAGTATCAATAACCAAACAGACCAAGCAGAGGAAATAACTTCAGAGTTTGAAGACTATCTTGCTGAAATAAGACAGGCAGACAGGATTAGAGAAAAAGGAATGAAAAGGAATAAACAAAATCTCTGAGAACTAGGGGATTATGTAAAAACACCAAACCTATGACTGATTCGGGTACCTGAAAGATGTGAGGAGAATGGGACCAAGTTGGAAAACATACTTCAGGATATCATCCAGGAGAACATTCCCCAACCTAGCAAGATAGGCCCACATTCAAATTCAGGAACTCCAGAAAACCCCAGTAAGATACTCCATGAGAAGATCAGCCCCAAGACACATAATCATCAGTTTCTCCAAGGACGAAATAAAGGAAAAAATGTTAAGGGCAGCCAGAGAGAAAGAACAGGTCACCTACAAAGGAAAGCCCATCAGACTAACAGTGGACCTCTAGGCAGAAACCCTGCCAGCCAGAAGAGATTGGGGGCCAATATTCAACATCGTTAAAAAAAAAAAAAAAAAAAGAATTTTTTAGTTTGGCCGGGAGTGGTGGCTCATGCCTATAATCCCAGCACTTTGGGAGGCCGAAGTGGGCGGATCACAAGGTCAAGAGTTTGAGACCAACCTGGCCAATATGGCAAAACCCCCTCTCTACTGAAAACACAAAAAAATTAGCTAGGCGTGGTGGTGGGCACCTGCAGTCCCAGCTACTTGGGAGGCTGAGGCAGGAGAATCGCTTGAACCCAGGAGGCAGGGGTTGCAGTGAGCTGAGATCGTGCCACTGCACTCCAGCCTGGGTGACAGAGTGAGACTCTGTCAAAAAAAAAAAAAAAAAAAAAAAACCAGAAGAATTTTCGACCCAGAATTTTATATTCAGCCAAACTAAGCTTCATAAGTGAAAGATAAATAAAATCCTTTTCAGACAACCAAATGCTGAGGGAATTTGTCACCACCAAGCCTGCCTTGCAAGAACTCCTGAAGGAAGCACTAAATATGGAAAGGAAAAACTGTTGCCAGCTACTGCAAAAACACACTGAAGTACAAAGACGAATGACACTGTGAAGCAACTACATCAACAAGTCTGCAAAAATAACCAGCTAGCATCATGATGACAGGATCAAATTCACATATAATAATATTAACCTTAAATGTAAATGGGCTAGATGCCTCAATTAAAAGACCCAGAATGGCAAGCTGGATAGAGTCAAGACCCATTGGTGTACTATATTCAAGAGACCTATCTCACATGCAAAGACGCACATAGACTCAAAATAAAGGAGTGGAGAAAAATTTACCAAGCAAATGGAAAGCAGAAAAAAAGCAGCATTGCAATCCTAGTTTCTGACAAAACAGACTTTAAATCAACAAGGATCAAAAAAGACAAAAAAGCATTACATAAAAGTAAAGGGATCATCAATTCAACAAGAAGAGCTAACTATCCTAAATACATACATGCACTCAACTCGGGAGCACCCAGATTCATAAAACAAGTTCTTAGAGACCTACAAAGAGACTTAGACTCCCACACAATAATAGTGGGAGACTTTAACACCCCACTGTCAATATTAGACCGATCTTTGAGACAGAAAATTAACAAGGATATTCAGGACTTGAACTCAGCTCTGGATCAAGTGAACCTAATAGATAATCTACAAAACTCTCCACCCAAACACAACAGAATATACATTCTTCTCGGCACCAAATGGCACTTACTGTAAAATCAATCACATAATTGGAAGTAAAACACTCCTCAGCAAATGCAAAAGAACTGAAACCATAACAAGCAGTATCTCATCAATCATAACAAATGCAATGCAATCAAATTAGAACTCAGGATTAAGAAACTCACTCAAAACCACAAAACTACATAAAAATTGAACAACCTGCTCTTGAATGACTCCTAGGTAAATAATGAAATTAAGGCAGAAATCAAGAAGTTCTTTGAAGCCAATAAGAACAAAGAGACAATGTACCAGAATCTCTGAGATGCAGTAAAGCAGTGTTAAGAGGGAAATTTATAGCACTAAATGCCCACATCAAAAAGCTAGAAAGACCTCAAGTTGACAACCTAACATCAAAACTAAAAGAACTAGAGAAGCAAGAGCAAACCAACCCCAAAGCTAGCAGAAGACAAGAAATAACCAAGATCGGAGCAGAACTGAAGGAGATAAAGACACAAAAAAAATCCTTCAAAAAAACAATGAATCCAGGAGCTGGCTTTTTGAAAAAATTAATAAAATAGATAGACCGCTAGCTAGATTAATAAAGAATGAAAGAGAGAAGAATCAAACAGGCACAATTAAAAAATGATAATGATCCCACAGAAATGTAAACAATCATTGGAGAATACTATAAACACCTCTATGCAAATAAACTAGAAAATTTAGAAGAAATAGATAAATTCCTGGACACATACACCCTGCCAAGACTGAACCAGGAAGAAGTCAAATTCCTGAATAGACCAATAACAAGTTCTGAATTTGCAGCAGTAATAAATAGCCTTTTCCAACCACAAAAAGCTAAGGACCAGATGAGTTTACAGCTGAATTCTGCCAGAGGTACAAAGAGAAGCTGGTACCATTTCTTCTGAAACTATTCCAAACAATTGAAAAGGAGGGACTCTTCTCTAACTCATTGTATGAGGCCAGCATCATCCTGATATCAAAACCTGGCAGAGATTAAAAAAAAAAAGAAAGAAAGAAAACCTTCAGTCCAATATCCATGATAAACATTGATGCAAAAATCCTCAATAAAATACTGGCAAACCAAATCCAGCAGCACATCAAAAAGCTTATCCATGACAATCAAGTTGGCTTCAACCCCGGGATGAAGGCTCGTTCAACGTACACAAATGAATAAATGTAATTCATCATACAAACAAAACTAAAGACAAAAACCACATGATTACCTCAATATACACAGAAAAGGCCCTTGATAAAATTCAACATCTCTTCAGGTTAAAAACTCTCAATAAACTAGGTACTGATGGAACATACTTCAAAATAATAAGAGAGATTTATGACAAACCTGCTTCCAATATCATACTGAATGGGCAAAAGCTGGAAGCATTCTCTTTGAAAACTGGCACAAGACAAGGACCCCCTTTCTCACCACTCCTATTCAACATAATATTACAAGTTCTGGCCAGGACAATCAGGCAAGAGAAAGAAATAAAGAGTCTTCAAATAGGAAGAGAGGAAGTCAAGCTATCTGTTTGCAAACGACAGGATCCTATATCTAGAAAACCCCATAGTCTCAGCTCAAAAGCTTCTTAAGCTGATAAGCAACTTCAGCAAAGTCTCAGGAAAATCTCAAAATCAATGTGCAAAAATCACAAGCATTCCTATACACCAACAATAGACAAGCAGAGAGCCAAACCATGAATGAATTCACATTCACAATTGCTACAAAGAGAATAAAATACCTAGGAATACAGCTAACAAGGGAAGTGAAGGACCTCTTCAAGGAGAACTACAAACCATTGCTTAAGGAAATAAGAAAGGACAAAGACAAATGGAAAATCCTTCCATGCTCATGGACAGGAAGATTCAATAATGTGAAAATGGCCATACTGCCCAAAGTTATTTATAGATAAAATGCTATTCCCATGAAACAACCATTGACATACTTTACAGAACTAGAAAAAAAACTACTTTAAAATTCATATGGAACCAAAAAAGAGCCCAAATAGCCAAGACAATCTTAAACAAACAAACAAACAAAAGCTGGAGACATCATGCTACCCAACTTAAAACTATACTACAAGTCTACAGTAACCAAAACAGCATGGAACTGGTACAAAAACAGACACATAGACCAATGGAACAGAATAGAAATCTCATAAATAAGACTGCACATCTACAACCATCTGATCTTTGACAAACCTGACAAAAATAAGCAATGGGGAAAGGATTTCCTATTCAATAAATGGTGCTGGGAAAACTGGCTAGCCATATGCAGAAAATGGAAACTGGACCCCTTCCTCACACCTTGTACAAAAATTAACTCAAGGTAGATTAAACACTTAAATGTAAAACCCAAAACTATAAAAATCTAGAAGAAAATCTAGGCAATGTCATTCAGGATATAGGCACGGGCAAAGATTTCATGATAAAAACGTCAAAAGCAATTGCAACAAAAGCAAAATTTGGCAAATGGAATCTAATTACACTAAAGAGCTTCTGCACAGTAACAGCAACTATCATCAGAGTGAACAGACAACCTACACAAAGGGAGACAATTTTTGCAACTATCTGTCTGACAAAGGTCTAACATCTAGCATCTACAAGGAACTTAAATAAATTTACAAGAAAAAAAAGAACCCATCAAAAAGTGGGCAAAGGACATGAACAGACCCTTCCAAAAAGAAGACATGTATGTGGCCAAAAAACACATGGAAAAAAGCTCAACATCACTGATCATTAGAGAAATCAAAATCAAAATCACAATGAGATACTATCTCATGCCAGTCAGAATGGCGATTATTAAAAAGTCAATAAACAATAGATGCTGGTGAGGCTGTGGAGAAACAGGAACAGTCTTTTACACTGTTGGTGGGAATGTAAATTAGTTCAACAATTGTGGAAGACAGTGTGGCGATTCCTCAGAGATCTAGAACCAGAAATACCATTTGACCCAGCAATCTCATTCCTGGGCATATACCCAAAGAAATATAAATCATTCTATTATAAAGATACATGGATGCGTATCTTCACTGCAGAACTATTCACAATAGCAAAGACATGGAATCAACCCAAATGCCCATCAATGGTAGACTGGATAAAGAAAATGTGGTACATATACACCATGGAATACTATGCAGCCATAAAAAGGAACAAGATTATGTCCTTTGCAAGGACATGGATGGAGCTGAAAGCCATTATTCTCAGCAAACTAACACAGGAACAGAAAACTAAACACCACATGTTCTCATGGTAGCTGTACAATGAGAACACATGGACACGGAGAGAAACAACACAAACTGGGGCTTGTCAGGGGTACAGGGGGAGGGAGAGTATCAGGATAAATAGCTAATGCATGTGGGGCTTAATAACTAGGTGATAGGTTGATAGATGCAGCAAACCATCATGGCACATGTTTACCCATGTAACAAACCTGCACATCCTGCACATGTATCCCAGAACTTAAAAAGGCACTCCAGAACTGTGGCCTAAGATTCTTCAGACTGGATCAATAAAACAAGCCTCAACAAGTTCTTAAATTCTACCTTAGATGGTCATATTGCTTTTTGGTTTTGCTTAGAAATAAATAGATTGTTTCACCTCCACCACCACCCCTGGTATTAATCCAGGTACAAAACAAAGTGTTAGCAATGGTAAAGATTCCCCACTGGTTGACCCAAAGAAAACGTAAAGCTATTATTTCACTTGTAGTAATCTGGGCTAATTTAAATGTTTATTCTACTATATTATTTACAAATTTGGAGAAAAATTTGTGAGATTATCTGGGTTATTTAAGTCCTAGGAATGAAATTACTATTCCCCGAATGACGCTTCCACAGTTACTACTCCAAGTAAAGATCTTATCTCTTTAAATATTTTTAGAAAGAGGCCGGGCACAGTGGCTCATGCCTGTAATCCTAGCACTTTGGGAGACCTCACCTGAGGTCAGGAGTTGAGACCAGCCTGGCCAATATGGTGAAACCCCATCTCTACTAACAATACAAAAAAATTAGGTGGACGTGGTGGCAGGGGCTTGTAATCCCAGCTACTAGGAGGCTGAGGCAGGAGAAGGGCGTGAACCTGGGAGGCAGAGTTTGCAGTGAGCCGAGATTGCACCACTGCACTCCAGCCTGGGCGACAGAGCGAGACTCAGTCAAAAAAAAAAAGAAGATAATTATAGGTAAAGTTAATGTAACACATCTTTCTATCATTCTTTAAATTGGCTTCACTAGCAATAGCTTAAGAGAGCTGAATTACAGAGTTATGGTAATAATCACCCCTACATTCCTACACATTATTATAAGAGAATTATAATAAATTAAGTTAGAAATGTATAAATTTAAACCAGCAAAGAATAGTATGAAAGAATTTATCAAATAGATGTAACAACAGAAATGTAAATAATCTCTGTGCCAGCTCTACCCTTGGCAATTTATACTATACTCAGCAACAAAAGGGAAACAATTTAGAATGCTCAAGGGGAAACAAGTTGGAATGTTTCCAATCTTGGGGACCCAAGGTAAGGCAGTATGACTGACAGCCTGAGCTACTACCCGCCTAAGCTTTATTCTTAGCAGCCATGAACTACGTAAAACCAAAAAGTCATCCTTGCTTCATATGTGAATGGAGTTCAAATATCATGAACGAATGGAATAAGTCATTGAGTATTTTGAATACATGCTAATGAATGGACTGTAAACCATTTGGTCCTGCCTCAGAAACACCACCCCAGTGTACACTAATATCTGCATAGATCCTGCCCTTCTTCTCCTACTCTTTTCCACCCAAGGCATCATTTAACCAAAAGTAGAAAAACTCTGAAAGTGTGCTTTCAAATCATTCCTGCTTAGGCCATCAACTTTTCTTTAGCCTAATAATGATGTGTTTACAGACTGTGTTTCTGGGTGACCCATGTCTGTCTGAGAGGACCAGGGGAGGAAAAAGATCTTTAGGTCACAAGTGAAATAATTTGATGGATGATCCCTTGGGTGCATAGATTAATACCCTGAAATGCTTTCCCATCACACATATGCTGCCACTAAGAATGAAGCCACTGACTTCACTTTCTATTTCCTGATGTTATACTCAATGACCTCTGTTTCAGAGAATGCGTTAAAGAGCCAGAGCAGTGCAATCTCATGCAAGCAGCTTATAAGACAGCTATTGGAGCACTTCAATATAAATATGAGAGGGAAAAAAAATGGCACCTAGGAGCAGGACCAAGAGATACAGACTAGAAATTGGGTCTTGTCACAGGACTAGAGAAAATGGATTAGGATATTGAGCGAGGAACTGACATTTGGAGGCTCTTCAGTTGGAATCCCTTCCAGTTTCCAAAGTGCAGCCAAAAATGTGGGCAAAGCTGTCAAGGTTATGCTTTGCAATACTCTTCTAACCTTTGTGGAGCTGATGTAAATGATTTTACTCCATAAAATTAGGTTCTTAGTTTACATAGCAAAAGACACAAAAACTAAGGTGAATCAAGGTGGTGAAGCAGAGAAACAAAACGACAACTTCCCAAGGCCCACGAAAGTTCAAAATTGGGGCACAGGTCCTTCTTTCCCACAATACCCAATACAGGATTAATTAGTCTGCTACAAACTGAATGTGTGTGTCCCTCTAAAATTTGTATGTTGAAACCTAATCCCTAATATGACGGTATTTGGAAGCAAGGCCTTTGGGAGGTGATTAAGTCATGAGAGCAGAGAACTCATGAATAGGATTAATGCCTTTATAAAAGAGACCCCAAGAGAGCTCCCTTGCCCTTTCTGTCATGTGAGAATACAGTGATAAGACAGGAATCTATAAACCAGCAAGGGTGCCCTCAGCAGACACAGAATCATCCAGTGCCTTGATCTTGGATTTCCCAGTCTCCAGAACTGTGAGAAATAAGTATTTGTTGTTGTTAAACCACCCAATCTATGATATTCTGTTATAGCAACCCAGATGGACTAAGACAGACAAAATCTAAGGATGACCAAAGGAGACACATTCAAGCTCACATTCAGGGATGGAAAGTAAGAAGGAAAGATGTAAAAGAACAATAGACCCTTTGAAATGGGAGACCAGATCCTCATAGGCATCTACAATCTCTTTATAAAGAGACAGTAGGCACCCTTCAGCAGACCTTAATCCAGTGCAGCAGTGGCATTTGCACACAGACCCAGCCAAGAGCACCAGGGAAAAGCTGGAATACTAAGCCTGCAATAAGCACTGCCCAGTACGAAGAATACCTTTTAAAATTAGAGGGTCCTGAAGCAGACATTTCTGCCAAATCTCAGGGTTGGCCTCAGGCCTTCAAACAAGTTACATAAAACAGAGAAGCTATATTCTCAGGAAAAATAGCTAATGCATGCTGGGCTTAATACCTAGGTGATGGGTCGATAGGTGCAACAAATCACCATGACACATATTTACCTATGTAACAAACCTGCACATCTTGCACATGTACCCTGCAACTTAAAATAAAAAATAAAATAAAAGAGAGAAGCTATGCTTTTTTTGCCACACACTGACCTGCGAATGGTGTGAAATATACTGCTTTAGCCTGAATTGAATATGATTCCAGGTGTGCCTGAACAGCTCTCAGCAAATCTGCCTCTTGCACAGCACACTACTCTTCCCTTCCCTGGACCTGAAGGTGGTACATGGCCATTATAGACAAGATGCTAAAACCTACAGCAAGCAAAAACAAAGGCATTTTTTTTTTACCCCTTATAGACTGGAGCCTTGACAAGCTTTCTTTCTTCTTGAGTATACTACAAGGTACTTTTTTGTCTTTCCATAAACAACAACCAAAGAGAAAGAGAGAGAAAGTAAGCACTTTGTTTATAGAAGTCAATTTTTTTTAATTTAGCAAACACTGAGCACCTATTTTTGCCAGGCATTTTAGGAAACATCTTAAAAAATAGCATAAATCTAAAAATCAGATGGTACTTCCAGCTAAAGCCTTCCAGAATTTTGTTGTTTTCGAATTGGAAGTGCTAGGGAATGTTAGGAACAGATGGTCTCAAAAGGATATCAGAAAATGGGTGCCCCAGGAATGAGAATGTGATTGCTCTTACCATCTATTGCCTAAAACATCACAGTAAATTCCAAATTGGTGCCTCTGCATCCTTTCCATTATCGCCTTTCAAATCCATTCTTCTCATGCTATCAAATCTATCTTTTAAAAAAAAAATCAGTCTTAGCATTTCACTTCCTCCTCTTTTCTTCTCTGAATAATCCTACATAAAGTCAAAATTTCTTGTCATTGCATCCCAACCCTTTTCTCATCTGGCTCTGACTCATCTTTTCAATTTCCTCCCCTCCTCTGCAAAGGCTAACATATCTCCCCTAGTCTACAAACAAGAAGTCTGTAAAATGCTATTAATATTGTTATAACTTCATAATGTCTGTAGCAGCTGAGACAATAATATGGTAGGCTTTTCCCAGAAATAGTCTTGTCAAAACCCCAATGGAACCAATGGCTGGACACTGATCCAAAATACAGTCCTTAAATTAAGAAGCATTCTCGCTGCTATGAGCAGTGGGATTTTTAGGAAAGCTACTTAGAATATTGTTTGTGCTGCAATGAAGGAGATTCAAGCCAGGATTTTAATGAATGTCATAAAATCTGCTGAGAATAAGCAGTGACCCAAAACCCTAACCTACTACTAGTCTGCGTTGTGACAATGCAATGGTTCAAAATGGACCCCAGGGTCTTGTACTGCCATTGTTCTTTCTGAGTGTCCCCCTTAATTGCTGGGACAGCCATAAATAAAGTTGCAAAATAGACAGTCTTCCTTGGGCTTAGAAAAAAGGAGTGAGAGAAAGTTACTTTCCTTTGTAGCTTGCCCACCCTCTGACCTGAACCCCTCATGCCGCTGTCCCGGACTTTCACACTGTGCACCATGCATAATAGTTAATGTTCGCTCTTAAAGTACCCTCTTCTCCACCCAATATGATTCACGTTCTCTCAATGTCCCACTCCCATCTAGAAGTTGATTGGACATTGGTCCCAAATGCTCCCCATAATAGGATTATACATCCATGCCCTTTGCTATGTCACTTGCTAGTGCCCTCCCACTGTGGGTGAAAAACACTTTCCTGCCCCTTTGATATTGGCCATGTTTTGGCCAATGAATGTCAGTGGATGTGAAATGAGCAGATACCTTAAATGGGCTTTTGTAGTTTGACTTGTGCTTTTGTGCTGCTGTGATTTGCCATGAGAAAAATAACACCCCTAGGTAGCTGCTTGTCCAAGGAGAAATGAGAAAATTGAGGATAGCAGACATAAACACAACTAATCCCAGCCAAGCACATCAGAGCCACAGCCTACCCACAGTTCCATGACCAAAAATATATAAATGCTTGGCTTTGGAAGACACTGAGTTTTTGAGATGGTTTATTACACAGAATTATTGTACAATAACTGAATTGAACACTTAAAAAATTAATTTGTATCAAGGCAATAATAAATACTACCTACCATCTATATGCCAGGTTTGGGGGCATTTTTTATTCTTTCTCATGTCTGCTCATCTGATACATGCCAGTTTTTTATCTGTGAAATGAAAATAAGAACAACCTAAGTCAAATAATTATAGCAAGAAATAAGTAAGTTAATAATTGCAAAACTCTTAGGAGTTGGCACACAGAAAAACACAATATAGTTATTTTGAGATTGTGGTCATTGTTTTGTAAAGACTATTTTTTGGAGTAGTTTTAGTTCACAGCAAAGTTGAGACGAAGCTAGAGAGATACCCAATATACCCTCTGCCTCAAACATTTCCTATTCTATTATCAATATCCCCCACCAGAGGGACATTAGTTGCAGTTGATGAACCTACCTTGACACATTATTATTGCCCAGAGTCCATAGTTTGCATTAGGGTTCACTCTTACAGTCTACAGGTTTGGAACAAATACAGAATGTATCCACCATTAGAGTATTATATAGAGTATTTTGTATGTTCTAAAAATCCTCTGCTCCACCTATTTGTCTCTCCTTCCCCCAACCCCTGGTAACCACTGATCTTACTGTCTCCATAGTTTTTTATTTTCGAGAATGTCATATAGCTGAGATTACAGTATGTAACCTTCTCAGACTGGTTTCTTTCACTTAATAATATGTGTTTCTTTTCCTCTATGTCTTTCCATAACTTGATAGCTCATCTATTTTTAGTGCAGAATAAAATTCTACTGTCTGGAGGTACCTCGGTTTATTTATTCACCTACTGAAAAAGATCTTGATTGCATCCAAGTTTTGGCAATTATTAATAGAGTCACTATAAACATTCATGTGCAGGATTTTGTGTGAACACAAGTTTTCAACTCCTTTGGATAAATACCAAGGAGTATGATTGCTGGATCATATGGTAAGAGTATGTTTAGTTTCATAGGAAACTGCCCAACCGTCTTCCAAACTGGCTGTACCATCTTGCATTCTCACCAGCAGTGAAGTTTCTGTTGCTCCACATTCCCACCAGTATTTGGTGTTGTCAGTGTTCTGGATTTTAGTCATTCTAATAGGTATGTGGTGATAACTCATTGCTGTTTTAATCTGCATTTCCCTAATGATATATGATATGGAGCATATTTTTATATGCATATTTTCCATCTATAAATCTTCCTTGATGAGGTGTCTGTTAAGGTCTTTGACCCATTTTTTAATCATATTTGTTTTCTTATTATTGAGTTTTAAGATTTACTTGTGTATTTTGGATAACAGTCCTTGATACATTTTTTGCAAATATTTTCTCCCAGTCTGTGGCTTGTCTCTTCATTCTCTTGACAGTAGCTTTCACAGAGTAGAAATTTTTTATTTTCATGAAGTCTAGTTTGTCAATTCTTTTATGGATAATACATTTAGTGTCATATCTAAAAAGTCATTGCCAAACCCAATGTTACTTAAATTTTTTCCTATGTTAACTTCTAGTTTTATAGTTTTATGCTTTACATTTAGATTTGTGATCTGTCTTGATTAATTTTTGTGAAGGGTATAAGATTTGTCTATATTAATTTTTTGCATGTGGATGTCCAGTGATCATTATTTAACCTATTGTCTTTCCAAGTTTATTTGTATTTTCAGATGTTTTCCCTAAATAGTATGATTGAATTTATAAGTACAGCTTCTAGTTGAGACCTCCTAGGTACTCTCTGTCCAATAATAAACTGCTATGCAGTTGTGCCTGTTTGAGAAGTCTCAAAAAGTAGAAAAATTTAGGGATGAATAACTGAAAGGAGAGGAAACACAAGAGGATTTACACTGAGAATTCAGAAGAAGGTAAGTTGATTGGCATATATCTTATAACTGGTAGGCTCCTTTCTAACCTCCCTTGACTTACACAACCAAAGCAAGCCTTAATAAGTTCTTCCTGGCATTAATCATTTGCCTCCAACAAGCCTCTGACTCACAACTCTTCAAAGTTGACCTTTGAAGGAAGCATTACTATCTCCTAGGAAGACAGAGGGACTCAGTCAGAATTATCACTGATTCCTCCAGATCATTTCCTAAAGGAATCTATTTCTTTGACTAAATGCTGACTAAATATGACTGTCAAAGCCAGAATGATTCCAAAAGGAACCTTGCCCTTTTCTTTCTCTAAACACTTTAAGTGACTGGACCCAAACGACTTCATGCTCAGTTACACAGCAGTTTTATTTGCAGTGTTTTAAAATAGGACAGCACTTTCACCCAAATAAATAAATTTCTAATGGTGAACTTGGAAGCACTGTGGCAAGTAAATAATGGAGAGACATCTGAGGGGGAGAGGAAGTTTTATAAGGCCCTGAAAACCACACCAAACATCTGTCCTCTTATTTCATCTGCTCACCAAAACAATCATGGTGACTACATCAGAACAAACTACAAAAAGATTTAAAGTGGTTTCTGAAGAACCTGTAAAGTTGTAATTTCTTCTCTTAGTAAAAGTAACAGGTCAATGTGAATAGTTTTCATCACTCCTTGGGCCTCAAGATTCAGAGTTCTATCCTCATGTATGTCTACTCTGAAGGAATCTAATGTTTTCTATAAGAAAATGGAAGGACATTTTAAGTCACCTATTATGTCCTCTGCTAGGAGATTTACAATGTCATAAAGTAGGCACAGGGTCAGCTTCATGGGCAGGTGACAAGTGCAATCACATAAAGCCCTGCGCTCAAAAGGGTCCTGAACTTGGCTAAAAGCTCTGCTGTTAAGAATCTTGAATTTGAGTGTGTGTTTTATACATGAATTCCCATAAGACAATAGAGCATACATATCGCAGAGTATTTGCTATATACTCTGCACATGCCAGACATAACTTGCCACCTCATTTGCATATAGTCTTCATAGCTTCCATAACATGCTTCTTTCACTTTAAGTCTTACTAAAATACAATGCGTAGTGGATCCACCACAATTCTGTGTTCATGTTCTATACTTCACATCTAAAACTGAGTAAGTGATGTCACTGACAGATCGGAGAGTTTATGTTTTTCCTTTGAACCAAAACTTGCTTGGAATGCAGAAAAGGGTAATGGTGTTCTAAGAAACACAAATGACCAACGAACCCTATTACATCCTTTTTTATTCGAGTCACTTCCCAGTACCACTACCGCTGAAAATGATGACTTAGAAAAAAAAAGAAAAATAAAGCAACCCACAGTTCCTTTTCATTTCAATCTTTCCTTACACATCAGTAAGCTGAAGTAGAGAGTATTGGTAGAATATGTGCATATAAAGAAGTGAAGTAAAAGTTAGTTTTATGCCATTTTTTCTTACTGTTCTGTTAAGAATGAAATATATATGCAGGTATGACCTATAAAATGTTGTTGATTCCATATGAGTTAAATGCCATTATATTTGCATTTATAATTATATATTATAAATATATATTGGTACTATACAATATAGAGAATGGTGAAATTCATGCCAATAACTTGACATTTTAATTTTTCTGTATACTTAACAATTATACCATGTGGAACTGTAAGTCCATTAAACCTCTGTCTTTTGTAAATTGCCCAATCTCAGGTATGTCTATCAGGAGTGTGGAAATGGACTCATACAAGTCACTAGCCACAGAAAGCATCACTTCCTTGTGTCCCTCTTAAAAGTGGGACCTCTAGATACTCTTGTTACAATTTGATGAAGTCAGTGATTATCAGGGAGTCTGCAGAAGTTTGAAATATCCTGAGAGCTTATAGTTACAGAATTTTGTGTCAGTAGGAATGTTCCTCTTTAAAGCTGAAGAAATTAATATAAACATGTAGAATCAATTATTTGTGAGGTTATTACCATAAGATTTGGCAAATAGGTGATATATAAGGATTTGACCTAATATCTCACAGGGAAGAATTTGTAAATTAAATTGCATGCTGATTAACTGCAACATTTGGCTTGAGATAAAATTTTAATGACTGAAACTTTTGTTGATACCATAAATATTGCAACAGAGGATTTGAATGGCAAAGAACTTTTCAGTCTATGTAGCATGGCCTAACAAGAAGGTGCTCTGATTCTAGTGACTAGTTCTTTTGGCAGAAATATTCCTAGAAAGGAGAAAGAATTTTAAATTCAGCTCCCATTGTTTTGTGGACATATTCTGTAAGAATATCCAGTGATCGCATTCCTATTTCCCAGAACCCCGTTTGGGCAGATGTTACTGAACCTGTGAATCAAATGCCAGGAGTGAGGGGCTGGGGAGGGACCTAACTGGAGCCTCAGTCTGACATTCCACGCTGGGGTGGGGGTGGACATGAGCAGTGGGAACTGAGGCTGCCCAGGACCCCCTTCCTAGGATGCCCCGGCTTCAGTCACCCCGCTTTAACTTTCTACCAGGACCCCCTCCCCCTACCTCACCTTGCTATTTATTGATGTAATTTATTGACCTCAAAAATGCTGCATAACAGACCTCACTGGGGCAGGAAGGATCCCCAGAGCTCCCACCCTCCACTTGGGGGGTCCCGTGGGGCCAGGTGCTGAGGGGAGCCTCTCTACCCCACCCATCACTAGCTTCCCTCTGCCCTCCCCCACCCCGGCGGGGCCCAGGTTGGGCACTGGCTCATTTCTCGCAAATACCTTGAAGGGGAGTGGGGAGGGATGGGGTTATAGCTGTTTTGTTTAATTCGAACTGGAAGAGGGATCATGTTTTGTTTTATGCCCTTCCCAGAAGGGGGGAGGGACACCGGGATAGCACTCCTGTACTGGCCACCGCCGCTGTCACTCGTCACATTGAGCTCACGTCCCTTGAGAGTTTGTATAAATTCAGGTCAGAGCTGCAGCTACACAGTTGCCCAGTGCCATAGAAAAGCAATTCACCAACAACTATCTCTCCATTCAGAAGTGTGCAGTCTTAATGCACAGCGACGAGAAACTGTTATTTTATGATCTTTTCATTAAAAGCTTGATTGAAAAAAATAAAAGAATATCCAGTGATATGCCGTCTAATTCTACTCTCATGAAACTATGGTTGGATTTTAACTTAGTCTCTTGAAAGTCTTAATATTTTGAGCAATGGCAGGTCTACTTCTCATTGTAAATTAATAAATTGAGTTTTTGGGTTAAGAGCAATGCTGTTGTGAGTTTGACATCTAGTGGGAATGATTGACCTCCTAGAGACTCATCACTTCTGGGTGACTTGATAAAATTGAGTTTATTAACTTGGAAAGCAAAGGATATATGCCTTCCAATCTCAACAAGATACAAATGTCTTATGTCAGGACATCTACCTATCAGGTTGAGGAGGTCATTGCATTAGTTATCTATTGCTGTGTAATAAATGACTCCAAAACTTTGTCACTTTAAACAATAAACATTTATTATCTTACAGTTTCTGTGGGTCAGAAATTCCAAAGCAGTTTGGCTAGGTGATTCTATCTTTGGGTCTCTCATGAGGTTGCAATCAAAATGTAAGCCAGGGCTACAGTCATCAAAAAGCTTGATGGAGGCTGGAGGATTTGCTTCCAAAGTAGCTTGCTCAGGTGCTGGCAAGTTGGTCTTGACAACACATGGTGGGCCTTAATTCCTTCTCACTTGGGACTTTCAACAGTAACGTCATGACATGGAAAATGACATCCCCCATAGCTAGTAATCTGAGACAGAACAAGGCAGAAATGGCACTATCTTTTATTTCTGCAATATTCTTTTTATCACACAAGCTAGCCATGATTCAACGTGGAAGAAGACTACCTAAGGTCATGGAAATGAGAAGGACCAGGAGGCAATGATTATGGGGGTAATCTTGGAAGGCTGGTTATCACAATCAGTTTTTTGCATAACTATACTTATTATATTGTATGTATTTAATAGGTGTGTTTTACTCTAAATTGGAATAATCATTTCTCGGGCTCCATCTTCTAAATAAGAACATCATTTGTTTTTAGTGTCTTCTTATACAGTGGCTTACAACTTTTTTCTCCTGTGGGAATTTCTTTTCTGGCTCTTGCGCTATTGAGACCAGATAAACAAGTTTTTGGTATAAGGAGAATCATAATTTCTCTCATATTTAAAAACATTCTACGATGATATAGTACATTTGAGTTTCTTCTAAAAGTCCCTGGTTGTGTGTCTTTGCATCTTCCATTTGTCATTTTATTCTTTCTTTGTAGCAGTGAGAGTCCATGCATTTAAAAAATCAAAAGGAATATTTTTAGGACTTCATGTAGTGTAATTTTTAAACCCATAAATACAGTTTATGTTTATGCATGTCTTCTCAACTTGTTTGAATAAGAATATTTATGTAGTGTTATTCCTACTCTCTCAGGAATGTATTACGGAAATTATTATCATTGAAAAATTCATTGTTTTTCTGACAGTAACATCTTTTCTGCATCATTCTTAGAGGAAATTTTCTTGACAGCAGTATTTGTGTTCTATGTCTGGAAATATCTATAAAATATATCCAATTCTCTGAAAATCTTGAAGAGTTGCTGTGATAAGATTTTTGACACAAATATTTCACATTTCTAGCTTTGACAGTAACTCCATAATTCTAGGGGAGGAAACAAATAAGAGCACATATATATATTAAAAAGTACATGAGATATATTATACACATCTCTCTCTATATATATATAGATGTGTGTGTGTATGTATGTATGTGTGTATGTATTTGTATATATGGTTGATGACTTCCCTTTCTAGAAGGCAAAAGGCAAGAACTATTCTGGCTTTAGAAAAACATTTCCCCCTGCTGGTGTGGAGTTACAATTCAAGATGAGATTTGGGTGGGGACACAGCCAAACCATATCATGACTCCTTCTGAAGGTGTGTCCACATTGGTGAAGCCTGCAAGCATGGTAGTTTCCAGAGGTCTTTAAATTAATCAAAATAGAGCTATAACAGTTATAAGACACACTGAAATACATCCCTAAGTTTTCAGAGAGAGCACTGATAGATACACTTCCTACCATATTTCTTCACTTTACTTCAGAAACAGCCTGCGGATCTGTCCCAATCATTCCAGTATGTTTCTGTGTTAAAAGTGCTGCTGGAACAAAGCCCTCAATTTTTCTATCCCTCTGGATGCTTCTCCTCCATATAAATGTAAAATCACACTTGGGTATTCCCCATCAGGAAAGTTTCTATGCCTTTGCTTTTCACTTTTTTCCTACTCCTACTCCTCCTCCCCCAATCAAATTCTTATCTCAGCTGCTTTATCCTCAAGAGAGCTAATTCATTTACTGTCTGATAATCTGTTTAATGTGTTAACCTGTCTAGACATATTTCAGGATTCAGGAGCCTCTAATAAGGTCATGAGTTTCAAACTTCAGTATGTATAGGGATCATTAAGAGCTTATTTAAAGGCTGGGAATGGTGGCTCATGCCTGTAATCCCAGCACTTTAGGAGGCCGAGACAGGCAGATCATTTGAGGTCAGGAGTTTGAGACCAGCCTGGCCAAAATGGTGAAACTCCATCTCTACTAAGAATACAAAACTTAGCTGGGTGTGGTGCTGCATGCCTGTAATCCCGGCTACTCAGGAGGCTGAGGCAGGAGAATCACTTGAACCCAGGAGACAGAGGTTGCACTGAGCTGAGATGGTACCACTGCACTCCAGCCTGGGCAACAGAGTGAGATTCCAACTCAAAAATAAAAAAGAGAGAGAGAGAGCAAGCTTATTTAAAATGCTATTCCCTGGTCTCACTCCTATACATTTTTAATCCATAAATCTAAGGTAGGGCCCAGAAACCTGCATTTATAACAAACAACCCCCCACCCCCATTCCCCATGTTACTTATAGAAATGATCCAGAAACCCCTTGTTGAGGAAATGCTATAAAGGAAGACAATTTAGAACTAAGGGAGTCTAGGTTATCAGAAACTACTGGTGACTATAGTTCCCTACTTCTATCTTCAACCTGTTTCTTACAACTAAACTTGCAATTACAGGTTTTCATTTGCTAAAGAGTTGCATAATCCTGTTGTTCACCCTGCAAATCCAGACACACAAAAGTCCACCTTTTTAACAGGCATATAAATTGCATCTTGGTTCAGATGGCTTTCATTTTAAAGTCAGATTTTTGTTCTCAAGTCCCGACACTTATTCTAGTGGCATAATTGATCTATATGCCATGATTCCTGACTTGAGGCTTTTTCCCATTCCGTCCTTTCAGTATTGCCTTCCCACCAGGATTTCCAAGCTCAATATGCTATCCTCTGAGGTCACAGACCTCACTCACTGACCCATTCTGCTGACCGACAGCCTTGATGATGACTCTCCTGAGTCACTGCTTTTCCTGAGGTGGTTAAGGGACCACTTATATCTTAAAATCTGAGTTTTGGGATGGAACCCAAAAACACATATGTTTAATAAGTTCCCCAGGTATACTTGATATAAGAATCACTGGTATTGAGAAGTTTCTCAAAATTGTCTAATGATATAAGTCACCTGGACACTGGGTGGAAAATATAGTTTCCCAGATGTCATTTTCTGGCTAATATGAATGAGGAGGGATGGGCTCTATTTTTGACAAGTGCTCTAAGTATTTCTAATAAATGGGCAGTTTGAGAAACTCGGGCATAAAGTATCGATATAAGGCTTTAACGTAAAGATATCTTTCTAAGTTCAGTTTTATACTAGTTTGAACATTAAAGCTAGGAGAATGAAGATAGCCAGTATTAGAGAAGTAATCCTCAGAAGATAACAAGTAGCTTATCAAGAAGTCTTGCACTTACATTTTATCTTTCACATGCAAATATCTTAAGTGGTAATGAAGGAATTTTTTAAAATGGGTCCTTATAAAAAGAGTGAGTTGTTTCAGTGCCCTTTTAAAAGATGAATCATTCCATTCTTTAAATCATGTTTCAAATTTAGCCTTGCAAATAGCATTTGAATGGGAAAACTTAGGGTACATATACTATAAATATAAAAATAGGCTATTCATATTTGAAACACTATTCTCGGCCAGACACGGTGGCTAACACCCATAATCCCAGCACTTTCAGAGGCCAAGGCGGGTGGATCACCTGAGGTCAGGAGTTTGAGACCAGTCTGGCCAACATGGTGAAACCCCGTCTCTACTAAAAATACAAAAATTAGCTGGGCATGGTGGTGGGTGCCTGAAATCCCAGCTACTTGGGAGGCCGAGGCAGGAGAATCACTTGAACCCAGGAGGCGGAGGTTGCAGTGAGCCGAGATCATGCTATTGCACTCCAGCCTGGACAACAGGAGCAAAAGTATGTCTCCAAAAAAAAAAAAAAAAAACACTATTCTAGATATATAACTACTACTGGAGTTTACACCTGAGTTAAATACTGGTGGCACAGGTTTTGCTCATAATTCCAATTCCAATAAACCTGTCCTAAATCTCAGAATATCTTTGGATCTTATTTTTAGTAGTACAAATTATTGATCCCTAAAATAAACTCAGAGGATGGGAGGAAGGGTCCAAATTTTGGATTAATAAAACCAGTTACCTGGTGTCTCTCCTCTTATAAACTGTTTAACAATAATAAAATTACAAGAAGTTCTAATATCATAGATTGCAGCCATCCCATTAGAAAATGCTTAAAATATTGAGGAATCTAGAAGAAGACAAGTAGACAGTTTTATCTCCAGGATTGAAAAGAGATAGCAAGAATGTGTGGCAAGGACCTAAAACATCCTGTTTGGGGCAAGAAACCAGGCTGCCTGAGTAAACTCTCAGTGCATGTAAAGCATTTGGAAGAGTGCCTAGCATGTAGGACAAGCTATGAGAGTGTTGGCTTTTCTGTAATAGTGGGGGTTTCCATGTGGCCATCCAAGAAATGGTTGTGATGGTTAATTTTAATATGTCAACTTGACTGGGCTAAGGGATGCCCAGGTAGCTGGCAAAACAACATTTCTGGGTATGTCTGTGAGGCTGTTTCCAGAAGAGATTAGCATTTGAATCAGTAGATGGAGTAAAGATCCCCCCTCAAAAATGTGGGTGGGCATCATCCAATCCACTGAGGGCCTAAACAGAACAAAAAGGCAGAGGAAGGGCAAATTCTGTCTCTCTCTCTCTCTCTTTCTCTCTCCTCTTGACCAGGAACATCCATCTTTTCTTGCCCTCAAGCAAAAGATCTCCTGGTTCTCAGGCCTTCGGACTCCATATCTTACACCAGTACAGCCTCCCATTCCCTCCATCTGGAGCATCCCACCCCCATTCTCAGGCCTTCAGACTCTAACTGGGAATTTTCAGACAGCATATCATGGGACTACTTGGTCTTCATAATTTCCTGAGCATCAGCCAATCCCGTAATAAAAAATAAAATTCAAGCCGGGCGCAGTGGCTCACGCCTGTAATCCCAGCACTTTCGGAGGCCGAGGTGGGCAGATCACCTGAGGTCAGGAGTTTAAGACCAGCCTGGCCAACATGGTAAAACCCCATCTCTATTAAAAGTACAAAAAATTAGCCAGGTATGGTGGTGGGCACCTGTAGTCCCAGCTACTCGGGAGGCTGAGGCAGGAGAATCACTTGAACCTGGGAGGTGAAGGTTGAAGTGAGCTGAGATAGTGCCACTGCACTCCAGCCTGGGCAACAGAGCATGACTCTGTTTCAATTAATTAATTAATTAATTAATTAAATGTAATAAAATTTTAGGGTTCTCCAAAGAAACAGAACCAATAGGATATATATATCCTGTATAACCAATATGTATATCCTGTATAACCAATATATATATCCTGTATAACATATATATATCCTATTGGTTCTGTTTCTTTGGAGAACCCTGACTAATACAAGGGTCTGAGAGAGAGCTAGGCCTAATTCTATTCACATATAAACAAAGAATGGGGAAAATTGCAATGTGGATGACAGTGAAAATAATAGCTAAATTTCAGTACCAAGTGCTAGGTATTTTGCTGGACAATTCATATAATCTCATCTAATCCTCACATCCTCATAATAGCCCTATAAAGTGGGCCTATTATAATTCCTATTTAAGTGTAAGGTTTTTATTATCCTCCTCTTTCCCATCTCCACACCCCAGACAATGTTGTTTCTTACCTCCCTGCCAGTACTCACCCTCTCTCTCCTCCTCTTCTATTCACCATGTATACTCTTTGCCTTACCACTTGCCCACGGATCCCCTATGCCCTCCCAAGTTGGGTTAGAAATGCTTCCTGTTTCCCTATAATATCCTGTTCATATTGCTATGAACAGGATACATATAATCTTATATATCATATGATCATATATACAAAATGCTATCAAATTTTCTTTTAGGTATTTCTCTCCCCATTACACTGTGAGATCTCGAGAGCCAGGGCTACTTCTTAACAGTTATATTGCAGCCTCTTATTTAGTAATTGGCACATAATACATGTCCAACAAAGGAAGAAAATATAAAAGGGATTAGACAAAGGAAATCATTAGAAAAGTACATAAAACATACAAAAATTTATTACATGGGACTATCCATATCACAAGTTGAAACTAATTTAAATGTTCAGCAATAGCGATTGGTTAAATGCATTTTATTTTATCCATAATTTCTATTCCATATTTTTCAAGATATTTAAAGTCATGGAAGACTGCCACTTTAAACAAGCAGGACACAAAATTGTATCGATAATATTATTGCAATTGTGTTTTGAAAATAGCCATACGAATACAAAATATAAGTAAAAATACTAAAATATCAATAGTAGTTGCATTTGGATGGGAATTTGTGAGCAATTTTTATTTTCTTCTAGAACTCTTCTATTTTTCAAATTTTCTATTAAAAACCAAATTGTTTATTTTTATACAGTACACATCCATTTTAGAAAACTTACATAAACAAGTATAAAATTTTTAATTACATGTAATCCCGTGATCAATAAATAGTGATTGATTGATTGATCAATAGATAGATAAATGTATATAAGATTTTATTTAAAGGGATAAACATGGTAGCATATAATCAGGGAAGAGCTTTCTTTTTTTTTTTTTTTTTTCCATGCCACCTCCTTCAAACTGGTTCTGGTAGCTCTCTTTTCATCTCCTTTGGTATGCCCTGAGTGGATCCCATGTTTTGCCAGTCACTTTTTGGCTATAAGAACATTTTATCCTTCCCCCTATCTCAGAGCTTATGCAAGGATTAAAGTCCTGTGGCAGTGTGGAACTGGAGGGAGGAGAATGTGGCTCTTCTTTCACATGCCTTGTTCCACCTCCTCCTACTTCTTCTGGCTCTGACAAGAGGATTGGATCCAACAAGCAGGAGGGATAAAAAGAAATGGCCTTTTTACTTAGTTGATGCCCTTGTGTCAAGCACCCACTGTCATGGGAGACGATCAAATTCCAGTTCTCTCTTGGGGTGAAGAGCATTATTTTCAGCCTGTATTGGAAACACTTCCCCACCTCTATGGGCAACTCCACCTGTACCCTGATACTGAAAATACTTTCTAGGATACAAGCACTCCCCACCAGTATCTGCCACCTGACAGTTCACCCACAACCCCTTTTTGCTGTAGGCTCTCCCTAGGGCCAGTAGCCCTCTTGGGTAAAACATTTTCAAGACCCTTAACACCCTCCTCAGTGGCTATGTGGCTCATGGAATTTACAAATCTTTTCTCCCACCCATCCTGACTGCTGCCCTCTCACAAACAGCCTCCCAAAGCCAAGATTTTCCAAGCAAGAGGCAGTCAAAAGTTTTGATCTTCCTTACATTTGACCCGAAGTTCTGGGCACAGGTATCCAGTTCTCTTGTAAAATTCTCATGCGCCGCACCTATGCACCTATGCATCCTCTGTAATGAATGTCCAGGCTTGACATAAGCAGCTGATGATGGTAGATACTGAGCTACTTTGGCCCACTATATCATAGCAAGTCCTCTGGGATGTGCTTACACCTCTTTTTAAAATTAGTGTGTACTTATTGTCCATAGTTCTCAGCTTTGATGACTTAGTCAGAATTCCATGACAATAGAAAAAGTCTTATTTAACATCTGTTGTGTAATATATTATACTTTTACAAAAATGGGACTATATGTATACATTAATAAGCATTATGTCTCAAAATGTACTGCTGGTCTATTATGCCCCTGGTATTGAGAGAAATAAAAAAATATGATAAAAATCCTTATCTTTTAAAAAGCCTACAATCCAGCAGGGAAGATAAGACATGTGAACAAACAACTGTAATAAAAATGCCATGAATGTGAAAAAAAAAAAAAAAGCATTTTCAATGATAAAGAAAGGGAAGGTTGGGCCAGGTGCGATGGCTCACGCCTGTAATCCCAGCACTTTGGGAGGCCAAGGCCAGTGGATCACCTGAGGTCAGGAGTTCAAGACCAGCTGACCTACAAGGTAAAAGCCCGTCTCCACTAAAAATACAAAAATTAGCCGGGCGTGGTGGCAGGCGCCTGTAGTCCCAGCTACTCTGGAGGCTGAGATAGGAGAATTGCTTGAACCCGGGAGGTGGAGGTTGCAGTGAGCTGAGATCACGCCACTGCACTCCAGCCTGGGTGATGGAGCAAGATTTGAGATTCCATCTCAAAAAAGAAAAAAAGAAAGGGAAGGTTACTTCCAGTGTGGAGTGATTATTTATTAGGAAGGGTTAAATTTTCAGCCAAATTCTGAAGAATTGGTAAGATCTCAATAGTATAAAATGGAGGTGGGGGAACACATATACCAGAGACAAGAAACAATGAATAAAAGCACAGAGACTAAAAAACATAACATTTTTTCAGAGAATACTGAATAGTCCAATTTTTTTAGGAATACAATATTCCTCAAAGAACTTGCCATTTTTACAATAATAGCAATTAAGGCAGCCTAGATTCCTTGTCATGCATTGATACATTATTAGGGCACTATGAAAATTTTTTAGGACTATGTCATGAGTGGTATCCAGAGAATTTGAACTGTTAATTTGGCAGTGATGAAGCGCTGAAGAATTACAAATTATAAAGAAACACCAGGCTGTGCAAGAGCCAAAGATAAGAAGGAAAGTATCTAGGAGGCATGCGCAATCATCGCTGCCTAAACTAGGACGGTGGCAGTGGGAATGCAAAGGAATGCACCAATTCAGATGACAATCCAAAGCCTTTTGAGCATTCAGTCCATCAGCCACCCTGATAACACCAATAAAGCCTTGCTGGAGAGACTTTGGGTTGACTGCTCGCTGGTGATGAAGGATTTGCACTGAGAATACAAATTCCCACTTCTTATCCCCCTCAAGGCCCAGGTAATACATTTTCAAAGAGCCTGTCTAGTGTTAAGGGTGCAGGCTAAGTCATAGAAAGGAGCAAAATTAACTATCTCATAAGGGAATTCAACTCACCAACAGAAACAAAAGGGTCACAGGTGTGTTTCAGGAGGTTTAAATGGCTTGACAGAGGAAAGGGATGGCAAGTTCCTAGCATCTTCTTGAACCTGCCAATAATGGCAAAACATCATAATGCTCAGGGTAAAATGATGTGTATTAATTGAGAAGTAACAATAAATGCTACCTGGGGATTGTTAATATTTAGACGTATGGTGTTAATTTAAAGTGCTATTCAGAACTCAGTTTCTATACTAGGTGCCCCAATAATGTGTCGATCCGAGACCAGGAATTCTTAATATTCTAGGCTGCCTTCATTGTTATCATAAAAACACAAAATGTAATGGCTGCTAAGATTTTGTAGTACCCAGGACCTGATCCAGCACCGTGTAGCTACTTTGATGTTTTACAACCTTCATTTTGATGCCAGATATAATTAGTGATCAAATGTCTCAAGAGTGGGTCAAAAGGGGAAATAATGAAAAGAGAAGACATTATCATTGGCAAATGAAGGTCATCTTTATAGAAACAGAAACACCAATTGTGCGTTACTAGCAGAAAAAGCCATGTGTTTCTTTGATGGTACTGTACTGCCCTCTAGAGACAAGCCTATGACATGCAGCTCTAGCTAAAACCAAACTGAAAATCTAAAACAAACCCAAGCACAATTCAGGCAAAACGGAAAACATGAAATTCTAGATTAATATTTTCAAAGAACTCCTACCTCAACAGGCAATAAAAATAGCTTCTAAGTCAAATATTAATGTAAGGATGTTTTGAAGTAAAATATATGCATTTTCCCAGAAATCTGAAATATGAGAGTAAATTAATTAACTATGGAACTTGCAGCAGTTTAAAGATCAAGCTATAGGCCAGGTGCGGTGGCTCACACCTGTAATCCCAGCACTTTAGGAGGCAGAGGCAGGTGGATCACCCGAGTTCAGGAGTTCAAGACCAGCCTGGCCAACATGGTGAAACCCTGTTTCTTCTAAAAATACAAAAATTAGCCAGGCATGGTGGCAGGCGCCTGTAATCCTAGCTACTTCGGAGGCTGAGTCAGGATAATCACTTGAACCCTGAAGGTGGAGGTTGCAGTGAGCCGAGAATGCGCCATTGCACTCCAGCCTGCCTGGGCAACAGAGTGAGACTCCATCTAAATAATAATAATAATAATAATAATAATGATAAAGAGCTATAAATGGATAAAAAGAAATTGGGAATGGGGACAATAAAAAGAAAAGTTTACTGGGAAAGCAAGAGCCATTAATGACTCGAATAGCAAAAGATGGTCCAGAAGTTTTACAGAGACAATGAAGTTTACTCAATAACAAGTAGCTAGATTAGTCAAATTATGAATCATTTGCACTTTAAAACACTGTTTGTAAAAACGACCATTAATAGCACTTCATTTTAACCTGAAACAATGTTATATATAATACTACAACCAGACCTCCTGATCAGCCCCCCAGAAAAGACTGCATCTAAATACCGGTATTAATTGCCGGAGGCTGAAAGCCCCTGACCCTCCCTATGGTCTGAGCTTTGGGCTCCACTCACCTATACTAACTCTTGTGTCAGAAGTGACAGGAGGTTTAGGGACACAGAAGGAAAGAGAGTGTCAACTGGATGTCATTTGAGGTAACTCTGATCTCTGAAATGTATAAGAACTGTTTTCAACTCTTATCCCAGGTCCATGGGAAAAGCTACTGCCTCTTAGGATTCCTGAGAACTCCTGGGGGCTAATCATCTCATAATTGCCTTGCACTCGATTTCCTAACTCACTCAATTCTTAGCTCCCAAGTCACTATCTGATATGAAACTACACCTATTTTTACTTTTTTCAAAATACCGCCAGCACAAGGATGAGTGAGAGTCATACTTAATCAAAGATCTGGGAGACAAAGAACCACAGAGCTAATAAACTAACGTTGATAGTAGATAACCTTGTTCTTTAAAGTCTAACATGGGAAAATGCGTGCCGCTACCGCAGGGCAGAAACAGATCCAGTCAGTCAGTCAGTTGTAGTTTTAATTAAACTATCTTACTTCTGATTAAGAGTCAATTAACTCATTCCTTTTTGGCTCAAGGGCATGTTAACAACCACCTTCACCTATGTCTTCCAATTCCTTTATATGGTATATTGGAAAAATATTATATTTTTATAGTGCCATATTTTTTCAATGTGCTATGGTAGTCCAATGAAGTGATTAAAACACACACACACACACACACACAGTTAGTCAGAAACTCCCAAACTGTTAAAAGGCGTACAAGATACCATGGTAGTTAGTCATGCAACACCAAACACATCCCAGAGTCAGCTTCTTCTGGGCATTTTCTACCTTCTTATACTCTACTTAACCTTGACATTGCTGTCTTTCTGCTTACATAACCTCTCAGCCACCACCAAACTGCAGAATAGGGAGCACAACAAGCGTGAGAAAAAAGTTTCCATGGTAAAAGATGACATGTTAGGCATGAATTCACTAAGATTGAGAAAGTAAAGTTGATTTATTTTACTGTAACAGATATGGAGTGAATTAAAAAAAATCTCGTAGGCTCCTTCAGATGTCATACATATGATCAGATTTTCTGTTCAGAGCTGTGTACCTCTGGCAAATCCCAACATGGAGAGTTTTATGGATATTAGGCCGGGCAACGTGGCTCATGCCTATAATGTCAGCACTTTGGGAGTCTGAGGCAGAAGTATCCTTCTGCCTTGAGCCCAGGAGTTCAAGACCAGCCTGGGCTCTATAGATCCACCTCTACAAAAAATAAAAAATTAGCCTGATATTGAGGCACGTGCTACTCGAGAGGCCAAGGCAAGGGGATCATTTCAGTCCAGGAGATTGAGGATGCAATGAGCTGTACTCCAGCCTGGCTGACAGAGCAAAACCCTGTGTCAAAAAACAAAAACACAAGGTTGCATGGGGGATTCCACTGTTTGTTATAGCGTCAGGTTCAAATGGGGTCATTTTTTTATTATTCTTCTTTTTTCCTTCCTTTTTTGGATAAGTACAACTTACCTGGTATTTATATTACTTAGTTTCAGCTTATGGCTTTATCTCATAATATCTGTTTTTACCACACAAAAATATTCTTTAGATGGGAGGCAGGACAAGGCCTTTTGAATTCCAGGAAGCTCCATGCCTGAATTCGTCTCCACAGAACCCACATGCAGAGTCCTCATGACCTCTAATTAACATCTTACCTTCAGCTCCCGTGGCTACCCTGTGTTTTTCTCTTTACTCAAGGAAGTTAGCCTTCACCTTTTAGATCATCAGACAGTGAAGGCTTCCAAGAGATACTAGCTTTGTTGTTTTTCGTGTCCTGGACAGCAGCATCACCTTTGCTCACCTCAGGCCATCTCCTATAGCTCACATTCTCACAAACATGCTGACTTTGAGACAAAGATTTTGAAGCATTCATTGTGAATAATGACTTTGATTTTGTAACTGTCACACTGAACAAAAAGGACTCTTGGAGTATAATCAGAAAGTAACTTTACTTTTTAACCACTAGTCCTTGAAATATAATCTGTGAAGCTAGATCAATCTCCTCCTCCAGTCAAAAATTAAGGCAGGCTTCACACCTTTCCTGTCCTTTTGAATAATACCAAGAGTTCTTTCCTGTAGCAAATGCCTCTGAAACCTGGGTCACATTCCCTGAGCCTATCTCTGATTTTCTTTTTTGTTTGTTTGCCAGGTTTTGGTATCAGGATGATGCTAGCTTCATAAAAGGAGTCAAGGAGGAGTCCCTCCTCCTCAATTTTTTGGAATAGTTTCAATAGAATTGGTATTAGCTCTTCTTTGTGTGTCTGGTAGAATTCAGCTGTGAATCCATGTGGTCTGGGGCTTTTTTTTTGATTGTTAGGTTTTTTTATTACTGCTTCCATTTTGGAACTCAGCACTGATCTGTTCAGAGTTTCAATTTCTTCTTGATTCAATCTTGGGAGACTATAAGTTTCCAGTAATTTATTCATTTCCTCTAGATTTTCTAATGTGTGTGCATAGAGGTGTTCATAATAGTCTCTGAGGCTCTTTTGTATTTCTGTCGGATCAATTGTAATGTCACCTTTGTCATTTCTGATTGCACTTATTTGAATCTTCTTTTTCCTTGTTAATCTAGCTAGTGGTCTATTGATCTTGTTTATCCTTTCAGAGAACCACCTTTTGGTTTCATTAACTTTTTGTAGAATATGTATATTTGGATCTCAATTTTGTTCTGTTCTGCTCTGATTTTAGTTATATCTTTTCTTCTGCTAGCTTTGGGGTTACTTTGTTCTTGTTTTTCTAGTAGGTGTGATGTTAGATTAATTTTCTAACTTTTTGAGGTAGGTGTTTTGCACTATAAACTTTCCTCTTAACATTGCCTTGCTGTATCTCAGATATTTTGGTATGTTGTGTCACTTTTTATTTACTTCAAAGCATTTCTTGATTTCTGCCTTAGTTTTGTCATATACCCAAAAGTCATTCAGGAGTAAGTTGTTTAATTTCCATGTAATTGTGCAGTTTTGAGAGATCCTCTTGGTATTGATTTCTATTTTTATTCCACTGTAGTCCAAGAGTATGCTTGGTATGATTTCAATTTTTAAAAAATTTATTGAGACTTGCTTTATGGTCAAGCATGTGGTCAATCTTAGAGTATGCCCCCTATGCAGAAGAGAATAATGTATATTCTGTGGTTGATGGGTGGAATATTCTGTAGATGTCTATTAGTTCCAATTGGTCAAGTGTAGAATTTAAGTCCAGAATTTCTGTTAGTTTTCTGCCTTGATAATCTGTCTAACACTATCATTGGGGTGTAGAGGTCCCTTATTATTACTGTGTGGCTAGTTAAGTTTTTCTGTAGGCCTAGAAGTACTTGTTATTTGAAGCTGGGTGCCCCAATATTGGGTGCAAATACATTTAGGATAGTTAAGTCTTCTTGTTAAATTGAACCTTTTATCATTACGTAATGCCTCTCTTTGTCCTTTTTTACTGTTATTAGTTTAAAGCCTGCTTTATCTGATATAAGAATAGCAACCCCAATCTTTGTTGTTTTTTGTTTGTGTGGTAGATCTTTCTCCAACCCTTTACTTTGAGCTGATGGGTGTCATTGACAGCAGAGAGATGGGTCTTTTTTTTTTTAATCCAACTTGCACTCTGTGCCTTTTAAGTGGGGCATTTATGTCCCACTTTTTAATTTTATGAGATCTACTTCTTTTTAGCTTCCACATATAAGTGAGAACATGTAGTGTTTAACTTTCTGGTCTTGTCTCATTTCACTTAACACAATGTCTTCCAGTTTTATCCATGTTGCTGTGAATGACAGAATTTCATTCTTTTTTTGTGGCTGAATAGTAGTCTATTGCGTATATGTAGCATATTTTCTTCATCCATTCATCTGTTGTTGGACAACTAGGTTGATTTCATATTTTGGCATTGTGAAGAGTGGTGCAATAAACATTTGTGTGCAGATGACTCTTTGATATACCTGAGTTCCTTTCCTTTGGATAAATGTCCAGAAATGCTTTGCCCACATTTTAATCAGGTTTTTTTTTTAGCTATTGAGTTACTTGAGTTCCTTATATATTTTGGATATTAACCCTTTATCAGTTGTGTGGTTTGCAAATATTTATTTTCTTTCATTCTGCAGGATGTTTCTTCACTCTATTGATTGTTTTCTAGGCTGTACAGAAGCATTTTAGTCTTATGCAGTCCCATTTGTCTACCTGTGCTTTTGTTGACTATGCTTTTGATGTCTTATCCAAAACAATCATTACCCAGAGCAGTGTTAAGATGTTTTCTCATATGTTCTCTTCTAGTAGTTTTTAAGTCTTATTTTCTTTGTCTTTAATATATTTTATATTTAATATATTTTAGTTCTTGTATATGATGTGAGATAAGGGTCCAATTTTATTTTATGCATATAAATATCCAGTTTTCTAAACAGCATTTATTGAAAGAGACTGATCTTTTCCAATTACACAATATCCTTGACATCTTTGTCAAAGATTTATTAGACCATAATGTTTGCACTTACTTCTGGGCTTTCTATGTCATCCCATTGGTCTACATGTCTGTTTTTGTGCCAGGATCATACTGTTCAGGTTACTGTAACTATGTAATGTATTTTGAAATCAGGTAGGGCAATACTTCCAGCTTTATTCTTATTTCCTAAGTTTGCTATGGCTATTCAGAGTCTTTCGTGATTCAATAAAATATTTTAGGTTTTTTTCTTTTTTTTTTCAGAATGATTGAAACATTTTATTAATTCTAATATTTCTGAGAACCCACTGTGTTCTAGGAACACATAGTTACACAGATGATGTAATGAATGAGACAAAATCTGTATCTTCTAGTTGCGCCAAAAGCAGTAATTTCTAAGGTATGTGTGGTGGGGAAAGGGTGCTCTGAGGAGAGGGAGATGGGGAACAGAATCACTTGAGAGTGAGGATTTGTTTCCAATTAATTAACATGCCCACAAGAATCTGCCATATCCCACATCAAGAATCATTGCTTTAATATAGATTGATGAGTTGATGACGTTAATGAGTTGATGACTGTCTCCCAGGTATGTTGGGGAACAAAAAAGTTTGAGAAACAAACACAATCATAAAGAACTATATTCTAATAATAAGGCATTACCATTGCTCCTACTTTTTAATGTATTATATACATTATTGTATAATACTTTTTAATGTATTTAATAAATACATCTCATAGTGGATTTTCTTAAAACAGAGCTTGCCTTTTCATTTTTTTTTAAATTTTTTTAATATTCTATTTTTTTATTTCTGTGAAATATGTCATTGGAATTTTGACAGGGAATGCATTGAATCTATAGATTACTTTGGGTAGTATGGACATTTTAATAACATTAATTCTTCCAATCCATCAAGATGGGATATCTTTCCATTTATTTGTGTCTTCTTTAATTTCGTTCATCGATGTTTTATAGTTTTCAGTGTAAAAATCTTACACCTTCTTGGTGAAATTTATTCCTAAGATTTGAGGTTTTTTGTAGCTATTACAAATAGGATTGTTTCTTGGCTTCTTTTTCAGATAGTCCATTGTTAGTGAATAGAAATGTTACTGATTTTTGTATGTTGCATTTGTATTCTGCAACTTCATTGAATTTGTTCATTAGTTCTACTGGTTCTTTGCTTGAGTCTATAGGGTTTTCTATAAATCAGATCATGTCATCTGCAAACAGACAATGTTACCTCATTCTTTCCATTTGGGATGACTTCTATTTCTTTTTCTTGACTTATTACTCTGGCTAGGACTTCCAATACTATTTTAAATAGAAGTGCTGGCTGGGCACGGTGGCTCACACCTGTAATCCCAGCAGTATGAGAGGCCAAGGTGGGTGGATCACCTGGGGTGAGGAGTTTGAGACCAGCCTGGCCAACATGGCAAAACACCGTCTCTACTAAAAACACAAAAATTAGCCAAGTGTGGTGGCACACACCTGTAGTCCCAGCTACCTGAGAGGCTGAAGCAGGAGAATAGCTTGAATCTGGGAGGCAGAGGTTGCAATGAGCTGAGATCACGCCACTGCACTCCAGCCTGGGCAACAGAGCAAGACTCCATTTCTAAAATAAATAAATAAATATGGTGAGAGAGTTGGCATCCTTGTCTTGTTCCTGAACTTTGAGAAAACGCTTTGAGCTTTTCACTATTAAGTATAATGTTAACTGTAGGTATGTCATATATGGCCTTTAATATGTTCAAGTCCATTCCACCTTGTTGAGCAATTTTATCATGGAAGGATGTTGAGTTTTTTCAGATGCTTTTTGTGCATCTGTTGAGATGATTGTAAGATTTTTATCCATCATTTTGTTAATACAGTGTATCATATTTATTGATTTGCATACATTAAAGCATCTTCATACCCCAGGGATAAATAATTGTACTTGATCATGATGTGTAGTTTTTCTAGTATGCTGTTGAATTTGATTTGCTAGTACTTTGTTGAGGATTTTCACATCTATGTTAATTAGGGATATTAGCTTACAATTTTCTTCTTTTTATAGAGTCCTTGTCTGGCTTTGGTATTAGATAATGCTGGCCTCAAGAGTTTGGAAATATTTCTTCCTCTTTAATTTTTTGACAGAGTTTGAGAAGATTAGGCATTAATTATTCTTTAAATGTTTTACAGAGCCAGCACAACCCTTCAGAAGGACAAATGCCTTCTTGTTCAATCACCCTGGAAAACATAGGTGCCAGAGAAAGAGAGGAGCAGAAGCAGCCTCCAGAGTGGGTGAGAGGACTCATCAAACATCTAAATGTGCCCTTTGGTGATGGACTAAATATGCTGCAGGTGAGCTAGAGAACAACTTCATTTGTATACCTAACATGACATCATTTAGCCTTCACTTGATGCAGGTAAGAAATTTACGGCCCACTCCTGCTTCCAGGAAACAGAGAAGGCACCCAGACCTGTGCCTGCCAGCACCCCACCCATGAGCCAACACCACCTCCAGTGCAATGGCACACACAGTCACCAGCAGGGGCCCCCCACCACCCTCAATTGCATTGTCTCCACCACCGTGGTGAGTACTCGCAAGAGACAGGCACCCCAACACACACCTATCCCCATCTGTATGTCACCATCATCAAAGACCAAAGGTAGATAAAACCACAAAGATGGGGAGAACCCAGAGCAGAAAAGCTGAAAATTCTAAAAATCAGAGCGCCTCTTCTCCTCCAAAGGAACGCAGCTCCTCACCAGCAACAGAACAAAGCTGGATGGAGAATGACTTTGACGAGTTGAGAGAAGAAGGTTTCAGACGACTGGTAAAACAAACTTCTCTGAGCTAAAGGAGGATGTTCGAACCCATCGCAAAGAAGCTAAAAACCTTGAAAAAAGATTAGACAAATGGCTAACTAGAATAAACAGTGTAGAGTAGACCTTAAATGACCCGATGGAACTGAAAACCATAGCATGAGAACTACATGACACATGCACAAGCTTCAGTAGCCGATTTGATCAAGTGGAAGAAAGAGTATCAGTGATTGAAGATCAAATGAATGAAATTCAGTAAGAAGAGAAGTTTAGAGAAAAAAGAGTAAAAAGAAATAAACAAAGCCTCAAAGAAATATGGGACTATGTGAAAAGACCAAATCTATGTCTGATTGGTGCACCTGAAAGTGATGGGGAGAATGGAATAAAGTTGGAAAACACTCTTCAGGATATTATCCAGGAAAACTTCCTCAACCTAGCAAGGCAGGCCAACATCCAAATTCAGGAAATGCGGAGAACACCACAAAGATACTCCTCGAGAGAACAACTCCAAGACACAATTATCAGATTCACCAAAGTTAAAATGAAGGAAAAAATATTAAGGGCAGCCAGAGAGAAAGGTCGGGTTACCCACAAAGGGAAGCCCATCAGACTAACAGAGGATCTCTTGGCAGAAATTCTACAAGCCAGAAAAGAGTGGCTTAAAGAAAATTCTTAAAGGAAAGAATTTTCAACCCGGAATTTCATATCCAGCCAAACTAAACTTCATAAGTGGAGGAGAAATAAAATACTTTACAGACAAGCAAATGCTGAGAGATTTTGTCACCACCAGGACTTCCTTACAAGAGCCCCTGAAGGAAGCACTAAACATGGAAAGGAAAAACCAGGACCAGCCACTGCAAAAACATGCCAAATTGTAAAGGCCATCGATGCTAGGAAGAAACTGCATCAACTAATGAGCAAAATAACCAGGTAATATCATAATGACAGGATCAAATTCACACATAACAATATTAACCTTAAATGTAAATGGGCTAAATGCCCCAATTAAAAGACACAGACTGGCAAACTCGATAAAGAGTCAAGACTCATCAGTGTGCTGTATTCAGGAGACCCATCTCATGTGCAGAGACACACATAGGCTCAAAATAAAAGGAAGGAGGAAGATCTACCAAGCAAATGGAAAACAAAAAAAAGCAGGGATTGCAATCCTAGTCTCTGATAAAACAGATTTTAAACCAACAAAGATCAAAAGAGACAAGGCCATTACATAATGATAAAGGGATCAATTCAACAAGAAGAGCTAACTGTCCTAAATACATATGCACCCAATACAGGAGCACCCAGATTCATAAAGCAAGTCCTTAGAGACCTACAAAGGTACTTAGACTCCCACACAAAAATAATGGGAGACTTTCACATCCCAGTGGCAACATTAGATCAACGAAACAGAAAGTTAACAAGGATACCCAGGAATTGAACTCAGCTCTGCACCAAGCAGACCTAATAGACATCTACAGAACTCTCCACCCCAAATCAACAGAATATACATTCTTCTCAGCACCACATCACACTTATTCTAAAATTGACCACATAGTCGGAAGTAAAGCACTCCTCAGCAAATGTAAAAGAACAGAAATTATAACGAACTGTCTCTCAGACCACAGTGCAATCAAACTAGAACTCAGGATTAAGAAACTCACTCAAAACTGCTCAACCACATGGAAACTGAACAACCTGTTCCTGAGTGACTACTGGGTACATAACGAAATGAAGGCAGAAATAAAGATATTCTTTGAAACCAATGAGAACAAAGACACAACATACCGGAATCTCTGGGACACATGTAAAGCAGTGTGTAAAGGGAAATTTATAGCACTAAATAACCACAAGAGAAAGCAGGAAAGATCTAAAATTGACACCCTAACATCACAATTAAAAGAACTAGAGAAGCAAGAGCAAATATATTCAAAAGCTGGCAGAAGACTTGAAATAACTAAGATCAGAGCAGAACTGAAGGAGATAGAGACACAAAAAACCCTTCAAAAAAAAATCAATGAATCCAGGAGCTGGTGTTTTGAAATGATCAACAAAATTGATAGACCGCTAGCAAGACTAATAAAGAAGAAAAGAGAGAAGAATCAAATAGACACAATAAAAAATGATAAAGGGGATATCACCACCGATCCCACAGAAGTACAAACTACCATCAGAGAATACTATAAAAACACCTCTATTCAAATAAACTAGAAAATATAAAAGAAATGGACAAATTCCTGGACACATACACCCTCCCAAGACTAAACCAGGAAGAAGTTGAGTCCCTGAATAGACCAATAACAGGCTCTGAAATTGAGGCAATAATTAATAGCCTATCAACCAAAAGAAGTCCAGGACCAGATGGATTCACAGCCAAACTCTACCAGAGGTACAAAGAGGAGCTGGTACCATTCCTTCTGAAACTATTCCAATCAATAGAAAAAGAGGGACTCCTCCCTAACTCATTTTATGAGGCCAGCATCATCCTGATACCAAAGGCTGGCAGAGACACAACAAAAAAAGAGAATTTTAGACCAATATCCCTGATGAACATCGATGCAAAAATCCTCAATAAAATACTGGCAAACCAAATCCAGCAGCACATCGCAAAGCTTATCCACCACAATCAAGTTGGCTTCATCCCTGGGATGCAAGGCTGGTTCAACATATGCAAATCAATAAACATAAACCAACATATAAAGAGAACCAAAGACAAAAACCACATGATTATCTCAATAGATGCAGAAAAGGCCTTTGACAAAATTCAACAGCCTTTCATACTAAAAACTCTCAATAAACTAGGTATTGATGAGAAACTATGCATCTCAAAATAATAAGAGCTATTTATGACAAACCCACAGCCAATATCATACTGAATGGGCAAAAACTGAAAGCACTCCCTTTGAAAACTGGCACGAGACAGGGATGCCCTCTCTCACCACTCCTATTCAACATAGTGTTGGAAGTTCTGGCCAGGGCAATCAGGCAGGAGAAAGAAATAAAGGGTATTCAATTAGGAAAAGAGAAAGTCAAATTGTCTCTGTTTGCAGATTACATGATTGTATATTTAGAAAACCCTGTCGTCTCAGCCCAAAATCTCCTTACGCTGATAAGCAACTTCAGCAAAGTCTCAGGATACAAAATCAATGTGCAAAAATCACAAGCATTCCTATACACCAATAACACACAGAGAGCCAAATCATGAGTGAACTCCCATTCACAATTGCTTCAAAGAGAATAAAATACCTAGGAATCCAACTTACAAGGGATGGGAAGGACCTCTTCAAGGATAACTAAAAACCACTGCTCAATAAAATAAAAGAGGACACAAACAAATGGAAGAACATTCCATGCTCATGGGTAGGAAGAATCAATATCAGGAAAATGGCCATACTGTCCAGGGTAATTTATAGATTCAATGCCATTCCCATCAAGCTACCAATGATTTTCTTCACAGAATTGGAAAAAACTACTTTAAAGTTCATATGGAACCAAAAAAGAGCCTGCATAGCCAAGACAATCCTAAGCAAAAAGAACAAAGCTGGAGGCATCATGCTACCTGATTTCAAACTATACTACAAGACTACAGTAACCAAAACAGCATGGTACTGGTACCAAAACAGAGATATAGACCAATGGAACAGAACAGAGCCCTAAGAAATTATACCACACGTTTACAACCATCTGATCTTTGACAAACCTGACAAAAACAAGAAATGGGTAAAAGATTCCCTATCTAATAAACGGTGCTGGGAAAACTGGCTAGCCATATGTAGAAAGCTGAAACTGGATCCCTTCCTTACACCTTATACAAAAACTAATTCAAGATGGATTAAAGACTTAAATGTCAGACCTAAAACCATAAAAACCCTAGAAGAAAACCTAGGCAATACCATTCAGGACATAGGTATGGGCAAGGACTTCATGACTAAAACACCAAAAGCAATGGCAACAAAAGCCAACATAGACAAAAGGGATCTAATTAAACTAAAGAGCTTCTGCACGGCTAAAGAAACTATCATCAGAGTGAACAGGCAACCTACAGAATGGGAGAAAATTTTTACAGTCCACCCATCTGACAAAGGGCTAATATCCAGGATGTACAAAGAACTTAAACAAATTTACAAGAAAAAATCAAACAACCCCATCGAAAAGTGGGCAAAGGATATGAACAGGCACTTCTCAAAAGAAGACATTTATGCAGCCAACAGACACATGAGAAAATGCTCATCATCACTGGCCATCAGAGAAATGCAAATCAAAACCACAGTGAGATACCATCTCACACCAGTTAGAATGGCAATCATTAAAAGTCAGGAAACAACAGGTGCTGGAGAGGATGTGGAGAAATAGGAACACTTTTACACTGTTGGTGGGACTGTAAACTAGTTCAACCATTGTGGAAGACAGTGTGCCGATTCCTCAAGGATCTAGAACTGGAAATATCATTTGACCCAGCCATCCCATTACTGGGTATATACCCAAAGGAATATAAATCATGCTGCTATAAAGACACATGCACACATATGTTTATTGTGGCACTATTCACAATAGCAAAGACTTGGAACCAACCCAAATGTCCAACAATGATAGACTGGATTAAGAAAATGTGGCACATATACACCATGGAATACTATGCAGCCATAAAAAAGGATGAGTTCATGTCCTTTGTAGGGACATGGATGAAGCTGGAAACCATCATTCTGAGCAAACTATCGCAAGGACAGAAAATCAAACACTACATGTTCTCACTCATGGGGGGAACTGAACAATGAGAACACTTGGACATAGGGTGGGGAACATCACACACCAGGGCCTGTCGTGGGATGGGGGCAGGGGGGAGGGATAGCATTAGGAGATATACCTAATGTAAATGACGAGTCAATAGGTGCAGCACACCAACATGGCACATGTATCCCTATGTAACAAACCTGCATGTTGTGCACATGTACCCTAGAACTTAAAGTATAATAAAAAAGAATTTAATCCATTTAAGTCTAAAGTAAGTATTAATAGGTTAAAAACTTACTACTGTCATTTTGTTAATTGTTTTCTGGGTTGTTTTTTTTTTCTTAGCTCCTTTGTTCCTTCTTCCTCTCTTGTTGTCTTCTTTTGTGAATTTATTATTTTTTCTAGTATGCTTTGATTCCTTTTTCTTTATTTTTCTGTTTCTACTACAGGTTTTTTCTTTGTGGTTTCTATGAGTCTTAAATAAAATAGCTTATATTTACAACAGTCTATTTTAAGCTGATAACAACTTAACTTTGACCACATAGAAAAACTATTCTTTAACTTCTCATCCTCCCATATTTCGTTATTGATGTCATAATTTACATTTTTTTTGCTAAGTTCAAACTATTATTTCCTTCACTTCTAATTACAAATAAGTTTTACCTTTTATTGTGTTCCATTATACAATTTTACATAGTACCATTATTATTTTAAGCAATAATTTAGCAAATTGAACTGCTGTTTTTGAGTTCTACTTTTCAGCATATAGATTTACCTAAAAAAGTACAAACCAAGCACAGTGGTGCAATTTTCCAGGCACTTTCAAATTACTTAAATATTTACAAATATGTAAGCACTCTGTTGGAACACAAGAAAATTTTGGTGTCGAGAAGAAACACTCCATGTATATCAAATCTTTAAATTTTAACATTTGCACAGTTGCAAACATTCCTGAGAAAGTTCAATCTTATTGTCATTTACATCTGCATTTTTTCACACTTCAGTGTATCTTGGGGAACCATAGCCTCGGTTACTCAATGTACCACTAATTGCACAAAAGACATGCAATGTGTTGCTAATCCAGGGAGAATGCATTGTGTCTTCTTGTAATATCCGCTCATGGATAATGTCAAATAATTATTTTACCACGTCTCTGAAATTTGACTTTAGCCCTTCATGGTACTCAACTTGATCTTCTTTAATTAGCCACTCATTTAGTTCAAGTGCAATGCTGCATGCTTGTATGGATTTCCTAAACATGTCTTTCAACTCACTCACTTTCCTAGGTGGATACTTGCTAGCTTGGCTATCATTTAAGAAAGCCCCTGCATATGCTAATGGACCAGCATTGACCTGCATGGAAACACAGCCCTGCAATTTAAGTTGGAGTTGAATCATGTCCACATAAACAGAGGAGCAAAGCTTTTGCAGATCTGCAGTTTTATCTTTTATTTCATCAGTGGCAACATCAATTGGTTTTAAATTAATCTGCTGTTCACAGTTAATAGGAATCCTCCTCTTCACATAGGGAAATGACTTTGAGGTTGTCAAGATTGTACGGCATTTGCACTGTTCTTCTGTACAACCCTGCTTTTTGCCTGATAAAGTGTAAGGAGCCTCAAAAACAAATCTGCTGATATTATGATTTCTTCCAAACTCGGTCTTTCTTTCTGTGAGTTCTTTGTCATCAAAGTAAGGCTTCACATAAGTAACTTGTATATGAGCATATTTTGGATCAAACTCTTTGGTATTTACCTCGTCTGTATCCTGAATTTTTTTGACATTCGCCATACCAAATTTTTCACCATAAAGTTTAACAAGTCTCAGGGAAATTTCTGAGAGGCCAGTGAGCTTTGGTTCTTTATAGATGTACTCCTTTCCATCTTCTTCAAAAAAAGACTGGCCATAAAGGCAACTCTGAAGAAAGTGCCTAAAATTCTCTTTTTTTTTTGTATGCATAACTTTCCAGAATTTTTGTGTAAGCTCCCTGAAGAGTTCTATAAACTTGAGTAAGTTTCTCAAACTCAGGATGTTTCTCATAAATTGGAATGATCAACTTGGAAATCTCAGAAATTATTTCATAAAGTTTTGCCTTCCATAAGCTATCCACACATTGTTCTAGCAACTCCAGCAAAACTTCTTCACTATAATGGACATCCATCATCCCAGCATCTTCTTTCACTGCTCCTTCTTCAACTATATTGGGAGTAATTTTCTTGAAGGGTGAACATCCATTAGGAAATTTTTTTTTCAATGAAGAAACTCTGCAACTAGAGCTGCTGCATGGACATAACACATTGCAGCCTCTGAAAAATCTCCATTTTTTACATGAATGTTGGCCATGCTATCAAGCCAGGTTTTCCTAAGCTCTGGGATACTTGCATAGGACTTGGCTAAGCTACATTGGAGATCAGTTAGCATTTCAGGGTCTTTCTCATGCTCCTTCATTTGGGCAGTGGCCATAAGAACAGTGCAGATTCTCTTGGTCAAGTCTTTGACTTCTGTGGGAAAGGCAGTTGCCTTCATAGGTCTGTCACTATTTGCACAATTATTGATAATGAATAAAGACTCCTGAAATCTTGATCTTCCACTTAGTGCTATATCAGCTATCAGCTGGCTTACAGCAATTATTATCTGTAGATGTGTCCTCTAAATGGTCTTCCTTTTGGTATACTCAAAGTTGTTTCTCATCAAAAGATATAAAAGTGCAGATGTTTCCTTTCTGGTTGAGCTAATCTTCGATGTGAAGCACTTTAAAACCTCACAGCAAAATGCAGTACACATGTTCACTCTTCCTTTGAAAAAGCCTGAAGGAAACTTACTGACGAAAGCTCTCAATGAGGCAAATACATGTTTCAGCAACACTTCAGATTGTCCATTTTTAAGAAAAGCAAGATGAATATCAAACACTTTTTCATTAATGGGTTGTGGCCACCATTATTTAAAAGTTGGGTCTTAAAGCCCTGATGGAAAATGACATGGTATCTAGTACTGTTAGGGAAACTTCAGTAGCTGTATTGCCTTCAAGAAGTGCCTGGTGGAAAATGTCTGTTCAGTTGTTGCAGAACTGTGATTAAGTGTAAATGAACTTTCTAGGCTACTAAGATTCTGAAGCCAGGCCTGCATTACTCCTGATCTGTTTCAAAGAGCAGGCATGGTTTGTAATTTTCGGTCTATTCAGAAGTGTTTTGACAGTCAGGCATTATGCACCCTTGCTATGTTTCTTTTCCCCATATATCTAAAGTGAAACAAGCATACTTCTAAAAGTATAAAAATGTGTATGAGTTCCTGAGGAGATACTTCATTCCAGTAAGTTAAGAGAGTATCTTCCGAAATCACTTTTACTATATACAGGTAGCACATCAAGAGGCTTCTGATTTCACACTGATCCAGGCGGTTATACTGGGATACGCTACTCCTTGTAGAACTCTGTCGGGTATTTTCACCAGCATTGCCCTGATCTGGAAATCCTGTTGCTCCTTCTGGGATGAGGGAACCTCTTGAATCTTCTCTCTTAATTCCATGTCCATTTTGAAAAGACCCATAAGCAGTGTCTTTGTCAGTGCTCAGACTCCCTCTATTGTCAGGTGAAGTAAAGCCATAATGGAAACTCATCTCTGAATGCAGAATTAGGCATGGCTGCACAAGAATACAAGGTATCTTGACCTGCTAATCACTGTATATTTTCCAAAATCAGTCCAACAAAGGGGAGGTACAATAGTGCTATTTTGGCTTGTTGGTTCTTGTGCTGGTATCTTGTGTCAAATGCATGTTTTATCAAAAGGTTCTTTATGACAGAGATAGCTGTATATCTGATCTCATAATTGTCCTGAAGAGCACTGGAAGTTTCCCTCAGAAGTACACCAAACAAGAAGTGATGCTTGCAATACTCAACTGATAAACTGTATTCAAGATTCTTGAATACAGTTTAGGTTTTGCAAATGCCATTGGCAAGTTCAGATGAATGTAATGTTCGTGATTGCAAATTGTTTGCAGAAATTCAAACTTGTATTCAGCCAGAACCTTAGGATCTTTGGGGCTGAATCCAGATATATAGTCATTTATCAAATTGAAAACAAATCCTCTATCCATTAGTGTCAAACAGCACTTCAGGAAGCTAGCCAAACTATAATTCACATTTCTGGACTCTTTGGGAATCTCCGCATACTGAGATTCACATGGTTATTGCAAGAAACAGTGAATGTAAGGCATGATGATATGCCTTGGGAAATCTCTGGCCATGGGTAAGCTTAATCTTATTCTCTTCCAACAAGTATGTGGCCATCGACTTTGCAATTATTTCAAAGAAAAACCATGAGTACTTCAGCAATTTGTTTATTGCTAAAAAATCTGCAGACTGTTTCAATAGTGCTATCATCATAGTAGCCAGGGTTTCATGTATCAGCTGGGCCTGAGGAGCACTTGGTTTTTCAGGTCGGAAGCTATACTTTATGAATGATCTTAAATAACTATCCAAGCCTTCTTCATGGCACTTTGATACAATATGTAAGAGAACCATGGTGCAGTTGATAGGAACATCATCTTCATGGATCATATTTGTGAGAACTCAGAAGAGTTGCATAAGAATTACACTTAGAAACTGTATCATGACTTGGATCTCCATGGCATGCAAAGACTTTAAATATTTAATGAGCTCCCCTGGAACTTCTTTCGAGTCTGACTGATTCAGCTGGCAATGATGGAAGAATTTGTGCAAATGCAGATCTTAAGTGTAAATGGTAGATTCTAAGTGGCTTTTAATCTTCCACAAAGGCTTTACACCATCTACCCATTTAATATCCACATTACATTGCCTTCTTGATTATCCATCATTCAGATTTAAGTAGCCTGGGGGAAGATTGGTGGAAACTGGCAGCTGCTGCCCAAATGTGATGATTCTACCATCTTTCAGCAATGGTACCCAGGCAAACTCAACTGGAGTTTCAACTGTGTCTTGCTTTTTGGTTGTTCCCTTTGTGTTAATTTCACAACTTATATGACAAAAAGTGAAAAGCAAATGATGTTTTTGATGCAAGTGAAAGGGAAGCTCAATTTTAATCTCATCATAGAACTCTGGGTTTTGATTGTGATGTGAGACAACAGCATAAGCATTTGTGGTAAAAACAGACCCTGCAGGTTTTCCATAAATACACTTTAGAGCACTTTCATCTGAATCCCGGAATTCCATACAGACTGCAATGTTCCTTGCCTTGGCAAATGTTTTCTAGCTATCGTATTTTAATTGCAAGGGATATACATACAGATGGTTTTCGTAAATAGTAAATGGATAACAATATTTTGTCATTTCTGGAACAAACTCTTCAACCTCCACAGTAATATTTTGACAATTCTTTTCAAAAGGCTTCAGAGGCACATATGAAGAAGTAATACAATTTGATAAATCCACAGGAACACATTCTATTGTGATGTTTAACTGCCCAGGAATAATCTGCAGTTTGGTCTTTTCTGGCTTCTTATATTCTGATAGCAACTTGAGAACGTCTTCATTTGAAAGCTTGCTACTCTTGTTTATACAGAGAAGAAAATCTCCCATCCAGATAGAGAAAGCCTTGAGTATCTTTGAAAATGGATCTGGCAGCCCTAACAAAAGGCATTCTGTATTGTCCAAAATGGCTACACACTTGTTTAGCTGTCCTGGGCACCTTCTGGGCCGTCTTTACTGAATCAGAATTTTTGATGTAGGGTTCTGCATGGTATGTAATGTTTCCCTGTAGCACCTTTTCGATTCTCGCAGCTAGAAAAATTTCAGGATGTGGATTCATCACTGAGAAAATTCCCTGTTTTATGTAGCATAACTGAGATTCAGAAATTCCATGAATGAAAGACTCAGGTGAAGAGCCCTTTGGGTTACTGTCACTGCACAGTTGGATTGAAGAGCCCCACAGCATTTCATGGACAGATGGGGGATTCAAGTCTACATGAAAGTCTGCTGAAATCTCACAATTGTTCTTTACATCAAATAAGGCAAGACTGATTTTAAAAAAGGGTGGGGGGCTCAACATTTGTGGGTGGTCCTTTTGCATTGTCTCCAATTTGGCCCAAGATATTGAAAGTTAAATCATGGCAATTTACCAGGAAACGTTTGTTGCACTTTTCTTCAAATGGCTTTATATCAGGTTCAATTCCTGAAAAGTCCAACCTCTGAACTTCTGAATCAAAAGAAAAGAGATTCTGTCTTCCATCTCCGCTACTGAGTTTGTTTAGTTGTTCAGTTTCTCTTCCATACTTCATCATTTCCGGATGCATGCTCCTTTCCAAACTTGCCATGATGTTATCGGCTTTTCGTTGGCTACTAGTTTCATCATCTGAACATCAATGCAGGCATCCAAGTAGATGCAACCTTTCGATTCTTTTGAATTTTTCTCATCTTTATAGGAATTGAGAATATATTAACCTCAGGAAGTTGGGTCAAGTAAAAATATCGTCTCTTGAATACCTTCGTGGTTACTGTGATGGTGCTATTTACATTTGCCTTATGCAACCAGCCTTGTTTTATCACACCACCCTTCTGATAACATAAAGCAGGTAAGTCCTTATCTTTCTCACAGTCTTCATCTATCTCAAATACGTGATTAGGAATTTTTTCTGGTCTCAAAGTTTACCACGTGCCAATCTGTGCTACAGGTTTTAATACACTCTTTGACAAATAAACTCTGGGCCCTCTTTTCGTCTTCTGGTACAGTGGATTGCACCGTTCTGTGCTGACGACCCATCACCGAGACAGATATATCTTCCTTGGGAAACATAAGCAGATCTCTGAGGGGGTTGCTGTAAATCTGGGTTTTTATTTGGGCGATAACATTCTCATAGTCCAGGGGGTCAACAACTTTGGACTTTTCCAGCACCAAGGAGCCCCACACGGCCTCTGACACTCTGCCAGAGTTCAGCTGCTGTGCCCAATTTACATCTTTTATATGTCATGTATCTATTAACAAATTATTGTAGCTATTGTTTTTTTTAATATATCATTTAATTTTTATATAAGTGAAAAGTGAGCTGGCCCTGTTCCTTGGTCAGCAAGTAGACAGTCCTGCAGTCTGAGTTCACAGGGGCCAGCCTGCTGCCTATGTCTACTGGAAAAGATCTGGGGCCTGAGTCTGCGTGGATGGGCCTGGTGCCTGAGTCTGCAGTGGTAAGCCTGGAGCCTGGGTCTGTAGGGGCTGGCTTGGCCCTTGGGCCTAAAGGAGCAGGCATGGAGTCTGGGATCACTAAGACCAGCCCAAAGCCTGGGTCCACACAGACTGACCTGGCACTGCGGCAGGGCTGATGTCTGGGTCTGTGGACATGGGCCTCTTCCTGAGTCCTCAGGAGCTGGCTGGGTGTCACAGTTTACCCAGGATACCTTGGGGTAGGCTTAGTACCTGTGTCTATAGGAACAGGCCTGGTACCTGGGACTATGAGGGCAGGCCTGGAGACTGGGTTTTGGGGGATAGGCCTGGAGCCAGTGTCTAATGGAGCTAGCCTATACTCTAAGTCCATTGGAGCATATGGCTTTAGGGATGATCTGGAGGCTATTGCCCCATGGGCCTCCCTGGTACTGGGGCAGGTCTGGAGCCTTCCAACCACAGGAATGGGCCTAGAGTTTGGGACCACAGATGCCAGCCTGATGCTGGAGCAGGCCTTGGGTCTGGGGCTGCAGGGACTGACCTGAAGCCTGAGACCATAGGGGCTGGCCTTGTGCCCGTGTTCACTGGACCAGACCTGGTGCTGGGATCCACAGTGAAGTCTGCTCACTACACTCTCTTTCCCTCATGTGATGGGTCTCTTTCTGCACTGCACTGTTTAGGTTTGGGGGAGCAGTGATGCTGGCAACATGAAACTGTCCTTCCTACCCTCTTAAATATGCCTTTTCTTATATCCGTGCTCTACCCAGGTGCTGTAATCTCTCATCTGGATTCCTTGGCTCTTACAAAGGTATTTTTGTACATGCGTGGTTGTTCAAATTGATGTTTCTTCAAGGGGATGAGTGCCAGAAACTCATATTCTGCCATCTTGCTGATGTCAGCTCCTCTAATACCCAAGACAGCAGAGGAACAACTGTTTTTTTCAGATAGAGCTCTGGACTTGAGGTTCTTTTTAAATAGAGACTTCATACAAAAGATCTCCAGTCTGTCTACATTTTCAAACATAGAATCTATAATTCAGTGACTGCCAGGTTCTCAAAAAACTGTTAGTTCTTTACCCATCAATCCCAGAAGATTCATTAATCAGGGAGTAATTGGGATATATCACCAGGCTAGGAGTTCTCTACCATCAATGAACAGAAGAGGAGGTATATAGTCCCAGCATTTCTCCTCTCACCTCTGTACCCTCTCCTCCTTAGATGATTCAATTCACTCCAAGGATAAAAGTGGAGAAATCTATTAGAAGCAAAACTGCACATTCTGGATAAGACAAATCCAGGGAAAGATGGGCTGTGATGCCTTCCTACTCCGTTAACCTACTTTAAATAGAATGTTTAATCTTAAATATGTTCTCATTACTCTGGACTTAAGCTTAGAACCCTGTTCCTAAAGAAGGAAATGTGGCTTAGAAAAATAACAAATTTATAACCAATCATTGCAGGCACCCGCTGGACTTGGCAAACCATAGATGCACAGGAACACTTTGTAATATTTTTGCAACTTTCCTATAAGTTGGAAATTATCTCCAAACAAAAAGTTTTAGAAAAAAATTCATAGATCTGAGGTTGTCAAAGGTCTTCTAGGAAATGAGAATGTCCAGTGTTTAATTAGAGCTTTTTGCATTGCTAACATATAAATCCCTCTGAACCCATCCCAATTTTTGAGTAAACTCAACTACACATAAAAATGACAGTGAGAGTGAGCAGTTGAGTCACCCCTGGGTAACTGTCATGAAGGAAAGAACACATGTGAAATAGCAAGATAATCCATAAATCGTTCTAATTCAGCAGACAGTGTAGAGGAATATAAAGAACCACAAGGATCTGCAATCATGGGAACCACTTTGTGTTTCCACAGGAAGTAAAATAAAGATTTGAGACAACATTATATGGATATTCAGGAATCAGGCCCCCACAGTGGTTGGCATTTAGTCCACATGTTAGAAGTTCTTAGTTCAGTGTGGTATTTGGTAAATGTTATCTATTGACAGTATTGTTTAAAATTGGAGCACAGGTAGGAAGGTCCATCTGCAGCAACATAGGAAGGAGAAAGAGCCAGGACCTGGTAAGTGATCTGCCCAGTAGTTTCTAGGGGAAATAACTGGGAAAAGGAGAAACTGCAAAACTCAAAGGATCATCCACGACATTCAGCAGCCTCAGGCAAAATTCCAGAATCAGTTTTTACCAAGATGAGCCTAAGGTGAATTGTAGAATCTCAAGAATAGATAAAACTCAGTAGCTTAAAATCCATGCTTAAAACTCCAGATAAGCAAATAAGCAATGGGTTTTTCTGCAGGATATCTGCCCTAGGTTTTCAAGGCTATGAGTGAGGTTATGCACAGGCTATGAGTACCAATGCACATAGGACTCATAGCCAAATAAGAAATAAAATACCGCATTATTAATGCTTGGGCAAGCAAATGATACTCCCTGTTGCTGGGCTTTTCAGTTAAATTGAAAGAATATTCTCTTCAAAAAATGGTGCTGGGACAAATGGATATCCACATGCAAAAGAATAAAATTGTACTCCTATCTCACACTATATAGAAAATTAACTCAAAAAGATCAAAGACCTAAATTTGAGAGCTAAAATGTAATAGAGTCTAATTCCATTTTTTGATGTTCGACTGCAAATAACTTTTAAGCCTATCCATGACTCTTCCCTTCTTCCACATGTCTGGGAAAGCTGATAAAGCTCAGATGCTGTCACCTTTAGTGTCATCAGGGGATTGAAATTGAAACACATAAGCTCCTGTTTGTCTGCAGGAACCCTCGCCCTGGCCCAATCCCCCACAATAGAAATCTCTAGCCAGTCTCCTTTCCTTGCCTTTCAATCCATTTTCAGACAAGCTTGAGAAGCCTTCCCTGCTTTCATCCAAAATCCTCATAATAAAACTTTTTCACACTGTTGAGGTGTGTGTGTGTGTGTGTGTGTGTATGTGTGTGTGTGATCATCAGTCTTGACATCTAAATCAAATTTTGAGTGGTAATCTAGCCTGTACCTATGGAGTAGTCACAAAAGTTGATGCTGTGAGCCAGACTGTATCAATGTTGACCACCACCACTAGGGATCTTCCTTCTCTTGTTCTTGTCTTAACTGGGTACAAACCACTGCACCTAGCATGTAGGATATTTCCTCTGCTTGCTGGCAAGCTTGCACTTTGAGTTTTGCTGTACTGCGCAACATGTGTCGAGTCCTACAAAACCCCTGTTAAAAATTTAGCTCCAATAGGCCAGGTGCGGTGGCTCACACCTATAATCCCAGCACTTTGGGAGGCCGAGGCAAGTGGATCACGAGGTCAGAAGATTGAGACCATCCTGGCTAATACAGTGAAACCCTGTCTCTACTAAAAACACAAAAAAATTAGCCGGGTGTGGCGGTGGGCACCTGTAGTCCCAGCTACTTGGGAGGCTGAGGCAGGAGAATGGTGTGAACCCAAGGGGCGGAGCTTGCAGTGAGCCAAGATCGCACCACTGCACTCCAGCCTGGGCAACCCAGCAAGACTCCGTCTCAAAAAAAAAAAAAAAATAGCTGAAATAGGTCAGAAGTTTTTATATTTGCATTTGGGGATAAAAGTACAGTATTGGGGCCCTCCATAAAGTGGTCTTGGCTCATGTGTCTCAGGCTGGACCTATCTGTGTATCTTAGAATCCAGCTGTACCAGGTGCTGGGTTCTGGGAAAAGAATCTTACCCTGTAACCAGTTGGTTGTATCTCAACCTGGCACTGTCCCCTGGTCTATAAAATGCTTTTGGGAAAGACTATACTCTATGTGAGATATGACTCCATCAGTGGTTGCTCATAAAAGAACAATCATTAGGAAGAGATTTTGTTGTTGTTGTTGTTGTCATTATTTTTTACTTCAGTGACTCTGATAGGTGTAAAGAGCTATCTCACTGTGGTTTTCTTTTTTTTTTTTTTTTTTGTACTTTAAGTTCTGGGGTACATGTGCACAACGTGCAGGTTTGTTACATAGGTACACATGTGCCATGTTGGTTTGCTGCACCCATTAACTCATTATTTACACTAGGTATTTCTCCTAATGCTATCCTTTCGCCACCCCGACAGGCCCCGGTGTGTGATGTTCCCCTCCCTGTGTCCATGTGCTTTCACTGTTCAACTCCCACTTATGAGTGAGAACACACGGTGTTTTGTTTTCTGTTCTTGTGTTACCTTGCTGAGAATGATGGTTTCCAGTTTCATCCATGTCCCTGAAAAGGACATGAACTCATCCTTTTTTATGGCTGCATAGTACTCCATGGTGTATATGTGCCACATTTTCTTTATCCAGTCTATCATTGATGGGCATTTGGGTTGGTTCCAAGACTTTGCTATTGTGAATAGTGCTGCAACAAACATACCTGTGCATGTGCCTTTATAGTACAATGATTTATAATCCTTTGGGTATAAACGCAGTAATGGGATTACTGGGTCAAATGGTATTTCTAGTTCTAGATCCTTGAGGAGTCACCACGCTGTCTTCCACTATGGTTGAACAAATTTGCACTCCCACCAACAGTGTAAAAGCATTCCTATTTCTCCACATCTTCTCCAGCACCTGTTGTTCCCTGACTTTTTAATGATTGCCATTCTAACTGGTGTGAGATGGTATCTCATTGTGGTTTTGATTTGCATTTCTCTAATGATCAGTGATGATGAGCATTTTTTCATAAGTTTGTTGGATACATAAATGTCTTCTTTTGAGAAGTGTCTATTCATATCCTTTGCCCACTTTTTGATAAGGTTGTATGTTTTTTTCTTGTAAATTTGTTTAAGTTCTTTGTATATTCTGGATATTAGCCCTTTGTCAGATGGATAGATTGTAAAAATTTTCTCCCATTCTGTAAGTGGCCTGTTCACTCTGATGATAGTTTCTTCTGCTGTGCAGAAGCTCTTTAGTTTAATTAGATCCCATTTGTTTATTCTGGCTGTTGTTACCATTGCTTTTGGTGTTTCAGTCATGAAGCCTTTGCCCATACCTATGTCCTGAATGGTATTGCCTAGGTTTTCTTCTAGGGTTTTTATGGTTTTAGGTCTGACATTTGAGTCTTTAATCCATCTTGAGTTAATTTTTATATAAGGTGTAAGGAAGGGATCCAGTTTCAGCATACAGCTAGCTAGTTTTCCCAGCACCATTTATTAAATAGGGAATCCTTTCCCCATTGCTTATGTTTGTCAGGTTTGTCAAAGATCAGATGGTTGTAGATATGTGGTGTTATTTGTGAGGCCTCTGTTCTGTTCCATTGGTCTACATATCTGTTTTGGTACCAGTACCATGATGTTTTGGTTACTGTAGCCTTGTAGTATAGTTTGAAGTTGGGTAGCATGATGCCTCCAGCTTTGTTCTTTTTGCTTAGGATTGACTTGGCTATGCAGGCTCTTTTTTGGTCCCATATGAACTTTAAAGTAGTTTTTTCCAATTCTGTGAAGAAAGTCATTGGTAGCTTGATGGGGATGGCATTGAATCTATAAATTACCTTGGGCAGTATGGCCATTTTCCTGATATTGATTCTTCCTATCCATGAGCATGGAATGTTCTTCCATTTGTTTGTGTCCTCTTTTATTTCATTGAGCAGTGGTTTTTAGTGATCCTTGGAGTTTAGTTTGACTGGATATGAAATTCTGGGTTGAAAATTCTTTTCTTTAAGAATATTGAATATTGGCCCCAGCTCTATTGTGGCTTGTAGGGCTTCTGCTGAGAGATCCGCTGGTAGTCTGATGGGCTTCCCTTTGTGGGTAACCCGACCTTTCTCTCTGGCTGCCCTTAACATTTTTTCCTTCATTTCAACCTTGGTGAATCTAGCAATTATGTGTCTTGGGGTTGCTCTTCTCGAGGAATATCTTTGTGGTGTTCTCTGTATTTCATGAATTTGAATGGTGACCTGCCTTGCTAGGCTGGGGAAGTTCTCCTGGGTAATATCCTGAAGAGTGTTTTCCAACTTGGTTCCATTCTCCCCGTCACTTTCAGGTACACAATCAAATGTAGATTTGGTCTTTTCACATAGTCCCATATTTCTTGGAGGCTTTGTTTGTTTCTTTTCACTCTTTTTTCTCTAATCTTGTCTTCTCACTTTATTTCATTAATTTGATCTTCAATCACTGATATCCTTTCTTCCACTTGATTATTTTGGCTATTGAAGCTTGTGTATTCTTCACAAAGTTCTTGTGCTGCATTTTTCAGCTCCATCAGGTCATTTATGTTCTTCTCTACACTGGTTATTCTAGTTAGCAACTTGTCTAACTTTTTTTTCAAGGTTCTTAGCTTTCTTGAGTTGAGTTAGAACACAGTCCATTAGCTCGGAGGAGTTTGTTATTACACACCTTCTGAAGCCTACTTCTGTCAATTCGTCAAACTCATTCTCCATCCTGTTTTGTTCCCATGTTGGTGAGGAGTTGTGATTCTTTGAAGGAGAAGAGGCATTCTGGTTTTTGGAATTTTCAGCCTTCTGTGCTGGTTTCTCCCCATCTTGGTGGTTTAATCTACCTTTGGTCTTTGATGTTGGTGACCTACAGATGGGGTTTTGGTGTGGACATCCTTTTTGCTGATGTTGATGCTATTCCTTTCTGTTTGTTGGTTTTCCTTCTAACAGTCAGGCCCCTCAGCTGCAGGTCTGTGGGAGTTTGCTGGAGGTCCACTCCAGACCCTGTTTACCTGGGTATCACCAGCAGAGGCTGCAGAACAGAAAATATTGCTGCCTGATCCTTCCTCTGGAAGCTTCGTCCCAGAAGGGCAACCACCAGATGCCAGGCAGAGCTCTCCTGTATGAGGTGTCTGTCGGCCACTACTGGAAGGTGTCTCCCAGTCAGGCTACATGGGGGTAAGGGACCCACTTAAGGAGGCAGTCTGTCCATTATCAGAGCTCGAATGCTGTGCTGGGAGAACCACTGCTGTCTTCAGAGCTGTCAGGCAGGGACGTTTACGTCTGCTGAAGCTGTACCCACAGCTGCCCCTTTCCCCCAGGTGCTCTGTCCCAGGGAGATGGGAGGATTTAACTATAAGTCCCTGACTAGGGCTGCTGCCTTTTGTTCAGAGATGCCCTGCCCACAGAGGTGGAATCTAGAGAAGCAGTCGGCCTTGCTGAGTTGCAATGGGCTCTGCCCAGTTTGAACTTTCCAGCGGCTTCGTTTACACTGTGAGCGTAAAACTGCCTACTCAAGCCTCAGCAATGGCAGATGCCCCTCCCCCTGCCAAGCTCCAGTGTCCCAGGTCGATCTCAGACTGCTGCGCTAGCAGCGGGAATTTCAAGCCAATGGATCTTAGCTTGCTGGGCTCTGTGGGTGTGGGACCCACCTAGACAGGCACTGGAGGGAGTCTCCTGGTCTGCTGGTTGAGAAGACCATGGGAAAAGTGCAGTATCTGGGCAGGAGTGTACCATTCCTCCCGGTACCGTCTCTCATAGCTTCCCTTGGCTAGGAAAGGGACATCCCCCAACCCCTTGCACTTCCCGGGTGAGGCAATGCCCCACCCTGCTTCAGCTCGCCCTCCGTGGGCTGCACGCACTGTCCAACCAGTCCCAATGAGATGAACCAGGTACCTCAGTTGGTAATGCAGAAATTACCCTTCTTCTGCATTGATCTCCCTGGGAGCTGCAGACCAGATCTGTTCCTATTCAGCCATCTTGCTGGAAAAATGGGAGAGATTTTTAAAAAGAGAAAGAGACAGTGACAGAGAAAGAGAGAAGAAGAAACAAGCATCCATTATATGGTGGGCTGAAATTTACACTCTAAAGAACTAAGGGCTCACCAGAATACTTAAATATCTTGGTTGCTATGCTGCATATGCCTCTGTCACAACTAAGATCCTAATCTTCACGATAATAAGAAAAAACACCCATGGCACCCTTGTGGCACAGCAAAGGGGTTAATCCAAGTGTGACTTAAGCCTGGGATGCTTTAATCCTGTAAAACATCCATTGTCATGGGGCAGGTCCCTAACTTTGATGATATCTATTTGAGGCTCTCTGGTGAAAAAAAATTATGAATATAAGCATGTTGGAGGAGTCTCCCTTCTCCCTTCTTGAAACATGTCTAGTAACACCACACATACACACACACACACACACACACACACACACACACACAGAGAGAGAGAGAGAGAGGAAAAAGAAGGAAGGCTGGATACATGAGGAAGAAACAAACTAAAAGCTAACATAAAAGTCCACAGTTTGACCCAGCTGGAAATCCAAAATGTAAAAAAGAATGTATATAACAAAGATAAAAGGGCATTGACTGGCTTCTGTGCTTATATAAGTAACTTTAATATCAGCTAAAATGCACCAATTGGCAAATTTTATGGATTTAATCAATACCAGGGATCCCACTATAGTTAAACAAGGTACCCCCTACACTCCTACGAGAGTAACCAAATATAAAATAGAGGACAAATAGGTATGCCCCACCTTGGTCACTGAAACGATCACCTTGCCTAAATTATCCACAGCCACAGCATTGACCTAAAATATACCATAGTGGACATGGATGCTCTTACCCAGTGAGCAACAAATTAAAATTAAATTAAGCCTTTGGGGCTCAGCGTGGTGGCTCACACCTGTAATCCCAGCACTTTGGGAGGCCAAGGCAGATAGATCACATGAGGCCAGGAGTTCAAGACCAGCCTGGCCAACATGGTGAATCCCTGTGTCTACTAAAAATACAAAAATTAGCCAGGCATGGTGGCAGGCACCTGTAATCCCAGATACCCAGGGGGCTGAGGCAGGAGAATCTCTTCAACCCAGGAGGCAGAGGTTGCAGTGAGCCAAGATCACACCACTTCACTCACTCCAGCCTGGGCAACAGAGCGAGACTCTATCTCAAAAATAAATAAAGAAATAAATATCCCATTGGTACTTGACAAAATGTGACTTCATGGATCTTCTCCTCAAGTTAAAATAATTGATATGACCCAATGTAAATTAAAAGAATGATCGAAATCTATTTTATAAGATACATAGAGAAGGGGTGATTATCCTCACTACTTCTCCATTTAACTGCCTAATTTGGCCTGTATTTGAACTTGGAAAGAATGACTGCTATTGGCATCTCATGGTGGATTACCACAACATTAAACAACATTTGATGGGTCCCCCCCCATCAAATCTTCTATACCCATTAGTATTAAAATTATTGACTCTATCCAAGCACCAGTTGATAAGTATTTTGTTATTATAGATTTGACTAATCTGTTCTGTTTAGTGACACTTTGAGAGTATCTGGAATGGGGAAAAGGAAAAACACAGATCTTGTCTAGACAGTTCAACACAGCAATTAAAAATACAAAAGAAGAGAAAGATGTCTGCCTTGTTCTAAAAGGGCAGGGCCTACTTGGGTGTGCTTACCATAGGAAGGTAGGCAGAACAAAATAGAATATCATGCATAAGTACTGATATTTAAAGCACAATGCCCTGCCATCTTAGTTTGGGCTTCTTCAACACAGCACGACAGACTGGGGTCTTATAAACAATAGAAATTTATTTCTCACTGTTCTGGAGGCTGGCAGCTCAAGAGTAGGGAGGCAGCATGGTCAGGTTCTGGTGAGGGTCCTCTTTCAGGTTACAGACTTCTGACTTCTTGTGGCATTCTCACATGGTAGAAGGGGCAAATGAGTTCCCTTGGTCCTATTTTCTAATGGCATTGATTTCATTCATGAGGGTTCCTCCCTCATGAATTAATCTCCTTCCAAAAGGACCCACCTCCTAATATCATCACTTTGGGGATTATGATTTCAACATAGGAATTTGGGGGTGGGGGTGGTGACAAATATCCAGTCCATAATACCTTCCTAAAAGTAATGCAGTTGCCAGTGAATGCCTTGGGCCCTAGCCAACCAGAATATCCACTTTTGTTCACATGGATAGGGGACACTTAGAAAAGGATGTGCAGAGGGCAGAAAGTGTAGGAAAATAAATGTACACAAACACACACCTGCCACACACAGACATACACACACTAGATATCTACCTATGCTTGTGTACAGGACAAAGTTGAATTTCTAGAGGAGCATTAGGACACTATCACAAATAGAGAGATAACTTCATAAGAGTATGAGCCAAGTCACAAAATCAGCTCTATTTTGGCTGGATCAGGGACAGGACTAAGGTGAGCTAAATGAGACACCGAGGGTCTCCTTATATTTTGTGCCCTAAGCTTCTCTCTTGCCTCACCCTAGTTCTGGCCTGAGACCGAATTAACATATATGGGGTAAGAAGCAATATAACTCAGAAGACAGGAAAGCACTTTTCTGTGCAAAGGAAGCACAGAAATCCAGGTCTGATTAACAAAGGAGACTCAGGAGGAAGAAGCAATTCAAGAGTCATCACTGGATAAAAGGAACTCAGGTCTAAGAGGGTAAGTGCATTCCAACATGTCACAATAATCCATGAAGTATATTATTGTAATATCAAAATTTTTATTTTAAAACTCTTATTGTATTATCTGTTAAAATTAATACAGTAATTAAAAAAATTAGTGGCTTAAAACAACATTTATCTCACAGTTACATTTGGGTTGGAAATTTAAGCATGGCAATAGCTGGATCCTCTGGCCCAGGGTCTCTCAAAGGCTGCAATCAAGATGTCAGAGGATTGAAGAGCTCTTAAGCTCCAAATAGCCAGCGATACCAGCGATACCTAGGTATGCAGTGGGCCTTCTGTGAGACTCTGAGACTAGCTGGCTTCAAATGAGACTCAGCACATTTCCAGCCATGGTGGCTATGGGGAGAGACTCCTTATGCTGGAGAAAAGTAGAGGGAAAAGTAAAGGGGACTTTTGCACCTTAGGTACAGGCGCAGCCATAGTGGGGTAGAACATCAAGCGGGCTCTTGAGGTCCCTGATTCAAAGCCTTGGCTCCTGGACAGTAATTCTGGACCTGCCTTGGGCCAGAAGGGAGCCCACTGTCCTGAAGGGTGAGTCCCAGGCCAGGCAGCATCTACCACAAGCCGACTGAAGAACCCTTGGGTCTTAATGAACATCAGTGGTAGCCGGGCATTACTCCCTGTGGACCTGTAGTGGCAGTAGCCATAGGTGAGCTTCCTCTGCCTGTGGAAAGGGGAGGGAAGAGTGAGAAGGACCACGTCTTATGGTTTGAGCACCACCTCAACCACAGTACAATAAACATCAGGTAGACACCTAGCTTTTTGACTCTAGTCCCTGGCTCCCAAATGGCATCTCTGGACCCCCGCAGGGCCTGGGGGAACTCATCGCCCTATAGGGAAGGACATATGCCTGGCTGGCTTCACCACCTGTGCATTGTAGACCCCCAGGCCATGAGAAGACATAGGTGGTAGCCAGATAGTGGTTACAGTGGGCCTTGGGCAAGACTCAGTACTGTGTGGGCTTCAGGTCTCACCTAGCATAATTCCAGTGGTGGTGGCCATAGGGCTACTTATGTTACCCCACCCCCAGCTCCAGGCGGCTCAGCACAGAGAAAGAAACTCCATTTCCTTGAGAGAACGTAAGGGAGGAGATCAAGAGTCTCTACTTGGTAATCCAGAGAATTCTTCCAGATTTTATCCAAGACTATCAAAGTTGGTACCTCTATGAGTCTGTAAGAACCATAGCATTATTGGGCTTGGGGTGCCTCCTAATGCCAGTACAGCTTAGACCATGACACCCAGGTGATTTTAAATAGCTGGGAGACCTTCTCAAGAAGGATGGATACAAACAAACCCAGACTGTGTAAACTACAATAAATGCCCAACTGTTTAATGCCCAGACACAGACAAACATCCACAAGCATCAAGACCATCTAGGAAAACATGGCCTCACCAGGCTAAATGGGGCCCCAGAACTAAATGGGGCACCAGGAACCAATTCTGAAGAAACAGAGACATGAAACATTTCAGACAAAGAATTCAAAATAACTGTGCTGAGGAAACTCAAAGAAATTCAAGATAAAGCAGAGAAAAAAAAATCAGAATTCTATCAGATAAACTGAAGAAAGATATTTAAATAAAAAGAATCAAAAAGAAATTCTGGAGTTGAAAAATGCAATTGACATACTGAAAAGGCAGAAGAAAGAATGGGTGAGCTTAAAGACAGGCTATTTTAAAATAGACAGTAAAAGGAAACAAATGAAATTAAAAAAAAAAATAAAGCATGCCTACAAGATCTAGAAAATAGCATCGGCCAGACACGGTGGCTCATGCCTGTAATCCCAGCACTTTGGGAGGCCAAGGAGGGAGGATCACCTAAGGTCGAGAGTTCGAGACCAGCCTGACCAACATGGAGAAACCCCATCTCTACTAAAAATTCAAAATTAGCTGGGCGTGGTGGCACATGCCTGTAATCCCAGCTACTGGGGAGGCTGAGGCAGGAAAACTGCTTGAACCCAGGAGGAGGAGGTTGCGGTGAGCCAAGATCATGCCATTGCACTCCAGCCTGGGCAATAAGAGCGAAACTCCGTCTCAAAAGCAAATAGCGTCAAAAGGGCAAATCTAAGAGTCGTTGGTCTTAAAGAAGAGGTGGAGAAAGAGGGGGGTTAGAAAGTTTATTCAAAGGGACAATAACACAGAATTTTCCGAACCTAGCAAAATAAATCAATATCCAAGTACAACAAGGTTATAAGACATGAAGCAGATTTAACCCAAAGAAGACTGCCTCCAAGCAATTAATAATCAAATTCCCAAAGGTGAATGAAAAAGAAAGGACACTAAAAGCAGCAAGAGAAAATAAACAACATGCAGTGGAGCTCTAATATGTCTGGCAGCAGACTTTTCAGTAGAAACTTTATGGGCCAATAGAGAATGGCATGACATATTTAAAGTGCCAAAGGAAAAAACTTTCCTCCTAGGATAGTATATTCAGCGAAAATATCCTTCAAACATGAAGCTGGAATAAAGACTTTCCCAGACAAACAAAAGCTGAGGGATTTCATCAACTCCAGACCTGTACTACAAGAAATGGTAAGGGGAGTACTTAAATCAGAAAGAAAAGGATGTTAATGAGCAATAAGAAATTGTCTGAAAATTTAAAAACTCACGGGTAAGTGCATAGAAAAACATAGAATACTATAACAATATGACTGTGGTGTGTAAACTACTCTTATCCTAAGTAGAAAGACTAAACAATGAAAAAAAACTACAACTTTTTAAGTCACAGACAGTATGGTAAGCTACAAATAGAAACAACAAAAAGTTAAAAAGCAGGGGGAGGGGCTGGGTGCAGTGGCTCACACCTGTAATCCAAGCACTTTGGGAGGCTGCGGTGAGTTGATCACCTGAGGTCAGTAGTTTGAGACCAGCCTGGCCAACATGGTAAAACCCCGTCTCTACAAAAATACAAATAAAAATCAGCTGGGTGTGTTGTTGCATACCTGTAATCCCAGCTACTCAGGAGGCTGAGGCAGGAGAATCACTTGAACCCAGGAGGCGGACATTGCAGCGAGCCGAGACTGTGCCACTGCACTCCAGCCTGGGCAACAAGAGTGAAAACTCCATTTCAAAAAAAAAAAAAAAAAAAAACCCCAGCAGGGGGAGGAAGTTAAGGTGTCAAGTTTTTATTAGTTTTCTTTTCACTTGTTTATGTAAACACTGTTAAGTTGTTATCAACTTAAAATAATGGTTTATAAGATAGTATTTTTAAGCCTCATGGTAACCTCAAATCAAAAATCATGCAACAGATACACAAAAAATAAAAAGCAAGATACTAAATCATACCACCAGAGAAAATCACCTTCACTAAAAGGAAGACAAGAAAAAAGGAAAGAAGAAAGCAAAGACCAGAAAACAAATAATGAAATGGCAGGAGTAAGACCTTACTTATTAATAATAACATTGAATGTAAATGAAGTAAACTCTCCAATCAAAAGACATAGCCTGAGGCTGGGCTGGGTGGCTCATGCATGTAATCCCAGCACTTTGGGAGGCTGAGGTGGGCAGATCACTTGAAGTCAGGAGTTCAAGACCAGCCTGGCCAACATGGTGAAACCCCATCTCTACTAAAAACATAAAAATTAGCCAGGTGTGGTGGCATACATCTATAGTCTCAGCTACTCAGGAGGCTGAGGTGGGAGGATTGCTTGAACCTAGGAAGTGGAGGTTGCAGTGAGCCAAAATCATGCCACTGCACTTAAGCTTGGGTGACAGAGTGAGACTCCATCTCAAAAAAAAAAAAAAAAAAAAAAAAAAAAGACATAGACTGGTTAACTGTATATAAAAATAAGAACATTGATCTGTTGCCTACAAGAAACACACTTCACCTATAAAGACACATGTAGACTAAAAAAATAAATGGATAGAAAAAGGTACTCCATGCCAATGGAAAACAAAAAAAGAGCAGGAGTTACTATACTTATATCAAACAAAATAGATTTCAAGATAAAACTATAAAAAGAGACAAAGAAGATCACTATATAATGATAAAGGGGTCAATTCAGCAAGAGGGTATAACAATTTTAAATATACATGCACCCAATACTGGAGCACCAAGCTATGTAAAACAAATATTATTAGAGCTAAAGAGAGAGAGAGACTCAAATTCAGTATTAGCTGGAGACTTCAACACCCCACTTTCAGCACTGGACAGATCTTCCAGACAGAAAATCAAGACAAAAACATTGGACTTAATTTGCACTCTAGAACAAATGTACCCAATAGATATTTACAGAACATTTCATCCAATGACTACAGAATACACATTCTTTTTCTCAGCACATGGATAATTCTCAAAGATAGACCATACGTTACAACACAAAACACATCTTAAAACCGTCAAAAAATTGAAATAACAGCAAGCATCTTCTCTATGATAGAATAAAACTAGAAATCAATAACCAGAGGAATTTTGGAAACTATACAAACACACAGAAAGTAAGCAATATGTTTCTGAATTACCAGTGGGTCAATGAAAAAATTAAGAAGGAAACTGAAAAATTTCTTGAAACAAATAAGGGAAACACAACATGCCAAAACCTGTGGGATATAGAGAAAGCAGTACTAAGAGGGAAGTTTATAGCTATAAGTGCTTATGTCAAAAAAGAAGAAAATTTTTCAATAAACAACCTAATGATGCACCTTAAAAACCTAGAAAAGTGAAAGCAAACACCAAGTAGTAGAAAAAAATGATAAAGATATGAGCAGAAATTAATGAATTTGAAGTGAAGAAAACAGTACAAAAATCAATGAAAAGTCATTTGATTTTTTTTTTTTTTTTTTTTTTTTTTAGATGGAGACTTGCTCTGTTGCCCAGGCTGGGGTGCAGTGGCAGGATCTCGGCTCACTGCAACCTCCACCTCCCAGGTTCAAGCGATTCTCCTGCCTTGGCCTCCCAAGTAGCTGGGACTACAGGTGTGCACCACCACACCCAGCTAATTTTTGTATGTTTAGTGCAGATGGGATTTCACCATGTTGGCCAGGCTGGTATCAAATTCCTGACCTCAGGTGATCCACCCACCTTGGCCGCCCAAAGTGCTGGGATTACAGGCATGAGCCACTGCTCCTGGCCTATTTTTTTTTTTAATAAACAAAATCAACAAAGCCTTACACAGACTAACCAATAAAAAAAGAGATAAGACCCAAATAAATAAAATCAGAGATGAAAATGGAGACATTACAACCAATACCACAAAAATTCAAAGGATCATAAGTGGCTACTATGAGCAATTATATGCCAAAAACTGAAAAAGCTAGAAGAAATGGATAAATTCCTGGACACATACAACCTACAAAGACTTAACTATGAAGAAATCTAAAACCTGAACAGACCATTAACAAGTAATGAGATCAAAGCCATAATAAAAAGACTCCCAGTGAATAAAAGCCCTGGATTTTATAGTTTCACTGCTAAATTCTACCTAACATTTAAAGAACTAATATTAATCGTACTCAAACTATTCTGAAAAATAGAAGAGGAAAGACTACTTCCAAACTCATTCTATGAGGCCAGTATTACCCCGTTACCAAAACCAGACAACACCACATCAAAAAAAAGAAAACTATATGCCAATATCACTGATAAATATTGATGCAAAAATCCTCAACAAAATACTAGGAAAGCAAAATTGACAAAACATTAAAAAGGTCATTCATTACAGCCAAGTAGAGTTTGCCAAGGAATGCAAGGATAGTTCAACATATGTAGATCAATTAATGTGATACATTATATCAACACAATGAAGGACAAAAACCATATGATCATTTCAACTGATGCTGAAAAAGCATTTGATAAAATTCAACATCCCTTCAAGATTAAAAAAAAACCCTCAAAAAAATTGGAAATAGAAGGAACATACCTCAACAAAATAAAAGCCATATGTAACAAACCCATAGCTAGAATCATACTCAATGGGGAAAAACTGAAAGCCTTTCCTCTAAGATCAAGAACATGACAAGGATGCCCACTTTCACAACTTTTTTTCAACGTAGTACTGGAAGTCCTACCTAGAGCAATCAGAAAAGAAAGAAATGAAGGGGATCCAAATTGCAAATCAAGAGTTCAAATGATCCTTGCGTGCAGATGCTATGATCTTATATTTAGAAAAACCAAAGACTTTACAAAAAAATTATTAAAACTGATAAACAAATTCAGTAGTTGGAGGTTATAAAATCAACATACAAAATCAGCAGAAGCATTTCTATATGCCAACATTGAACAATCTGAAAAAGAAATCAAGAAAGCTGTCCCATTTACAATAGCTACAAATAAATACCCAGGAATTAAACAAAAAAGTGAAAAGCTTATACAATGAAAACTATTAAGACATTAATGCAAGAAATTGAAGAATAAACCAAAAAAATGGAAAGATATTTCATGTTCATGTATTGGAAGAATCAAAATCGTTAAAATGTCCATATTACTCGAAGCAATCTACAGATTCAGTGTAATCTCTATCAAAATACCAATGACCTTCCTTACAGAAATAGAATAAACAATCCTAAAATTTACATGGAACCACAAAAGACTCAGAATAGACAAACCTATTGTAAGCAAAAAAAAAAAAAAAAAAAAAAAAGTGGAGGAATCACATCACCTGCCTTTAAATAATCCTACAGAGCTATAGTAACCAAAACAACACGGTACTGTCATAAAAATACACACATAGATCAGTGGAACAGAATAAAGATCCCAGAGATAAATCCATACAGCTACAATAAACTCTTTTTTGACAAAACTGCCAAGAATGTACACTGGAGAAAGTACAATCTCTTTAATAAATGGTGCTGGGAGAACTTGATATCCACATGCAAAAGAATAAAACTAGATCCCTATCTCTCACCATCTACAAAAATCAAATCGAAATGGACTGAAGACTTAAATCTGAGACCTCAAACTATGAAATTACTACCAGAAAACACTAGGGAAACTCTCCAGGACATCAGACTGGGCATATTTGTTGAGTAAGCACAAGCACAGGCAACCAAACCAAACATGGACAAATGGGATCACATCAAGTTTAAAAGCTTCTGCACAGCAAAAGAAACAATCAAAAAAGTGAAGAGACAACCTACAGAGTGTGAGAAAATATATGCAAACTACTCATCTAACAATGGATTAATAACCAGTATATGGAACTCAAACAACTCTATAGGAAAAAAATCTAATAATCGGATTTAAAACTGGGCAAAAGACCTGACTAGATATTTCTCAAAAAATACTTACAAATGGCAATCAAGTATATAAAAAGGTGCTCTACATCTTTGATCATTAGAGAAATGCAAATCAAAACTACAGTAAGATGTCATCTCACCCCAGTTAAAAAGGCTTTTATGCAAAGTCAGGCAATAACAAATGCTGGTAAGAATGTGAAGAAAAGGGAACCCTCTTACATTGTTGGTGAGAATGTAAATTAGTACAACCACTATGGAGAACAGTTTGGAGGATCATTACAAAACTAAAAATAGGCCAGGCATGGGGAGAAGGGAGGCCGAGGCAGGTGTATCACTTGAGTCCAGGAGTCTGAGATGAGTCTGGTAAACATGGCGAAACCCATCTTTACAAAAAAAATACAAAAATTAGTTGAACATAGTGGTGCACAGCTGTAGTCCCAGTTACTAGGGAAGGTGCAGCAGGAGGATCGCTAGACCTCAGGGGGTGGAGGTTGCAGTAAGCCGAAATGGTACCACTGCACTCCAGCCTGAATGACAGGGTGGGACCCTGTCTCAAAAAAAAACAAAAGAAAGAAAGAAAAGAAACACTAAAAATAGAGCTACCATATGATCCAGCAATCCCACAGCTAGGTATATACCCCAAAGAAAGGAAATCAGTATACTGAAGAGATATCTGCACTCCCATGTTTGTTGCAGTACTATTCACAACACATCTTTTGCAAGATTCAGAAGCAACCTAAGTGTCCATCCATAGATGACTAGATAAAGAAAATGTGGTACATATACTCAATGGAGTATATTCAGCCATAAAAAAATGAGATCCTGTCATTTGCAACAACATGGATGGAACTAGAGATCATTATGTTAAGTAAAATAAGCCAGGCACAGAAAGACAAACTTCATATGTTCTCAATTACTTATGGAAGCTAAAAATTGAAATAATTGAACTCTTGAAAATATGGAGTAGAAGGATGGTTACCAGAAGCTGAGAATGGTTGTTTGGGTGGGTGGGGGCGGGGGGGTGTGGATGAAGTGGGGGTGGTTAATGGGTACAAAAAAAATAGTTTAAAAAAATGAACAAGACCTAGTATTTGCTAGTACAACAGGGTGACTATAGTCAAAATAACTTAATTGCACATTTTGAAATAACTAAAAGAGTGTAATTGGATTGTTTGCAACCCAAAGGATAAGTACTTGAGGTGATGGATACCCCATTTACCCTAATGTGCTTATTATGCATTGCATGCCTGTATCAAAATATCTCATGTAACCCATAATATATGCAACAACTTTGTACCCACAAAAATTAAACATACAACAAATATTTTTAACTAAAAATTCAAATTAAAAAAATTATTTTAAAATGCCAGAGAATGGGCTTCTAAGCTCACCAACATGGTTGTTGGCAAGCTTCATGATGGCTGCTGGCCAGAGGCTGCCTGAAGTTGCTTGCCACTTGGGCCTCTCCAACATGCAACTTCCTTCATCAAAGCAAGCAAGCCAAAAAGGCAAGAGAAAAAGTGTCAACAAGATGGAAGTCATAGTATTTACAACCCAATCTTGGAAGTGACATTCCATCACTTTTGCTGTATTCTATTCATTAGAAGTCATTAAGCTCAGCCCACACCCAAAGAGAAGGGATTACATAATGGTGTGAATACAAAGAGGTGGGGATCATTGGAAGCCATCTCAGAAGGCCGCCTACCATACCTATCAAGATTAGAGTTGAGAGATAGAAGACATATTTTTCAAATTGTAAGAGGTACATACTATACCCCTTACACGATAACTCAAACTGAAGTTTCCCTACTTGAAATTACGTGACCTCAATAACTTTGCATCATTTGATGAAATAGTTAATGCTAAAGAAGATCCATCATAAATTATGGTATCAACACAAGTCTTTGCATTACATATCCAGGTAGGTGAATCTCAGTAGAGGACATCCGTGTTTTAATTTCCTCAGCATAACTGTTTCCAATGGAAAACTGCACCTTCTCCAATTATATATGGTTCTGGTAAAACTGATGATCACTAGGCCCCCTTGACCCCTGGTTAATCATACAGCTATCCTCCTTTTCATGGTGACTGGTCAAAGGGGTGATGGCCAGAGCCCATTCATGCAGATTGATATGAGAATACTGGAAGAGGAAAGGTCTCTTCTTCCTTCCTTTTGAATCATGAACAATAAAAATGAAAGCTTACAGCTGTGGGAGCCACCTTTCCCACTGCACAGAAAGACCTGTTGGTAGAGCTGAAAAAAGGAGCAAAGAAAGAGAGAGGAGGCTAATGATATGTGAGCCCCTGTAAGGCACCAATGGAGAACTCTAGCCAGCTCCACTCTGAACTTCCCACTTATATGAACCAATAAATCTCTTTTTTCTCAAGCTTGTTTCAGTTTCTGACATTTGTAACCAAAAGAGTCCTGGATCATACAGGCTTATTTCTTCTTACTAATCAATACACACATTCCATCTCTGTGTGGTTTTTAAGCCAGGAAACAACACAGTTATCTGAAAAATAATTTTAATACAGATTTCTAGACCCCACTAAAATCTACTGTTTCAGAATCTTTAGGGATAGGATCCTCACATCTGTGTTATTTAAAATTTCACAAATGATTCTGAAGCCCAGTCATTATGGATACTCACTAATGTTTTGGAAACTAGGAGTCCAAGATCAGAGTGCCAGCATGGTCAAGTTTTGGTGTGAGCCCTCTTCCAGGGTGCAGACTGATAACTTCTCCTTGTATCCTCCCTCACATGGTGGGAAAGGGACAGGAGAGCTCTCTGCCTCCCGCCATTTTTTTATGTTTTTTATTTTATTTTTTTCCAAGTAAGAAAGACCCTTTTATTGGGGTGGACACGGATCACCCACGAGTCTATGAAAAAGTGACTCAAGAGAAAGATCCCAAGGGCCGACTTCTCCCCAACATGCGCGCAAGCTCAGAGTGAGGTCTGGGCATGAGAGAGTTCCGGGCGGAACGTGGGACAAGACCGAGTCTCAAGGGCCTGGACCAGTGTCGGAGAGGGCTGCTTGGCTGTCCTGGTGGGTCGGCCGCCCTGGGCCGGCCCCTGCCGCCTGGCCACAGTAAAGCCTCGCTAGAGACCCTCACAGGCACGCTCTGGTTCTCTGGAGAACTGGGGGCGGGAGTGGGGAAACTGGCCAGGTGGAAGGCGGGGGTCGGGGGGACAATGTTTTTTTTAAAAAAGCATCTACCAACATCACACTACTGGGTCTGATGTCCCCTTTAACCAACGCTTGATACAGGTTACAGCATAAATAAAAACTCAAGAAAAATAAATACGTCGGCTCCTATGAGGTTGGAAATGGTGTGGACGCAGGGTGTGGATGGGCAGGCCAGGAGGCGGGTGAGTGGGCCACCGAGGAGCAGACCCGACAGGAGGCGCCTGTGGGGTTGAGAGTCTTAAGTGTCCTCCTGTATCTCTGGGCTGTGGGTCAGCGCCAACTTGCGGAGGGGCGCCGAGGTCTCGCCTTCCAGCTCCACTTGCTCCTGGTCTTCCTTCTTGGCAGCGTTCTTTTTGTCCATTGCTGATGCAGGTAGCGCAGGAGGATGTTTGTCTTTTCGGTCACGATGATCTGTTCAGACGGGTACTCTCGGGTGGGCAGGTAGACTGAGGGCCGTTGGTTCGAGGCTTTGCACACGGAGTCCCCGTGAAATCGACTAAAATTGCTTTTATTGTAGACAGGCAGTCCTTTCAAAAAATCTGCCATCTTCTGTTTCCTCCGTAGCCGCCTCAGCCGCCGCCTCAGCCTCCACCGCCGCCACCACAGCCCTGAGATCTCTTTTATAAAGACACTAATCCCATTTGTGAGGGCTTCACCCTCACGAACTAATAGCCTCCCGAAGACTCCACCTCCTAGTACCATCACATTGAGGATTTCAACATATGAATGGAGGTGGAGGGGACACAAACATTCAGTTCATAACACTTTTCTATCTACAAGAAGACAAACTCCAAATTCTAAAATGGCTTTCTCTTACTTGAATTGCAGGCCTGGATCTCTCTGTCTAGAGTCTTACAAAGGAAACAGGTAGGTTTTTGTACATTCCACCATTAAGCTGTTTCCCCCCAATAGAAAAATCAGTTAAATGTTTTAAAAAATACTTTTATAACATTTGTTGATTTTTTTTTTTTTTTTGAGACGGAGTCTCTCTCTGTCGCCCAGGCTGGAATGCAGTGGCTCCATCTCGGCTCACTGCAAGCTCCGCCTCCCGGGTTCACGCCATTCTCCTGCCTCAGCCTCCCAAGTAGCTGGGACTACAGGTGCCCGCCACCACGCCCGGCTAATTTTTTTGTCTTTTTAGTAGAGACAGGGTTTCACCGTGTTAGCCAGAATAGTCTCGATCTCCTGACCTTGTGATCCCCCCACCTCGGCCTCCCAAAGTGCTGGGATTACAGTCGTGAGCCACTGCGCCCGGCCTCAAAGTCCACTTTTAAGCACGCAATATTATGAATATTTAAAAGCACATATGCTCCCCAGAAAAGGCAATTCAGCATTTTCAGAAAGAGCATTTGGCAATATTCAACGCATAAAGAGACTGTGCTTGGGGCCATCCATTCTCCAGATTTTCAGTGTTTCCTGGTTTTTCGACTGTTGATCAGAGTAGCTACAGAAGGCATCTACGGATCTGACGTAACAACCGTCACCTAGATGTTTGATGTGAAGATGTCAATGAATGAGGTGAAGTTAGAATTCATAACTTCCATACTCCGGAAAGAAGGGACCAATTTATTGCAGCTCAGCTGAACTGCTTAATAATGTTGCTGATCTTCTCAAATCTGTGGCCATCGTGATGCTCTTTGCACTGGTAATGGGAAATAACCAAGAATGTAGCTCTTTCAAACAGTAGAACTTCATCGACTTCAAGAATTCGGGCAAAATTCCTTGTGTTCATCTTCAGTTGCTGAACATTGGGAATCAGCTGATAAGCAATACTGGACCAGGCTTTGTAGCGCTTTTCATCCCAGGTGGATGTTTGCAAATAAGCACACTCTAGTGGGTGAGACAAACAAATCAAGTCCAGGTATGGATGAGGCTCCATCCATACTGTTCAGATACTCTTGATCTGAAAACTTGTGAACTAGTGAGACAAGTTACTATCCCATACATGGCCAACATACAATGGTGGGACAGGAATAGAATAACTGCAATAAATATTTCCATTCAATAAAGGAGGAAAATAGGAAATCACCAATCCATTGAAATTCTAAAATCCAGTTGGGCATATTACTATTTTGCAGTTAGGCCTTATCCTGCTTTCTGAGAATGATTTTCTATGATTTTTGGCTCTTCCCTTTGGGATCTTGGTTTTGCCCTCTCAGACATTCTTTTCTGCAAGAACTGTTCCATTTTTGCAGATAAGTAGCCCCCTCAGCCTGCTGCCTGCTCATAGAAGTTTAAGGGTCCAGAAGTCGTTTTTCACTTTGTATAGTCTCTGGTGTTTTTTTGTTTGTTTGTTTGTTTGTTTTTTAATGTGAACTGATGTAATTACTTGTAAAATTTTGTGGATTTTTTTGTGTATCAACTTATAATTGATTTTGTTAGATAAAAACCACATCCATAAATATCTTCTAGATAAGCCCTTTTCTACCTCAGGCTTCCTGTAAGGCTGCTGTGGGGCAATGCCCTTAAGATTCTTAGAAACCTTGATGTTTAAGAGTCTGTATTTTAACCCCTTAAGAATTGATAAAATAAAAGATCATAAAACTAATGGAATGGACTTTGAACTTTGTGGCAATAAGATACCAAATTATAAACAAGACCTAAGGCCACGCCAGACGAGAGTTAAGTCATGCACTCCTACACTTAAAGACTAAAGTATGTTTTAACTGCCACAGATTTTTCTTTTTCTCTAGCAGCTAATTAAGCACTGGCCTTGAGGTAAGCAATACTAAAACAACTGCAGCTCATCAACCACCAGACTCTGACTGACACCTCTGTTCTTCAAGCCACAACTGTAGCTTTGACTGGACAAGAGGCTGATTTTAGTAACTTTCTCCTGATAAGAGACCACTGACCGTAGACTGGTTCTGGCTGGTTTACAAAGGCTGTACTGAGTGCCTTCACCTTTGACATATGAGGCCCAACTCAATAATGCATTTAAATGTTAAGTCTCCACCCTAAAGTGAACATGGGATGCATGTAACATGCATGTTTGCTTACTATGCTTGCATGCCTCGCTTTGTGAATATCCATAGCTCCTCCTATAACCTGTTGATTATGTATACTTAGCTAACCCATTTGGCATAAATCCCTGTTCCACCCTTTCCTCCCTCTAAGTGCTTGCTTTCTGTCTCTGCTGGAGGCTGTGCTTCCTGGCCTGTCAGGATGTCCAGCCTGCAAACTGCAACCCTTTATAAGAAATAAAACTCTCTTTTCTAACTTTGTACATCTCATGAATTTAAGTTAACAGAATCTTACAAGGTCTTTTATCTGTTTCTGAACTCTTAACAAAAGGCTTTCAATCACATCCTTGGACTTAGGTCTACCTTGAACTCAGGTCTACCTTGAACTCATGTTTTTCTAATAAGACCTTAGGATTTGATCTTTGCCCTGCAGCTCTATCTTACTTTGAGCATCTTCTGCTGGGAGAAAATAACAACAAGAAATAGTTTCATTTTCAGATCTAGTTCCTACATAATTCTTCTAAATTCTGTTTGAAAATTGAATATTTAGTGTAGATTTGTCTAGCCAGATGTTATGATACCTAGTTCAAAAACAAACAAAAAACAGTTGATACTTTCAAAGTTCTTCCTGGTACTCTAAGCCAGATACAGCAGTTCATTAAATACATTTTCTATTTGCTATGTTATCACATTTGCTAAACCATCTACCATGACATGACAAGGGGCTCCTTTCCTCTCGCTTCCAATAACATTTTCCTTACTTTCCTTGAAGCCCTCATTGACATCCTCCTCAATACCTGTCAGGATTCTACTAACAGTCTCCTCAAAGCTCTTTCAAGTTCTTCCTTACATCTTGTCCGAAAGGCAATGCTCATGTTTTAGGTTTTTATTACAATGGCACCCCAAATTCTGTTCTACTTATCTAATGATGTATAAATGGGCTTCAAAAAATAGTTGCTTAGAACAATAATGATTTTATTATATCTCATGATTAAGAGAATGAGAGATTTGGGCAGGTTTCAGCTGGGTGATCTTTTTTTTTTAATTATACTTTAAGTTTTAGGGTACATGTGCACAATGTGCAGGTTAGTTACATATGTATACATGTGCCATGTTGGTGTGCTGCACCCATTAACTCGTCATTTAGCATTAGGTATATCTCCTAATGCTATCCCTCCCCCCTCCCCCCACCCCACAACAGGCCCCAGAGTGTGATGTTCCCCTTCCTGTGTCCATGTGTTCTCATTCTTCAATTCCCACCTGTGAGTGAGAACATGCGGTGTTTGGTTTTTTGTCCTTGTGATAGTTTACTGAGAATGATGATTTCCAATTTCATCCATGTCCCTACAAAGGACATGAACTCATCATTTTTTATGGCTGCATAGTATTCCATGGTGTATATGTGCCACATTTTCTTAATCCAGTCTATCATTGTTGGACATTTGGGTTGGTTCCAAGTCTTTGCTATTGTGAATAGTGCCACAGTAAACATACGTGTGCATGTGTCTTTATAGCAGCATGATTTATAGTCCTTTGGGTATATACCCAGTAATGGGATGGCTGGGTCAAATGGTATTTCTAGTTCTAGATCCCTGAGGAATCGCCACACTGACTTCCACAATGGTTGAACTAGTTTACAGTCCCACCAACAGTGTAAAAGTGTTCCTATTTCTCCACATCCTCTCCAGCACCTGTTGTTTCCTGACTTTTTAATGATTGCCATTCTGACTGGTGTGAGATGGTGTCTCATTGTGGTTTTGATTTGCATTTTACTCCTTTTAGTATCAAGGGAGGTCATCAGCAGTATTTATCTGCTGAATGGGAAGTCTGGAGGATCTGGAGACCTTCACTCATATATCTGGCATTGTGGCAGGAATGACTAGAAGGCTGGGCTCAGCTTGCTCAGCTGACCAGAATATAGCCTCTCCAGGATAGGGGTCTTCTCACATCATGGTTCAGGGCTCTAAGAGCAAGTATTCAAGTGAATAAGGCAGAAATTGCATGTTCTTTTATGACCTAGCCTCAGAAGCCACGGAGTTTCATTTTTGCTGTACTCTGTAGGTCAAAGGCTACTAGTCTACCCAGATTCAAGAAGAAGGAACAAAGACCCAATGTCTCAATGGAAACAATGTAAAAGAGTGTGCAGCCATTTTTTAAAACCATCCTAGCAGACTGCACTACAGAAAACGTTAAACCAAGTTTTTTCAAAGTGAAGTGAAGTGATAGCAGAGGGAAACTTAGATATATGCAAAGGAATAAAGAGCACCAGAAATACTAAACATGTCGGCAAATAAAAAGAACACTTTTAGTGAACTAAAGTCTGATTTTTCCCTTATTTGCTTACTTTACTTTCTGTGATCTGAGGGAGAAAAAGGACCCAGCCCATGTGGCTTCACATTGGGAAAAAGTGGCACCCACTGTTTCCTAAGATTTAGAGCTAGAAGGGGCTGGAAAGAGCTGATCCTGTCCCTGAATTTTTAGAACCAAATTCCTGTATCACAGTTGAAATGATTGTCAAAAGTAAGAACATAATGTTTGTTCACTGGGGGAAAAGTCTGTTGGGGATACCCAAAGGAATACGGGAATTTGAAGATGTGAATTCTATTTTTGGAAAGCTTAATGCAACAGAGTCTGATATAATGGCAAGTGACAGCTGCTTCTGGGGCTAAGTCCCCACGACTACCCCTTTCTTCTGGAAAATATATCTAGACTAAAGTTTATGACTAAATTTAGGGCCTATGTGTTCTGATTTTTCCCCAGATAATAAGGCTATGAGATCGACTGAATTGAATTGAGTTACAGAAATTAGATTTTCATGCCCTTCCTCATTGTTATTGTTGTTTATACAGCTTACATATTTTCTAGAGCAGGAACCTTCTTAACTTCAAGATCCTCAGGGACTCAAAGTTCATGATGGGAGCTCAGCAAATGTACTAGGATAGACAGATAAATGGTATTTGTGTACATCAAACTTGATCTAACGACCACTTTACCAAGAACATGAGACCCAACAGAAAAATAAGACTTTAAACCAATTTTTTAAAGGATAAGTTTCAAAAAAATGAAATAAAATGGGGTATATTTTAAATTTTAAGACTGGTAACAAAGATAGTATGAATTATTTTTTCATTTGGCCTGGCGCAGTGGCTCATCCCTGTAGTCCCAACACTTTGGGAGGACGAGTTGGGTAGATCGCTTGAGTCCAGGAGTTCAACACCAGCCTGGGCAATGGAGTGAATCCCCTTCTCTACAAAAAATATACAAAAAAAATTAGCCGGGCATGGTAGCATACACCTGTAGTCCCAGCTACTTGGAAGGCTGAGGTGGGAGGAGCCCTTGAGCCTGGGAGGATGAGGCTGCAGTGTGGTAGGCAACAGAGTGAGACTCTGTTTCAAAAAATAAATTAATAATAATAATAAACACTTTAAAATTATTTCTTAAATTCCCATATAGCAGTAAAAATGTACAGCAAGCACAGCACAAATGACAGGAGTAAAATAGATGTAACTTTATGCAACTGCAGAATCACTTGTTTTGTCAACCAGCATGGAAACTGTCAGAACTGTCAATCAACAAAGCAAGGGCGATAGAAAATGTGTCACTTTCAAACGGTATACAATAATAGAAATAATGACAACACATCATTATATCAGAGGGAGGAGAAAAGTGATATCAGGATATTTCTTTCTCAAGGCCTCTCATTGAGGGGTAATTATGGGCTGGTTGTGTCTGTCACATAGCCTCTCCAAACAGGCTCTGTAACTTTAAGTTCAGATATCAATGTCTTCCTCTCATCTTTTCAGATATTTTTACATCCCAGGATAATTACTGGATTATCTGTTGTGGTGGAGTCTGGACCTTTTTAAACATCTACCAACAAAGTTTATAGATTTAAAGCAAAAATTCAGCTTTTGGAAAAATGAGATTAAAAATAGTTTACTAGTAATGTAACTGAGCATTATAATTTGAATTCTAAAGAGGACTTATTGAGACTAGTAGAAGGCCGGGAGCAGTGGCTCACACCTGTAATCCCAGCACTTTGGGAGGCTGAGGCGGGTGAATCACCTGAGGTCAGGAATTCAAGACCAGCCTGGCCAACACAGTGAAACCCCGTCTCTACTTAAAATACAAAAATTAGCTGGGCACAGTGGCAGGTGCCTGTAATCCCAGCTACTCGGGAGGCTGAGGCAGGAGAATGGCGTGAACCTGGGAGGCGGAGCTTGCAGTGAGCCGAGATAGCGCCACTGCAGTCCGGCCTGGGCGAAAGAGCGAGAGTCTGTCTCAAAAAAAAAACAAAACAAAACAAAAAAAAACCCCAAAAATGTCCTATTTAAATTAACAATATTGGTCTCCAGTCTTTGCAACCAAAGAACACTTACTGATATCTCCACTGCTAGCATACTGTGTGACATATGGTTGATGATTGATAATAAATAAATAAAGTGTTTATAAAATGGTATTGGGCAACTAATTTTTTTGTTTTTGTTTTTTTGTTTAGATGGAGACTCGCTCTGTCGCCCAGGCTGGAGTGCAGTGGTGTGATCTCGGCTCACTGCAAGCTCCGCCCCCCTGGTTCACGCCATTCTCCTGCCTCAGCCTCCCAAGTAGCTGGGACTACAGGTACCCGCCACCATGCCCGGCTAATTTTTTATATTTTTAGTAGAGACGGGGTTTCACCATGTTAGCCAGGATGGTCTCGATCTCCTGATCTTGTGATCCGCCCGCCTCGGCCTCCCAAACTGCTGGGATTACAGGCGTGAGCTACTGCGCCCAAGCTGCGCAACTAATTTTTGACAAAAGCACAAAAGCAACCCAGTGGAAAAAGTACAGGCTTTTCAAAAAAAAAATTGCTGCGATGACTGGGTATCCATACATCAAATATGAACTTGGATACATGCCTCAAACTATATAAGAAAGTTAACTACAATGCATCATACATCTAAATGTACAGCTTGAACACATAAAACTTTTATAAGAAAACATAGGAAAATTTCTTTGTGAGCTTGGGGTAGGCAAAAATTTCTTAGAAACAACACTAGAAATGTAATCCATAAAATAATAAATAAATTAAACTTTATTAAAAGTTAAAACTTCTCTTCAAAATACACTGCTAAGAGAATGAGGGCCAGGTGTGGTGGCTCACGCCTGTAATCCCAGCACTTTGGGAGGCCGAGGTGGGCAGATCACCTGAGGCCAGGAGTTTGAGACCAGCCTGGCCAACATGGTGAAACTCTGCCTCTACTAAAAATACAAAAATTAGCTAGGCATGGTGGTGCACGTCTATAATCCCAGCTACTCGGAAAGCTGAGATACCAGAAACTCTTGATCCTGGGAGGCGGAAGTTGCAATAAGCCGAGATCATTCACTGCACTCCAGCCTGGGTAACAGATCAGGATTCTGAAAAAAAAAAAAAAAAAAAAAAAAAAAAAAGGCAGAGTTGGGGGGCGGTAGGTAAGCAGAAACTTAAGTGTGATGGGCATACTCATTTGATCACAGTGATGGTTTAAGGGGTTATACATATGTCAAAACTGATAAAAATTATACACTTTAAGTATGCTCTATATATTCTATGCCAATTATACTTCAGTAAATATATCTAAAAAAACCCTACAACTCAGATGTCAGATTTTGAAGACGGTGGAAAAGATGCAGAATGGAAATTTCAGTTAAAGGCCTCAGTGATGTTTGTGAGTTATCCAAGTATTCAAGGAATCCATGCTTCCTCCATCTAGCTGAGACTCGGCAGAGTTTAATGAGCAATCTCAATACTATTCTCCAGAAATGGTGTCATCCACCATACTATGGCTGTTTTCAGGAAGAGAATGACCTAATCAGTATAAAATGAACTCCATGTCTTGTGAGAGATTTATAATTAAACACATAATCCACATTTACAAACATTTTTAAAGGGCTTTTCTACCTGTAGGAGAGGATTAATATTGAGAGTGAACTTTTTGCAAGTTTTCCAACACACTAGTTTATCTCTAAGAGCCTCAGTTTCCTCATCTATAAAATACCATAAGAAATAAGAAAAAACAGGAAACTAAAAAGAGCAGGCTTTGCCAGAGCTATTAATTATTCTTTTTTGGGCAGAGCCAAAACTCAAGAAATGGAAGTCTCTCTTCCATTTCTAGACTTTTTTAGAGAGATCCATGAGGAAGTTCCCCTCCATAGCTTTGGCCGACCATCACACCGGTCAAGAAGGCATCCAGCCTCTCCCAGGCTCAGCCTGTGACGGAAAACCACACTGATTTACTAGGATAGCCTTGAGCTCTCTCATTAGCCCTCACGTGTTCTGAACGTTAGAGCTAACTTTCCAGACCCTCATTATTTGTTGAAAGGCTGGATGGGGAAAATCTCAACCAGATCTCCATGCCTACTTGCAAGGAGAGGTAGTTTTTGCAGGGTGGCCTGTGTTCTCCAGATGCAGAGCCATACAGGGCCTTGCTTCTTTACGGGAGATACAAAAACTCGGCCCTAATAAACAGAAATAGTGGTTGAGCCCACAAACTAGCATTAAGTTGTCCTAACTGTAATTTCCAGCTCCGTCACTTGCTGTGTGGGACCTTATTATCTCCAAAACCCAATTTTTTCAACTTCACAATGGAATTAAAACAATCTAATTTTTCAAAATGGGGTTAACTTCCACTGTAAGTTACAGTATATTGGCCAATAATTAACTTGAACACTAAAGCTGGCATTTAACAGATCAATTCAACTGTTTTCTAAGTAAATACTTAAACGCTTAAAAAACCGTAATTTACTGAGAAAACAAAGCTTTCTTTCTAGGTTAAGAATTTGAGAAAACAAGACCCAGAAGCAAACTAAAATCAAGTCCTAAAATGGTACAAACCTCAAAAAGCCAATCAGGTTTGCCAATAAAGCTCCGCCTCCGTGCAAACTCTGCCCACTTCCGGCTTCCCCACCCACCTTCTACCAGTGGAACCCCGCCCCTCTCTGCGAGGTCCCGCCCCCCACACCTGATCCTGGTTCCCATTGGGCGAATCTGGATGCTGTATACACAGCCGACACACGCACATTAGGCTGGGGCGTCTTCGCGCCTGCGCAGCTGCGCTGTCAGGCGGCTGAAAACGGGGGGGTTGGGGGGAGGGGGGCGGAGGTCGTGCCGAATCTTCCTCCGTAATAAGAAGCGACGTGTCCCACTGTCCTGGCTCCGTGGGTCCAGTGAGATTGGGCCTGGGCGCTGGAGCTGCTGTGGCTCCCGCCGCGGCGGCTGCCATGGAGGCCATGCCAGAGCCCAGAACTCACGCCGGGGGAGGCCGAGACAGCCGGCGGTACTCATAGATGAGGCAGCGGCGGCGGCGGCGGCGGCGGCAGCCCGGGCTCTCCATGAGCAGGCGGCGGCGGCGACGGGTGCGGCGGCACCGGCAGTTTTCGGTCCCCAGGGAGGTACGAGGAGTTTGCTTCCTGGTGGACGGAGACTGGCCGGTGTGGGAACGCCTTCCGCGGCCCGGCCCTCCAGCCTATTTGTCCGCAGTTCTGAGCACTCGGCGGGGCACTGCCCGGGCAGAGGCGGGGGCGCCCAGCCGACTCGCGGGCCCCTAACTCGGGGACCCGCCCGCCTCGGTGCCAGGCCTCCCGGGCGCGGCTGCCCAGGGCCAGGGTGGGCGTGGCCGGAACGTGGGGGCTCCCCGGGGGCGCACGCCTAGCGTCCGCCTTGTCCCTGTCCCGAAGTCCCGCGCTGCTGGGAGCGGTAGCGCGTGGCTGTACAGGCGTATTTTAGGCGCTGATTTGAGAGGGGACTTTTAGAATCCCTGAGTCCTTAGGGAGTCTGGCGTTCAATGCCTTGGGCATGTGGTGGGGTCCTCACGGCTAGCTTGGGGTACCAATTTCCTCCCTTGGAAGTCACCACGAAAGAAAGATGTTTTGTCAAAGAAATAGAGGTCAGGAGAGTTTTCCAGGTTTATTCAAATTGGAGGGCCCGTAGAGCCTGGAGAATAAAGCCAGCGGAATACATCCTCCAGTCCTTCTAATTACAGTTCCTAGCTAAACAGCTAAGACAATTTTAAGTAAAGCTCTTCACAGCTATCTTTCCATCATTTTTCCCCACCCCTCATTTTTATTGCAATTTACTTTGGAACAAATCACCAAATTCATGATGAAACTAGTATCCTCTAGTTCTTCCAAACCTTCCCTCCTCCCGTTTTTTCCAGAGAAAGACTAAAGTTTCATGCCACATATGTCATTATAGTTTAATTCTCTTAGAGTGTAAGGGTAGTTACACTTCATTTGGTCATGTCTGAAGATAATGTGAAGAAAATATCCTAGAGATTTATGCTTCCTTCCCAATGCACTATTTTAGGAATCCGAACTCAGGCTCTTTAAGCAATCTTAAACCTTGCTACAAAGTTCTTTAAAATTCAACGGAAATAAATCAAACCATAAAGTTATTTTCGTTTTTAAAGTATTTGAATGCATAACTGTTTTTTAAAATCTTTGTAAACAAAACGAATCAGTATCTATTACGAAGAAACTGAGTTTGTGTTTTCCTAGGCTGCAGATTTGCCACACCCTCTTCTTCCTAAGTGGATGACTAGAATCAATGTGTTGGCCAACTAGATATAAACATCCACTCTTCATACTAAATATAGTTACTGGATATTTTAGAGTCCACAGTATCTTGCTTCAAACTGAAAACACTGTGTTCATGTGTGTTTAATATATTGCAGAAGTGAATTTTTACTCGCGTTGCAGAATGTTTTGGACTTAGTTTCTTACACAAATAAAACACGTAGGACTGCAGCTTTATTAAGTGTTGAGTTCATGTTGTGTTTGGGAGGATGCAGCACTTGGAAAAGATGGTCAAAATAAGACACTGATCTCAGTCACTCATTTCTCTGTTTCCACTCCTCAGATGCCTCCCTTTTTTCATAACAATACTTCTCCATAAAAGTAACCTCGGAAAACAATATGATGTTGTTAGTTTATTTGCTTGTCCCAAGTAAAGTGAAGGAGTTTTTTCAATACAATTGTAAAAAGAACTCATTCTTTCAAAAGTATGTGCGCTATATAACATACATATAACACAACATATTTATTAAAATACTTACTGTGGCTTTAAAAACAAAGTGCCTAGTGGTCCTCAAGGTTGGGGAAGAGTGCCAGTTTGAAAAGGGAGGATGCTTTGCTTCATTCTGAAAACATGCATAGGGAATAATCAGGATATTTATCAAGTTCTGAATCAGATCTTCATAGTATAGCCTCTGTAGTTAAAAATTATAGTATATCTAAATTGCACAATAGCACAATTCTCAGTTGCAAATAAAAATCCCAAAGTGATTAGCAATATTAGCTATGCTACTATTCACTTAAGATTGATTTTCATGATTACTCCTCATGCTGTCTTTCAAAGCTAAATGTCAGAATTAGTCTTAGTCTATATAGCAACAGGAGTTTTTTTTTTTACATAGTTTTTCTCTACAACAAATAAAATATGTAGTATAGTTAATATAAAGATTATGTAATGGCTATTATTCTGTACCCCCAATTAAGGATCCCATTATATTAGTTTCTTAAGTGGAATCACCCATATTAACAAGAAAATGAAGCAAGCACAGCCTGTATTTTGGAAAGATGAGGAGGTTTACATTAGGAATATGCCTAACCAAAGTTAATGTTTTTAATAGCTTTATTTTCATTTAGGAATTTTTTTTTTTTTTTTTTTTTTTTTTGAGATGGAGTTTCACTCGTTGCCCAGGCTGGAATGAGATGGCGTGATCTCGGCTCACCGCAACCTCCGCCTCCCAGGTTCAAGCGATTCTCCTGCCTCAGCCTCCCGAGTAGCTGGGATTACAGGCATGCGCCACCACGCCCAGCTAATTTTGTATTTTTAATAGAGAGAGGGTTTCTCCATGTTGGTCAGGCTGGTCTCGAACGCCCGACCTCAGGTGATCGCCCGCCTCAGCCTCCCAAAGTACTGGGATTACAGGTGTGAGCCACCGTGCCCAGCCTCAGGATTTTTTTTATTACAGGGTTTCCCTCTGTCACAGATAAAATCTGCAATGTAATTAATATAAAGCCTATCAAATGGCCATCTGTACCTCAAAAAAAGACTGCAGCTTCTTAAATGGTCTTTCCAGAGAGCATGCATAGTGCGCGAAAAGTGGCTCATTTAAATTTTTTTGCTATGTTGGGAGGCCTAATAACCACATTTGATTTGAGTCTTTAGATGGATTTATTTTCGTTTAAACATATTATGCATTTAATATACAAAGTTACAATTTTATGTGTTCTGTTTTAAACTTTTAAAATGTAGGATGAAGACACTGTTTGAAGAGATCAAAGCATCAATTAAAAATAACTATAACCAAGATCGATCATTTTGTAGGCCTGTTCTTCCTTGGGGGGGTGTTTTTACTATCAAAGCTGGCCGCAAAGCAGTATCCTGTACACCACTCTATGTTGAAATAAGACTGAAAAATACCTGCACCATAGATGGATTCTTGATGTTATTATATGTCATTCTTAATGAAAATGAAAACTTCCCTAGGGAACTCTCTCTTCATTTTGGTAGAGAGTTTGTAGACTGTTTTCTTTACTTAATGGACACCTACAGTTTTACAACTGTGAAGCTACTTTGGATTTGGGACAAGATGGAAAAACAGCAATACAAATCTGAAGTCCATAAAGCTTCATTAATAATTGATTTGTTTGGGAATGAGCATGATAATTTTACAAAAAATCTTGAAAATCTCATGTCTACCATTCAAGAGAGTTACTGTTCCAACTGGCGATGCCCAACTCGAGTGCAGGAGGATCAGCAGCGCACAATTAATATAAAGTAAGTTGGTCTAACGTCTGTTTTGTCACTTTTACTTTTTTTAATGAATGTTGCTTTAGATATGTAGTCGTGTACCCCATAATGACATTTGGGTCAACAAAGGACCACATATGCCATGCTGGTTTGTAGGATACTGTATATTTAGTATACCTTTCTATGTTTAGGTACACAAAGACTTACCATTTTGTTAAAATTGCCTACAGAATTAAGTATAGTAACATGTTGTATGGATTTGTAGCCTAGGAGCAATAGGCTTTACCATATAGCCTCGGTGTGTAAAAGGTTATACCATCTAGTTTTGTGTAAGCACATTCTAGGATGTTTACACACTATGAAATCATCTAAGGATACATTTCTCAGAATGTGTCCCCATTGGATGACAAATGACAATATTGCCAAAGTATTTGTTAAAGTACAGAGCCTTTATAATTACTTAGGCATGAAGCAGTCACAGAAATGCAAGATTCTTCTGCAGGTCCCCTGAAAACAGTGTTACAGCCTATTACATCCAAACATCTTATAATTACTTTACAAAACCAGCTGATAACCTTGTCAGTAGCAAAGTAATGAATTATTCAGTATGAAAAATATATTACTCTTACTTGAATTTACTAATATGACTATAGATGATTCTTAGTGTCACAAATGTAACCTCTTTAAGAGCGCTTAATACTGTTTTGGAATGTTTCACCCTTTGAATAGGTCTCTGTCAGGAGGGCTAGTTCCATATGAACAAGAAAATTAAAAGCATCCTTTCATATTATGGCCAAGACATAATTATAGACAGAAACCCAGAACTTGGCATCTCACATGTGGATGTGGATGTAAGCAGCTTTTATTTTGACTAGGAAAGGTGCAAGGAGCCAGATGAGTGTTTTTGGCTTTCAGAGAAAAGGCAGATCTCCCACCTGGTAAATGATAGGGACAAAGTCCAAATTGGCAAGCCCTAGTGGAGTGTTGGGAAACGTTAAAGCCTCCAAGGGACATGAGCTGGAAAGGGGATAATTGCCAGTGGAAGAAAAACAGACCCAAATGCATTTTTGGCAGAAAGGTATTTGGCCCTATGGTCCAGAAAAACAGCCTGATAGATCGTTCCCATTTGGAAATGTATATCACATACCCTAATTTGTTAAACTTACATTTCTCTGAAATACACTGTCTATTTTCCTGCATTGCTAATTTGAAATATCAATCAATGGAAATAATTATCAAGTCATAAAGACAACTCAGAAGTGTTGCAGTGATCATAGCTCACTGCAGCCTTGAACTCCCGGGCTCAAGTGATCCTCCTGCCTCATGGCTCACTACTTCAGCCTCTCCAGTAGCTGGGACTACAGGTATATGCCACCATGCCCAGCTAATGTTTTATTTATTTTTTTATTTTTTGAGACAGGGTCTCACTCCATCTCCCAGGCTGAAGTATAATGGTGTGATCACAGCTCACTGCAACGTTGACTTCCTGGGTTCAAGAGATCCTCCTGTCTCAGCACCCCCAAGTAGCTGGCACCAGGGGCATGTACCACCATGCCCGGCTAATTTTTGTATTTTTTTTTAGAGATAGGATCTTGCTGTGTTGCCCAGGTTGGTCTCAAACTTCTGATTCACCCACCTCAGCTTCCCAAAGTGCTGGGATTACAGGCGTGAGCCACCACACCCAGCCTAATATCTTGTTTTTTAAAAACTAGTTTCATCTGTAAATATTTTGAAACTATAATGAAATATTTATAATTCTATATTTTATACTATTGAATAAAATATTTTTCATCATACTCTATAACTTTTAAGTTTTTGCCTACTTTTTAAAAAATCCTATATTTAAAGCAACCTCTGAAGTAATGTAGAAAAAAAGTTTTTTTTAACGGATCAGGTACTTGAGGCCAAGAATGATTATTACTTACATTTAATCAGGTAACTAATCAGCTGCTCCTCTGATTCTGGGTCCTAGTTCCTTCCCACGAGACCAGATTGCCTCTTTTGAATCTTCTCACAAATGTTTTAAATTATCATAGCAGCAACTGGATATATCAGGATTGTTTATACAAAAATATGTTTCTTTGAAAATTTCATAATTAGTGTTTGAGTTCAACTGGTTTCTATACTATCTGCAAGAAATTCTGAATGTGTCATAAAGGTTATACTTGGTATAACTGGTTTTGCTAATAAAGGACTGAGCTGTAAAATTTGTTATAATATATTAAGATATAAAATGTTGAAGCAGTTCTTACATGCATTTAATAATTATTATAGTCCTCCCCAAGAAATTCCACATGGAAACTTGATAAGACTGGCTGTGAATGAGTTATTCTGTTCCAAGATTGAACTGTGTGAAGAGCATGGGTGAGTATACAATAGACATTTAAAATGACAGTATGTATGTGTTTATAAGGAAACCTAGGCAGATGTGCTCCTTGAAGTACTTTATGAATCTTATTAACCTAGTTTACTATGACATTTTACAGTGTTTTTGTTACGGAGTATATCACTACATAGAATATGGTACTACAGCTGATTGATGAATACAAAGCAAATACCTTTTCTTTTTTCCCCCCCCACTGCTGAGTAGGTACAATAAAACCTTGGTTAACTGGAACCCAGCTAATTGGGACCCTCAATTATCTGGATTTTTTTCTGCACTCTCCATTTAGGAGAAAGAGGTAAATGACAACTAAAAAACTTAACCTAGTAAAAGTTGAGAGAAGCAGAACATATTCATCCCAATCTCTTAAAATTTTCTGTGACTACATTATTGTATAATGAGAATTAATATTTAGAAGGATGATCTTATTGCTGATTAATTACAAAAGGAAAGGTAAAAATATGTTCTGTTAATTGTACCTATTAAGTCCAGAAAGTGAACGAATATATTGTAGCAACAAATACTGAAACAGATGGTTTTCTGGTTAATTTGGTTTAGTTAATAATGTTTGTTAACCAGAATACTGTACCCTGAGCATTCCGGTTAATCAAGATTTTACTGTATAATTCAATATGTTATATTCTGATCCATATACTTAATACCTCATAATATGAGGAAACAATTTGTTCATGCTTATAGTCGAGTCTAATGGCAAAAGGAAGCAATTAGAGTCATATTTTTCCCCTCTCTGCCATTATTTGAAACCAGCATATAGAGTGAAATATAAAAGCGTTTGTATCAGTTCTGCAGAGTTATGCTTTCATAGGCTTATACAGAAATAGCCAGCATTTCCTGGAGTTTTAAACGTGTCATTTCTAGTGTAAGGAACACAGCTTATAAACTTCTGGAACTATTAGGTGATATAAGGTAGTAATTACCCTATAACTATAGGTATTAACCATTACCTACACCTATAATAGATAATTATAAGAAAATTAAAGTCATAAAGACAACTCTGAAGTGTTGAAAGCCAGCTTTGTCCCAAGTGTAATAATGTTCATGCCTGTTTTCTATTTTAGGTGTGGTGGCTTAAGAGAATTTTCCCAACGAATTTTCTGCCATGGGGCACCCCCTTTTGTTGTCTTAAATATGCAACATTGGAAATCTGAAGATCTGGCGTATGTACCCTATTACTTGGATTTGTCTGATCACAAGTAGGTGTTTTTGTTGTTGTTTCTTTATAAAACTAATAAAAAAAATTTATCCTGTTATATTATGATTTTGACTAGCCCTTAAGAGATATTGTTGAAAACAATCATATCTGTCTCTAAATTTATGTATTCTGAATAGAATCAGAATTTATTACAGAGAGTCAGTTACTAGCAGTGCACATAGTGGGTAGGTGTGTGGACTACAGAATAGACAGAATTGGGTTCAAATCCTAGCCCCATCTTTTATAAGTTAACCTTGGGCCAACAACTTAACCAGTTTACATGTCAGTTTTCTTATCTATAAAACACAGATGATGGTATCAACCTAGTGCAATTATTGTAAAGATTTAATAAGCACATACTAAGTGTTTAAGATAGTACCTGACACATAATACTGGATAGTATAATAATAGCACAGTATTTTGTGCCTGACACATACTGGCTAATACTTGTATTTCAAGTCAGAGAAGTTCGTAGTAGTATGCAGGTGGTCATAATTTAAACATAAAATGTTACTTGTCACTATAAATAAAAATATCTGCATACAAATCAGGAAATAAAGGGTTCTTTTAACATTTTCCCTGTAAAAGTTTTCTTACGTGTTTACTCTTTTTTAAAAGAAACATACAGGTTATAAGTTCATCTGTTAAAATATGTTTTTAAGAAATTCTTAATTTCCACATTTCCAATTTTATTACATGATCTATAGAGATGGATATCTTTTTCAGGGAACAGAATACAAACAATGTCAATGTTTTTATTCCTTAGTTATGAATTTAAGGAATGTTTATCTTAACAAAGTATTAAATTTTCTCTCATACTATATTATTTAATTTGCAGGTATTTGTTGGAAGGTGCCACATTATTTAACAAAGAGGAACATCATTATTCTGCAGCTTTCCAGATTGGTGGACATTGGATGCACTATGATGGGCTCAGAAATGTGAATTTAATTTTGTTAAATAAACCCCCAGAGTTTCTCCTCTTGTCATCATTGGTTTATATTCGAGCAACAGAGAAATAAATATAGATTGATGCTAAAAGTTGTTTTCCCTCCTGCCCATGCTCTCCCAGATGAAGGGCTTTTATTTTGTGTATACTTGGTATCCAAGAAAATAGTTCAACTATACTAGTTTCAGAAGTGTATTTTCAGTGTTTAACCCCAGGTAAATGTTTTATATAGAGGATCTGTGCAAAAATGTTTGTAATTTTTTTATATTTCCTGAGTTATTTTTATATGAGCATATTTTATGTTGGAATAAAATATATCTTGTGGCCTTTGTATTTTTTATTTATATGTACCTCAAAGATTTTTACAATTCTGTCTTTGAATTCAAGAAATACTTTGTCATCTGAATTCTAAATTTTTCTTTTTGGATATTCGAGTAAAACCTAGGTAAAAGTATTTTAAGTTTATATAATTTAACAGTTCAAAATATATCTGACTGTATTTCTTTGCCCTACCTCACTATAATCCAAAGTGCACTATTTGATCTAGTATGGATTTGAATGTACAATTTATCGATGGCTTAGTTTATTAGTTCGATTTGCCTAGTATCCCTGCAGCAATTTTTTAAAATGTCTGAGAAATTTTTCAGAGCTTAAACTATTTCTTTATAATGGCAAATTACTTTTAACTACTTCCTAAAGTATTATAAACCTGCCAGTGGATTTTAAGTGATAGCTAAGCTTCCAAGCTTAATTCACGTTATTACAAATAAATTATATAACTATCTTAAATGTTTATCTTATAATTAAATGTAATTTGAAATGCTCTAATGTATTTTGCAGATAAAACAACTATAAACAATATTAGGCAACTGGATGTTTACTAGTGTCGGACTAGCAATAGAAATGCACTTTAAATATATATTTAAGGGGAAATGCGTGCCTGGAAATACTTCTTTTCCTAGTGAAGTTTTATATTGACACAGAGAAAAGAATACTTAAAATTTTGAGTGATGTCTACTGGCTTCCTTGTAAGTAGTGATTGATAGCATGCGGCTTTGACTTGCAATACAAATCATTACGATTTTATAGTTATCAGAACATTACGTTTCTTTATAAAGACCCTAAGGTCACTCTTCTTTTTGCAACTTAAGGGAAAAAATATTCTCAAGGGAAAATACTTTTTGAAATTTATCACCATTTTAGTGTTTACATTTCAATAAATAGTTCACTTCAGGTTTGGGATTGAGATTAGTTGCAATATATTTAGAAGCTCCTACATGACAGCACAGATCACTGCCATCTGCTGAACTGCTAAAGTGCTTGGTGCCATGTTGAGAAAACTTACCCAAGAATGGATAAATATGGGTGAAACATTACTGAGAATGCCTCACGTTAGCAAATACTATGAAAATTCTTGTTTATATATCAAACTGATTTATTTTACAAAAAAAAAAAATTCACCCCAAGATTTATTTAGTTTCCCAAGTGTATCTGATTAGGATTTAATTTAGAGTAAACTTTTCTGGGGACACCTGATTGCATGAACTGAAGTATACAATAACACAAATATTACAGTAAACATAAATGGTGTCATTAACAAAATTATTCCTAATGCAGATTTATTCTTTCAGGAAATGCACTTTATTTGGAATACTAGTTTATCATGAAACAATGACTTACCTACCTCACAGGGTTGTTGTGAGGATTAAGATGTTTGTTAAAATCTTGACTACCTTGAACATGCTAATAAAAAAACATTTTTCTACCTCTTTTATTTGCAGGCAAGGCTCCCAGATTTTCTCTAACTACTGAACTTTGCAGATTTTAAAAAATTACTTAGGCTGTAGCTCATATCACTAATATATTTAGTGTGTAATGGAAATTCAGTATGCCTTCTTGACCCCAGGTTGGGGCTTAAGGAGGAGAACAGATAGTTTATTTTTATGGTAGCAGTTGATAGAAACAAGAAATTATCCCCTGCTGACCAAACAGTGAATAGAAAAAGGATCAAAAAGAATTAACTAAAATAGATTACGGAATGTGAAGGTGAGGGTATGGAAAATTCTTTGTAGTTCTATAAACATCCTTAATCAGAATAATCTACTGGTGGGGGGGGGCTAAAGATACGAGGTAATAATCAGATTATATATTTTTTTGTTTTGGTTTTGTTTTTCTTTTATTTTTTATTTTTTGAGATGGAGTCTTACTGTCACCCAGGCTGGAGTGCAGTGGTTCCATCTTGGCTCACTGCAGCCTCTGCCTCCCTGGTTCAAGCGATTCTCCCACCTCAGCCTCGTAGCTCAGATTACAGGCGCACAGCCACCACACCTGGCTAATTTTTGTATTTTGAGTAGAGACGGGGTTCCACTATGTTGGCCAGGCTGGTCTCAAACTCCTGACCTCAGGTGATCCACCTGCCTCGGCCTCCCAAAAGTGCTAGGATTACAGGTGCGAGCCACCGCACCCAGCCCCAGAATATATTTTTAATCAAAATACCACAAACAACTCCTATACCTACAGGGACAGCAAAAATAATTTTAAAACCTTTTCTGCAATCTGGCATAAAGAACAAATAAGCAAATTTAAGAAGGAGTCTTCAACTAGCTTCAGTAAAAGAAACCGTTTCTTCTTTAACTTCTGTAAATAATCTTATTCCTTCAAAGTAGTTTATAATAATTTATAAATTATTAGTTTAAACTGTCACTAGATCTAATCCATCCAATGAAAGAGGAAGAGAAAGGATAACTGACCACCACAGGCATGCCTACTAGACTGAGTCCCATGTTCTATTTCTTTCCTAAAGTATGGGCAAACAACTATATAATCAGATGACTACTATCACACATAAAAAGCTACACATGGCAGGACACGTGGCTCATGCCTGTAATCCCAGCACTTTGGGAGGCTGAGGTGAGAGGATCACTTGAACTCAGGAGTTCCCTGGGCAACACAGGGAGACCCCATCTCTACTAAAAATACAAAAATCAGTCAGGTGTGATGGTGTTCACTTGTTGCCTGTAGTGCCAGTTACTCAGGAGGCTGAGGTGGGAGGATGGCTTGAGCCTAAGAGTTGGAGGTTGCAGGGAGCAGAGATCACTGGAGCAGCCTGCGTAACACAGCAAGACCTGTCTCAAAAAAAAAAAAAAAAAAGCAAAGAAAAGGAAAGCTGTACATGTTGAGCATATGAAAAATTTAGTTATGTTTGTTTTGAGATGGAGTTTCGCTCCTGTTGCCCAGGTTGGTGTGCAATGGCACCATCTTGGCTCACTGCAACCTCTGACTCCCAGGTTCAAATGATGCTCCTGCCTCAGTCTCCGGAGTAGCTGGGATTACAGGCAGGCGCCACCCACACCCGGCTATTTTTGTATTTTCAGTAGAGACGGAGTTTCTCCATGTTGGTGGCTGGTCTCAAACTCCCGATTTCAGGTGATCTGCCCGCGTTGGCCTCCCAAAGTGCTGGGATTACAGGCGTGAGCCACTGTGCCCGGCCCGAAATTTAGTTTTATAATGATTCAGTGATGTTTAATTATTAGAAAATAACTGTAATGTACTATAAGGCAGAAAGGGTAAGAATTCATATAAAATGATTGTAATTAATATTACTAAACTACAGCCAAACCAAACATTTAAAATTTTTAAATTTTCTCCTTTTCCTTTGTTGATGCCCTAGCATTTAAAATCAGCATCAAATTATTCTGCCCTAAAACTTCATAGCTTTAAAAGTTCATCTTATTGAGACATTTATACAAAGATCTTAAATTGAATGTCTTACTATCAGGGGTTCCTACATCCCACCGTACTGGCCCAAGCTCCACTCTCTGGTCACCTGGACAGCCTCCTCGCTATGGTCTGAATGATGGTCTCCCTTTCAAAATTTACATTGAGCTTAATCCCTATGGTGGTGGTACTGAGAGCTGGGACGTTTGGGGAGGTTTGGGGAGGCTTTGCCCTCATGAGTGAGATGAATTGCCCTTATAAATGGACTTTTTTTTTTTTTTTTTTTTGAGACAGGGTTTCACTGTGTCACCCAGGCTGGAGTGCCACGGCACAATCATGGCTTATTGTAGCCTCAACCTGCTGGGCTCAAGTGATCCTCCCACCTCAACCTCCCAAGTTGCTGGGACTACAGACATGCACCACCAAATCCCCTTAATTTTAAAAAATTTTTTGTGGAGACAGGGTCTCTGTATGTTTCCCAGGCTGGTCTCAAACTCCTGGGCTCAAGTAATCCTCCTGCCTCAGCCTCCCAAAGTGCTGGGATTATAGGCATGAGCCACCGTGCCCAGCCAGTAATGGGCTTGACAGAGTGAGTTTGACCCTTTCGCCCTTTTTCCTCCTGCTATGTGATAATGCAGCAAGAAAACCCGTATCAGATGCTGGCATCTCCATCTTAATTTTCCCAACTTCCAGAACTGTAAGAAATACATTTCTCTTCTTTATAAATTACCAAATCTCAGGTGTTTTGTTATAGCAGCACAAATGAACTAAGACACTCCTTTAACCTCAAATTTAATTTGATCCTGGGGAGAAAACAGCCTTTTACTCTATCTCTTGTAGCTGAGGGGGAGGAAGTTAGTAAGAAGCCATCTGTAACTAGATAATTTCTTTATATGCTGAGGATGTAATTAGATTATTTATCCTCAAATGAGCAATCAGTTCCATTGTTTATCCACTGTTTTCTCAATAAGATCTTCTGCAAGGTATCAGGAGGAATATTGCTTAAAAATGAAAAGGTGAGCTGCTTCGGCAGGAACCTCAAAAAGGGTGTGGAATGGAACAGGAGCTTTGGGAGCAAATTAGCTGCGTAGGCAAGTTAGCCATAGTAGAATCAGAAACTTGCTATTTATACAAGTTGGATGGATTTTCATTACTTGTTTTATCTTTGAGTTTTATTTTATTTATTATCTATTTATTTTTGAGACGGAGCTTTGCTCTGTCGCCCAGGCTGAAGTGCAGTGGCATGATCTTGGCTCACTGCAACCTCCGCCTCCCGGATTCAAGCAATTCTCCTGCCTCAGCCTCCTAAGTAGCTGAGATTACAGGTAAGTGCCACCACGCCCGGCTAATTTTTGTATTTTTAGTAGAGTCGGGGTTTCACCATGTTGGCCAGGCTGGTCTCAAACTCCTGACCTCAGGTGAGCCACCTGCCTCGGCCTCCCAAAGTGCTGGGATTACACATGTAAGCCAGCGTGCCCGGCCTATCTTTGAATTTTATAAACACTCATTTCGCAATATGAATATAAAATAATATGTAAATCAGTAATACAAAAGAAGTTTGAAGAAGAAAATAAAGGTCATCCATAACTTCTCCACCATCATTTCTTCCATCCATAATTTACACAATTATGATTACATAATCCAGTGATTGGCTCACACTGGTAAAGACTTTTTGGAAAGTCTAGCATGGCTCTACAGTACTGAAGAGAACCAAGAACCAAGGAGTTAGGGCTTGGAAGGAAGAAGTGTATACTCCTGGAGGCCAGCATAGTGGTGATAGAGATAATTAACATGACAAAACTCCAAGAGGAAAGTAAGACTCAGGAAAACAGCTGTGGCCACCTGTTCAGGCATTTCTTTTCACCCGGACACTTGCTTTCAAAAACATTTGTCTTCTTAAACCTTCAATAACTCATTCTTTTATTTTACAAAGGATATCATTCCTTTACAATCCTCTACCTACATCTTAATCATAGTATCCCGGGTGCTGAAGTTTGGAAGCAAGACCAGGATGGAATAAATTGTCCCCAAATAGATACAACCAAATAGACTTTCTGTTTTCCTGTTAACCTAATACAGAGTTGTAACAAAGAAAGATTAAAATACACTCAACGTAATTAGCTTTAAGGGCAGGGTGGACAAAATCTGAGAGAGTTTTTGAAGAGGAGAGAAGCAGATACAGTAAGTATCTCCGCATACCCAACATATGAGAATTTTAGGGCAGTGGAAAGGGATTGGGAAGGAGAAAAAACACAAGAGAGCTGACCTGAGCTCAAGTTAAGAAGAGACCAGGTTAAGGCTTGGAGAAAATGGCCCACCAGCTAGGAAAATCCTTTCCCAAGCAGGCTAGGTTTGATTTGGGGGCTGCAAACTAGAACAAGGTAATATCAGACATATTTTCTCTGCAGCATTCATTTAATATATACTTATTGAGTATCTACCATTTGCTACTTGAATTAGATATGCTTTCAGCCCTGGAAGAGTATACATGCCTACAGCGGGAGAAAAATGAGTAAAACAATGATGACAGTATAAAACGAAATACTATGGCAGGGTAGGTACCTGGGGCTTTGAGAGTACACAGGAGGGACAACTCTGAAAACAACCGCTGTGAGGTTTTTGAACCAGGCCTTTCACAGTAGCTGCCCACCACTCCCGGAGGAGATCTGTAAAGGAAAAAGATTACAGATTCTTCAGCTTGTGATTTCAAAGACAATTATACAGTACTATTTCCTCTACCTCTACAATTACAGAGTACTATTTCAAAGACAATTATATAGTACTGAGAGGTGACAACGTGCTAGCAGTCCTCGCTCTCTCTCCGCGCCTCCTCGGCCTCGGCGTCCACTCTGGCCGCGCTCAAGCAGTGGCCGCGCTCAAGGACCCCTTCAGCCGTCCGCTGCGCTGGAGGGGTCCCACTATGGGACTGGCCGAGGCCGCAGCCGGCTCCCTCTCCTCGCAGGGAGGTGTGGAGAGAAAGGCGCGGGCGGGAGCCGGTGCTGCACGCGGTGCTCACGGGCCGGCGCCGGTTCCGGGTGGGCGCTGGGCTAGGCGGGCCCGCACTCGGAGCGGCCGGCCGCGCCACCGGCCACCAGCAGTAAGGGGCTTAGCACCGGGGCCAGCAGCTGCGGAGGGTGCCCCGGCTCCCCCAGCACGGCAGGCCCGCCCGCGCCGCGATCGAATTCTCGCCGCGCCTCACCCGCCTCCCCGCAGGGCAAGGCTCGGGACCTGCAGCCCACCATGCTTGAGCCCCCTCACCGTTGGCTCCCGCGCGGCTGGAGCCTCCCCGACGGGCGCCGCCCCCTGCTCCACGACGGCCGGACCCATGGACCGCGGAAGGGCTGAGAAGTGCGGGCGTGGGGCGTGTGTCCGGCTGGCAGCTCCGCCAGCGGACCTACACCAGACCCACTAGGGAAGCCAGCTGGGTTCCTGAGTGGGGTGGGCACTTGGAGAACTTTTATGTCTAGCTAAAGGTTTGTAAATGCACCAATCAGCACTTTGTGTCTATCTCAAGGTTTGTAAACGCACCAATCAGCACCCTGTGTCTAGCTCAAAGTTTGTAAACGCACCAATCAGTGCTCTGTGTCTAGCTAATCTAGTGGGGACTTGGAGAACTTCCTTGTCTAGCTAAAGGATTATAAATGCACCAATCAGTACTCTGTGTCTCGCTCAAGGTTTGTAAACGCACCAATCAGCACCCTGTCAAAATGGGCCAATCAGCTCTCTGTAAAATGGGCCAATCAGCTCTCTGTAAAATGGGCCAATCAGCTCTCTGTAAAATAGACCAATCAGCAGGATGTGGGTGGGGTCAGATAAGGGAATAAAAGCAGGCAGCTGGTTTTTGTCCTCTTCCAGGCTGTGGAAATTTTGTTTTTTTGCAGTTTGCAGTAATCTTCCTGTTGCTCGCTTTTTGGGTCCGTGCTGCCTTTATGGGCTCTAACACTTACCATGAAGGTTTGCAGCTTCAGTCCTGAAACCAGCAACACCAGGAACCCACCAACTCCGGACACAGTACTATTTCTTCTACCCCCAAAGCCTAACTGCCATTATTTCTACTAGAATGCTATAAGCCTTACATTTAAAGATAAAAAATTTTCAAACACCTTCAAATTTTAAGAAAATATGTCACAGCTAAAGTAATCCACACAAATTAACCTCAATTTTTTTCTCTTTCTGATAATAGGGAATATGTGAGAGGGTCACTTGGGATAAGCCTTCTTTACTAGTAGTAGTAGTAGTGGTAGTAGTAGTAGTGGTAGTAGTATTTTGAGACAGAGTCTGGCTCTGTGGCCCAGGCTGGAGTGCAGTGGTGCAATCTCGGTTCACTGCAACCTCCGCCTCCCGCGCTCAAGCAATTTTCGGGCTCAAGCCTTCCGAGTAGCTGGGACTGCAGGGGCTCGCCACCATGCCTGGCTAATTTTTTTGTGTTTTAGTAGAGATGGGGTTTCACCATGTTGGCCAGGTTGGTCTCGAAACGCTAGCCTCCAGTTGATCCACCCGCCTCGGCGTTAAAAAGTGCTGGGATTATACAGGCGTGAGCCCTTGCGCCCCGCCGGGCCTTCTTTAAGCACTTGGTAAATGTCCGCTGGAATTCTGAAGGAAAAGGACTGATTCCCAGCTCCTGCAGTATTCTTCAAAAACACTAGGTGGTAGAAGCTCCACGGCATAGAATGTAAAGGACCTGGAGAGAAAACAATACCTGAACTTTTTTGGCCTTAAAAGTATTCACCTACTTTTAGTGTGTGTATGTGTGACAGAGTCTCGCTCTGTTGCCCAGGCTGGAGTGCAATGGCGCAGCTCACTGCAACCTCTGCCTCCCGGGTTCAAGCCATTCTCCTGCCTCAGCCTCTCGAGTAGCTGGGACTACAGGCATGTGCCACCATGCCTGGCTAATTTTTTTATTTTTAGTATTTTGTATTTTGTGTTTTAGTATTTTTAGTACAAAAATTGTACTGTTGGCTAGGCTGGTTTCAAACTCCTGACCTCAAGTGAACTACCCGCCTTTGCCTTCCAAAGTGCTGGGATTACAGGTGTGAGCCACCACGACCAGCTATTAACTTACTTTATAATTTGGGTGATGCGAGCAAATTTTCCTTCTGTTCTGTGATACTACCTACTCATAAGTCGGGGGAAATATACAACCAAGATGCGTTTGATAAAGTTGGCTGTGCTCTCTGCCAACATTCCCGCTAAAATATTATTTGTAAACTGACCCCTGGGGTTTCTTCACCTATTTCCTCCCAACCCTCATGGCTTCTGAAATTTCCCCCTCTTCCTTCAGCTCTCTTTTTGAGAAGGCTTAGGAATTTTATCCTCAGCAAGCTTATAAAATGCCAGAAGACCTAATTTAGGATTGTCCTTTTTCACCCAGGAAAAAGACTGGATTTGCAGACTAAGTGAATCATGCTATATGATCAATGAATTATCTCTTTTATCATTAGTTCTTGATTGATTGTGTTTTCAGGCTGTCGAGGAAAGGCAAGAATATGGCAGTTAAATCCGGATTTTGAAGTTAGATTGCCTGGATTCAAATCCAGGCTCAGTCATGGGCTGTGTAGCTTTGGGCATGTGACTTAACCTATTTGTTTCCTCACTGTAAAGTGGAGATAATACTAGAATATATCTCATAAGGTTGTAGTGAGGATTAAATGAATTACTATATATAGCACTTACTGCCTGACACATAGTAAGCACTATGAAAGTGCTAGCTGCTGAGGCAGGAGAATAGGGAATTAGGGTAACCAAGGGTTAATGCATAAGCAAAAGAACAGCAGGCGCAGATAGTTCTAGGCAAGATTAGGCAGCATACAGGCTACATCTTGGCTCCTGTGATAACAAGACAGAAGTTTCCGCTTCAATCTGTGATTGACTGCAGGGCAAGCCTCCACTTCAGCCTCTGGTTGGTCGTAGGCCAATCCTTCATAGGGTGTAACCAACTGGAGGCCTCCAAATGTTATGTAGGGGTGTTGCCCATGTTCTTTTGGCTTTATAAAAACCTTGGGGAGCATTTCAGTAGCGGGACTCTTGAGCTGCCTCTTGAAGCCCATTCCCAGTCTGTGGAATGTACTTTCACTACAATGAATCTGTGTTTTCATTACTCTATTCTTTTGTTGCTTTGTCTTTTGTTGTTTCTTTCTTTTGTTACTTTGTGTATTTTGTTCAATTCTTTGTTCAACACGCCAAGAACCTGGACAATTCACAGTTAAGAACTTCCCACCCAGTAACATTACCATTATGGATTCCTCTTTCAATATTTTATTAAGAAATTACAGCAAATTAGTGTGTAGTGTTGTTGCAGAAAATTAAATTCTATGCAAATATTTCAAGTTTGTTGGCTGAAAACCATTGCTGGTATTTCTGTGGAAATGAAGATCACAGAACAAATTACAATGTAAAAATAGTTTTAAAAAGTTAAATACATGAATTAGTTTAAAATGCAAGAACAAAGCAAAGCAAAAATTTGAAGAGAAAGTGAATAAAGTTTCCTAGACATCAAATGGTAAAATATCCCATATTGTTCCTGTTCAAAATCTTTAACCATTTAACCACCAGATACTATCCAAAATTGTTTATCCCCCTACCATAGTCTTCAGTGTTTATGTCTGCCCACAATTCATATGTTGAAACTCTCATCCCCAAAATGATGGCATTAGGAGGTGGGGCAAGGCAATTAGGTCATGACAGTGGAGCCCTCCTGGATGGGATTAGTGCCCTTAGAAAAAAGACCCAAGAGAGATGCCACACTCCTACTACCATGTGAAGGCATAGCAAGATTACGCCTATGAACCAGAAAAAAAGTGTTCTTACCAGAAACCAAATCTGCCTTTATCTTGGACTTCCCAGCCTCCAGAACTGTGGGAAATAATTTCTGTTGCTTATAAGCTACTCAGTTTATGGTATTTTGTTACAGCAGTCCAAATGAACTAAGATACCACCATGTATACATACACATATACACACTATATATGTGTGTATATACACACACATATACACACTATATATGTGTGTATATACACACACATATACACACTATATATGTGTGTACACACACACACACACACTATATATGTGTGTACACACACACACACATACACACTATATATGTGTGTACACACACACACACATACACACTATATATGTGTGTACACACACACATATACACACTATATATGTGTGTACACACACACACATATACACACTATATATGTGTGTACACACACACACATATACACACTATATATGTGTGTACACACACACACATATACACACTATATATGTGTGTACACACACACACATATACACACTATATATGTGTGTACACACACACACATATACACACTATATATGTGTGTACACACACACACATACACACTATATATGTGTGTACACACACACACATACACACTATATATGTGTGTATACACACACACATATACACACTATATATGTGTGTATACACACACATATACACACTATATATGTGTGTATACACACACATATACACACTATATATGTGTGTATTCACACATATACACACTATATATGTGTGTGTATACACACATATACACACTATATATGTGTGTATACACACATATACACACTATATATGTGTGTATATACACACACATATACACACTATATATGTGTATACACACACATATACGCACTATATATGTGTGTATACACACACATATACGCACTATATATGTGTGTATACACACACATATACGCACTATATATGTGTGTATATACACACACATATACGCACTATATATGTGTGTGTATATACACACACATATATGCACTATATATGTGTGTGTATATACACACACATAAATACACTATATATGTGTGTGTATATACACACATATATACACTATATATGTGTGTGTATACACACATATATACACTATGTGTGTGTACACATACATATATACACTGTGTGTGTACACTCACATATATACACTGTGTGTGTACATATATACACTATGTGTGTGTACACTCACATATATACACTGTGTGTGTACATATATACACTGTGTGTACACTCACATATATACACTGTGTGTGTACACACATATACACTGTGTGTACACACATATATACACTGTGTACACACACATATATACACTATGTACACACACATATATACACTGTGTACACACACACACGCACTGTGTGTGTGTACACGCACACACGCACTGTGTGTGTGTACACGCACACACGCACTGTGTGTGTGTATATACGTATATACACCATATATGTGCGTATATACGTATATAGTGTGTGTACATATGTATATATACACATATAGTGTGTGTATATATGACTTTGATATATATTTCTATATGTCTTAGACATATATAGATATACACATATATCTATATATAGACATACACATATACGTATATATAGACATATATGATATTGGTCTTTTAAAATCTGGCTATAAAACTTTTCCCAGACATACTCCTCTATTCAGTGGGAACCACCTACTCTATATAAAATTCTAGGACCCTTGCCTATTTAAATTCTTAACTCTTCTCAGGGCACACACAAGAATATACTTTATAAGACTTCTTTCCTGATCAGAGACAAAAGTGATTGGTCCATCCTTATTTACGTCCTGCCTTACTCAGTAAGATATTTAAATCAGCTTTTGATGTGCATTAAAGCATAAGAAGCTTTTCAATTCTTTAACTATATTTTAATGTTAGACATAGTTTAAGCCAAAATGAACCTGAGGCCAGCTGACACCTTTTAACAAGCCCAAGTAGGGAGACTAATAAAAACAGCCTGTAAGGCCAGGTGCAGTGGCTCACATCTGTAATCCCAGCACTTTGGGAAGCCAAGGTGGGCAGATCACCTGAGGTCAGGAGTTTGAGACCAGCCCGGGCAACATGGTGAAACCCTGTCTCTACTAAAAATTCAAAAATTAGCCAGGTGTGGTAGTGCTCACCTGTGGTCCCAGCTACTTGGTAGGCTGAGGCACGAGAATCGCTGGAACCCAGGAGGCGGAGGTTGCAGTGAGCCGAGATCGCACCACTGCACTCCAGCCTGGGCAATAGAATGAGACTGTGTCTCAAAACAACAACAACAAAACAGCTTGTAAGGCACTCTTGTCTATTGCCGACAGGTATGCAAAATGGAACAACCTTTTAGAAGAACTGGACAAGATCTAGCAATGTTGATGTCATCCACCCTGGCCCAGCAATTCCACTTCTAAAAAGCCATTTTGACAAATGCACAAGGCAGTTCATCACATTCATTATTTGTAAAGGCAACGGTCTGAAAACAACTCAAATGTCCATCAGTAGACTAGTTAAAAACCTATGGTATATCCACACAGCAAAGTGCTGTGCAACTGTAAAAAAGAGTAAGAATGATCTCAATATATTGATATGGAAAAATCTCCAGAACATATTAAGTGAAAAAAAGTGTTTTTGTAGTATGCTATCCTTTTTGTAAGAAAATGGAGAAAATGGTATTTTATTTTAAAAATGAAACAATGAAACCAACATCTAATAAAAGTTATTACCTATAGAGAAATAAACTGAACATGGTGGAAAAGATGAAAATGCAGAAAAAATTTCTGTGAATGCATCTTGTCATATAGTTTCTACTCTAGAGTCAAGTAAATATTATATGTAATTAAAAATTAAATCAAAAAGTATATCCCTAAAAATTAAAAGCTGAATCAAAATAACCTAACTATACATTCATTAGGTTATTAACCAAAGAAAAGGATTACTTCATTTGACTCTAAAGCCAGTGTTCGTATCATACATCCTTGTAAAATATAATTTAAGGATGGAATAATAACAGTCTTAACTTTTGGTCTTATTATTTATTGGTAGTATTTATAGCTATATCAGTATTGCTAATTTGAAACTATTATACATATGTTGTAAGATAAATCAAATAGGTAATTATGTCAATGTTGCTAGACCAATATTTTCAGACTAAAAAAAGATATATGGCCGGGCGCAGTGGCTCACGCCTGTAATCCCAGCACTTTGGGAGGCCAAGGCAGGTGGATCACGAGGTCAGGAGATGGAGACCATCCTGGCTAACAGGGTGAAACCCCGTTTCTACTAAAAATACAAAAAATTAGCCGGGTGTGGTGGTGGGCACCTGTAGTCCCAGCTACTCGGGAGGCTGAGGCAGGAGAATGGCATGAATCCAGGAGGCAGAGCTTGGAGGGATTGGAGTGAGCCTAGTTTGCGCCACTGCACTCCAGCCTTCCAGCCTGGGAGACAGCGAGACTCCGTCTCAAAAAAAAAAAAAAAAAAAAAAGATATATTAAAATCAAAGCATTTAAGTAAAAGCCCTTTACCTCTCTCTTAAAAATTAAAAAAATAAAAAATAAAGTATTTCCTGACTCTGCCTACTGAATAGCCTATAAGCAAGGACAAATGAGAAAGCACCCCTAGCACCCATACTGGGATCTCTAAATACCTTTCCCTAGCAGAAGGTATCATGGGCCCTTAAAGGAATAGGTGATTCTGGATTTGGGGAAGAAAATGTAAAAGAACTAAAACACAAGGATACCTGAATTTGATACCTGAATTGTGGTTACAGGAGAGAATATCTTTTTTCTTAAGACACATACACTGAAGTATTAAAGCATAAAAGGACATAATGTATTCAACTGACTTTCAAATGGCTTGAAAAAAATGAGAAAACATTCTAAAAACAAATGAAGCCAAATGCTCAAAATTGGTTAATCTTGGAAAAAGTATACAAGAGTTTTAACAACTTTTCTGTATATTTGACAATATTTTAAATTATTTCAAATAATTTAATAATTTGTTGGTACTTTTTCTTAAAAAAAGAAAGGAAACTTTCAATGGAACTTAGTGGGTATCCACAGGACTAAGATGGACAATTAATTGAAATGCATGTATTGAAACAGATACGTAAAAATTTTTGGTTTCATGATACTTAATCATCGTTGAAGGTTGCTAGGTCAGCAGTTCATTACTCTGAAGATTGAGAAAGGAATGAATTAAACATTTTCCCCTGCCATTCTTGTATATAATGTATCTCAGAGTAACCAGATAAGTGATGGATGAGGAAGTGCTTTCCTTTATGGGATTCCAGCTAATAAATGCAGAAGAAATGACAGAATTGGAAAAATCACCATTTGTAACTCCTAATGTAGTATTAGGTTTGGTGCAAAAGTAACTGCGGTCTTTGCCGTTACTTTAAAAGGCAAAAAGCACAATTACATTGGCACCAACCTAATAACAGATCCAGTTGTGGCCATCAAGAGCCGCTAAAACCATCAGGAGAGAGTTTGATGGGGAACTTGATAATGGAGGGATCAGGTTAACACCTGAAACTCACGCCTAAAAATTAATCCTAACATAACTAAAAGTGAGATAACCAGACATAATATACCTTATGATGCAATGCAATAGGAAATATATACTGCATCAATTATGCTTGACAAAAAAAAAGAACATGAATCTAAACAAAAGTCTACATCCACCTATACCAATTAAAAAAAAAAAAAAACTAAATCCAGCATGTGGGGCAATCTACTAGGCAAATGGCCTAATTTCCTCAACAAATACATGGCATGAAAAAAAGGGGGTGAGAGGTAGTGACTGGTAGAGATTAAAAGGGATTTAAGAGACATAACAGTCAAATACAATGAATAAACCTCATTTAGACCCAGAATTAAAGCAACCAATGGTAATCAAAAAAATTTTTGAGATAATCATGGAAGTTTGAATATAGACTAGGTACTAAATATTAACAAAAGTAGTAACTTTTCAGTGTGAATATATTAGTGTGGCTTATAGAAAAGTTTTTTGTTATTTTTAGAATAAAATTTTAAAGTGTCCTTATCAGTTAGAGAAGCAGCCTCATTTATTTACTGGTTATATCACATGATGTCTGGGATTTTCTTTAAAATATTCCAGCAAAAACAAAAGTGGAGTGAATAGATGAAATAGGATTAGCAAAATGTCATTAATAGTTGACGCTGGGAGATGGGTGTGTGAAGGTTTCATTTCTATTAAAAAGAAAAAAAATAAAAAGCCTGGAAGACATATCAAAACTCACTTGAGCTGTTCTAATACATATTGTCTTCTCATCACACCACTCAATTTTACTCCTAGACTTGAGTTCTGGCTCTGCACTGGAGGGTTTTGTTTTTTTTTGTATTCCATTACCAGTCTATTGCTGACTCCTAAAATCTACTCATCACAGTTTTCCACATTAGAGTTGAAACTTCCACCCCTATCGGGGACTGTTGTGTGGTGGGGGGAGGGGGGAGGGATAGCATTAGGAGATATACCTAATGCTAAATGAGGAGTTAATGGGTGCAGCACACCAACATGGCACATGTATACATATGTAACAAACCTGCACATTGTGCACATGTACCCTAAAACTTAAAGTGTAAAAAAAAAAAAACTACTGCAGCAGGAAAAAAAAATCAACAATATAAACATTTTTCTTATTTGCCTGAAAAAAAAAAAAAAAGAAAAAGAAACTTCCACCCCTATTACTGCCGCAAAGGAGAGGACCATCTAGTAATTTTATGAAAGAACCCAAGAGACATAACTAGACCTCTGCCAGACTAGCACTTTTCTCTATTCTCCCTTCCAGGGGGAAAAAAATCTGAGGTGACTTTTACATTCCTCTAGTGGATTGTGGGATATGTCTTTAAACTCCTTTAAATAACTCCTTTACACCTTCCACCATGTCTTACACATACTAAACTCTCAATACTGTCAGCTGACCAATTTTACAATGACTTCTGGGTAATGTGAAAGCTATTTCTGCATGCATTAGAATAAAAAGGCAAAACTAAAAAAGCATCTATGTGGCCAAGAAATCTCAATTTCAATATTTTAATGTGTACTCCATTCAAAATGCATTATTTACATTTTCTGTGTCATCTATAATACATTTTAAACACTTCAGGATATGTCTGTTAAGTTCCAACTTCAACTCTAGGAGTTGCTCTCATCAAGAATGCAGTTGACGTCCTTAATATCAAAAGAAAGGCAATCAGTGTATCAAAAAGATGTCTGCACTCCCATGTTGATTGCAGCACTAGTCACAATAGCCAAGATACAGAATCAATCTAAGTGTGCATCAGTGGTTGAATGGATAAAATGTGGTACATATGTACAATGGACTATTCAGCCATAAAAAGAATAAAATCCTGTCATCTGAAGCAATAGGATAGAAATGAAGGACATTATGTTAAGTGAAATAAGCCAGACAAATATTGCACGCCCTCACTCATATAGGAGCAATAAAAACTTGAACTCATGGAGGAAGAGAATAGAATGATGATTACCAGAGACTGGGAAGGGTAGTGGGGAAAAGGGAAAAGAGGGGATGGTTAATGGGTACAAAAATACAGTTAAATGGAATAAGACCTAGTGTTTGGCAACACACACGGGGCCTGTGGGGGGGGACAAAGGAAGGGAGAGCATCAGGATAAGTAACTAACGCATGTGGAGCTTAATACCTAGGTGATGTGTTAATAGGTGCAGTAAACCACCATGGTACACGTTTACAAATGTAACAAACCTGAGGTCTTCCACATGTATCCTGGAACTTATAATAAAATAATTTTTTTTTTAAAAAAAATCTAGTGTTCGGTAGCACAATAGGGAAACTATAGTTAACATTAATTTATTGCATATTTCAAAATAACGAAAAGAGTAGAATTGGAATGTTCCTAACACAAGTGATAAACGTTTGGGGTGATGGATACCCCAGTTACCCATTTGATCACTGCATATTTTGTATCAAAATACCATCCGTACCCCATAAGTATGTACAACTATTATGTATCATAGCAAATTATTTTTATAATTTTTTAAAAGACTGGAGTTAACAGGTGGCTAGCTAGCATTCTATCTAGGAAATTCATGCTGAAAGCAACTTCAAGTACTCCTGTTATCTATCCATAATCTAATCAGTATCCAATGCTTTGTTAATTAGCATATTAAATGTCGGGAGCATTTCTTGGGGAAGTGGCTCATCGACTACAATATCAAAAAGTTGCTCTTGACCTGGCATGGTGGCTCTTGCCTATAAATCCAGAAATCCAGCACTTTCAGAGGCCGAGGTGGGAGGATGACTTGAGGCAAGGAGTTCCAGAACACCCTGGCCAACATAGCGAGACCTCATCTCTACAAAATAAAAATTAAAAAAATTAGCCAGGTGGTGGCCCACACCTGTACTTCCAGCTACTCAGGAGGCTGAGGCAGTAGGATCATTTGAGTCCAAGAAATGGAGGCTGCAGTGAGTGGCCAAGACTGTGCCACTGCCACTGCACTCTAGCCTGTGCAACAAAGTGAGACTATCTCAAAAAAAAAAGAAAAAAGGAAAGTTACTTTTACTCATAAAGACTGAATCCATTCAGGCCTGTAATTTGCCACTTCCTAAGAAAAGGCACCCAAGTCTCAACTGCTTGTTTCTTTGATTGCTGGTTACCCGATGCTGACCATAAAAGTAATGAAATCCTCTTGGATATTACTATGTCTGCCTCGAGTAAACCTTTCTTAAAAGGCTGGTTAGAGAATCTAAAAGAACAGAAAGCTGGGACTGCAATGGGCTTACTGAACACTTTTACTCCTGTTATACTTATGAATGTTTCTTTAGTAAACGTCTGAATGTGTGGCAGAATTTGGCCTATGACATATTTTCTTTTTTTTTTTGAGATGGAGTCTTGCTCTGTTGTCCAGGCTGGAATGCAATGGCGCCATCTCGGCTCACTGCAACCTCTGCCTCCCAGGTTCAAGCGATTCCCCTGCCTCAGCCTCCTAAGTAGCTGGAATTACAGGCATACGCCAACATGCCCAGCTAATTTTTGTATTTTTAGTAGAGACGGGGTTTCAGCATGTTGGCCAGGCTGGTCTCAAACTACTGACCTCAGGTGATCTGCCCGCCTCAGCCTCCAAAAGTGCTGGGGTTACAGGTGTGAGCCACTGAGCCAGGCCGGGCCTAAGACATGTTTTCACTGTAACCTGCTAATGAAGATGTAAAGGAGTGGCTACTCTATGGCTACTACCTATCTATGCATAAAACCCTAAGAGCTGAGCATGACAAAGTTAGCTTGGTTCAGTTCACAATTATCATATGACATATACAAAGTAGATTTTTCATTTTTATTTTAAACATTTTACATTAAATGAAATTTAACCATAATAATTACAGAACATTACCACAATGATACACACAAATAACCTTTAAAATAAAAAAGAATACAATTCTTAACTAGTTAAATGACACTTTAGTGTGTAAACATAAATAAAATAAAACCCTGATGCTAAAAAGGTACATGTTCAGAGGTAAAATACATATACAAAAACATTTAAACTAACATAATCCACAACTAGATCACATTCTTTGCAAGAGAGTACAAATATTAGTACTCTACAGCTACAAAATTTCAGAATCCTGTTAAAATCAAAACCGTTGCTGGTTTATAATACACAGCACAATTCATAAGGCAAAAATATAGGCATTATCATCCAGTTCTTTAACTTCACTTGTATTTTAAGGCAAACTTGGAACTTTTTGCTTAGTATTTAAAAATAAATGGGACTTACACATAACTTGACAAAATTAACAATAAGTTATCTCTAGTAAAGATGTATAATATAAAAGACATATGGATAACAATTTTTCTCTCTGCAGAGATGTAAACTGGATTTTTATTTGACTCCATATTCACACCAGTAGGAAAATTTGTAAACCTATTGTATTAAAAATGTATTGTATTCCTCACTCTTTTCAAATGTGTATCAACACCAAATCAATGTACTGTAAGTGAAAATCCAGTACATATCCAGCCATGGAATAATTGTTATCTAATTAAATCATGTCTAATTAAAGTGCTGTTTACAAAGGGAAAAAAGGTTAAGAAGTAGAACTGGATGTTAACTTGACATGTGACATCTTATAATTCCTTAACTTTTAGACTACAGAGGTTATGAGGTTATCACAAGTTTACTGAACTTTAAGCAGTAAGTGTTTATTGTAGAATCTGATTTTCCTGAAAATGAGCACTTAGGTGACAATACCAGGAATCCAACACCAAAACTGAAAATAAACACAACATGTACATATATTTCTCTCAATGTCAGCCAGAGTCTTGATACTACAGGAAATATATATATTTAAAATTTCTATAGTTTTCTTACTAGAAAATACATTATCCAATTCTAGGAGATTTGGAGTTCTATAAATATTAGGTTTTTTAATATTTCTTTTTCATGCCAATAAAACCTAATTGGACACTAAGGAATTGCTTATGCATAAACTAGGTCTCTAATCACTTCTTACGATGTCAGAGATAAGGAATTAGATTCATCCTTCACCAAAATAGTTATTAGGGTCTCTCCCACTATATTTTACTCTCTTTGAGTGAAAAAGAGTATATCTCTCTAGCTCCCACAGCATCTAACAGAATATCTCATACATATAGCAAACCCTCCATATGTGTTAAATTATCAAAATAAAATTTCAAAACCTAATGCCATTTTCCTATCACTTGATACCACTTCCTATAATTTAATATTCACTCACATTTAAAACAATAACAGCAATAACACAATTTATAAATATCCTTGGAGCTACATTAAAAGCCACTTACATTCTATTACAACATCCAATGATTATTGAATAGCCAAAGGTGCCTAACAGATTAAGTTGTTATAATTATAGAAGGCAAGTATCTTGCAACTGATTACATTAATTTCTATTTCCCAGTGCTGCTCTTTTCCAAAATATTTCTGGGAAATCTTAAATAGCTTTTCTCTTCTTGCCTGAATATGTAAAATTATTTCTAATACTTTTAATCCTGAGGATTTATAACCAAACATTTTGATCCTTTTTAACATAGAAACATGTGGCTTTAAATTCACAATTTGTCAGCAGAGTGTTCATAATGAAACTTCTCACAAATTTGTAAAAGAAGGCGCTAATGTAAACATATTAGTTGTCAGGTCAGATTAGTAGCTCTGGTTGTTACGAATAATACAGTAGGTTAAGCAATCCTAAAATAAATATACTTCTAAATTTTGAACATTTTTCCTCTTCCTTTCACAGATTTTCATAATTTGTTCACTGGTGTATGGCTCCTACTACTACTGCCCAAGATATTTCACATTTAGTCTTCATCAAGATGAAATTTAGATTTTTCAAAAACAATGACCAGTATATGTTTTTGATCTAATTTACCAAATGATTATACACTAATTTGATAGTGGAGATGATACATGAGTAAAATATTGTTAAAATACAATGTATAGAATAGATGTGTTTATAATTAAAATCTTTTTTTTTTTTTGAGGTGGAGTTTCACTCTTGTTGCCCAGGCTGGAGTGCAATGGTGCAAGCTCGGCTCACTGCAACCTCTGCCTCCTGGGTTCAAGTGATTCTCCTGCCTCAGCCTCCCAAGTAGCTGGGATTACAGGTACCTGCCACAATGCCCAGCTAATTTTTTGTATTTTTAGTAGAGACGGGGTTTCACCATGTTGGCCAGGCTGGTCTCGAACTCCTGACCTCAGGTGATATACCCGCCTTGGCCTCTCCAAGTGCTGGGATTACAGGCGTGAGCCACTGCGCCCGTCCTAAAATCATTTTCCACAGTCTTTCAAATTCCCTTATCTTTTGGGAATAGGGGATTAAAAATAGTATAATAGGATATATTTAATAATTTGATTGCTATAAACAAAGAAAACTGAATTGGGGATTTAAAACTAAATATGTGATGAATCTATTTTAAACTGCTTTTCTTTAAATAAAGTCTGGGCCAACTACAATAGTGCACCTATTTCTATGCAATAGATTTATTCAAATCAATGAAAAAGTTATTGCTATATATTATTATGTTATTCAGACAAGCAACATAGAAAATACTCAGACTATCAATTGTTATTAGTTGCTCCTGTTGAGTTCTAAATTAGAAGAGACTAAAAATCACTTGCAAGGTTTTATAATCTGTGCAAATATTCATAAAGCATGATACTACATTTATGATTAAAAATGATTTTACATAGTTTTGTAGTATATATTCAAATCTACAACTGGCAGTTTATGGAAGAACAAAGAACTGTAAATTGCCCGGCTATAGTATTCAAGAAATAAACATATATACTAACAAATGAACCTATGTTTTATAATTACAAATGGCTTCTTAACAATAGTCTAGAACATTATGGCACTTAAGAATATAATATGAATTTTTTTCTTAAGAAAAATTATCTTGCAGAGACTTTATAAGGAGATCGCAAACAGGTTTAAAAAAAATCAAGGAAAAGAAAATCAAATGACTACAGTTCCAAAATACAAGTACCGACATAATAATAAAATGCAAGTGAATGTGTTTAAGACTAACAGACATTTACTAAAACATGCTAAAATCAAATAAGTTAAACACTTTCTTTAAATAAGCTGTCACTGGCTACAGCAAACAATTTTGCTTTAAAAGATCATTTCTTTAATCAAAGTAGAACTCAACTTAGAACTATTACTCAAGTAAACATCGAGTTCCAGTTTTCCTCAATAACCTTAAAATATTCAGTTACCTAAGAAATGTACAAAGTAATGCATAACTGCCTAGTGCTTTATATTTAATGCATATATTTCTGTTTTTAAGAAAGACATGTAATATCTAGCACAAGAAGAAAGAAGATCAAAAGTGTAACTTTCTTTAAATCACTATTCAGGAACCATGAAAAGCATAACACAGGCCATTCTGATGATTTTTGGATGTTAACATTGGCGTAATCACTAACATTTTTAATAAGCACAAATGAATCAAGCCATTAAAAATGCAAAAGACTATCAAAACATGTCATGCATATCTCATACTGAACATCCAAAAGGACATCAGTTATAGCCTTGTTATAAATCCTACAGTTAGCACCATTTTATATCTGAACACTTTGAAAAAGCAAAGATCTTAAAAAACTAAAATTATAAGGATATATAAAAAAATTAATATGCACTAAGAATGGTACTAAACACTGCTCAAATATTTACATCAGCACTGGGAGGCCTGCTGTACTACTGAAGAAAAACTGAAACACCTGATATGCTTAAACTCCTATCCATGCTAACCATAGCATAGATAGGTAATTAAATTCATCCAACGTTAACCTGCCCATATACAAAAGGCATAAACAGTAAATATCTGATTTCCTAAAATAGGGCCCCAAATATCATGATAATAAAAGCAATTGTCTTAAAAATTTATTACATCCGTAGCCCTAAAACCATTTAGCAGGAAAGTATTCAGATGACTACCTATTGGCATGTTATTTACAACCTTTAAAAGTACCAAAATAAAAAGCAGCCCTTTGTTTGTTTTAAAACAAATGAAAAATGTGAAGCATTTACATCCAAGAAGCAGTATCAGCACTCTGTCCATTCATTCAATACACTCCAGCACCTAAAGCATCGCTCATCCTAGAAAATCATGGTTATCAGGGAAGGAGAGCTAAAATAAAAAAAAAAAAAAAAAAAAAGCAGCCACGTTTTGTCTACATGTACACTTATGAACATAAAACTAGTACATCTCAGTCTTGGGGGAAAAAGTGCAGAATTCAATTGGCAAAGTCTTTACTTTTTTTTTTTCTCTTTTTTCTTTTTGATTATTGATTTACTGTGTAATCAAGAGCAACCAAAACTACTTCTCAATTAAAAGTACCCAACAAAACTTTTGAGCCTTCATGCTACTTCAAGTTAAAAAGAAAGCAATGCAGCTTGTGGGTTTCAGAAAACTGGGCCATCCGGATGTTCATGCAGTACAAGTTTCACCACCATACTATTTCCGAGAGTTCACATTTGTCAAAGTGCAGTTAACCCAAAGTTGCAGCGACAGTATATCATGCCAGCTGAATCCAGCCACGTATCTGAGATAGGATCATATTTCTGCACTGTATTCAGATAGGAAGACCCTGAGTGACCACCGACGACATAAAGGTAGTTATCGATTACAGCAGCACCAACTCCTAGGAAAGGTTGGCAAAAAGAAGATAGAAACATGTTAACCATGAAGTATACTTTTTCTCACTAAAAATAAATTTGTATTTTAATGTTTTATTAAAATACATTTTAACAATCTATTATTAATTATACAGGCAATATACAGTAGTCCTCCCTTTATCTGAGTTTTTGCTTTCCATGCTTTCAGTTACCTGAAGTCAACCATGACTAGAAAATAGGGAGTACTGTACAGTAAGATATTTTGAGGGAGACCACATCCACATAACTTTTATTACAATATATTGTTACAATTGTTCTATTCTATTATTGTTGTTGCTAATCTCTTACTGCGCCTAATTTACAAACTAAACCTTATCATAGATATATATGTATAGGAAAAAATATTACATATATAGGGTTTGGTACTATCTGCAGTTTCAGTCCACTGGGGGTCTTGGAATATATATCTCCTGTGGGTATGGGGGGCCTACTGGAGCAATATGAGCTTGATGGAAAAACAAAATCCTTATAATAAAAGTAAGAGTTACTGAGGTGAGAGGATGGCTGGAGGCCAAAAGTTTGAGGCAGCGGTGAGCTATGACTGTTCCACTGCACTCCTGCCTGGCTCGACAGCCTAGGACCCTGTCTAGACACTGAAATAAAATAAATAAAAGCAAGAGTTGAAGTCTTCCTTTACCTCTCCTCTCTAATCCTACTCTTCCTTTCCCTTCACTACAGGAAAATGGAGTATATATCTTTCCATAGGCTATTTTTTTTTAATTTCATTTCATTCTAGAAAAATCATTTTATGAGGTTTTCAAATACATTGAAATATTTAAAATATATTAAATGACATAATTTATGCTTCTAAAAATTCTACTTTAGATATTATCTTATATAGTTCTAAAAAGAAACAGTTTACTCCAATTTTTAAAGTTCTCATTGTTTCTGTGGCTTTCCCTCTCAAGGATACAAAAGAAACAAATTATAGTAAACACTAAAACAGTTCATTTCAGCTTGTCTTTTCAGTTTCTCTTGCATGTTTGTTTCAAAAGGTTCTTTAATCATAAATATAGGTTGAACATCCAATACCCAAAAAATATGAAATCCAAAGTGCTCCAACATTTGAAACTTTTTTTTTTGAGATGGAGTCTTGCTCTGTCTCCCAGGCTAGAGTGCAGTGGCGCGATCTCGGTTCTAGCGATTCTCATGCCTCAGCCTCCCGAGTAGCTGACACTACAGGCATGTGCCACCGCACCAGGCTAATTTTTCATTTTTAGTAGAGATGGGGTTTCAACATGTTGCCCAGGCTGGTCTTGAACTCCTGACCTCAAGTGATCCTCCCACTTCGGCCTCCCAAAGTGCTAGGATTACAGGTGTGAGCCACACCGTGCCTGGCCCAACATCTGAAACTTTTTGAGCACCATATGATGCTCAAAGAAAGTGTTCACTTAAGCATTTCACACTTTAGATTTTTGAACTTGGCATGATCAACCTGGTAAGCATAATTCAAATATTCCAAAATCCCAAATCCAAAACCTGAAACACTTCTGGTCCTAAGCATTTTGGATAGGAAATATTCAATCTGTATGAGGAGTGCTCCCTAAAGCATTTCTGTCAGTATCTTAAAACCTTTCCCTTAAAATGATGTGATGAGTTTGAGTTCAAAGATAACAATTTTTCCTAAACCACAAAAGTGGATTTGTTTTGTTTCTACGAACTCTGAAATACAACCCTTTTTGATCAACTATACCCCCTGGGGAAGAAAGAACATTTGAAAGTGAACATACAGATTACTGATATACAATAGAAAACAAAACAGAACAATCCGAGGATTGTATGTATGTAACATATGAAAAGATGACATTTGTTACATGGACAAAAGGAGCTTCTATAAATACACACTCTAGTATAAGCATTTCCCAAAATGTATTCAGCAAGTTTGAGAAACAATAATATGCACATTGGCATATAAAAGTCACAATAAAGAAATCTATATACTTTTGTCTAGCTAATTGTCTTTCAAGTTTACCACATACAAGTCTTTTTTTTTTTTTTTCTGGACAAGTAATATTCCTACTGCTATATTCCAAGGAACTATTATTGCAAGCACATCATTATAGAAAACATTGCCTTACATGTTTAGAAATTAATAAATTCTTATTACCTGTTCTAGGTTCTTTCATTGGTCTACACACAGTCCACTGATTTTGATGAGGATCGTATCTTTCAATGCTGGACAAATGTGAGACTCCATTATGTCCACCCACCACAAAAATAAAGCCTAGCATGACACCCACGCCAAAGTGAATCCTTTTATCTGCCATGGATGCAACCATCTCCCAGGAGTCCTTACTTGGATCATAACGCTCCACACTGCAAATATTTAAAAAAAATTTAATTTACAGATCTTTTGTGTCATTCTTCCTGTCAAAGCAAAACTAAAACCCACTACAGCTTTAAAAGTTCACATAATAGAGAGATATTAAACAAGAGTAGTCTGCCACAAATGCTTAGGTTTTGCTGATAAGATTGCAAAGATAAAAGCTTACCTTGTAAACAAGGTGCAATTCCATATGCTATTCCATTATATTGTGCAAGCGGCAAAGTATATTAAGAGCATAGAACTTGGAGTCAGAAGACCTGGGTTCAAGTACTAATTCTGTATACCTAGGGCTGAACGAACCTTAACCCTACTGCTGTGGATTTGTGTAATCCTGAATAAGTCATTTCCTCTCACCTGCAAAAATGAGGATAGTGCAACCTGAAGGGATTCATATAAGAATAAAGTCAAATGAGTATGCACGTGACTTTGAAAACCACTAACTGAATACAGACTTTTTTTTTTTGTTCCTAAATTTTATTTATTTATTTTTGAGGCAGGTCTCGCTCTGTCACCTAGGCTGGAGTGCAGTGACAAGATCAGAGCTCACTGCAGCCTCAAATTCCGGGGCTAAAGTGATCTTTCTGCCTCAGCCTCCTGAGTAGCTAGGACTAAAGGTACATGCCCCCATGCCTGGCTTGAATACAGAGGTTTTTAGGATCTTCTATACAGTTAAGGGGAAAAGAAGAGGAAGAGAGGGGTGGGGGGTGGGGAGAAAAACCTTTATTTTTTTTCGTCACAGGAGAATTCATGTGGCTTACTGCAAAGCAATCACTGTAGATTGCATAGTACAAACTGGCTGATCATAATTATCTCAGGGTGATTTAGGAGTACTCAGGAATTTGAGTCAAGACTGTGTTTCAGAGAACGTGTGGCATTTCTAAGCTGCATTATGGAATCCAAATTAAATCAGAATTTTCAAAAAGGCTTCCCTAGAAAATTCTAGCAGCTGTTTAAGACTATGGTTTCCTCTGAAGGTGCACAAAGGCACAGAGGTAAGATTGTTGGGCTTGTTCTGGCCCTAACCTATTTCCTGAAAAAACCATAAGCATTTAACAGGCTGTGACACCATTCTGGAGTTCATAATAGAGACTGGGTAATGTTTCTGAAAGAACTCCAGGATAGAATCCATTAGACCAAAATCATTGAAGAAGAGTTGATGCACTGCAGCAAGACTTTCAAGATAATCAAATTTAAAATACTTAACCTTTTATCTTACAAATTTTGGGCAGAAGCTTTTCAAAGAATAGAAATGCATGTCTATGTCCCATATTTTTCCTTCAACTAAGGGCAAAAAATATAAATAAATAAAAGGAGGAATACTTTGGCTTCAATAGAAGTAAAAATTTACAGATGAAATGCTGTTGTGCCATCACTTTCTCAGTCAACAAACCTCAGTATTTGTAGAGGATTGGTTCCAGGATCCACCCCATCCCAAGGATACCAAAATTTGCAGATGCTCAAGTTCCTTATATAAAACAGTATAATATTTGCATATAAGCTACACGTATCCTCTTGTATACTTTAAATCATCTCTAGATTACTTATAATACTATGCAAATAGCTGTTATACTGTATTATTTTGTTTTTTATTATTGTAAATTTTTTCAAATATTTTTGATCCACAGTTGGATGGATCTGTGGATGTAGAACCCGTGGATATGGAGGGCTGACTGTATGCCCTGTCATTAAAATACTCACAATCAAAATAACACAAACCACTCTAATTACTATTAAAGATACAATCTTTTCTTTTCTTTCTTTCTTTTTTTTTTTTTTTGAGACAGGGTCTCACTCTGTTGCTCAGGCTGGAGTGTAGTAGTGCATTCAAGGCTCACTGCAGCCTCAACCTCCTGGGCTCAAGCAATCCTCCCACGTCAGCCTCCCAAAGTATTAGGATTACAGGCGTGAACCACCACACCTGGCCAAAGATAAAACCTTTGGAACATCAATTTTCAATAAAGGTTCAGAATTACGATTAATTTCTCATATAACTAGTTACTTCATACTTTTATTTTCTCATATATATTTCTCCTTTATTCAGATAAAACTACAGAATACAGATATCACAAATTCAAACTCCAGCACAAGTCAAATACCTGATGATACATGTATGATTACAGGAAAGAATTCAGAAAGGAATATTTAAATAAGGTTTTAAGTTTATGATGTGCTATAATATTGTATAGACACACAGGAATTAAATTTCTACTTCTTTATTCTATTAAGCAATACAATAAAAGATAATTTACATACTGTGCACATAGATGTACACACCACACAAAATCTAAAGTTGTCTAACTTCATCTTATTTTTAGGTTTCTGAGTTTTAAAATCTAGTCCATTTATAGTGAATGAATGTAAAATTTAATGAGAGGGATTTGATTGTTAGGTTTGTATTAAATTCCCATGTAAAACAATTACAATTATATCCATGGAGCAGATTAAGTTTCCCAAATGCCGGAAGTTCATTCATACACACAAATTGTTTAAAACTCAGAAATCATTGCTAATGAGACTTTTAAAAATCCATAAACATATGCAATTTAATTATTAAGTTAAATACCTGTTCATGTGGGCAGGACCATACCCACCAATGGCATATATCATTCCATCCAATACCGCTGCAGCAAAACAACTTCTTGTTGTCGTCATTGGTGCCACAGGTTGCCATTTTCTTATTTTGGGAATGTACTTCTCTACAGATTGTAAATAAGATTGTCCATCATAACCACCTAAGGCATAAAGTTCTCCTGCAAGTACTACTACTCCAAGAGTACTTCGGCTTTCATTCATTCTCTCTAGAGAAGTCCAAGTATTTGTATCAGGATTCCAGCATTCCACTGAATTTTCATGTTTTCTGATAGTGACGCCAGGACGCACATTAGTTGCAATACCACCTATAACATATACTTTTTGGTCTAAAACGCATATTCCAAATTCATAGCGAGGAATGTTTAGGGGTGCCAAACCAATCCAAGAGTCATTCTGAGGAAAGTACATCTCCACACTAAAGAATAAGCAGAAAAAATATAAAATTTAAAAACCAAAGTGGCCCATAAAGACAGATATGTTTAATCTTATTAGTAATCAGGGACACAAAAATTAAAAGCACAATAAACCATGACACACCTTCCAAAGTGGCAAAAAATATAAAGTCAGATAATAATTGTTGGCAAGAATGTGTAGCAAGAAATGCATACTCCGTTGGTGAGAGTGTAAACTTGTATAAATTACTCTGGAAAACAATTTTACATTATCTAAAAAAGTTGAAGATACATGTGTCCTGACTCAGTAATTACATTCCTATATATCTACTCTTCTGAATGTCTATTATAATTTTGCATCTAGATAAATATACACAAATGTTCACAGAAGCACAACACAATCATCCACCAAAAGAATGGTTAAAGTGTACTTTATGTGTCCTGTCTGAGCAACTCTACTGATGAAAAAGGCATGCATACATATATGTCCAAGAGTGTTTACTACAGTATTATTTGTAACAGCTCCAAAGTGGAAACAATCCAAATGTTTATCCACTATAAAATGGATAAATTGTGCCATATCATATAAAAGAATACTACATGGCAATGAAAGGAACAAACTATAGCTACATGTCGCTGGGGGAATCTTACACACATAATGTTGAGATAAAAAAGTCAAATTCAAAAGGATATCAATTAAGTTCAAAAACAGGTAAAACGAATCTCTGGATTAGGAATGAAGATAGTGGTCACTTTTGGGGAGGACAAGAAGGGAGCTCAAGGGTGGCTTTTGAGTGTTGGTCATACTCTGTTTCTTGAACTGGTTTGTAATGTTTACTTTGTGGTAATTCACTGAGCTGTACATTTGGGATTTGTACATTTTTCTGCATGTGTGTAACACTTTAATACTTAAAATTAAAATTTTTATTGTAGAAAGATAAAGTATATTATGCTCATACACTATATAACATATCAATTAAGTGAACCATTTCCTCATGCAATCTCACAGATGAATTTCACAAACATTGTTCAGTGAAAAAACATCTGAATAATATATATTACTGCACTTATATTAAAACGTGTAAAACCTAACAATATATTGGGGCACATTTAATATGTGGCAAAATTATAATGAAAAGCAAGGGAATAGTTCGTAAAAATTCAGGACAGTGGATACTTCTGGAGGAAGGGAGATGGCAGCAAGGAGGGGCACAGGGGGACTTCAGAAGTATTGTTAATAGTCTGTGAAGCTGGTTGATAGGTACTTCAGTATTTATTCTTGATACCCTGCACCCATATACTATATAATCTTTTGCATGTATGTATGTGTATGTGTATGTATATATATATGTGTGTATATATATATATCTTTACCCTCCCCCCGCAAAGTTGGGAAAAAGTAGCTAATGTCCCCAAACTCAATAATGTAACAGCATAAAAAAAGTCCTCCATCCAGTATAATCAAGCTATATTCATTCACTCAATAGTTACAGAATTCCTATTTAAAGTCAGTTTTTATTATAATACTTGTTTTAAAAATATGAATTTGATGCAATGATATATGATGGAGTAGTCTGACCCTAACAAGGTTTAAAAGAGAATGGGAGATAAGGAAGTGAAAACAGGGGGTATAACTTTCCAATGATTTTTACTATAATGAGTAAAATAAATATGAGCAGATAGCTATGAAGTGGGGCAGAGAAAGACCATGGGACCAGAGGGGATTAATTTAACCTGGAAGCTTAAACCAAAATGTGTTTGCATGCTGATGGTAATGATACATATAGTACAGAGGGAGAAGATGATGATATAGGAGAGAGATAGGATAAATGGAAAAGCAAAGTCTTTGTGTAATGCAGAGTGAATGAAATCTAGTGAATAAGTAGAGAGGTGGAAGGGTTGGTCTTAGAAATAACTTGGCAGATTTGGTGTTGGGAAGATGAGGTAGTTCTCTTCTGGTTGCTTCCATCTTTTCAGTAGAATAAGAGGTAAGGGGAAGGGTTTGTGGATGTTTTTAAGAGAGCAGAAGGTGTCAGACATGAGGGAGTGAAAGAATAAACTGATTAAGGAAATGTAGAGTAGTTACTGGGGAGTGCTGAAGGCTCCATGTGAGACAAGTTAAAATGGGTATGTAGGTTTCTCCAGTTACATTCTGCTGCTCAGATGTAGCCATGGCCTAAGTGGAGAATTGAATTTAACTAGATGAGTATGACGGAGGAACAGAAAGGCAAAGGGGCCATGGCGTATTTAAAGGAATGATGACTGTGATGTTTCTCGAATCTAAGCTAGGCAAGATGGAAGATAAGAACGTGTGGTGGTTCAAGAGCAATCAATTCTACTAACTGATTATGGGGCCAATGGATGAAGAATCCTGAAAGGGACAAAGACTCATTGGAGGGTGTGTACTGAAAGAAATAAGCTGGCAAGAAAAAACCACTGTCAAAGAGTGGAATGTGTGAACCAAGATTTTTGAATGTGTTGAAGTCACTGGTAATAACAAAGGCTGGCATCTGAAGTAGGAACAGTCTAGGACTGAGCCCTTAACCTGTAGGATATGGTTAACTCTTAAGACTTAGTGTCAGAATTGAATTGTTTTTTTTGTTTGTTTTTTTCTTTTTTTTTTTTTTTGAGACGGAGTCTCACTCTGTCGCCCAGGCTGGAGTGCAGTGGCGCAATCTCGGCTCACCACAACCTCCGCCTCCCAGGTTCAAGTAATTCTCCTGCCTCAGCCTCCTGAGTAGCTGGGATTACAGGCATGCACCACCACCCTCAGCTAACTTTTTTTGTATTTTTAGTAGAGACAGGGTTTCACTATATTGGCCAGGCTGGTCTCGAACTCCTGAACTTGTGATCTGCCTGCCTAGGCCTCCCAAAGTGCTGGGATTACAGGCGTGATCCACTGTGCCCGGCCCAGAATTGAATTGTTAAATACCTAGTTGATGTCAGAGAATTGGAAAATTGGTTGGTATGAGAGTAAGACTTCTCAGTGATAGTAAGACTAAAGGTTATGATGATGGATTATCTGTAAGTTATGGATTTCTGGAGATGATTTAGCTAAATACATACAACATACAATGTCATTAGTCCTTATGGTCTTTTGATGGTGTCTTAGTTCATTTTCTGCCGATATAACAGAATACTACAGACTGGGTAATTTATAAAGAACAGGAGTTTATTTGGCTCAAGGTACTGGAGGCTGGGAAGTCCAAGAACATGGTGCTAGCATCTGGGAAGGGTCATCTCATGGTAGAAGACATCACATGGATAGCTAGCAAGCCTGTGCACAAGACAGAGAAAATGGCAGCCGGACTTATCCTTTTATTAAGAGCCCACTCTAGCAATAACTCACTCACTCCCACCATAATGGTATTAACCCCTTCAAGAGGGTGGATCCTTCAGGGTCTAGTCACCTATTAAAGGCCCCACCTCCTAATACTGTTCAATGGCAATTACATTTCCAACATATGAACTTTTGGGGAACACTTTCAAACCATAGAATTTTGCCCCTGGCCCTCAAAATTCGTGTCCTTCTCACATGCAAAATATATTAATTCCATCCCAATAGCCCCAAAAGTCTTAACTCATTCCAGCATCAACTCAAAAGTCCAAATTCCAGAGTCTATCTAAATCATATATAAGCGAGAGTCAAGGCATGATACATCCTGAGGCAAATTCCCTTCCTGCTGTGAGCCTGTGAAATCAAAACAAGTTATTTACTTCCAAAACACAATGGTGAGAAAGGCAGAGAATAGATATTCTCCTTCCAAAAGGGAGAAAAAGGAAATACAAAGAGTAAGAGGGCCCAGGTAAGTCCAAAACCCAACAAGGAAAACATTGTCTTCTTTTTTTTTTTTGAGACTGAGTCTCGCTCTATCGCCCAGGCTGGAGTGCAGTGGTGCAATCTCGGCTCACTGCAAGCTCCGCCTCCCGGGTTCACACCATTCTCCTGCCTCAGCCTCCCGAGTAGCTGGGACTACAGGCGCCCACCACCACGCCCAGCTAATTTTTGTATTTTTAGTAGAGATGGGGTTTCACTGTGTTAGCCAGGATGGTCTCAATCTCCTGACCTCGCGATCTGCCCGCCTTGGCCTCCCAAAGTGCTGAGATTACAAGCGTGAGCCACCGCGCCCGGCCGAAAACATTAAGTCTTAAAGCTGGTGAATAATCTCCTTCGACTCCATGTCCTACTTCCTGGATACACTGGGGCAGGAGTTGGGCCCCCAAGACCTCTGGCAGCCCTGTCCCCATAACTTTGCTGGGCTTAGCCCATACAGCTCTCACTGGTTGGAATCTTGTGCCTACAGTTCTGACAGGCTGACGTTGCACACTACTTGCACTACAGTTCTGTGTTTTTTGGGGGTGGCCCCATTCCCATGACTCCCCTAGCCATTGCCCTAGTGAGGGTGCTCTGTAGTGCTTCTGCCTCAAGACAGGTTTCTGCTTGCCCCCTGTGCTATCTGCAACACTCTTACAGTAGGAGAAGGTAGCCATGCCCCCATAACTCTTGTAGTCTGCAAGCCTGTAGAGTTAACATCACATGGCCAACACCAAAGCTTACTACTTGTGCCTTCTAGAGTAGCAGCCTGAGCCACATCTGGGCCTATTTGAGCCACAGCTGGGGAAGCTACACTAGAATGTGGAGAGCAGACTCCCAAGGTGGCCATGGGCAGTGAGCATGTGGAGGGTGTCCCAGGCTGATTCCCCCAAACCATTCTGCCCTCCTAGTGTTCTGAGACTACAACGGGAGGTACAGCCTCAAAGATCTTAAAATGCCTTCAGGGCCTTTCTCCCATTGTCTTGACTAGCACTTGGCTCCCCTGTAACCACACTCATCTCTTTAGCACACATCCTTGGTTTACTTTCCTAAAAGATACCTTTTCACTTTTTACATGGTCAAGCTGCTAATTTTCCAAGTCTTTCTGTTCCGCTTACCATTTAATTATAAATTCCATTTTTAAATCATTTCTTCCCTCTCGCACCTTACTATATGCAGTTAAAAGCAGCCACAAAGCAGCCTGAATGTTCATCGCTCTGAAGTTCTGCATTCCATAAAGTCCTAGGAAACTGATGCAATTCAGCAAGGGTCTTTGCTAATATATAGCAAGGATGGCCTTTACTCTCAGTTTCTGCTTGAGACCTCATCAGAATAGCTTTACTGTGCACATTTCTATCAACATTCTGATCATGCCCACTTAAGTTATCTCTAAAAAGTTCCAGAATTTCCCTATGGCCTCTTCTTCTGAGCCCTCACCAGAATCACCCTTAACATTCTATTCACGGCAATCTAGGCTTCTTCCAGACTCCTACTTAAAATTCTTCCAACCTCTACCCATTAACCAGTTCCAAAGCCACTTCCATATTTTCAGATATTTGTTTTAACAATGGCCCCACTTTTTGGTACCAGTATTCTGCCTTGGCCCATTTTCTGCTGCTAATACAAAATACTGGGTAATTTATAAAGAACAAAAGTTTATTTGGCTTTCAGTTTTGGGGGCTGTAAAGTCCAAGAGCATGATGCCTGCATCTGGGAAGGGTCATCCCATGATGGAAGACATCACATGAAGTGCAAGCGAGTATGTATGTGAGACAAAGAGAAAATGGAAGCAGGACTTATCTTATTATCAGGAGCCCACTCCTGAGATAACTAACCTACTCTCACAATAATAGCATTAATCCCTTCATGAGAGCAGAGCCCTCATGGCCTAATCACCTCTTAAAGGCCCCATCTCTTAACATTGTTCCAACAGCAATTAAGTTTCCAACACATGAATTTTGGAGGGACACATTTAAACTATAGCAGAGGGCAATAATAATCAGTTCTAATAAGAGTTTCATTCTTGAATTAGACCTGTGGTTTATAGTGTTGAGATGAGTGATGTGGCTGAATGTCCATTCAACATTTAACATATTTGCACAACTATTCAAAAAATGCTTTCAATGTATTGCCATCCTTATGACTCCTTATGTATAAGTAGAAACAATACAGTTCTCAGAGCTTCCCCAATTTTCTTAAGTTACCTACCCAATCCCCACTTTCTTCTCTAGCAGGCCTCCTCTCTTAATTAAAGAAAAAAACTAAAGCCATTGGACAAGTGCTGTTTTAAACCCTTGCTTTCAACCCCCCCGCCAGCCAGTAAACCTCAATTGTCTTGAGGCATAAAGAGTCTCTCTTTCTCCTATTCACAACTTTCTATCATTGCTTTTGATATCAATCTCTTCTATTTCCTCTAAGATCTTGCTTCATCAATAAGCATTCATCTATCTTATATCTTTACCCTATCCCTCTTTACTTATCTCTTTATTCATCTAATTATAAAAATACTTGGGAGGCTGAGGCGGGTGGATCACAAGGTCTGGAGTTCAAGACCAGCCTGACCAACATGGTGAAACCCTGTTTCTACCCAAAATACAAAAATTAGCCGGGTGTGGTGGCATATGCCTGTAATCCCAGGTACTCAGGAGGCTGAGGCAGGAGAATCGCTCGAACTCAGGAGGCAGAGGTTGCTGTGAGTTGAGATGATGCCAATACATTCCAGCCTGGGCAACAAAGTGAGACACCTGGGCGACAGAGCGAGATGCCGTCTCCAAATAAACAAAAAAAAACTCATGTCTCTCTCTTCAAGAACAAAATAAAACCAAACAAAACTTCCCCTGATGCTATCAGTTACTGCCTTAACTCTCTCCTTCCTGTCTCTAGCAAGATTCTTAAAAGAAAAGTCTTCATTCAGTTTATTTCCTTACTTTGTATTCACTTCTAGGCCCACTGTAATGTATCTACAGCATTTCTACAACTCTGCTTGAAATTACCCACCAAGGCCAGGCACGGTGGCTCACGACTGTAATCCCAGCACTGTGGAAGGCTGAGGTGGGCAGATCACCTGAGGTCAGGAGTTCGAGACCAGCCTCAGCATGGAGAAACCCTGTCTCTACTAAAAATACAAAATTAGCTGGGCGTGGTGGTGCAAGCCTGTAATCCCAGCTACTCGGGAGGCTGAGGCAAGAGAATTGCTTGAACCTGGGAGGCGGAGATTGCGGTGAGCCGAGATTGCGCCACTGCACTCCAGCCTGGGCAACAACAGCGAAACTCTGTCTCAAAAAAAAAAAAAAAAAGAAAAAGAAAAAGAAATTACCCACCAAAAGTCATTATGTTCTCCATAATGCCAAGTTTAAGAGCCACTTTTCCATTTTTATCTTTCTGGATCTTTCCAGTGCATTTTACATAGCTGATCACATTCCTTCCTTCTTGACACACAAATTCCTTGGCTTTTATGACTCTATTCACTTGGTTCCCCTACCGCTAAAATTGTTCCTGCTGCCCTCATCTTAAATATTAATGTTTCCCAGATTTTCATTCACAATCAATCCTTTTTCCTCTCTATATTTTCTCACCAGGCAAAAGGAGGAACATTTAAACTGTCAATAACTCCATCAAAGACTTCATAGTTTTAATTCATACCTCTAAACTATACTATATGCTGATGACCTTCAAATTTCCAGCCCTGAGCTCTTCTTTGAGCTGTGCACTCATATCCAGCTACCATAGAATATCCTTTACCTGGATATTTCATAGGCACTTCAAACTCAATGTGTCCAAAACTCTTCCCCTGAAAGTGGCTTCTCCTCCCATATTCTCTCTCTCTCTGCATATATGAACCACCCATGTAATCATCTAATCAAAAGAACTCATTCATCTTGGATTCCTCCCTCTTCCTCATCATCCCTCCCTCATATCCATTCAAACACCAAATCCTGTCAATTTACTCTGTTAAAACATTTTTTAAAATGAATGCCCCATTCTCTATCTTTACTACTTCTACCCTAATTTAGGATCTCATCATCTCTTGCCTATATTAGATAAGAGGTTCTACAATAACATCTTATTTAATCAATCTGATATTAATCCTGGCCTCTCAATTTTTCCCATAATACAGCCAGAATGATACAAATCTAATAATTTCACTAACCTCCTTAGAATGGTTTTGCAACCCACATAAAAGTCTTTTTTTTTTTTTAAATCATGGCATACAATAACTTCTTTGACTTGGTTCAAAGACCACTGCTTGACACTTCTTGGTTAGAACCCTTTACTTCTGAATACCAATTAGCTTTTAGTTTCCTGAATATCCCATAATGTATCATGCCATTGTGTCTTTGTACATTCCTCGTGACCTTTCTTCTTTCTCTGCTTGATTCTTGCTTAGCATTCAACACTCAACTTGTACATGAAGTTCTCTACAATTCCTCTTCCCTAAATCCCCCAGATGGGATAAATGGTTCTCTTTAATGTTTCTATAAAACTATCTTGATCGTTGCATAAACATTATGTATTATTTTCTACATGTCTCCTTTACTAAATTATGAACTTGTTGAAGGTCAATTATCTAGCAGTGTATCTGATGCACAGGTGTTTAATATCTTTTGTAGAGTTAACCTGAATGATCATTCAGGTTGGTTTTAATTTTTCCAGAGTTATAATAATGCTGCAATAAACAGCTCTATGCAAATAATACTTTTAATTTTTAAAATTTTATTATGATAGATTCTATGATAAAAGATTACTATGTCAAAAGATATGAACAGGTCTTATTATTCTTCAATAATTTGTTATTTTTAATAGTTGAGAAAATAAGAGGCAACTGCTCAAAAATTTTTACACTATAAATACATATTCGAAAATTTTTGTCATAATATTTACTAATATAATTTACTTTATGCCAGTAACCAGTGCATTTCAGAATAAGAGTTAAACAATCAATTCGTGTAGCTAACATAACTAATGTTCTATGTGTAGCCCAGTCTCAACAATACTAGTTTCAGGTTACAGTTAAAATGTATTATGAGGCTGGGTGCAGTGGCTTTTGCCTGTAATCCCAGCACTTTGGGAGGCCAAGGCAGGTGGATCACCTGAGGTCAGGAGTTTGAGATCGGCCTGACCAACATGGTGAAACCCCGTTTCTACTAAAAATACAAAATTAGCTGGGCATGATGGCACATGCCTGTAATCTCAGCTACTTGGGAGGCTGAGGCAGGAAAATCACTTGAACCTGGGAGGCGGAGGTTGCAGTGAGCTGAGATTGCACCACTGCACTCCAGCCTGGGCAACAAAAGCCAAACTCTGTATCAAAAAAATAAAAAATAAAAAATAAATAAAATAAATAAATAAATAAAATGTATTATCGGACTTTTTTTTTTTTTTCAAAACAGGGTCTCATTCTGTCACCCAGGTTAGTGTGCAATGGTGCATTCATAGCTCACTGCAACTTCAAACTCCTGGGCCTAAGCAATCCTCTTGCCTCAGCCTCCTGATTAGCTGGGACTACAGGAGTGCAACACCACTCCCAGATAATATTTTAAATTTTTTGTAAGGACAGGATCTCGTTATAATGCCCAGGCTTGTCTCAAACTCCAGTCTCAAGTGATCCTCCTGTGTTGGCCTCCCAAAGTGCTGGGATTACAGGTATTTTGAGACTTTTTTAAAGATGCAGAATTTATCAGTTGCCATTGATGAAACGTCAAGTTTCCTAACATTGGAAAGGGAAAAGCAATCTACCAAATTTTTGGAAATGGTCAGAAATCCACAGTATTAAAAAATATGTATTAAACACAAAAGTTTTCATGAAGCAATCCTATCTAAGAAAAAGCAAAAATAACTTCAAGCTATATTTTCAATGTATAAAAGTTACTAGTATAATGCACCAAATTAAGGGTTGGCAAGCTATCACCATGGGCCAAATTTAGCCCACTAGCTATTTTTATAAATAAAGTTTTATTGGAACACATCCATGTTCATTCACTTATGTATTATCTATGGCTGCTCTCACACTACAATGGCAGAGTTAAGTAGATGCCACAAAGATTACATGGCTCACAAAGTCTAAAATATTTACTGTTTGGTCTTTTATAGAAAAAGTCTGACAATTCCTAATCTAAGTTATTGGGGGGAAAAACATATTTCTTAATGCTGTCTTTTAAAAATACACTGAAGAAAACAAATTACACTCAAAGTACATAATTTATATCAGTATCCTATTTTTTCTCATTTCTTTGGTAGCACTTCTAGTGAACTGTTTTCATTCAAACCCATTCCTGTCCCCAGTTCCCTCACCACAGGTTCCTAGTTCTCTTCTTTGCTATCTTCTGATATAATTGACAATAATAAATCTCTTCTGATGTGGTCTGACTCAAATAAACATGTAAATGGTTCCAGAAAGAAAAAAAGAAAGAAAGAGAGAAAATGGAATAAAAGTTTGTGAGTAACCAGGTGGATAAAGTGTGCACTTGGGGAGATGGTTAATAATTGAGAGTATTGTAAAGAATGAATGACAATATAATAAAAACAATCACGTAAGTATTTTAGGAAGAAGAAAAAAAACTAAAAAGAAGCAAAGAAAAGTAAAAAGGAAAATCAAACTATTTTTAAAATATAGAAAATCTGCACATTTAAAAAGCATAAAATCAATTAGCATCATTCATTTAGGAAAGCCTTCTATTTACCTATCCAAACAGGCAAAGAGTCCAGATTTCCCTCCTACTGCACAAAGTACTTTGGGAGCACAGCGAGGTCGTGTCATCAAGACTGTCTGATGAGAGAGTCTATGTTCAGGCATAAAGTGGTACTTTAGGGCTTCATTCAAAAGATGTTTACAAGTGCGATCATCACGAATAAGATGATTTGCTTCATATAGTCTAGTGAGAAACTTAACACTCAACAATGGTAATCGTACACTGTTTAGTAACTGTGCTAAGTATTTCTGGCGTTCTTGTACATCATACTTGATCCAAGACTCTAATGCATAAAAAACAGTCTCTTCGGTAGCTACATTCAAACAGTCATTGGAAACAATTTCATCCAAGTCAGCATGTGTAAGCTCAAAAAACTCTTCAGTCTGGCAAACAGCTTCAAAATTCTGGCATATGTATTTAGTGGCTGCCAAATAAAGGTCACGGCAACCATATGTTTCTGCAAAACGAGAAATTCCAATACAATTACCAGGATCAAGTTGGCTTTCAAGAAATGCACAACATTCTTTCAGGACAAGTTTTATCTGGAGTAGGTTTGCTGCTGGCAGGAGAGATTCAACTGTGTCCTGAGAAATAAAAACAGTCCCTGTATAGGCATACTCCACAATGGCCTGGAGAGCAGTTTCATCAATGCATTGAAACTCAACCTCACTGTTCTCTTTTTCAGAAAGGTTTCCAGTGAACATAGCTTTGAAATACGGGCTGACGCTGGCAAGTACCACTTTGTGAGCATGAATTTTAACATCACCTACTCGAAGAATGATGTCACAGAGTTCGTGATGTTGGCGAAGAAGATTCAAGCCCTGCAGAAGTTGTTCAGAATGCAAGTGGGTTAAGTTAGCAAGCATGTAGGTCGGGGATGTGTGGTCCATCTACAGAAAAATAAAAAAGCATAGACAGTTATTTCAAAGTAAACTTGTCAAAAACACTGCTTTTCAAATAGTACAGAATAATCAGATTTGTAATTTATTTGTCTGTTCATTGGTTTTTAAATACTTCATAGTAAATACTAGAACTAGAGGCTTTCAGAGTTAGAAGAGATTTAACAATCACATCATTCAACTTATTTATTATAGATATTAGGAAATGGAAGCCCAAAAGGTTACATGAGATGCCCCAAACCAAAAAAATCTCTGACAATGGACTTTTGGATCAAAACTTTACCAACTTTTTCATTTTGTTTCCCCTGCATTAAATTCAAGTCTGAGCTATCACTGAAATAAAATGAAAATATGAGGGGAAAAACTTGGTTAAAGTAAAATTATATGTAGAACAAACAACACTATTTGCCAACCAACAGATGCTTTAATTGGGCAGAAATTTCATATTAACATACTTTACCCAAAATTTCAATAATTGCTTTGACAGAGGGTGCTGAATTTAATGAAGGTACTATTACCACCAATTAATTTAATTAATTATGAACAGAATCCAAAGTCCCATGAGGGCAATAAGGCTCACTTACTGATCTATATATACCATACCCACTCAACTCTTTTTTTTTTTTTTTTTTTTTTTAAGATGGAATCTCACTCTGTCGCCCAGGCTGGGGTCCAGGGGCATGATCTTGGCTCACTGCAACCTCTGCCTCCTAGCTACAAATGATTCTCCTGCTTAGCCTCCCAAGTAGCTGGGATTACAGGCACCTGCTAACATGCCTGGCTAATTTTTATATTTTTAGTAGAGACAAGGTTTCACCATGTTGGCCAGGCTGGTTTCAAACTCCCAACCTCAAGTGATCCACCTGCTTCGGCTTCTCAAAGTGCGGGGATTACAGGCATGGGCCACCACACCCGGCCTCAACTCTTGATCATTAATTCAGATCATGCCCACTCAATCTACTTGCCACTTTGTGCTTCTGGAAGATGAAAAAGAATAAAAATAGCAGGGAAGAAAAGGGATGAGAAAGAAAAGAAAGTGGAGAGACAATAAAGACTATGGTAGGCAGAATAATGGCTCCCCAAATGACATTCACATCCCTATCCCTGGAATCTGTGAATATTACTTTATATGGCAAAAAGGGACTTTGGAAAGGATTAACAATTTTGAGATGGGGACAAGATCCTGGATTATCCAAGTGGGCCCAAAATGCAATCAACATGTACCTTATAAGAAGGCAGAAGGAGACGTGACACAGACAGAAGAGGAGGTCATGTGACTAAAGAGGCAGAGACTAGAGTGCTGCAGCCACAAACCAAGGAATGCTGGCAGTCACCAGAAGCTAGAAGAGCCAAGAACAGATTCTCCCGTAGAGCTTATGGAAGGAGCATGGTCCTGCCACCTTAATTTTAGCCCACTGACACAAATTTCAGACTTCTGGCCTCCAAAACTGTGAGAGAATACATTTGTTTTGTTTTAAGCAACTGAGTTTGTGTAATTTGTTACAGTAACCTTAAGAATTAATACATGGATATTTCAGAATGGATTGTAGCAGCTGCTTAGAGTAGACAAAAGGAATACAGGTCATGTATACAATATAAGCTATTTCCTTCCTGTCTCACTCACATTTCAATCACAAGTTATGGCAATAACGAAAAAGTACATTTGGTTTCCATCTTAAAACCATCAATTCTATAAATTCAAACATTTTGAACACTATTGAGAGAGTATAGCACTTCATTCTTATACATTTTTAAGTGGAAAAAATCCAACTCTTGAAATTTTTATCTTTGTCAAGTACGTAATTGTTTCATACTTATTTCACAATGAATTTTAAGTCAGTTAATAAATTATGTTAATATGGCCACTTTCCAGCTGGTAACAGCCTCCACTGCTGATCTCTGCAAATAATCTCACACCTATCTACTAGAAAAATTCTCAAATGTTATTGCAGTCATGGTATAAACAAGTCCCAAGAAGCTTCTGGGTCTTCCAGTAGGTACTTTTTTTCCAGAACATAATATATACTAGTAAGTAGATGGCAATCAGAAGGCATAAGTTTAGATCTGTACACGTTCTGTTAGTTATTCCAGTGTTGATCTTTTTAACCTATGTAACTTCTTTTAGCCTCAGTTTTATGAAAAAGTTAAAATCTAGACTTAAAAGTAAAGAATGAATAACAGGAAAGGCAAGTAGATAGAAAAAATAGGTAATGGGGTTAAGAAAGCAGTCCTCGTTAACTTTACCTTCTCAATCTTTGTTTTCCTTATTTGCAGAATGAGATCATAATAATACCTGTACTTTATTATTCAGGTATTAATGTAGCTGAGGTTTTTGAGGATCAAATCAGACAATGTACATAAAAACATGATAAACTGTAAGTGATATTGTACTACAGTAGTACTATGGTAGCAGTGAGGCGATAGAGATAAAACATATCAGTGAAGAACACAGACTTTGGAAATATAAGGTAATGAGTTTTAGTCCCATCTGAATCTTAAATTATATTATTAGGTGGAATAATAGGTACCAGCCTTTCTTAATCTAAGTATTAATTGTTTCATTCATAAAATAAGAATACCCCACTTATCTCAGAAGTTTACCTGAAAGTGATTCTCTAAAGTATAAAGTTCTACAAAATATACAGCTTGAGGTGTTAAGAATATAGTACTTACGTCTCACTGTACTAAATTGCCACTTCCCAATATCCCCACTTTCACTAATTCCCATTCTTTCCCACAATGACCTTTTACTCTTATGATGCTCATGTAATGACTATAGCTCTATATAAAACTTGCTATCTCCCAAATATTTTCTTACCACACGTTAGATTTTGTCTATAACCTTTCTCCTCTGATCTTCCTTTCCTCCAATTCAAATTCTCAAAACTCAAGATCAAAAATTAACTTTACCTGGACGTCTATAAGCATTTATTTACTATATCCCTTTACATGCAATTAATTCAATTATACGTGTTGCTCTGTAAAACATACCCCTTTCAACTCTCATTTTCTGATTTAACAAGGAGAATGGTAGACTAAAAAGTGAAGGATGAACAACAGAAAAGGAAAATGTATGCGAAAAATAAGAGAAGGGATTGAAAAAGGAGACCTAGTCACTTTGTAAATTCATCTCTCTCTCAGACTAAACAATTATGTTTCAAGATATTTAAAAGAGCCTGCAAATGAGATTATTGAATCATTACCAGTGCCACAGGACTGAAGACTATTTTCAAAAATAAGACAGTAAATTCTACAATATGGTAAGATTTCTGTTAATTTCAGATAACATTCTAAAACAAATTATTAAAGATTTGACTTGTGAATACCGATAAGAAGATGTAGAGATCTTTAGGATTAGGATATATGAGCTAAAAATAATAAGACATGTTACAGACTAGGTTTGTTTCTTTTTAAAAATTTATTTAGAAGACTTGTAGATCAGAAAAGTAGACTTGATATTTAACTAGATATTAGTAAATAATTTTATAATGCCCTTCATGATTTTTCAAAGAACAAAACTAAAAAAATATATAAGCTAGTTCAGTTAGCTAAATCAGCAACTAGTGGAACAAATACCCCCCAGAGTATACCACTTAATGGAATGAGGCCTAGAGGGATGCTTCTAGTGGTATTCTGTAAGGCCAAGATGAAGATATTTTATGTCCTGAACTTTGAAGATGACATGAAGCTGCAAAGGACAGCAAAAGCATTGACTAACACAATAAGGATCCTGAAAGACTTATATCTAACAAGAAGAAATTTAAAAGGGATAAATGTAAAAATTCTATAGCAGATTCCAAACCAACTACCCAAGTATAGAATAAGAGAGAAAAGACGCATCTGTAGAACGTGTTTAACAGGTTTAGGGATTTTAATTGCAGTACTATTTTAACACCATAAACTTATGTGGGTTTAAGCTGCATTAACAGAACTATAATATACAGAACTACAGAGGAGAAATTTTTGCTTTGCTCTGCAAATGTCAGTCCATATCTGTACTACAGATTTTGGGTATCATCCTTTGACAGGGATCTAAACAGACTGTAACACCTGATGAACAGCAGAAATTCAAATCATGTCTTACAGGTAATGGAACAGAGGTACTGAGTCTGGGAAAAAAGGAGGTCTGAGTTATCACATGAAAAACCAAGGAATGAAGGTTACTCAACAACAACAGGAATAATAATTATAATATAGGGTTGTTTTGAGGATTAAACGAGTTTATACATAAAAAGGGCTCAGAATAGGGCCTATCACTTAGTAGGCTCTTAATAAATATGAGTTATTACTAGTAAATTCTTCGAGTTGTCCCTTGAGAAGTAGTCAACTTTCTATGTTGCACTACCTCTCACTATTAGATAAGAAACCCACTCTGTCTTCTCTGATACCCTGGGCAACACAAGTATCACAGAATTGTTGATTCTCAAATCAAGGTTATGAAGTATTGACTAGATTCATTTTTAATATAATTAGGAATCACATAGTGATAGATCCTATATTGTTAACCTAATTTTTGTGTACCCAATTCAAAACTGGTACACCATCAACATATGACACGCAAAAATGACACAACATAGGTCTGTAAATACACACATACATGTATGTACACACACAACACATAAATATACACACATGCATATATTTGTATGATATGCAGTATAGTTTTAAGAGACTGGGCTTTGGTACCAGGCTTCCCGGGTTACAATACAATGGTCTGTATTATGTGACCTTGGGAAATTCAGTCAAAAGTTTCAGTTTTCTCATTTGTAAAAAAATAGACAAAATTGTATAAAAAGCAGTTGTAAATATGCCTTTCTATGTGCTGGTACATAAGCACTCAGTAATTGGTAGACGTTATTTATTTTTACTGTTCATCAACCTTTAAAAAGCTTGGTTATTGCCAACTATATCCATGAAATGCCTTTCCATGCATACCAAAAAAGGAAGGAAGTTTGCTTACTGTCCAGGGAACAAATACCTACCAAAGCCAGGCCAAAGCCTCACTAATTCTATCAGTAAAGAGACATATGAGCCATTTTAAAATATAGATGGCTTATTAGATTTAGATAGTTTATTACTTACAGATTGAAAAGAAGATTAGCCAAAGAGTAAACTGCCTGGATCCTTGTCCCGCACATCAAAAATGGTAACACAAAAAAGGGGCTGGCCCCATGAAAACTATGGCTAAGCAGTTTTCTATTCTGTAGCTCTATTCTAAGGGTGTGGGATGGGGTCAAAAGTCTAACACCTAATCACAACCAGGGAAGTGAAGAGAAACTGTCTCATGACACACTTGTAGGGGAAATAGAGAGGTGAGTGGAAAATTGGGAGATGACCTCATAGCAGCTCCTTAGAGGCCTCTCACTCTCTCATATTCCAGGAGAATCACAAGGTGTGTCAAGCCACGGATAAGCTGCAGTCCTGAGGTCCAAGTCTTTGCCTACATGGATACATGCAAGGTGACCAGAGTACCATGACAAAGTTGTTCCCCTATACTTATGCCCCTATAATACTGCTTTATCTCACTTTCCTAGATCTATGTTGTTAAAACCTTTTAAATATTTTCTGACCATTCCAACTAGTAAGTAAGACATTCTATTCATTTGAACCAGCATGGTTCATTTTACTCCATAATAATAGAAATTATCAAAGTGTTTAAAATGGGCCAAAGAAAAGGCACTGGTAAAAGTAACTTCATAAAAGAAAGCCTAGCATATTTTTATAATTGTATTAGATGCAAATGATATACTTTCATTCCTTGTAAGAACTACTGAGAATAAAGTTTAATTTTAAAAATTATAGTTTGAATGCTTAATCAAAACAGTGTCAACTAGCAACTTCAACAAGGCAAGGTAAAAATAGGGAACTTAAAATGAATTACACTAGCAGTTTTCCATAACATAATTTTTTTGTTTTGTTTTTGTTTTTGTTTTTCAGACAGGTTCTCATTCCTGTTGCCCTGGCCAGGGTGTGGTGGCGAGATCTTAGCTTACTCACTGCAGCCTTGACCTCCTGGGCTCAGGTGATTCTCCCACTTCAGCCTCCCAAGTAGCTGGGGCTACAGGCACACATCACCACGCCCGACTAGTTTTTGTATTTTTTTTGTAGAGAAGGAGTTTCACCATGTTGCCTAGGCTAGTCTCGAACTCCTGGACTCAAACGATCACCCACCCTGGACTCCTAAAGTGTTGGGATTACAGGTGTGAGCCACTGAGCATGACCAAATTAAATCTTAAAATTTTTAATTTGGCCCCTTTCCTCTCTCAAAAAATATGACTTTAGAAAAATGCACAGAATTCTAACATTTTCAAATATAGAGTTTTTAAAACAGTGGTTTTCAAATCTGATCCTTGTACCAACAGCATTAGCAACATTTGGGAACCTGCTAGAAATGTAAATTCTTGAGCCCCATCACAGTTGTAAGCAATCAGAAACTACATAGGGCAGTGGGGTTGCAGGAAATGGGCAAACTGTGTTTTAAGTCCTCCAGGTTATTCTTAGGCAAAAGTTCCAGAACCAGTTAAAATATTTATAGCTCAAGTTTAGCAGCTTAAAAATTACTGAAAATTATTTTTAAGAAATATTTAAAATGAAAGTTTTTTAGAGACAGGATCTCACTATGTTGCCCAGGCTGGAGTGCAATGGCCACTCAAAGGCATGATCATGGCACAATGCAACCTCAAACTCCTAGGCTCAAGTGACCTACTTGCCTCAGCCTCATCAGTAGCTGGGACTACAGGTGTCCACCACTGCGTTTGGCTCAAAAACTATAATGCCTTCAAAATTATACATGGCAACTGTGACTATATTTGGTTCTCAGCTATCTACCCATAAATGGCTAAAAAAAGTAATTCAAAGAAGTAATACTTTCTAATCCTCAAAGCCCCACATTTGTCAAACAGTTTTACACTGGCAGTTTCATTTACCTCAGTAACCACTTTGCGTAAAAGGAAGGGTAAGTACCATAAAAAAAAAAAAAACAAACACAGGAAAGAACAGGGAGTAAAAGCATTAATTTTAGAGTCGGACAGATTTGGATTTAAGTCTACATTTTGCTACTTAATAGCTGGGCTATTTGATACTTGGGCAAATTACTTATTCTAAGCTTAAACATTCTCATTTGTAAAATTTGTTGTGGATTAACAGGATTAAATGAGACGTATGTAAGGAAAAATAGATCAATGGAGAACAGAAAATATAAAAGTAGATCATTTAGATATGCAGGTTTAGTATATGATAAAGGTGGAATCTCTGCGAGGGAAAAGAGAAACGTTTAAATAAATGTGTTGAGATAACGGAATAGCCATATGGAAACAGGTAAAACTAGATTTCTGCTACATACCTACACCAACAGGATAAATTACAAATGAATCAGAGGTATATATATGAAAAATGTAATTATATAAATATTAGAATAAAATACGGGTAAAAACTTATGTTGAAATTTAGTCCCCAATGCGGTAGTATTGAGAGGTAGGGCTTTTAAGAGGTAACTGGCAGAGTCCTTATGAACGGATTGATCCACTTATGGATTAATGAATTAACATGTTAGCAAATTAAAGGGTTATCACAGGAGTGGGACCAGTGGCTTTATAAGAAGAGGAAGAGAGAGCTGAGCTAGCACACTCACAGCCCCCTCACCATGTGAGGCCTTGTGCTGCCTTGGGACTCTGCAGAGTTCTTACCAGCAAGAAGGCTTCCACCAGATGCAGCCCCAAGAAAGCTCACACCAGGTGTGGCCCCCTTGACCTTGGACTTCTCAGCCTCCATAACTGTAAGAAATAAATTCCTTTTACTTATAAATTATCCAGTTTCAGATATTGTGTTATAAGTAATGGAAAACAAACTAAGACAACCTGAGATTAGGGAACAGTTTCCTAACTTTGAAACAAAATCCAGAAGACATCAGTGAAAAAATAGGTAAAACTGATTACATTTTAAAAACTTGGAATAAAGAAATCGTAAGTAAAAATATAAATGAGACTGAGAAAAATATTTGTAGCATATATAAAATATATATCAGTAATACATAAAATATTTCTAAAATTTTCTAGCCCTATAGGAAAAATTGGTTAAAGAAATGAACAGATGTTTGTTAAAAACATAAATGATTTTAACCATACAAAAATTGCTCAACTTCACTTAAAATCAAATAAATTAATACATGGAGTTAACAATTCTCTCTTGACAGTATAGTCTGTTGGTGAGGATGTGAGAAACAGGAAATCTCACTCATTGCTGTGGGAATAGAAAATGATACAAAACCTCTGGAGGTAAATCTGTCAAAATACAGCAAAATTACATTTGGATTTTTCCTTTGACCCAAAAACCCTACTTCTAAGAATCTATCCAAAAATTACACTGGCAAAAATGTATAAAGACAAATCCATAAGGCTAATAATAATTGCAGATCTATTTATAAAAACAAAATAATATACTCATGTTTCTTATTCCTCATATTTGAGAGACCAAAAGGCAACTGACCAAGATTTTTAAAACAACTCTCATGTCCAGCAACAAAAGAATGGTTGTGAAAACTATAGAGCATCCACACAATGCAGTACTATACAGCGATGAAAAGGAATGAGGAATCTCTGTATAGAATACTCTGCAGTGATCTCCCTGATCTAAGCAAAGTGTGTTTAGTGTGTCACCATTTATCTACGATAGGGAAGATTACAAACATACATAATCATTTCTATTAAAAAAAGGAAATTTTACACAATATATACTTTTAAAGGTTACCTACAAGAGGAGGTATGGAACTAAAAACTAGAGGATAGAGATAGAAGGTAGATATTTTTGAATATACTCTGTTTTATAGATTTGACTGTGGAATCAGAAAAGTATTTTATGTAATTATAAAGCACAATTAAATCTTAAAAACATGATCCATAAGAAATTTGAAAATTGAAAATACAAAGGAAGAAAATATCAACTTAGTGGCCTTACCATACCATTCCAAATAACTTTAAAACAGTAATCTGAAGTCTCTATTGCGACATGCCCTAAAATATATATCTTATGCTGTTTTCAGTAATCGCATTGTTGATAAGGACACTGTTTATTTGTATTGTGACACTGTTAATGTGTGTATTGTGCTATAAAGCAAATGAGTAATGATATGATATTCTATCAACCCTAGGGTCACTGTGATCTAGGATTCTTGGTATGGGAAAAAGAAGGTAACGACATAACACTAAGATGTTAATTATGAACCTCACAGTCTGTATTTGAATAAAAAGTATGAGAATAAATATATGTATATAAATAACAGTAAATATTCATATATACTAATACATAATTTATATATAATACATAAAATACATGTGAGCTATACATACATATTAAATATACGTAATATTATTTTAAGGAAAAAAATAAATTATATTTCCTAGCTCTGTCTACTGAAAAGGTCTAGAAACTGACCATCCCGGTAGCAAAGAACACTTCTAGCATTCAGATGTACTCTCTAAATACCATTTCCCTCAAAGAGAACAGAACTCCTTGGGCAGATAGCTGATACCATGTCTGGGGCAGAAGATGTCAAGACACATTTGGAATCTAAATCCTAGGTAGTATAATCCCAGCACTTTGGGAGGCTAAGGTGGGAGGATAGCTTGAGCCCAGGAGTTTGAGACCAGCCTGGGCAACACGGTGAAATTCCGTCTCTACAAAGAAAAAAAACAAATAAAAAAATTAGCTGGATGTGGTGGCACATGCCTGTAGTCTCAGCTACTTGGGGGGCTGAGCTAGGAGAATTGCTTGTGCCCAGGAGGTCGAGGCTGCAGTGTGCAGTGATTGCACAACTGCACTCCAGCCTGGGAGACAGAGTGAGGCCCTGCCTCAAAATAAATAAATAAATACATCCTAGGTAGCAAGAAAGCTATCAAATACTACAAGAGTCATATAAAAAATATTCAGGGGCCAAACTAAATAGGCTTTCACTAGTCAAAGACAGGACAAACTGATCATCAATAATAATAACTGCAATTGATTAAACGATATCAGATATTTTAAATGCATGAGTTAATAATGATACTTAAAAAAAGTCCTAATGGTCAACACCGGACGATGCTAATGTAGCAACTCATTTTTTGAAACCTAGTAAACAAAGAGAAATAATCAAACATTTATTATGCCTTTCCTACACTAACTGTACTACTGGGTTTCCAAATAGATGAGTTTTTTTGTTTTTGTTTTTTAAGAGATAGGGTCTTGCTACCTTGCCGAAACTAGTCTCAATCTCCTGGTCTTAAGCGATCCTCCCACCTTGGCCTCCCAAAGTACTGGGGTTACAGACATGAGCCACTACACCTGGCCAAATTTCTCTTTTTAAAAGTATCCCTGTTAATAAATAAAGAAGGAATAATGGAATATTATCATTTTGCATCCTTAATAAATAATGGGCATTGATTGTGAAGGGCTGTTTATATCACAAAAAGAGAGATAGCTAGATAATTGGGCCTTCTGATGGAAAAACATAACACCCATGAGTATTCTCACGTCCCAACCCCAACACACACCAAAGTCAAGCAAATTAAACTACAGCCAATTCTCTAGTTCCAACTATTAATTTACATAAAATATAGAAAATAGAAAAATCATGTTAAACAATACCAGAAAGATGCAATTAGCAAAAACATACCGACTGTGAAAAATCTTGTAAAATAAACTAAATTCTTCAACAAATAAACTGCAAGAAATAAAGAGAATGAATCTATAAATTTAAAAGACGTATCAATCAAATACAACCTGTGAACCATAGACTTGTGTGTGCACCCACATATTTAGAAAACAGTTGGAAATTTACACACTGACTGGATTATTAATATATTAATTAATCACTGCTATTTTTTGTTGCTAAATAGTGGTATTGTGGTTGTGTTTTTAAGAGCTTTTTTCTTTTACAGATATATGCTGAAATTGGTGTGCAATGGTGCAATTATAGCTCACTGTAACCTTGAATTCCTGGGCTCAAGGGATTCTCCCTCCTCAGCCTCCCAAGTAGCTAGAACTACAGGCGCATGCTACCATGCCTGGCTAATATTTTTTATTTTTATTTTTTGTAGAGATGGGATCTCACTATTTGTCCAGGCTGGTCTTGAACTTTTGGCCTCAAGCAATCCTCCTGCCTTGGCCTCCCAAAGAGCTGCGATTACAGGTGTGAGCCCCCATGACCAGCTGTATTGAAATATTTGTAGATGAAATAATATGTTGTTAGGATTTGCTGCAAAATAATAGGGGATGAGGTTGTGGAAGGGGATATAGATGGTGTCATGAGTTGATAACTATTGAAGATGCGTGATAGGTAAATAGATGTTCATCATATTGTTCTGCTTTTACATGTTTTTGAAATTTTGCACAGTAAGAGACTTTTTTCTTAAAAAACAGAAAATATAAGGCACAAAATTTTGAATAAGACAGTTTTAGAATCCTAAGTTCAGGGAGTTTAAATGAATTAGCAAAATCACATAATTAGTAAAAAACATTACTGGGACTAGAATGTTTTCTTAATCTTGGAACAATGCTCTCTACACATTACATACAAAAAATTAACTGCCAAACAATGTTGAGCTGCTTAAAATATTTACTGAATCAATTTATAATTGTTATCACTTCTCATAAAATGAAATAATTCTATGAAAGAGCATCTAGAATACCTTTGACTGTCATAATGTACCAGTTAACAGTCTAAGCTTTTAACATGTATTAATTCCTTTCATCCTCAGAGCAACAATATAATAGGCACTGTTATTATTACCACCATTTTACAGATAAAGAAATGTGAGGCACAGAGAAATTAAGTCCAAGGCAAGATTTAAACCTTGGCACTCTGTCTATGTAATTCTTAAATATTCTATTACACTGCCTCATTTATTAAATAAGCTCAGAATTTCTTAATCTTATTAAAATCTTAACTCAAACAAGAAATTAAAAATGTGCAGAATGGAAATCCAGAGGATAGATCATTCATATAAAATCTTTATAAAATAAATACACATTAGATACAAAAATACACAGGGCTTTAAAATGAAATAAAGAAGGATCCATGGAACAATCATTGCCTTCCAGTATTTGCCTAAAAGCAGATTTGGTATATCAGGTTCCTCCATATCTCTGCCATAGTTTTTGTTCTTTTTTTTTTTTTTTAATGATAAAACAAACAATAGTATTCTGAATCTTGGTAACTGCATTAGTCAATATCGAATAAAAAGTATCCATTTGAAATTAAAATTAAAATAAAACTTTCCATAGTCTACAGTAACTTAACTTTAGGCTCTGAAACCAAGTTAATAAAGGTCAAGTTGCGAGTTTTGTACCTATCTACTTAATTGACACCTAAGCCACAAAACAGTGGTGCTGAAATCAGTTGGGAGGCACTTATCTGCCACTATATAAATATAGATCACACCCAGAGTAAATAAATGGTGAACAGAAATCAAGATTACTCTTAAAAAAAAAATTCAAACCGACAGTTTTCTTTAAAAAGAGAAAATAAGAAATGATTTATCAAATTAGGAGAATATTCTATCACATCTGCTCTTTTCTTAAATTTCTTTCCTACAGTTCAACTTTCCTCATAGGATAATTCAACTAATAATGGTATATAATTCTATCAGTGAGCCTATGGAATAAGTTAGGATATTTTCCTTTTATCTGAGATTTGACTTTTATTGACAAACAAAAGAAAAGTAAAATTAGAAGCCTGTCAAGAGCTCTTACTGGATGTGGTAATGACTTTGAACTTGCTTTCTTCTGTGTTATTTCTGAATCCATGTTATGACAGGCGTCTAAGTTACATAATTAATCCCTGTCCACTGAAAAACTGCAACAGATGTGAAATTCTGTTAACTTATACATAGTAATTAATATGTAATACAAGTTGGATTTTTGTTTAAAATTATAGTTTTGACTGAAGACAGAAATACATAATGGCTTTGGAAGATAAACCTAAGTAGATGAAAATATATCACTCATATACATCAAGAAAACTGATTCAATCCTGTATAAAATAAGCTCATAATTTCTTAACTTATTAAAGTGTTACCTCAAACAAGAAACTAAAAATATTTTGAATAGAAATCCAAAAAGGATAGATTAAAATATATATAATCTTCAACCAAGGATTGAAAGAAAAAATAATAAATTAAAAAATATATAATCAAATGATATATAATAAATGAATAATAATGGAAAAAATCTAATTTTATCCTAAAGTTTCAACAGTGACCTCCACCAAAACCTTCTCCAAGCTCTAAGCAAATGTGAGTTTTACTTTCTTCCTCTGTCCAATTACTCTTTTGTGGAAACACCCATAAAATGTTCCATAGTCCAAATGTAGAAGATGTAACCTCAAAAAATTCTTGTGAGGATTAAATGAGTTAATATTTACTAAGTACCTAGCATGGTGCATGGCACATAGCAAATACTCAAAACATGGTATTATTATGATTGTTTGTTAATATTAATAGCAACTTTCATTTGCATAGCATTTCTTCACAATAACTTCTCAAACTACACAAAATTCTTAATAGTTTACAGAATTCACACTGACGTTCAATATTCCTGGATGTCTGTAAAATTTGAGTAAGAACACAGAAAAATCATAGTGATTCGCCCAGGGAACTAATGTGTTATCTCTGATTCTGGAAATAAAGTAAGTTTTTAGGGCAATTGTGTTTACCCTTAAGTTCAGCTAAAAAAATTAACATATGTAGCACACACATTCCTATAATTCACTAATTTAACTACATTCTTGAAATTATTGAAATTTTAAACTTGTTTTAGCTGAATTTGCAATTTTCAATGTATCCTTAACCACTTCCTTTTAACTTTCTGAGGTGTACTATTAATAAAACACCTAATAGTGTATTCTACTATCTAAAAATTGATTACAAATTTGTACTCTCTCTATATATGATTAAATACAAAAGGCTTTTTAAGTCAATATACGAGAAATTCCTAGATTTCCAAAGATTAAAAAAAATCTGCTTCGTAATAAAAAGAATACACACTCAATGAATGAGATTTATGTTCCACAAAATAACTCTAAAAGATAATCAGTAAGACGTGATGCTGATGAAGTCCCATTTCCTAAATATCCACTATGGAGACTAATGCCTCTTCTAAGTCTTCAATCAAAGAGACAAAATGTAACAGATAAAAAATAAATTGCAATCTGTAATGTATAGTGATCCACAGGGATCTAAAAAAACAAGAATCAAAAGGAAGACTCATCTTGCTTTGTTCCCAGGAAAAGGGCATGATAACTGCTTAAGTATCCACGTCTCTCATTTAAGACTTTCGAAGTTCCTTTTCTGTGATTCCATGATTACCACACAACCTCTAGTTATTAACTTGGCTTCCCAAGTTCTTGGATACAAGAAAGAGTGCACTGGATTTTCAACTTGAAAATTCTGATCCAACATAAACTGGCACTGTAATGTGTACATCATTGTCTAGGTTAGTTTGAACTGGGTTCCTCAAGTCTGGGCAATACATGACTAGAAGTCTACACATTTGAGCTTCTTAGGTTGGAACTGTGAGAACCAGACACTTTCTCATTGACAACTGCTACAATCATTTCTTGTTTTTCACCTCCCTGTCTTTAACCTGTCCCTAAAATGAAACATGCTAGCTAAACCTAATTTAGGCAGATTCATTTAAACACGAAAATGGCTCATTAAAACCAAAGTAACAGCCTAGAATTTAAACCAAAACATAGGATGTATATTTACACAGCCTCATTTACATTATAGTCTATTCCCCACCCCCACCCCCCCAAAAACAAAACAAAACAAAACTGATATTCAAATCGTACTTTAAGGCAAAAATCCAGAAATTATTTTTGCACTTGCATCAGCTGGGAGCATTATTTATAAAGCTGTTTGGCATATGTGACTCATTTATTCCAAGACTTTAAAAAGTATTTAAGAGAAATCCCACCTGGTACAGAGCAGGGTAGGAATACTTGCATTTGAAGTGCATAAATTTGGGTCTTCAAATGATAACTTAGACTTTTCGCACGAGTCATTCAAAAGTAATAGTATTATTCCTTCAAAAAAAAAAAATATCTCTTCCACACTCCAAAGCATTCAGGCTCACACTAGACACTCCAGCTCTTCCACTGTGTCCGTTTAAGTATCACTTATGAGGAGAAAATGCACACAAAATTCTCAGTTCGCCTAAAATAAATAAATGTCTACTATCATTCCTAAATCCACAAGGCAGAATTCTCTTAGAACCATGATGCCAAGAACTTCCACCGCAAGTGAAATTGTCTTCGCAATCTCTGTCTCTAGGAGACTGAAAGGCTGCAGAGACGCTTGAGGATCCTGCAGGGAGGCTAGGGCGGCAGACGGAGGGGGCGGAGGTTAGGGGAGAGTCCCACAGAGGAACTGCATTAGAAGGAAAGATTTTGATAACGTCTAAGGGAGAGGCGGTTAGCTACAGGGGGAAAAAAACAGACCTATTTCCATATTATGTACGTTGTAAAGAAAACGCAAAGTGATGAGGGTAAGGAAACGTTGCCAAAAACAAACAAACAAAAACAAAAAAAAATTAACCCTCTGCGGCCGGAGGGTTAAGAGAAGTCGACAAAAGGAGAAGGGGGAGGCGAATAAAGGCCCCAAAGACCAGGAATTGAAAAAAAATACCCGATTTGTGAGCTTGGCCGTGGTCCAGATCTTCTGTCCTGATAAGCAGATGGCAAGAGGAAAGGATCGCAGTTACTCAGGGTGGTAGAGAGTAACGCGTTTACAAGGGTGACGAGCCCTGCACAAGAAGATGTCGCCTCTCTTTCCACCTGCTCCGCTCAGTCCTTTGCCTCTTACTCTAGCACCAGTGGCATTCGGGCAAAACACTGCCAAAGCCTGCACCGCTGGAGGACAGCAAAAGGAAAATACCTGAGTCTCAGTAATCACACGGGCAGCGACAGGAGGAGGAACCGCGGACAACTGGAGCCTGGGCTGGATCCTCACTAGCTCCGGTCAAACCCTAACTCTTACGGGTGGGGCGGGCAACTTCCGCCCAGAGCAAGGAAAGCGTCACATCCGTCAAATGGCTTCACCCCTCCTCCCTTCTCCGCTGTAGCTGCGTTTACAACGTTCTGACTTCCTCTTCCAGGAGACTTTGGCCTAGTCTCAACACCTGACGTGGACTACATAACCCAGCATTCATCACGGCAAGTGGATTTCCGGGTCAAGAGGTCCGCGCTGGGTACATCACCATGGAAGCAATCGGTTTGGTCACGTGGTGCCCTTGGTTACGCCCGGTGGCAGCTGTGGGGTCTAGGGCTCAGACGGGGGCCATTTTGCCAGAGGCTGCCTCCCGGAGTTGGGGGCGGCCTGGCGGCAGGCTGAAGCTGTTCTTTTGCCTCTTCTGCAGCTTGGGGCTTGGAGAGGATCTGGAAGTCTGGGCTCCATCGAGCCCTTTGGAGACGGCAATGGTTTCTTCCAACCACCACCACCTGACAACCCTGCATGGCGGCTGCCCCCTCCGCGCTGCTTCTGCTGCCGCCCTTTCCAGTCCTCTCTACCTATCGGCTCCAGAGCCGCAGTCGTCCTTCCGCCCCAGAGACCGATGATAGTCGAGTTGGGGGCATTATGAGAGGAGAGAAAAACTACTACTTCCGTGGAGCTGCGGGGGACCACGGTTCCTGCCCCACTACAACTTCGCCTCTGGCCTCGGCCCTCTTGATGCCCTCGGAGGCAGTCTCAAGCAGCTGGTCTGAGTCTGGAGGCGGTTTGTCAGGGGGAGATGAAGAGGACACTCGGCTCCTTCAACTCCTCCGCACTGCCCGGGATCCTTCTGAGGCCTTCCAGGCTTTGCAAGCTGCTTTGCCGCGGCGGGGCGGTCGACTTGGCTTCCCCCGACGCAAGGAAGCTTTGTATCGGGCACTGGGCCGAGTGCTTGTGGAAGGAGGTAGTGATGAGAAGCGGCTCTGCTTGCAACTTCTCTCGGACGTTCTCCGGGGTCAGGGGGAGGCAGGCCAGCTTGAAGAGGCCTTTAGCTTAGCACTTTTGCCTCAACTAGTTGTCTCGTTACGGGAAGAGAATCCAGCCCTGCGGAAAGATGCGCTGCAGATCCTTCATATATGTCTGAAACGTAGTCCTGGAGAGGTGCTGAGAACGCTTATACAACAAGGACTGGAAAGTACCGATGCCCGACTTAGAGCTTCCACAGCACTACTGCTTCCCATCTTGCTTACTACTGAGGACTTGTTGCTTGGTCTGGATCTCACCGAGGTGATAATATCCCTAGCCCGAAAGCTTGGTGATCAGGAGACAGAAGAAGAATCTGAGACAGCTTTCTCCGCACTTCAACAAATTGGGGAGCGACTTGGCCAAGACAGGTTTCAATCTTACATTTCTCGTCTGCCCTCTGCCCTGAGGAGACACTACAATCGCCGCCTGGAGTCCCAGTTTGGAAGTCAGGTTCCTTATTATTTGGAACTTGAAGCCTCTGGATTTCCTGAAGATCCCCTTCCCTGTGCAGTGACTCTTTCCAACAGCAATCTTAAATTTGGGATTATTCCTCAGGAGCTGCATTCACGATTATTGGATCAGGAAGACTATAAGAACCGGACCCAGGCCGTCGAAGAACTAAAGCAGGTGCTGGGAAAATTTAACCCTAGTTCTACTCCTCATTCTAGTCTTGTTGGCTTCATTAGTTTGCTATATAATTTGTTAGACGATTCTAACTTCAAAGTGGTGCATGGCACACTTGAAGTCCTGCATTTACTGGTTATTCGCCTTGGAGAGCAGGTACAGCAGTTCTTGGGACCAGTTATAGCAGCTTCTGTCAAAGTGCTGGCGGACAACAAGTTGGTGATCAAACAAGAATACATGAAAATCTTCCTCAAGCTAATGAAGGAAGTAGGACCTCAGCAGGTGCTTTGTTTACTCCTGGAACATCTCAAACATAAGCATTCCAGAGTGAGAGAGGAGGTGGTGAACATTTGCATCTGCTCCCTGCTGACCTATCCTAGTGAGGATTTTGACTTGCCCAAACTGTCCTTTGATCTTGCCCCAGCTCTTGTAGATAGCAAACGCAGGGTACGCCAAGCAGCTTTAGAAGCTTTTGCCGTATTGGCATCATCAATGGGCTCAGGTAAAACCAGCATCCTTTTTAAAGCTGTGGATACAGTTGAACTGCAAGATAATGGAGATGGAGTGATGAATGCTGTGCAGGCCAGATTGGCTAGGAAAACCTTACCAAGGCTCACAGAGCAGGGATTTGTGGAATATGCAGTACTGATGCCATCTTCTGCCGGGGGTAGGTCAAACCATTTGGCACATGGAGCAGATACGGACTGGCTTTTGGCTGGTAACAGAACTCAGAGTGCACACTGTCACTGTGGTGACCACGTGAGGGATAGCATGCACATTTATGGATCTTACAGCCCAACTATCTGTACCCGAAGGGTATTAAGTGCAGGAAAAGGAAAAAATAAATTACCATGGGAAAATGAGCAACCTGGAATCATGGGAGAAAACCAGACCTCCACTTCCAAGGATATAGAGCAGGTATGCTTCTCTAATTTTCTTGAGTCGAAAGTGTGAAGAATTTAAATGAAAATATGCCCGTGATGACTTAAGGGTCAGCCTGCTTGAGGGAAACATGTTATGCTTTGTTTTAAATTGATTTTAAATCCATCTGAATGTTGGTACTCATTATAATGGTACAGATCACAAAGGACCATTTAATAGGCTTCCTGCTTGATAGATTTAATTAAATTTGAGACACATGTGATATAGACAATACCAAGATTCAGTTTTAGTTACTGTAGCATGTCAGTTTATCTCATTCATACAACAAACATTGAATACCTAGTACGTGCCAGATAAAGAGCTAAATTCTGGGAATGAAGATGAGGCCAGTTTCACACAGTATAGGAAAAAGGTCAGACCTGGGAATTAGCAGTTAACAAATTCGTTAAGTGCTAAAGTAGAAATATAAAGAGTCCTGCAGGAATACTGAAGACAGAAAAACTAATTCCACTAGAAAAGTAAAAAAAAAAAAAAAAAAAAAAGGAAAAAGAAAAAGCCTCCACAGAAGATACAACATTTGAACTGAGATTTTCCCCCCAAAGCTTTTATTTAAAAAATTCCAAATCTATAGGTAAGAGTACAATGAATACCCATATACTTCATCTATATTTACCAGTTGTAACATCTTGACATATTTCCTCCATATTTGCTGAACCATTTGAAAGTAAATTGTGGATATCTTGAGATTTCACTCCTAAATATCTCGGCATATATCTCCTAAGAATGACATTCTTCTTTTATAACCATAAATCATTATTGCACCTAAGACTATCAGTAGTAATTCAATAATATGTAACAGACAGCCTGTATTTAAATTTCCCAAATTGTCTCCAAAAGTGTTTTATATTTCTTGTTTTACTTTTATCATCCAGGATCTAGTCAGGGTTCATGTGGTTAATGTCCCTTGTAATTTTATCTAGAATAATATCCTACTTGTTTGTTTCTTTGTTTTTTCATGGCATTGGCCTTTTATAAAAAGAGTTTGGGGTAGTTTTGTAGAATGTCCCAAGTTTTACATTTATATGTTTACTTGATTAGATTCAAAATAAATATTTTTAGGAAAATATTACATAGGAGATACATATATATTAAGTAGAAGATAAGTAGTGTGAACTTCACAGTACATTACATTATGAGGCAAATGATATCAGGCTGTCCCATCACTGGTGATGCTTAATTTTACTGTTTGGATAAGGTGGTAATAGCCAGATCTCTCCATTGTAAAGGTATATTTTCCTCTTTAGAATTAGCATATAATCAGTACAGTGATACTTTGAGACCCTAAGAATACCCCGACAACTTTTCACCCACTGTGTTTAGCATCCACCAATGGTCTTTACCTGTATCATTTATTACACTGGGGGCTTACAAATAGTAATTTTTTTTTTTTTTTTTTTTTTTGAGATGGAGTCTCGCCCTGTTGCCCAGGCTGGAGCGCAATGGCGCAATCTCAGCTCACTGCAACCTCTGTCTCCCAGGGTCAAACGATTCTCCCACCTCAGTGTCCTGAGTAGCTGAGATTACAGGCTCCCACCACCACGCCCAGCTAATTTTTGTATTTTTAGTAGAGACAGGGTTTCACCATGTTGGCCAGGCCTGTCTCAAACTCCTGACCCACCCGCCTCGGCATCCCAAAGTGCTGGGATTACAGGCGTGAGCCACCATACCCAGCCCAAATTGTAATTTTTAAATTACAAAGGCCAGGCAGGGTGGCTCACACCTGTAATGCCAGCACTTTGGGAGGCTGAGGCAGGCAGATAACCTGAGGTCAGGAGTTGGAGACCAGCCTGGCCAACATGGTGAAACCCCCGTCTCTACTAAAAATACAAAAATTAGCTGGGTGTGGTGGCACACACCTGTAATCTCAGCTACTCGGGAGGCTGAGGCAAAAGAATCACTTGAACCCAGGAAGCAGAGGTTGCAGTGAGCTGAGATCACACCACTGTACCCCAGCCTAGGCAACAGAGCAAGACTGCATCTCAAAAATAATAATAATACTAAAATAAATTAATTACAAAAAGAGTAATTTTAAAAAATTGTGACATTTCTTCTCTGTTTACTACCTGCAATTCTTTTTTTCTTGTATGTGTAATAATTACATATTATTTTTTGTTACTAAATTTTTTTTAACTTTTTCATGATAAAATTGTCCCAAATTTAACTAGTGGCTGGCTCCTGTGTCCTTTTAACATGACTGTTCTTTAGTCTTTGATTATTTCCTTAACATAACATTTGGACGATTGCTTGAGGCCAGGAGTTCGAGACCAGCCTGGGCAACATAGTGAGATCCCCATCTCTACAAAAATAAAAAAACTTAGCCAGGCATGGTGGTGCAGGCCTGTAGTCCCAGCTACTTCGGAGGCTGAAGTGGGAGGATTGCTTGAGCCCAGGAGTTCCAGACTGCAGCAGTGAGCCATGATTGTGCCACTGCACTCCAGCCTGCTCAAGAGTGAGACCCAGACTCAAAAACAAAATAAAACAAAACAAGAGTAACATGATGCCTAGCCTTACTTTGGTTTTTTTTTTCTTGCTTCAGACCTGGAATCAGCCATTTTTTTCAGAAGTCCTAGTACTGCCTTTTTATTGGGCAGTGGTATTTGAAAACAAAAGTCTGAGTATAGATTTGCTCATTGCTATTTCTTGCCATTGTGGTTTGACCCTTTCAGTGGACAGAACCAAGGAGTACTTGTTTTTTGTTTGTTTGTTTTTTAATGCATTTATATTAATACCTCCAATTCAAAACTAGTACTGCAGGGTTCTTTCTCATCTTCCTTTATTCCATATTTGAATCTCCCTTCGTTCACAATAAAATCCCTGCTACCCAACATCAGTAATATTTATTCATATGCTGTATCCTACAGTAACCCCCCTCCCCCCACAAAATTGCTAGACCAGCAACAGCAACCAACTACCTACTAAGTAAAGTTTAAGATTTCGTTACAGTTCTTTTTGTATTTAGAATTATTCCACAGTCAGAATTTTGTGGTCAAACTTTTCTTAAATTAAGTCTTTTATCTATGTAATTATTATTCAAACAGCATGATGAAAGATGAATAGGAGCTTGCTAAGTGTGGATAGGTCCCAGTGAATTTCAGACTAAAGGAATAGCGTGTTTAGAGACACTGATTATGTGAAAGAACTTAGCAAATTAATAAGAGAATGGGGAATTTTTGCACAGCAAACACAAGGGGCCTAGTGGGAAGTAGCAGATGATACTGGAGATGTAGATGGGGTAAAGTATGGAGATAATATCTTGCAAATAATGAGTTTGAACCTTCTGCAGTAGACCTCAGATGGGAGGAGGTGAATTGAGTGTTCTCTATGGTTCCTTTCAATCCCAAAACTTGTAGATTTTTTTGGAAATAATTTTCAGATTTATATAATCTGGTTATATGTTATTTCCTTGTATTATAAGCATTATCTGGTAGTGATGATTTTTTTTAAGGCATTACTCTTAAGACTGCTTGTCATGTGTCAAGTCTGAGATGTCAGTGTATATATTATTAAAAAGATTCTGGTGCCGGCCAAAGCAAAAAGAATCTGAAGATAAGTGCATTTCTGAAATGCCAGCATAGACATATTTTGCTTTTGAAAGATGCTGTGGTGTAATTAAAACTTAACCCAGAAATCAAGTTGTAATTACTTGTTCAAAAAAGGTCTTAGAAGAACTATTTTAATAGAGGACAGGGAATAAATATCTAAACAGTTTTATGTGTGCAGTTTAAAAAAAGTATATATACATGCATATTTTAAATTATTAGACTTTATTTTTTATTTATTTATTTTGAGACGGAGTTTCACTCTGTCGCCCAGGCTGGAGTGCAGTGGCGCGATCTCGGCTCACTGCAAGCTCCGCCTCCCGGGTTCACGCCGTTCTCCTGCCTCAGCCTTCCGAGTAGCTGGGACTACAGGCACCCGCCACCATGCCCAGTATTTTTAGTAGAGACGGGGTTTCACCGTGTTAGCCAGGATGGTCTCGATCTCCTGACCTCGTGATCTGCCCGCCTCGGCCTCCCAAAGTGCTGGGATTACAGGCGTGAGCCACCGCGCCCGGCCTGGACTTTAATTTTTAAAGCAGTTTTAGGTTCTCAGCAACTTTCAACAGAGAGTACAGATAGTTCCCATATACCCCTGTCCACACAAGAACAACCTGACCCACCTCATCCGGTACTTTAGGGGTACATTTGTTATAATCAGTGAACCCATATTAACATATAATTATCACCCAAGGCCCATAGTTTACATTAAGATTCACTCTTGTGTTGTACATTCTATGGGATTTTGGCAAATGTATCCATGTCTTATGTTCAGTACATTCTGTGGGGTTTTGACAAATGTATCCATGTCTTGTATCCACCATTATAGTATCATAACAATAGTTTCAGTGCCCTAAATTCTCTGTTCTCTACATGTACATTCTTCCCTCTCTCACCCCATTCCCAAGCCTTAGCAACCAGTGGTCTTTTTTTCTGTCTCCATAGTTTTGTCATTTCCAGAATGTCACATACTTGGAGTTATACAGTAGCTTGCATTTTCAGATTGGTTTCTTTCACTTAGTAATATGCATTTAAGTTTCCTTTATGTCTTTTCATGGTTTGATACCTCATTTCTTTCTTTCTTTCCTTCCTTCCTTCCTTCCTTCCTTCCTTCCTTCCTTTCTTTCTTTCTTTTCTTTCTTTTCTTTTTTTTTTTTTGTGAGACAGCCCAGGCTGGAGTGCAGTGCGATCTCGGCTCACTGCAACCTCTGCCTCCCGGGATCAAGTAATTCTCCTGCCTCAGGCTCCCAAGTAGCTGAGACTACAGGCCCACACCATCATGCCCGGCTAATTTTTTGTATTTTTAGTAGAGACGGGATTTCACCATGTTGGCCAGGCTGGTCTTGAACTCCCGGACTCAAGCGATTGCCCACCTTGGCCTCCTAAAGTGCTGGGATTACAGGTGCAAGCTACCACGCCTGGCCTATCAGATGTATCTTTTGAAAATATTTTCTCCCACTTTGTGTCTTGTCTTCTCATTCTCTTGACATTAACTTTCTCAGAGCAGAAGTTTTAAAGTTTTAATAAAGTCCAGTTAATCAGTTTTTTCTTGCATGGATCATGCCTTTGGTATCATATCTAAAAAGTCATCACCATACCCAAGGTCATCTAGGTTTTCTCCTATGTTATCTTCTAGGCATTTTATAGTTTTACAATTTACATTTAAGTCTATGATCCATTTGGAGTTAATTTTTATGAAGGGTGTCAGGTCTGTTTCTAGATTCATTTTTTTTTACATGTGCATGTTCAGTTGTTGCAGCACCATTTGTTGACAACACTGTCTTTACTCCATTGCCTTTACTTCTTTGTCAAAGATCAGCTGACTGTATTCATGTGGGTCTTTTTCTGGGCTCTTTACTCTGCTCCATTAGTGTGCCTATTTTTGCCCATAACACATTGTCTTGATTACTGTAGCTTTATAGTAAATCTTGAAGTTCCGTAGTGTCAGTCTTCTGACTTTGTTGTTTTCCTTCCATGTTGAGTTCACTCTTCTGGGTTTTTTGCCTCTCTGTATAAACTTTAGAATCAGTTTGTTGATGTCCAAAAAATAAGTTGCTGAGAGTTTGATTGGGATTGCATTGAATCTATAGATCAAGTTGAGAAAAACTAACAGCTTGACAATATTGAGTCTTCCTATCCACAAACATGGATTATCTCTTCATTTATTTAGCTCTTCTTTGATATCTTGCATTGGAGTTCTATACTTTCCTCATATAGATACTGTACATATTTTGCTAAATTTAGATTGAAATATCCTACTTCTGTATGTTAATGTAAATGGTAATTTTTTTTAAATTTCAAATTCCACTTGTTCATTGCTGGTATAGAGGAAAATGCTTGACTTTTGCACATTAACTTTGTGTCCTGCAAGCTTGCTATAATATAATCATTTATTATTCGCAGGAGGATTTTTTTTGTTAATTCTTTGAGACTTTCTATGCAGACAATCATGTCATCTGTGAACAAAGACAATTTTATTTCTTCCCAATCTGTATACTTTTTATTCCTTTTCTTGTCTTATTGCATTAGTTTGAACTTCCAATATGATATTGAAAAGCAGTGATGAGAGAGGACATCCTTGCCTTGTTTCTAATCTTAGTGGGAAAGTTTTGAGTTTCTCATAAATATGATGTTATCTGTATGCTTTCTTGTAGTGTTCGCTATAAAGTTGAGAAAGTTCCCCCTGTATTCCTAGTTTGCTGAGAGTTTTCATCATATATGGATATTAGATTTTGTCTAATGCTTTTTTGCATCTATTGATATAATTATGTGATTTTTCTTCTTAAACCTGATGATGTGATGGGTTATATTAATTGATTTTCAAATGTTGAGCCAGCCTTGCATACCTGGGATAAATTCCACTTGGTTGTGGTGTGTTATTCATTTTGTATATTGTTGGATTCAATTTACTAATATTTTGTTGAGGATTTTCACATGTTTGTTCATAGGTGATATTGGTCTGTGGGGTTTTTGTTTTGTTTTGTTTTTGTTTTTTTTCTTATAAGGTCTTTGCTGGTTTTGGTATTAGGGTAGTGCTGGCCTTTTAGAATGAGTCAGAAAGTATTCTCCCTGCTTCTATATTCTGAAGGTAATTGCAGAGAATTGGTATAATTTTTTCTTTAAATGTTCAGTGGAATCCACCAGTAAACCCATCTGACTCTGGTGCTTTCTGTTTTGGAAGGTTATTAATTATTCAGTTTCTTTACAGATACAGGCCTAGTCAGATTATCCATATCTTCTTGTGTGTGTTTTTACACATTGTGTCTTTCAAGGAATTGATCCATTTTATCTAGGTTACCCAATTTATAAGCATAGAGTTGTTAATAGTATTCCTTTATTATCCTTTTAATGTTTATGTGATTTGTAGTGATAGTCTGTCTTTCATTTCTGATATTAGTAATTTGTTTCTCTGTTTTTCTTAGCCTGACCAGAAGCTTATCAATTTTATTGATCTTTTCCAAGAACCCGAGTTTGTTTTTGTTGATTTTCTGTTGATTTCCTTTTTTCAGTTTCACTGATTTCTATGCAAATTTTTTATTTTTTATTTTTCTCCTGCTCACTTTGGATTTAATTTGCTCTTCCTTTGTTAGTTTCCTAGGATGTGCACTTAGATGATCGATTTTAGATCTTTCTTCTTTTCTAATATATGCCTTCAGTGCCATAAATTTCCTCTAGGCACCGCTTTCACTGCATACCGCAAATCTTGATACATTGTATTTTCATTTATTTCAAAATATTTAAAAATTTCACTTGAGATTTCTTTGACTTGTATGTAACTTAGAAGTGTATTTAGTCTACAAGTATGTTGGGGTTTTCCATCTGTATTCTGTTCTCACATTGCTGTAAAGAACTGAGACAAGGTAATTTATAAAGAAAAGAGACTTCATTGACTCATAGTTCCTCATGGCTGGGTAGACCTCGGAAATTTACAATTATGGCAGAAAGTGAAGAGGAAGGAGTCACGTCTTACATGGCCGGAGAAGGAGGAAGAGAGGGCAGGAGGAGATGCTACACACTTTTAAACAACCAGATCTCTTGATAACTCACTATTATGAGAACAGGAAAGGGGATATCCAACCCCATGATCCAGTCATCCCCCAGCAACCCCTCTTTCAACATTGAGGATTACAATTTGAAATGAGATTTGGGACAGGATACAAACCCAAACCATATCACCATCTTAATTTGGCCTGAGAGCAAATATTGTATGATTTCTATTCTTTTAAATTTGTTAAAGTGTGTGTGTGTTTTTTTTTTGCGATAGAACGTGGTATTTCTTTGTTAGTGTTCCATGTGAATTTAAGAAGAATGTGCAGTCTGTTGTTGGATAAAGTAATCTATAGATGTCAATTACATCTAGTTGATTATGATGTTGTTGAGTTCAACTGTGTCTTTACTGATTTTTCTGCCTGCTGGATCTGTCCATTTCTGATTGAGGGGTAATTAAGTCTCCAACTATAATAGTGGGCTTGTGTATTTTTTCTTGTAATTCTATCAGTCTTTGCCTCATTTAATTTGACACTGTTGTTGGGCACACATTAAGAATTGTTTTGTTTTCTTGGAATATTAATCCTGTTGCTATTATGTGAGGCCCCTCTTTATCCCTGATAACTTTTCTTGCTCTGAAGTCTGCTGTGTCTGAAATTAATATAGCTACTCTTGATTTCTTTTGATTAATGTTAGCATGGTGTACCTTTCTCCATCTCTTTACTTTTAATTTATATCTATCTTTATATTTAAAATGGGTTTCTTGTAGACAGCCTATATAGTAATTACTCATTTAAGTTCCTTGATAGGCTCTTGGAAACCGTGACTTTCAGTGAAATGACATACAGTAAGTCCTCAAATAACGTTATTTTGTTCAACATCATTTTGCTATAATGTTGATGAGGAAAAAAATTGGTTTTGTTATACATCGTTGTGCTTAAAGTGGCAGTCTTGAATAACTTATCAGTAACATTAAGTGAGAACTTACTGAACTTGGGTTTTGTTTTTTGACCACTCTGACAATCTGTCTTTTAATTGTTAGACATTTAAAGAGTTTATTGATATAGTTGGATTAATATCTACCATAATTGTTGTTTTCTATTTGTTGCTCATGATCTTTGTTCCTGTTTTTGTCTTCTGTTTTTTGGCTCCTTGTGGTTTTAATTGAGAATTTAACATGATTCAGTTTTCTCTTCTTTCTTAGCATATCAGTTATGCTGCTGCTCCTTTTTTTTTAAATTACTTTTTTTTAGTAGTTTCCCTAGAGTGTGTAATACACATTTACAACTAACTAATCCACGTTCACTTTCAGTAACAATATACTGCTTCACAGGTAACCCAAGTACCTTATAATAACAGAATATTTGTAATTTCTTCCTCCCTGTCACCTGTTTAATGCTGTCATTCATTTCATTTATACATAAACACACAGACACACACATAAGCATACATAATCAAATACATTGTTGCTATTATTATTTTGAATGATTTTCTGTTAGATCTGTTAAAAATATGAAAAATAAGTTTTTTTTTTAACCTTTACTTATTCTCCTCCAGTGTACTTTCTCTCTCTCTCTCTCTCTATATATACATATATATATATCTCTCTCCAGGTTTTTGACCTATATAATTTTCCTTTTCTCTGAAAAACTTCAATGTTTCTTACAAGGCAGGTCTTACTAACAACAACTTCTTTCAATTTCTGTTTGTCTGAGAATGTCTTTATTTTTCTTCACTTGTGAAAGATTATTTCCCAGGGTATAGACTTCTAAATTGATGGGTTTTTTTTTTCTCTCAATACTTTAAATATTCCAATCCACTTTCTTCTTCTTTGTATGGTTTCTGAGAAGTTAGATGTAATTCTTATCTTTGCTCCCCTATAGGTAATGTTCTGTTTTGTTTTGTTTTTCCTTTATCTTCTTTCAGGATTTTTCTTTATTTTTGATTTTTTGTAGTTTGAAGATGATATGCCTAGGTGTAGTTTTTCTGACCTTTCTCCTGGTTTTTCTCTGAGTTTCCTAGATCTGTGGTTAGGTTTCTGACATTAATTGGGGGAAATTCTCAGTAATTATTGCCTCAAATATTTCCTCTATTCTTTTCTATATTCTCTTCCTAGTAATCCCATTATACATATGTTACACGTTTTGTAGTTTTCCCACAGTTCTTGTATATTCTCTTCTCTTTTTTTCAGGCTTTTTTCTTTCAGTTTTGGAAGTTTTTATTGTCACATCCTCAAGCTCAGAGATACTTTCCCCAGCTATGTCCAGTTTACTAATGAGCCCATTAAAGGCATTCTTTCTTTCTGTTACAGTGTTTTTGATTTCTAGGTTTCTTTTGTGTTCCTTCTTAGAAGTAACGCTTCATGACTTATATTATCCTTTTGTTCTTACATGTTGTCTTTTTTCATTATAGCCCTTAGTATATTAATTATAGTTTTAGAAAATTCTGGTATGTTAACTTCAACATTCCTGCCATATCCAATTCTAGTTATGATGCTTGTTCTGTCTTTTCAGACTTTGTTTTTCCCTTTTACTGTGCCTTATTATTTTTTGTTGATAGGTAGACATAATGTAAGTAAAAGGAACTGTGGTAAATAGTTTTTTAGTAATATACTGTTAAGGTGTGGGAGGTGGGGAAGTGATCTATAGTGCTTTAATTACACTTTTGATGAGCGTAATTTTATGGTTGGCATAAAATATCTTAGCATTTTAAAAAAGAGAATTCTTGATGCCTTTACCCCTTTCGGTGTGTGTGTCTGGAAAAAAAAGTTAATACAACATTCCTGCCATATCTGATGCTGGTTCTGATGCTTGTTCTGTCTCTTCAGACTTTGTTTTTACCTTTCACTGTGCCTTATAAATTTTGTTGACAGGTAGATGTGATATACTAAATAAAAGAACTGTGGTAAATAGGTCTTTAGTAATGTACAATTAAGGTGAGGGAGGGGGGAAGTGTTCTGTAGTGCTTTAATTACACTTTTGATGAGTGTAATTTTATGGTTGGCTCTCCCAATTTCTTTAGCATTTTAACAAAGAGATTCTTGCTTCCTTTACCCCTCTCTGTGTATATTTTTTATATACCAGAAAGCAATAATTTTGCTCCAAATTGCTAAATGATTAAAAACAGAATTTTCCCCTTTCTGTGTATGTTTTCATTAGCCACTTTGACACAGATCAACTGAAAACATCCAATAACTACATTATACTGGAATGAATGAACTCAATGGATGCCCCCCCACCAGGTGAAAGCCTAAACATAATATAAAAATAAATACTGAGTTGAAGCAAGTTTTATTTTCTGTTAGAGGGAATAGCTATGTCTAATATAAGTTAATAGATTGTATTAGTTTTAGTGTCTTTGAAGGGCAGTGTGCATCTTGTTAAAGGACTTAGGTTCCATATTTTCTCCATATTCCATATTCTTTATTTCCTAAACCACCGTTCCCCTTTTTTTGTTTGTTTGTTTTGTTTTGGATGGAGTTTCACTCTGTTGCCCAGGCTGGAGTGCAGTGGTGAGATCTTGGCTCACTGCAACCTCTGTCTCCCAGGTTCAAGCCATTCTCCCACCTCAGCCTCCCGGATAACTGGGATTACAGGTGCATGTCACCACTTCTGGCTAATTTTTGTATTTTTAGTGGAGACAGGGTTTCACCATGTTGGCCAGTCTGGTCTTGAACTCCTGACCTCAGGTGATCCACCTGCCTCAGCCTCCCAAAGTGCTGGGATTACAGATGTGAGCCATCATGCCCGGCTTCCCCTGCCTTTTTTTTTTTTTTTAATGAAGTGGGTTTGAACCATTTTTTTTTTTCAAGTGACTCAAAACAACACAGCTTTGGTATTAGGACAACTCCCTTGTTAACAATATAAGAATATTGGATATAATATTTTGGTAGTATTGAGAGTGCCATGATTTATAAAATCTTCTTAGTGAAGTCAACTGGTGACTACATTTAGTAGTTTTCTAGCCCTGTTTATAGATTTTTTTAAAATTATGAGATATGGTAAAGATAAAATGATTCCTAGATCAACTATACTGATTTCAGAATTGGTCTTTCTAAGAATGAATCTGATCTTGTAACCCACCTTTCAGAGTTCTCAAATCTCACCCCGATAACACTCACTTTGATTAACATCTTTCATTGGCTCCAACAATCTTCAAGATAAAATACAGAATTCAGTAATAGCCCCCTTTCCCCTTACTGCTTCCACAAAAATTGCCCTATCCTTATTCGTTGCCTATCTACATTTAACCTATTGATTTTCTGGCCTTACATATGCTGGTCATTGCCTAGATTGCCCTTCCATATCCATCCTCTGACCCCTTTTTCCAGATAACATCTAATCCTTTGTTGCCTTATCTGAAGTCTTCTTTCATCACGTGCCCCATCTCATCCTAAGCTTTCCCTATCACAGTGCTTACTATTACAGTGAATTGAAATTTATTCTTCACAAGTCTTATTTCCCACTATACTCTGAGCACATTGAGAACAGAGATTATTTTAATCTTAGTATCCAGTATCTTTAGCACAGTGCTTGGCACACAGGAGGCACTTGAAGATGTTTGTTCAGTGAATTAAAGTTATCTCAAGTGTAGATCATTTATTTAATCAACCTTTACCTTTAAAAAAAAACTCTTAAAATAATACCTGAAATGTGATGTTATTAAATGTTTTAAACTTTTAGCTACCAGTCATCATGTGTATAGTCAATAAGACCAGCACATGATACTGGGGTTCTTATGTCTTATGTGAAAATCAGTGGTGAACATTTTGTTTTTAATAGTAAATTTAAGAATATGAAAGTGCTTCTTTGGTCCTATATTCTTACAGTTTCCTTCAGAAATAGTTTCGATGTCAGTTACTCCCAGAAGTATCTCTCCTTGCTAACTAGATTGGTTTACTAGCTCTCTACTTCTAAACCTAAAAATTAGTATTTTAAAAATACCAGAAAGCAATAATTTTGCTCAAAATTGCTAACGATTAAAAGCAGAACATTAAGTATACAATTATGTTAAATTGTTTTATTTTTAGTAATTGAGTGAAATTATGTGATTTCATTTCTAAACATATTTTTCTAAAACAAAGTAAAATTAATCAATGTAGCTATCAAATGCATCTAACTCTTCATATTCTGCTTTATATATATGATTGATTGACTAGAAATAAAATAATTTGGGCCTTCTGAAGCCTTAGCATAAATTGAAGAAAATTAGACAGACTTTTTTTTTTTTTTTTTTTTTGAGATGGAGTCTTGCTCTGTTGCCCAGGCTGGAGTGTAGTAGTGTGATCTCAGCTCACTGCAAGCTCCACCTTCCGGGTTCACGCCATTCTCCTGCCTCAGCCTCCCTAGTACCTGGGACTACAGGCACCCGCCACCATGCCCAGCTAATTTTTTTTGTATTTTTAGTAAAGACGGGGTTTCACCGTGTTAGCTGGGATGGTCTTGATCTCCTGACCTCATGATCTGCCCGCCTTGGCCACCCAAAGTGCTGGGATTACAGGCGTGAGCCACAGCACCCGGCCAAGACTGACTTTTTAAATAGAAAAATTCATAGCTCTTCCTATGAGACCCCACACAGAGAAATTTTAAATATGTTGGCCTTAAAGGTGTTAAATGTATGACATGCTTTAGACTTCTTTTTTTGAAACAGAGTCTCACTCTGTCACCCAGGCTGGAGTGCAGTCGTATGAGCTGCACTTGCAGCTCACTGCAACTTCCACCTCCCAGGGTCAAGCGATTCTCCTGCCTCAGCCTCCCAAGTAGCTGGGACTACAGGCGTGTGCCACCATGCCCAGCTAATTTTTTTTGTATTTTTTAGTAGAGACAGGGTTTCACCATGTTGGCCAGGCTGGTCTCGAACTCCTGAGCTCAAGCAATCCTCCCTCCACTGCCTCTGAAAGTGCTGGGATTACAGGCATGAGCCACTGTGCCTGGCCTAGCCTTCTTTTTGAAAAGAACTGGGCAGCACCACGTGAGCTGATTTAAGGGAAATAAAAATGGTTTCCGTTTTTATAATTGCTAACATGAGATTTTGAGGATAATTGGTGATTTGTGTGCTTGAAAACTGTAATGGCAACATTCACAAAATCGTTATAAGTTTTTAAAGATATGTGTATGGGCATATGCTTTCTGGAAAAGAGGGCACTGATAAAAGTAGTTTGAGAATCATGAAGAGTTAAGTTACCTCATTGGAGCAAAATACGAGGTATAGTTAGTTTTCTCCTCTCCTCCCAAATTCCACTGTGCCCTCCAAAAAAGGTGGAGCAGATTACAAAGGACAGTTGGCTGTTTGGAAAAAGAAAAAAAAATGTTTAGCTGATATTATCATTTAGTCTTTTTCAGTGAATACTAACCATACATGTATGACATATATATAAAAATGAGATTTTTGTGCCTAAATGTTTCTAATTTACTTAGACAAAAATGTGAAGATTAAAAGATAATATAGCAAATTAGAGATTTAAACATCAAATTACTGATAGAAGCAGTAGTTACTAAAAGAAGATCAAAACCAGGAGCAGTGGCACATGCCTGTAATCCCAACACTTTGGGAGGCCAAGGCAGAAGGATTGCTTGAGCCCAGGAGTTTGAGAGCAGCCTGGACAATATGGTAGGACTCTAAAAAAATACAAAAATTAGCCAGGCATGGTGGCACATGTCTATAGTCCCAGCTACTTGGGAGACTCAGGTGGAGGATCACTTGAGCCTGGGAGGTCGAGGCTGTAATAAGCTGAGATCATAGTGTCACTGCACACTAGCCTGGGAGACAAAGTGAGACCTTGTCTCAAAAATTAAAAAAAAGAGAAAAAAAAAAGAAGAAGAAGATCAAGAGCCAGGCATGGTGGCATATACCTATAGGCCTGTAGTCTCAGCTCCTCAGGAGGCTGAGACAGGAGGATCATTTGAGCTCAGGAGTTCAAGGCCAGACTAGTCAACATTGCAAGATCCCATCTCTCTCTCTTTTTTTTTTTAATGTCACTAACCAATCCTACATGTGGACAAAATAGAAATAACAGATAAAAAAAAAAGGTTAGAGTAAGATGAATTTTGATATAACAATTAGGAGTCAAAATACTGGATTCTAGTACCAGTTTAGCTTTGTGATTGTGGACTTGACATAAATTTTGTATCCCTAATTTGCTTACCTATAAGTCACCATTAATAATAATAATAATAATACTGTTTTCAAAGGCAGCTATTCTTCTTCCTGCTGCTGTAACAAAATGTCTTAGACTGGGTAATTTATAAACAATAGACATTTATTGCTCCCAGTTCTGGGGACTGGGAAATCCAAGATCAAGGCATTGGCAAATTCAGCGTCCAGTTAAGGCTCTCTGCTTCATAGACAGCACCTTCTTGCTGTGTCCTTATGGGGTGGAAGGGACAAACAAGCTCCCACAGGCCTGTTTTATAAGGGCACTAATCCCATACTTGAGGGTGGAGCCCTCATGACCTAATCACCTCCCAAAGGCCCTACCTCTTACTACCATCACGTTGGGGATTAGATTTCAACATGATTTTTAAGGGGACACTTATTCAGACTATTGCAGCAGCTAACTCTTAAATAGCACTTACTCTATGCCAGGCATTATTCTATACACAAAGGTTAAATAACTTCCTTAAGGTCTCTTAGCTAGTGAGTGGCAGAGCTGATTTGAATGTAGGCAAAATGACTCCAGAGTTGGTGCCTTAACCATTTCACTATCAAATGATCTATAACTAACCTCTTTTCTCTGTACAGATTTTTTCATTTGAGCACCTTGGGAAATTAGCAGAGAGTTCCTGAAAAAGGTGAATGTGACCTGCTTCTTGACAGGAGCTAAGGCTTCAAATGGTCAGGAAGGTAAAATGCATTCCTGGCAAGGGAGATGGCTTGAAGAGATGGCATAAGGCATGATACAAGAGTGTGCTTAGTATGTGATTCCTTTGGAATCCTCAGCTCCTAATGAACCACTGAGCCTCAGAGCAAAGTATATTAGTGTTATAATATTGAAAAAAAAATCTAGACTATGGATAACCTTATTTAGTAGCTGAAGCTGGCCTCCTCTGTAGTCTTAAGACTCCACATAGCAGGTCTCAGTACTTCCTTTTATGTATGTCACATATTCATGTGTCCTCCATACTCAGTTACAGGTCTGGCTCCTGGCCTGATTTGTACTGGCTCTTGGCCAGGCTCTCTGCTTTAACATTTACAGTCCACTGTTAATCTGTTATTTCTATCTTGTCCACATGTAGGATTGGTTAGTGACATTAAATACAAAATTTCCAGAAAAAAAATCATGAATATTTCAATTACATACTCCTGTAGCTCATTTTGGAGATAAATAGACCAGTTTGTTTGGAAGGATGATTTTTTAAATGTAATAGTGGCAGGCCGGGCGGGTGGCTTACACTTGTAATTGCACCACTTTGAGAGGTCAGTGTGGGTGAGGGAAGCGGAGCAGATCACTTGAGGTCAGGAGTTTGAGACCAGCCTGGCCAACATAGTGAAACCTTGTCTCTAGTAAAAATACAAAAATTAGTTGGGCATGGTGGCATGCACCTGTAATCCCAGCTACCCAGGAGGCTGAGGCAAGAAAATCACTTGAACCCAGGAGGCAGAGGTTGGAGTGAACCCAGATGGTGCCACTGCACTCCAGCCATGGCAACAGAGTGAGACTCGGTCCCCACCCTGCCAAAAGTAGTAGTGGGAAATATGATTACAAGAGTGAGGCAGGGGCTAGATTGGAGACTCTTGAATACCATGCTAAGGAATTTAACCTGTTATTTTGACAGTAATTTCAGATTGCTGGAGGGTTTTTGTTTGTTTCTCTTTTGGGGGAGGGGGTCTTTTCTTTTTAAAACAATGTTTAGAAAAATTAATCACAAAAGCAGCAATGTGTAGTTTAAACCAATTAGATACTTATTAGACTGATTTAGATGTGAGTTGTTCAGTTTTATGAGGATTAGCAGGGTATCAGGATTAGGAAAAAAGGGATGGATGCAAGAGATATTTCAAAGGATTTAGTGACTAAGTGTTGGAGGAGAGGAGAGGGAGGAATAACTAAAATTTGAACAAAGTAACTAAACTCATCATAGGTCCATGAAGAGATAAGAAAGTCTAGAAGTAGGAAATTAATTTGGGGGGAAATATGAATTTTTGGTGAAGGAAGATAGAATATTCTACTTGAATTAGAAGACTGTTATTTAAGAGACATGAATATAGCTGGAGATATAGATTCTGGAAGTCGTGTGCTGAAGTAATTGCTAAAACTGTGAGAATGGATGGGCTGTCCAGTGAATGACATACAGAACGAGAGAGAGAGGGTAAGATCAAATCTTGTTATATAAACCCATTTAGAGAATAGCAGTAGGAGATATAACCAAATAAAGCAAAGAGAAGTGTGCCCACGAGTTGGAAGAGAGCCAAGAAAGAAATAGGTTTTAGAATCAAAGTGGTGAGGGAGTTTCAAGGAGTCATCAGTGTTAAATGTGGCACAGAGCTTGGGGAGAATGAAAATTGGAAAGCACCATTTGTTCTTATACATTACAGCCTACTACTTGTAAAGTGATTTTTGAAGGTACTTTTCTCTTAATTTTATCTTTCTTAATGTCCTCTTAAGTTTTCTGATTGTAAAAAAGTTATACATGCTCATTATAGAAAATTTGAAAAATATGGGAAAGCACAGAGGAAAAGTTTGTGCTTTTTTGTATTTCAAAAAATTAATCTCACTCCTAGAGGTCTACAATTAATAATTTGTTTCCTATGCTTTCAGTATAATTTCAGTTTATGAATACAAGGTATAGATTCTTCTATCCATCAGTGAAAGCTTCCCCTTTTTCACTTACTTTTTTTTTTTTTTTTTTTTGAGATGGAGTCTCCCTCTGTTGTCCAGGCTGGAGTGCAGTGGCGCCATCTTGGCACACTGCAAACTCCACCTCTCAGGTTCAAGTGATTCTCCTACCTAGCCTCCTGAATAGCTGGGATTACAGGGGCACGCCACCACGCCTAGCTAATTTTTGTATTTTCAGTAGAGGTGGGGTTTTGCTATGTTGGCCAGGCTGGTCTTGAACTCCTGGCCTCAGTGTGATCCTCCCACCTCTGCCTCCCAAAGTACTGGGATTACAGGCATAAGCCACTGCACCTAGCCTGAACATTTTTTTCTTTAACATCAAATAATCTGTAATGGGATTTTTGATAGCTATTTAATATTATATAATATCGTGGTGTGTTTAACTTATCTCTTACTTTGGAATATTTAGACTTTTAATTCTGTTTTTGTTTCTGCTATTTAGTGGATTCTTTTTGTGCTCTGACATATTACAGATTGATAACCAGATTACTATGATATTTCAAGTTTGCATCTCTTTCTATGTATTTAGGAGTGTTTTAATGGGTTAGTGGCATCAAGTAAATCAGACATCATTAGCTGGCTACCATTTAGCTTTATTTTTCCTAACAGATTTCACTACAATGTGGTAGGAATCATAGTAGTCAGTAACCTAGACTAAAAAGTAAGGAGTATACTTGCTTCATGTGTATGTGGGCACGAGGTCTGTAGTTTTTTCAAGGTAGAGGAATTGATTATTGGAAGGTCACTGGGACATATAAAAGGGCAGTTTTAGTAGACTGTTACAGGCGGAGACCAAATTTAAAAGTTTATGAGGTGAATTGATGAGGAAACAGGCAGTAAGAAGTTATTCAGCATCTGTCTTTTTAATCATCTAATTTGTGCAAAACTGAGTGGGAGTTTATAAACTACTCTTTATAGCACTGCCGTAGGATTTTTGCCTCATTTAGTATTTAGCACATGTGAGTCATTTATTCCTTCTTCTCAATGATGGTAAACAGTATGATGGTAGGGACTGTTTTATTTTTTTGTTTAATTAGTTTTTGTTTTTGTAACAGCACTAACTACAGTGCTCTTCCCACAAATATCAACAAATACCTGTTAAATAAGAAAACATTTAAGGGTTTGACAGTGAAAGAAAAGACCAAGCAAGATAACAGCACAGGGATATAACAGGATAAGTTATTACTGTGCTTTATTTTTAAGTAAGGAACACCTGATTTGGAAGAGTCAGAAAGGAGCCATCTGTGAATTAAACATGCCGACTCTGTGTCTTTATTATGGTAGGTGTTAAACATGCAAAATGCAGGAGATTCAGTCTCTGCAGTCATACTGGAGAGGGAAAGGAAAGGAGATATGTTCCTAACTAAAGATTAAATGGGTCAAGAACACAAGTATAGAGAGAGGTTAGCTTTGGGATAGAGGAGGAAGTCTTTTTCTCTGAAGTTAAAGGAAAAACAAAGAGAAGATGACTTAAAATATTAAAAATTTTTGAGGTAGCAGGAAAGGGTGTGTGTTTTAAGTCAAAAGAAAGGAAGATATGAGTTTAGTGCAGTGTTTATCAAATTTTAATATGCAAATGAATTGCCTTAGGATCTTGTTAAAATACAGATTCTGATTTAGTTTGTCTAAACTGGGGCCTGAGCCTATATGTCAAATAAGCTCCTAGGTATTGCTGATGCTGGTGGTCTGTGAACCACTTTGTGAGAACAAGGCTTCCAGATTCTGTTAAACTAAGGGGCAATTAAAAATGAAAAATAGAACATTAGAGATTTTAAGAATGTGGGATTTAGAACAGTTAATATAACAAATTTGATAAGAAATTAGAAAAACTAAAATTATTAAATTGTACTAATGTGTTTGGTATGGGTTAATCCTAAAACTTGAGATTTTCCTTGGATGTTGGATTGTTTCTGAAAAGATTTAATTTTCTTTTTAAAATTATATTGTGATGCATGAAGAGTTTTAAAAACTTTTATTTTTTATGCTTGTGAAAATCATAAACGACACAAAAGCATATCTACTCTTAGTGTAAATGTTGCTTATGTCAGAGCTATGTAGAATGAACTGTTGGCAACAGGATATTTTACAGCAGAAAATGTAGAAGCTACTACCGGTATGTAAGTTTTTTGAGGCATTTGTTTTAGTCACCTTGCATGAATAGTGGGTAAACTAATTAAAATTTGGAGAACAATAAGAATATTAATTGCTATTTTATTTTTCATGTGGAAATTGAATTTAAGAAAGAGTTTATAGGACAAAACTTGTTATTACCTTAACATATGATTATGAGATATGTGTCTACAGATAAATGTTACAATGTTTATTAAGAGTAACAGTATTTAAAGCAAAGTAAGAAAGTGAGAATATCCATATCTTTTAGAAGAAATAAAGCGGTTAAAATGATTTAAAACAGACTAAAGACATGGAAAATATTTTAATGGTACATAATAATAATAATATTAAAAATATATCCATTTTTGTGAACTCACCATTTCTGTGATTGTTAATATATCTTTAGACACATACAAACATGGAATTAGATAACATCTAAAATTTCAAAAATTTTAAATAAATTTAAACATAATTAACCTTAAAAGTATATTAAATAAGACAATGTATATATTATATTTATTGTTATCATCTTAAAAAAGCTGTAACAGCTAGAGGCAGTGGCTTGTGCCTGGAATCCCAGCAATTTGTGAGGCTGAGGCTGGAGGATCACTTGAGGCCTGGGCAATATACGAGACCCTGTCTCTAAAAAAAAAAAAATGCAAATAAATTAGCTGGGCGTGGTAGTGAGTGCCTGTAGTCCCAGCTGCTTGGGAAGCTGACGTAGAAGGATCGATAGAGCCCAGGAGTTCAGGTGTGCAGTGAGCTATGATCGTGCCACTGCACTCCAGCCTGGGTGACAAAGTGAGACCTCATCTCTAAAAAAAATAAAAATAATTAAAAATAATAATTAAAAAAGAAAATGGAAAAAAGAGCTATACCAGTTCCCTTAATAATGGGCAAAGCATATCGATTACCTTGTATACATATTTCTATTTCCCTGTAACTTTTGTACCTAGGAAAATGTCAGCTTTATGTATTAAATACAACTTTACCCAAATAAACCAACTTTTGTTTCCTGTCAGACACAGAGAAAACCAAAAGTCATGTAACCAAAACTATCTTTTTTTTTTTCTGAGATGGAGTCTCGCTCTGTCACCCAGGCTGGAGTGCAGTGGCGCAATCTTGGCTCACTGCAACCTCTGCCTCCCAGGTTCAAGTGATTCTCCTGCCTCAGCCTCCTGAGTAGCTGGAATTACAGGGGTGGACCACCACGCCTGGCTAATTTTTGTATTTTTAGTAGAGACGAGGTTTCACAATGTGGGTCAAGTTAGTCTCGAACTCCTGACTTTGTGAACCGCCCGTCTCGGCCTCCCAAAGTGCTGGGATTAACAGGCGTGAGCCATTGTGCCTGGCTTTCAGATCCTTTTTAAGCGGCAAAAATAAGCATGTGTGTTAACATCATCCCAAAGCATATATGTATCCTTTAACTCAGCAGTCCCCAATCCTTTTGGAATCAGGGACCAGTTTCATGGAAGATAATTTTTCCATAGACTAGGGGGTGGGGGATGGTTTCAGGATGAACCTGTTCCACCTCAAATCATCAGACGTTAGATTCTTAGAAGGAGTGTGCAACCTAGATTCCTTGCATATGCAGTTCACAATAGGGTTTGTGCTCCTATGAGAATCTAATACCACCGCTGATCTGACAGGAGGCAGAGCTCAGGCAATAATCCCAGTGATGGGGAGCTACTGTAAATACATTTGAAGCTTTGCTCCCTTGCCCGCCGCTCACCTCCTGCTGTGTGGCTGGGTTCCTAACAGGCCAGGACCAGTAGCAGTCCATGGCCCAGGAGTTGGGAAACTCTGCTTTAACCTATTCATTGGTTATTCTATGATGTATAAATATAAGACACAAGAGTAAATTATAAAAACAAGTTTGATGATCAGTGATTTGCATTTTTATCTTAATTAGAAATTGTTCAGGATCTAAAGAGTTTTCATTAATTCAATTTTAGTCCAAAATCTTAAAGTTAGCTAAGGGTCTGAAAATTACAATAGAAGCTGATATATTAAGCATTATAAGATTTATGGCATTATAAGAATTGACCTATTTTTATAAAGGTATTGTCTTATAAAACTTAGTTGAAGACATGATTTTACAATTTTGTATTTTGAAAGTAGTGTTGTTAATGTATACAATCTGTGAAACCATTAGAGGAAATTTAAGAAATTTAAGTTAATTAGGTTTTTCTGAGAAAAACCTATGGTACAGCTTGCACAACTATATCATACTAATATTATTCTTACATGGTGGTAAAATCTAGACAAATAACTGTTTTTAAGCAAGTATAATTTGTCCAAAGAGTTATCTTAATTAGATGACTTATGTGAACTTTTTTGTTGTTGTTAGAGACAGAGCCTTGCTCTGTTGCTCATGCTGGAGTGTAGTGGCATAATCATAGCTCACTACAACCTCAAACTCCTGGGTTTGAGCGATCCCCCTACCTCAGCCTCCCGAGTAGCTAGGACTACAGGCTGGGGCCAACATACCCAGCTAATTTTTTAATTTTTCATAGAGACAAGATCTTGCTCTGTTGCCTGTTGCCTAGGCTGGTGTTGAACTGCTGGCCCCAAGTGATCCTTCTTCCTTGGCCTTCCAAAGTGCTGGGATTACAGGCATGAGCCACCACTCCTGGCCCAACTTTTTCTAAACAATTATATGCCAGATACTACAGATACTAAAACTTTGAAGTTTATTAAGAATTTTTTTTTTCTTGTTCTTTTACCAAGTGACTGAGGTATTTAAACTCAAAACTAACCTGTGTTGGCTGGGCGCGGTGGCTCGAGCCTGTAATCCCAGCACTTTGGGAGGCCCAGGCGGGCAGATCACGAGGTCAGGAGATTGAGAACATCCTGGCTAACACGGTGTAACCCCATCTCTACTAAAAATACAAAAAATTAGCCGGGCGTGGTGGCGGGTGCCTGTAGTCCTAGCTCCTCGGGAGGCTGAGGCAGAAGAATGGTGTGAACCCAGGAGGCGAGCTTGCAGTGAACCGAGATTGCGCCACTGCACTCCAGCCTGGGCGACAGAGCGAGACTCTGTCTCAAAAAAAAAAAAAAAGAAAGAAAAAAGAAAAAAAAATGTTGTTGCCAAAATGTAAATTGAGGTGAAAACACAGTTTAGTTTTAGCCTGCCACCACACCCGGCTAATTTTTTGTATTTTTAGTAGAGACGGGGTTTCACCATGTTGGCCAGGATGGTCTCGATCTGACCTCGTGATCTGCCCGCCTCGGCCTCCCAAAGTGCTGGGATTACAAGTGTGAGCCACTGTGCCCAGCCATAACATTTTTTTTTCTTAAAGAGACAATATATTTAAAATACATAAAAAGTAAAAGAAACTACTATCAGAGTGAATAGGCAACCTACAGAATGGAGAAAATTTTTGCAATCTACTCATCTGACAAAGGGCTAATATCCAGAATCTACAAAGAACTCAAACAAATTTACAAGAATAAAACAAACAACCCCATCAACAAGTGGGCAAAGGATATGAACAGACACTTCTCAAAAGAAGACATTTGTGCAGCCCACAGACACATGAAAAAATGTTCTCATCACTGGCCATCAGAGAAATGCAAATCAAAACCACAATGAGATACCATCTCACACCAGTTAGAATGGCAATCATTAAAAAGTCAGGAAACAACAGGTGCTGGAGAGGATGTGGAGAAATAGGAACACTTTTACACTGTTGGTGGGACTGTAAACTAGTTCAACCATTGTGGAAGTCAGTGTGGCGATTCCTCAGGGATCTAGAACTGGAAATACCATTTGACCCAGCCATCCCATTACTGGGTATATACCCAAAGGACTATAAATCATGCTGCTATAAAGACACATGCACACGTATGTTTATTGTGGCACTATTCACAATAGCAAAGACTTGGAACCAACCCAAATGTCCAACAATGATAGACTGGATTAAGAAAATGTGGCACATATACACCATGGAATACTATGCAGCCATAAAAAATGAAGAGTTCATGTCCTTTGTAGGGACATGGATGAAGCTGGAAACCATCATTCTCAGCAAACTATCGCAAGGACAAAAAACCAAACATCACATGTTCTCACTCATAGGCAGCAATTGAACAATGAGAACACTTGGACACAGGAAGGGGGACATCACACACTGGGGCCTGCTGTGAGGTGGGGGGAGGGGGGAGGGATAGCATTAGGAGATATACCTAATGTAAATGATGAGTTAATGGGTGCAGCACACCAACATGGCACATGTATACATATGTAACAAACCTGCACATTGTGCACATGTACCCTAGAACTTAAAGTATAAAAAAAAATCGTAAAAGCTTTTGAGTTTTATTTAATCCAATATGATATAAGCACTTAACGTATTAATATGATGTTTATGAGCCAATTGAAACAGCTTGTTCCAGCTAATTTTATCCTGATTTATTAATACTGCCCATAGGGTAGACAGTATATATCAATTTGTGTGCTCAAAAAATATTTCATTCTCATGAAATAACAAATTTTTCTCTTTTTTATAACATAGATAATCTAATTTTGATTAACCAGCAGAATTTAAGATGGAAGCAGGTACCAAACTATTAGGAATGTTGATCAGTTAAAGAGACAAAAACATATATTCCTTGTAGCAGAAGTATTATTGTTGAGTGGTAGTTTCAAATATGTTTTCATAAATTCTTTGAGATTCTTCCTTTGAAGAGTTGGAGTCTAATTCCCCTCTGAGTGTGTTTGGATTTAATATAGCTCATTTCTAACAACTGAAGTAGAAGTAATAGTGTGTGATTTCAGAAACTAGGTCATAAAAAGGCACTGCAGCTTCCATGTCAGTTGCTCTCGCTCACTTGACTTGCTCTGAAGGAAGCCAGCTGCCATGTCTTGAGTAGCCCCTTGGGAGGCCCAAATGGCAAGGAACAGAGGCTTCCTGACAGTAACCACGTGAGTGAACTTCAGTGATTTTCAAGTATCAGTCAAGCCTTCAGTTGACAACAGCCTAGCTAACATTTTGATTGCAGCCTTAGAGTAACCTGAAACATCCAGCTAAGCCACTTAGCCAGAATCAACCAGCTAAGCTGCTTCCAAATTCCTGTTCCACTGAAAAAGAGATAACAAGTGTTTGTTGTTTTAATCTACCATTTAGGGATAACACATTAAACAGCAATACATAATGATAGTTGTAATTCCCAAAAATTTGATAAGACACTTTTTTTCGATGTCCATATCTTATACAATGACATTGAATTTTCTGTGTTTTTAAAATGCTGAACTTGCCTAAGATTTGGAAAACTGTTAAATATTATTTTATTTGGCTTTTGGAAGACATTTTTCTGACTCACTTCATCTAATTTATAATTAAATAAATGTTTTCACCATCCGTTCTTTAGCTTTAGAGTTCCGAAGTAATGTTAATTTGCAGTTATTCAATTATTTGTAGAAATCAAAGAAAACTGATCATTGAATGTTATAAATTTTGTTTCCTTTCTTCTGTGGTATAGAATTCCATTTTTGTAGACAGTGACAGGTAGGGTCCATAATAAGCAAACATGAAAAAGCCTTGAGTTTTGGAAGGAGAAGAGTAAAGGAGCAGCCTATATCAGTACATTAAAAAAAAAAAACTGTATTAGTCCATTCTCATACTACTATAAAGAATCAGCATTTTGTTCAAAACCACAAGTCTCTAGGAAGTTCCAGGCTTTTCCACATCTTCCTGTTTTCTTCTGAGCCCTCCAGACTGTTCTAGCCTCTGCCTGTTACCCAGTTCCAAAGTCACTTCCACATTTTCAAGTGTCTTTATAGCAGTACCTCACTACCTCAGTACCAATAAACTATAATAGTCCATTCTTACACTGCTATAAAGAACTGCCCAAGACTGGGTAATTTATAAAGAAAAGAAGTTTAATTGACTCACAGTTTTGCATGGCTGGGGAGGCCTCAGGAAACTTACAATCATAGTGGAAGGAGAAGAGGCACATCTTACATGGCAGCAGGTGAGAGAGAGCGAATATGTGAAAGAGGAACTGTCAGACACTTGTAAGACCATCAGGCCTCATGAGAATTCACTATCATGAGAACAGCATGGGGGACATGGTCCCCATGATCCAGTCACCTCCCACCAAGTCTCTCCCTTGATATGTGGGGATTATGAGGATTACAATTCAAGACAAGATTTGGGTAGGGACACAAAGTTTAACCATATCATAAACATAAATGAAAAGACAATAAGGAAAGCAGATTCTAGATTCCCTGCCAGGTGCCACCTGACTATACTATCATCCAGCAGAAATCACCAAATAGACCGTAAAATCAAAACCCAGTTTCACCCACTGCTGCCGTCTGTGTGAACACAATTGTCCATGTGCTCAGTCAGAATCAGCCTTTGCCAAGAATATAGTTGCACACATATCTTTGTGTATTATATTGTGGCACATGAGCCACATTGCTCAGTCACTTATATGAGGAAAGTTTAACTGAGAACTCAAGACTCTAGGTCTCAGAAAGGATGCACTTTCAGGCCACATGTTTAACTCTCCTGTTTGGACTCAGAGGGACAATATATTAGTGAAATCTACAGAAATAAATGTCAAACAAAGAATCAGAGACATTTAGTTGGTTATTTCACACACTAGTTATTTTGCATGCAGTTTGCAATATTTTTTCCTCTCTTTGATCAGTCCTGGTTCTTCCTTGATTCAGCTGATTACCTTACTTTTAGCATGTATGAAAACAAACTGCACACAAAATAGCTAAATAGTCTGTATTTTGTTTGCACATTTTATGGGTGTGGTTAGCTGACGGCTACAGAGAGTTCAGTGTGGGTATTCTCCCTTTGTGTAGGCAGTTTACAGATATTTTAAAAAAAACACTTTGGGTTTTTTTCTTTTGTTTTTGAGATGGGGTCTTACTGTGTTGCCCAGGTCGGTCTTGGACTTGGGCTCAAGTGACCCTCCCACCTCAGCCTCCCAAAATGCAGGGATTACAGGTGTGAGCCACTACACCCAGCTGAGGCTTTTTTTTTTTTTTTTTTTTTTTGGAGACAAGGTCTCACTCTGTCTTCCAAGCTAGAGTGCTGTGGCACAGTTATGGCTCACTGCAGCCTCGACCCCCAGGCTCAAGTGATCCTCCCACCTCAGCCTCCTAAGTTACTGGGACTACCGGAATGCAACACCAGGCCTGGTTAATTTTTTATTTTTTGTAGAGATGGGGTCTTGCCATGTTGCCCAGGCTGGTCTCAAACTCCTGAGCTCAAATAATCCTCCCACCTCCACCTCTCAAAGTGCTGAGATTAAAAGCATGAGCCACTGCACTCAGCCTTAGTTTTTTGTTTTTGTTTTTTTTTTATTTTAGCTATGTAGCATATGTGACAGTCTTTCTAAAGTCTGCCAGTCTCCTTCTGTCAGCACTGCTACCTTAAGCCATGTAGGTACCATTTCCCTCATTGGAATTTTTTCCTTATCAATCTGAGAAAAGCCTGGGGAGCAATCTGAATGTTCCATCAAAGGAGAGTGGCACATCTAGTCAATGGAATATTAGGCAGCCATTAAAGATAATTTATGTCCTTGGACTCAATAGTTCCGTTTTTAGGACTTTTATACTATAGGAATATAATACACAAAGATATGTGTGTAACAATGTTCACTGCAAGATTGTAATAGTGAAAAGTCGTGGCAAAGAAAATGTCCATCAGTAAGGAACTATGAGTCTAAAATAAACAGATATGTATTGTCTTACATGGAAGGATGTCTACATATTTACTCTGTGCCAGAGTATCATGTGATTTATTTTTGTTTTTTTTTTAAAATAGCTTATTGAAGAATGTTTACATATAGAAAAAGACCTGTTAACAGGATTTATCAGTAGGATTCTACTGAGAAGGGTCCCAAAGAATAATTTAAGTTTATATCTTATTTCTATAGTTTGCATTTTTTAAATTTAATTTTTCTTTTGATAACTTTGGTATTTTTTATATTTTTTACAATAAGCAATTATTATTTTTGTAATTAAAGTTTATAGCCAGGCATGGTGGTGTGATCCTATAGTCCCAGATACTTTGGTAGCTGAAGTGGCAAAACCCTTGAGCCCATGAGTTCTAGGCCAGCCAAGAGAACATAGTGAGACCCTGTCTGTTAAAAAAAAAAAAAAAAAAAAAAAAAAAAACCAAACCAAAAAAAAAACACCAAAAAGTATAGCACTTATAAGGGGTTTTAACAGCATGGGAAGTACTTTTATTATAATGTAAAGTGCAAAAATCAGGATATAAAGTTTACATATAGTATCACAGCTATTTTTTCTAAAGTGTACATAGGAAAATAATTTGAAAGACAAATACAGTGATGTTTACAGAAGGTAACTGTGGTTAATGGGAATAAACTTGTTTAATGCCCAGCATTAAGGGGCAAGGGTGGAGTCTGGGTGAAACCAGAAAGAACTGGTAAAAGGTGAAAGGTTCAAAAACTGGAGGTCAAGATAAAGTTTAGTACAAGTTCAGTAAAGCCAGGAGTATAGGTGATTTCTGAGAGAATTAGATATTAAAAGGTCTTTTTCTGGTAATTTTTTGCTACCAAAATAGAATTAAAACTATTTTTGAGATGCTTTAATACTCCCTGCCAAAAGCTGCAATAGGATGCATTAGGTCAGAGGATTAAACAAGAGTAAATTTTTGTAATCTTTTTTTTTTTTTTTTTTTTTTTTTGAGATGAGTCTCCCTCTGCCTCCCAGGCTGGAGTGCAGTGGCGCGATCCTGGCTCACTGCAAGCTCCGCCTCCTGGCTTCACGCCATTCTCCTGTCTCAGCCTCCCGAGTAGCTGGGACTACAGGCGCCTGCCACCACGCCCGACTAATTTTTGTATTTTTTAGTAGAGACGGGTTTTCACCGTGTTAGCCAGGATGGTCTCGATCTCCTGACCTCGTGATCTGCCTGCCTGGGCCTCCCAAAGTGCTGGGATTACAGGCGTGAGCCACCATGCCCGGCCTAATTTTTGCAATCTTTTTATGAAAAATATGCAGGGATTCAAATAGAAAGACTAAGAGATAATAGGCTGTGTGTAGTGGCTCACGCCTGTAATCTCAGCACTTTGAGAGGCCAAGGTAGGCAGATCATTTGAGCTTGACGGTTCGAGCTCAGCCTGGGTAACATGGCAAAAAATAAAAAAATAAAGTAAAATAAAATAAAGATAAATAAAATAAAAATAAAATTAGCTGGGTGTGGTGGCACATGCCTATAGTCCCAGCTACTTGGGAGGCTGAGGTGGGAAAATCACCTGAGATGGGGAAGGTCGGCTGCAGTGAGCCATGATCATGCCACTGCATTCCAGCCTGAGCAACAGAGTGAGAACCTGTCTCAAAAACAAAAACAAAAACAAAAACAAAAACAAAAAAAGATTGAAACAGTAAATAACACTATGTAAATTTCCAACCATTATTAATATTAAATGTGAAACTTGCTTTTTTATAATGTTTTAATTTACTATAACTCTAAGGAATTAAATAAATTTTTAGGTATTAACTGCAAAGGTTGAAAATTCAGTTCCATGTTCCTGAGAGTCATCAATCAGGTGCTTTAAATAGACTGCTTCACATTTTGTAACGTTAACTCACAACTCTTTCAAAATTTATGAATTCTATTTTCTTTTACTCTAAACCACTTTTTCTTCGTTCATTGTTTCGTCCCATCAAAACTTACCCTAATGAAAATCTTTTACTTTTAAGAGAGACCTAAAGAGGACTTTCATGTTAATTGGTATGTCCTATAGTCTGCTTTCAGATGCACAATCTTCTATAGCAAAACTTAATCTCTGCCTGACTGCTGAAGATTTCTGAAAATGCCACATTCACATATGCACACACCACCACCCTCATCAACATTACCACCTCCACCAGTTGTTGTATGTATCTGGCCTATATACTAATATCTGTTTGCTAAACAGAAATTAATCACAAAGTAAATCTAACATAAAATGTATTCCATACTGTAGAATTATTTCTGGATTACTCACTATGTTAGCTGTATTAATACATCATCTTTTAATATATCTAATCAGAAGTTGACTATAATTGGTTTTGTTTTTATTCCATTATATCCTTTTGATACTGACTACTGTATAATCAATCATGGACGTTAACTGGGTTTTGAGACAGTAAAGTCAATCCTTTTTTATTACGGCATTCTTCTGTTTTTTTTGAGGCAGAGTCTCACTCTGTTGCCCAGCCTGGAGTGCAGTGGCATGATCTTGGCTCACCGCAACCTCTGTCTCCTGGGTTCAAGCAGTTCTCCTGCCTCAGCCTCTGTCTCAGCCTCCCGAGTAGCTAGGACTACAGGTGTAGGCTACCATGCCTGGCTAATTTTTGTATTTTTACTATGGATGGGGTTTCACCATGTTAGCCAGGCTGGTCTTGAACTCTTGACCTCAAGTGACCCACCCACCTTGGCCTCTCAAAGTGCTGGGATTATAGGCATGAGCCATCATGCCCAGCTGAGGGCATTCTTTTTTTTGAGACAGGGTCTCAGTCAGTCACTCAGGCTGGAGTGCAGTGGCACAATATCAGCCCACTGCAGCCTCTACCTTTCAGGTTCAAGTAATCCTCCTACCTCAGCCTCCCGATTAGTTGGGACGACAGGCACATGCCACCATGCCTGGCTAATTTTTGTATTTTTTGTAGAGATGGGATTTCACTATGTTGCCAAGGCTGATCTTGAATTCCTGGGCCCAAGTGATCCACCTGCCTCTGCCTTCCAAAGTGCTGTGATTACAGGTGTGAGCTACTGCACGTGGCCTCATCTGGGCATTCTTAATTTTGTTACTTATCATTTCTGGGTTAGTTTTTGAAGGAGGTAATAGGTTTTTCACAAAATTTGATAATAAATAACGTGTACCTGAGGCATAATAGACTTACCTTTAATTTTATTTTGCCATTTGATAATTGGCAAAGTTTACAAAGAAATATACTGACAAGGTTTTTAGTTCACCACATCTAGATTTGATTGTGTCTATGAGCTCCAAATAAATATATAGGAAGCATAATTTCCTGTCAATGCATTCAGTTTTTTTAAAGTTTTATAGTCATGTTGAATGTGAAGTGATCCGGGACAATTGAGGTCATCATTGTTGAAGAATTTTGAACATTTGATTCATGCTCTCATTTAGTTCTTTAACTGATTATGTGCAACTTCAAAATTGTATCCTGGCACCTTTGTTCCTTAACTATCATATGGGGTTTATGAGAAAGGACTTGGAAACTATGAAGTACTATACATATATAAAGTATTATTTACTGGTTTTAACTAAGAGACCTAGTGTAAGAAAATACCCTAAGGGAACTATGACATAGGTTGCCATGTTATTTACATTGACATTTAGGCTGCAGAATATGGATAATAGATTTGCCTCAGTAAGAACAGTGTAGTAGAATGCTTGCTTGTTCAGTGACCTTCAACTGGCACTTATTGTCTAGTACTCAAACAAAGATAGCATAGTTTGAGGGGTTACGCTGCTCCGTCAGATCATTGTTTTTGTCATTTGTATTCTCTCCTTCCTTGTTGCCAGAGTCTGCTGTAGGATGGTAAGGAACAGTAAAGGGTTGGGGTGAAGTAGTAAGAAAAAACAATTAGCATTTCTCTTCTGGAATGAAAAGTACTGTTGGTGTACCCGACTAAATATGGATGTTTATCTGTATCATTATATATTTGATAAATTAAAATTTATTCTAACCTGAATTTCATAATTGGATCTAAGTTATTTTGTCATATTTATTACCAGGAAGAATTAACACAAATTTGCTAATTTATGATTCTGTTCTTATAGTTTTCAACATATGATTTCATCCCATCTGCAAAATTAAAGCTTTCTCAAGGAATGCCAGTCAATGATGATTTATGTTTTAGCAGAAAAAGAGTATCAAGAAACTTATTTCAGAATAGTCGGGATTTTAACCCAGATTGTCTTCCTTTATGTGCTGCTGGTAAGTACAAGTTGCTGATGATGGTCATGTTGAACTAACAGACTTCTCTTAACTTCATAGTGCATTCAATGACTCATAGAACTTTAATCTAGTAGGCAGTTCAGATTCAATAAGTTATTTATTGAAGATCTGATAAGAATGGACACTTAGACATTATTATCTCATAAAACCCTGGAGGGTTTCTCACTGAAATCGTTTAAGTATTAATATAGGGCAATATTTGCTTAATACATCACCCATATTTATTAAGGTGCTTTTCTAAGTCCTGGAGGTCTGCCTAATAGAGCTTGCATTCTACTTAGGAACGAGAACAGACATTAAATAAATACAAGACATAGTAAGTTATCTGGTGATAAATGCTATGAAGGAAAACAAAGCGAAAGAAGGCCATATTCAGGAAAGAATATTTGAAGCAAACCACTGTATATCAGGAGAAGAGAATAAATAGTTTCAGGAAGAGGGAACAGTCAGCACAAGTAACTAAGAGAGAAGTGTGTGGGGAACATGTTTGAGAAATACCAAAGAGACCAGTATGTCTGGAATGAAATAAGAGAGGGGAAAATAAGTAGAAAATTAAAGACATAATAGGGGTGCTTATTTAAGGCCTAGTGGACTTATAAGTGAACTTTACTTTTTACTCTGAATGAGGAGCATTTTGAAGAAAGAATTGACATCACTTGTTTCCAGGCTCATTTTGGATTTTATTTTTAAAATAGATGAAAGTGTATTAGTCTGTTTTCACACTGCCATAAAGACATACCTGAGACTGGGTAATTTATGAAGAAAAGAGGTTTAATTGGCTCATGGTTCTATGGGCTGCACAGGCTTCTGCTTCTGGGGAAACCTCAAGAAATTTACAATCATGGCGTAAGGCGAAGGTGAAACAAGCACGTCTTACATGGTGGGAGCAAGGGGAAGAGAGTGAAGAGGAAGTACAACACGCTTTTAACGATCAGATCTTGTGAGAACTCTATCATGAGAACAGCTCCAAAAGGAGAAATCTGCCACATGATCCAGTCACCTCCCACCAGGCCTCACCTACCTCCAACATTGGGGATTACCAATTCGACATGAGATTTGGGTGGGGACACAAAGCCAAACTGTATCAGAGAGCAAGGTCAAAAACAGGAAGACTGATTAAGAATCTGTTGTAGTAATCGTGGCTAGAGTTGATGGAGGCTTTAACCAGGATAGCAAGAATGTGGTAAGAAGTGATTGGATTCTGGCTTGGCGCGGTGGCTCACGCCTGTAATCCCAGCACTTTGGGGGCCAATGCAGGCAGATCACGCAGTCAAGAGACTGAGACCATCCTTGCCAACATGGTGAAACCCCGTCTCTACTAAAAATACAAAAATTAGCTGGACGTGTTGGTGCATGCCTGTAATCCCAACTACTCGAGAGGCTGAGGCAGGAGAATCTCTTCAACCCGGGAGGCAGAGGTTGCAGTGAGTCAAGATCGCACCACTGCACTCCAGCCTGGCAACAAAGCAAGACTCCATCTCAAAAAAAAAAAAAAAAAAAAAAAAAAAAGGTGATTGGATTCTGATTATATGTCAGCGGTAAAGTTGATATAGTTTGCTGGTAGATTGGGTATAGAATGTGAGAAAGAAGTGTCAATAATGCTGTAAGGATTTTTGGCCAGAGCAACTGAGAACATGGACTAAGTGTTACAAAAGTAAATATTACGGTACTTTAGAGGAAATGGTCATTGTCATTGACCATAACATTTAGAAGAAAAAGGAGAGCATAGGAAGAAACTGCCTTTGTGGATATTCTTCAACATACCCATCTTTATAAATGACCATATCATTTAGAAAGAGGTTGAGGCCGGGCGCTGTGTCTCATGCCGAGATCACACCACTACACTCCAGTCTGGGCTACAAGAGTGAGACTCCGTCTCAAAAAAAAAAAAGAAGAAGAAGAAAGAGGTTGAGGAGGTTGAGCTTGAGTTCTAAATGATAGTTTAGGATTTCAAGATATAGCACCCAGGTAATAAGAAAAATTGTAGTGTGTTGACAAAGTGATACCTATTAGAAGGGAAAATGGTTTAGAAGGTAAAGATTTGACTATGTTATAGATTTAAAAATGTATTTAACATCTAAATGATAACAGTTTTCAAAATTTGTTGGGTTTGATTTTAGATATATTATTCAGTAAACATTGTTCCCTAGGAGAATTTATAGACCTTTATGCAGTGAAATTCTATAGTATTTTCATACAAAAATGAAGTGGCATAATGACTGCATAGTTTATTTTATTGTTTAATAGAGAAGGAGAAATGCAAGAATATGTCCAGTTATGTTTGTGGCAGTTTTGATTTTGATTTTGATTTCTCTGTACCATTGAGGAGCTCATTTCCTAATTGTACAGATTCTAAACAACTGGAAAATAAGACAATATGTAAGCTAATGCTTGATTGGATGATATGAATTACAAATACTGTAAGGATTCAAGAAAGGAAAACATAGGTATTGAAGTGGTTTCAGAAAACTGCAGAAAAGAGATTGAGCTTGACTTTAAAGGAGGGAGAGGCTGGGCGCTGTGGCTCACGCCTGTAATCCCAGCACTTTGGGAGGCCAAGGCAGGCGGATCACCTGAGATCAGGAGTTCGAGACCAGCCTTAAATAACTGAGGCAGGAAGATCACCTGAGCTCAGGGAGGTCGAGGCTGCAGTGAGCCAAGTTTGCGCCACCGCATTCCAGCCTGGGCAATAAGAGTGAGACCCTGTCTTAAAAAAAATAAAATAAAATAAAAAGATATCCAGAATATGAAAGATAAAGAGGCTTGATATGATAGGGAGAGAATTTTTTTTTAATCATACAGTTTCAGAACTACAAAGGATGGGCTCATTTAATAGATGGATAAACTAAACGCCAGAGGAGTCATTACCACCTTTTTTTCTTTAGACTTATTCATCTTCCCAGGAATAACCTTAACCAGACACAGGAGGGGAAACAGGAAACATATCTGGATATGCTTAGAATCTGCGTGAATACTGTGAAGTATATTAGAAAAGAAAATAAAAGAGGTTGCAGCGGTTGCAGTGAGCCAAGATCACACCACTGCACAAAAAAAGTAAAGTAGAAAGGAAAAGAGTTTGGTAATAGAGCTTTTTGGGTAATGCGTATACTACAAATACTGGGAAGAAAGCAAGCCAGGTCTGGAGAAACGTTCCATGCTGAGAGAAAGAGTGTAGGAAGAAACTGCTTTTGCAGATATTCTTCAACATACCTGTCTTTTCCCTGTTCTTTACTAGTCTGTCTTCTGTCCTTTAATTCCTGCCACTAATCTGATTTTCTAGTATCAAAAGCTGTATCCCTTTCTTGCCTGCCTACCTCACTGTACTTAAACACTTATATTTATTTCCACCTAAATTACACCAACATTTATGAAATAAAATGTATTCATGAAATAAAGTTAACTTTTGCTTTTATGTTTTCTCCCTTCCTTTCTTCAAAAGGTACTACTGGGACTCATCAAACAAATCTTTCTGGGAAATGTGCACAACTTGGATTTTCACAAATATGTGGTAAAACTGGCAGTGTGGGTTCTGACTTACAATTCCTAGGGACAACTAGCAGTCATCAAGAAAAAGGTATAAGTTCCAAATTTACTTGGAAACAAATGACTTATAAATATTATGTGGGGATTCCAACACTAACTTATATGATATTTTGTGTACTCATACTCATCACAAAAAATAAAAGGATTTTGTTATATTTTTAATAACTTTTTTCATAATTGTTACCCTAAAGTATTAGTTTTCATAATCTTTATATAAATACAACTGATTAAAATTAGAGTTTAGATACTCATGGTGGAGATGAGTATTGCATTTGCTTTGATATATACATAATAGTGGTACATATTTGTGGGGGACATGTGACATTTTGATATACAATGTGTAATGATCAAATTAGGCTATTTAGGATATGCATCACCTGAAACATTTGTCATTTCTTTGTGTTGGGAACATTACAAATCTACTCCTGTGGTTATTTTGAAGTACATAATAAAGTATTGTTAACTATAGTCACCTTATTGTGCTATACTGAGCACTAGATCTTACTCCTTCTTATTTTATTTTATTTATTTATTTATTTATTTTGAGATGGAGTCTTGCTCTGTCGCCCAGGCTGGAGTGTAATGGCAGGATCTCGGCTCACTGCGACCTCCGCCCCTGCCCCCGGGTTTTGAGCAATTCTCCTGTCTCAGCCTCCTGACTAGCTGGGACTACAGGTACACGCCACCACGCCCAGGTAATTTTTGTATTTTTAGTAGAGACAGAGTTTCACCATATTGATCAGGGTGGTCTCAAACTCCTGACCTCAGGTGATCCACCTGCCTCGGCCTCCCAAAGCACTGGGATTATAGGCATGAGCCACTGTGCCCGGCCTCTTATTTTATTTTTGTACGCATTAACTACCTTCTCTTTATTACCTACTTCTCACTGCCCTTGCCAGCCTCTGGATACCATCATTCTGCTCTCTACCTCCATGGAATTAATTTTTTTTCTTTTTTAGCTCCCACATAGCAGTGAGAACATGCAATATTTGTCTTTCTGTGCCTGACTTATTTCACTTAAGATAATGTCCTCCATTTCTATCTAGGTTATTGCAAATGACAGGATTTCATTCTTTATATGGCTCAATAGTTCTCCATTGTGTATATGTACCACATTTTCTTTATCTGTTCTTCTGCCGATGGACACTTAGGTTGATTCCATAACTTGGCTATTGTGAATAGTGCTGCAATAAACATGGAAGTGCAATACCTCTTTGATATACTGATTTCCTTCTTTCGATATATGCCCAGCAGTGGGATTGCTGGATCATATGGTAGTTGTATTTTTAGTTTTTTGAGGCAGGGTCTCACTCTGTGGCCCAGGCTGGAGTGCAATGGCTCACTGCAGCCTCGACCTCCCGGGCTCAAGTGATCCTCCTACCTCAGCCTCCCAAGTAGCTGGGACTACAGATATACACTACTATGTCTGGTTAATTTTTAAATTTTTTGCAGAGATGGGGTTCTACTATGTTGCCCAGACTAGTCTCGATCTCCTGGGTACAAACAATCCTGCCTCAGCCTCCCAGAGTGCTAGGATTACAGGTGCAAGCCACCATGCCCAGCACATTTTTAGTGTTTTGAGGAACTTCCTTGCTGTTTTCTATAGTGGCTGTACTAATTTAGCTTCCCACCAGCAGTGTACAAGCATTCCTTTTTGTTGCCATCCTTGCCACCATTTGTTATTTTTTGTCTTTTTGATAAAAGCTATTTAACTGGAGTGACATGATATCTTATTGTGGTTTTGATTTGCACTAGACCTCTACCTTTCACTGTATGCAAAAATCGAATCAAAATTTATTGAAGACTTAAATGTAAGCTGACGTTATAAAACTGCTAGAAGAAAACATTAGTGAAATACTTCAGGACATTGGTCTGGGCAAAGATTTCTTGAGTAAGACCTCAAAAGCACAGGTGACCAAAGCAAAAATGAACAAATGGGATCACATTTAGCTAAAAAGCTTCTGCATGGCAAAGGAAACAGTCAACAAAGTGAAGATACAGCTTACAGAATGGGAGAAAATATTTGCAAACGATTCCACTGTTGAGGGATCAATAACCAGAATATATAAGGAACTCAAACAATTCAATAGCAAAAAAACAAAAATACAATGTGAAAATGGGCAAAAGATCTGAGTAGGCATTTCTCAAAGAAGACATATACATGTCTAATAGGTATATGAAAAGCTCAACATCACTAATCATCAGAAAGATGAGCATTTTAATACCAAGTCATTGAAAATAACATTATCCATTAAAGAGTGTTGTGTTAGCAGATGACAATTATTTTCCGTAACAGTTTTAAATTTTAAGACAATTTAGAATGTATTATGTCTCTTATTAGGAACCGTAACTTCCTAAAAGCTACCCTTTCAGATAAGACATAAGATACAGAAGAGGAAAGATTGGAGACCGGTTATCAGTCAGGAATTTGGGGGTTGAAGGTGTTCTTAAATGTCCATGCTAATTAACAGCTTTAACAATTATTAGATAGAGGTAGGATCAAATTAAGTATTTCTTTAGGTATTTTAAATTTTATTGTATGTCCTTTACTAAAATTTGAGTGATAGGGATATACTTATTTATTTATGAAAAAATAATGATTTGAAATTAGTAGAGAAGATTTCGTGTATTTAGCACTAACATTTTAACTACCCTTTTTTGCACTCACCCCAAAGACCCACATAACTCCTTAAAGATATCCTTTGTGGTATTATCTGCATCACAAAATAATCCATCTTTCTTAATAATGTGGGTATTTCCTAAATTTTGACTCCTGAGTATCTTTGGGACTCATAATTGGTATAATCAGAGAGAGCTTGCTGTGCCACTTAACCTGTTCCTGTTTAGGCTATCCCTGAATAATTACATTGCCTTTGAGGACTATCCACTCTTAGTGTTTAGTCATATTGCACAGTGGCTCTCTGGTTTTCTATTGGAATAGTTATTAGAGAAGCTGGTATAAAGGGATACCACGTTTTTCTAGAATTTAACTTAATACTTGGTTATACATTAAAACCACTACCATCTCAATTAATATTCCCCTTGTGATCTTTGAAGGACCTATGGTATGGATGCAAAACAATATAGATGTTTGCATCCCAATTTACATATTGTAGTGATCCACACCAGGTGTTGGAAATTTTGGTGTATGTTGCATTGCATTGTTTTTATGTATATGCATAGTATGATAGGATGTTTGATTTCTTCATAAGAAATATTTTTAAATCTCGGCTGTGTGCGGTGGCTCACGCCTGTAATCCTAGTGCTTTGGGAGGCCAAGGTGGGTGGATCATGAGGTCAAGAGATTGAGACCATCCTGGCTAACACGGTGAAACCCCGTCTCTACTAAAAATTACAAAAAAACTAGCCGGACATGGTGGCGGGCACCTATCATCCCAGCTACTCGGGAGGCTGAAGCAGGAGAATGGTGTGAACCCGGGAGGCAGAGCTTGCAGTGAGCTGAGATCGTGCCACTGCACTCCAGCCTGGGCGACAGAGCGAGACTCCATCTCAAAAAAAAATAGAAAGGAAATATTTTTAAATCTCTAGGAATATATGAGACATTGTCATGAAAGCATCAGAACCTGTTAATAGAGCACTGTAATTGAAATGAGGAAACTGAAAGTTTTAATTCTATATGTAAATCTGTGACTAAATCTCCTATATCTCTCTACCTAGATAAGATTTTGGTATAAGTAGAGATTTTAACCATGTCAGATATGAATTAAAAAAATAAAGGATATATAATATATACAGTTGTTTAAGTCCTCAGAAGAATGTTTGCTTTATTAATATACGTACGCTAGGTATTTTGTCACGGAAAACATTTTTTAAAATATTAAAGGAAAACTTAAGGGAACCCCTAAAAGATTACAAATAGACTTTTTATATTCGTTGAAGAATAAAAAGATCAATAAAAGGCAAGGAAGAAGTAATAAAGAAAAAAATAATAAATAGTACAAAATAAGATGGTAGAATTAAAATCAAATGTATGAATAGTTTCCGTAAGTATAAATTGGCAGAACTTACAACTTAAATGACAGAGGTGATCAGATCTTGTTTTTTTAGTTTTTCATTGAAGTGATCTTTTTAAGAGCATTACCTAAAATACATCAAGATAGGTTGAGAGAAAGTAAAGCATGGAAAAGATACACTAGGCAAATGTTCAGAGAAAAGCAAATAGAAACATGTTGATGATAGGGAAAATATGCACACCAAAACTAAAAACATTTTTAGTTCTAGAGAGGATCATTGTAATGAGAAAAAGAATAATTCACTAAAGAAACAAGACTTCTCTGACATGTGTGTATATGTATACATATACATGCATGTATGTATGTAATTGATAAAATTACAAGGAGAAAGTTAATTTATAAATGTTAGTACAATATTTTAATGGGATAAAGAAGTTTTGAATTAGAAGATACAGAATATTTGAATAACACAAATTAAATTAGTCCTTTACCTCATACCATACAAAAATATACATGCCAATTGGGATGAAAACCTGAATGGGAAAAGCAAAAAGCAAAAAAGCTTTTAACTGTTAAACTGTGTATACATAAATAATATATTATCTTTTGTTTTATTACAGTGTATGCTAGCCTCAATTTTGGCAGTAAGACACAGCAAACATTTGGTAGTCAAACAGAGTGTACTTCCTCAAATGGTCAAAATCCAAGTCCAGGAGCTTACATCCTTCCATCCTATCCTGTCTCATCACCTCGAACTAGTCCAAAGCATACATCTCCTCTTATTATATCTCCAAAGAAGTCTCAAGATAATTCTGTTAATTTCTCAAATTCCTGGCCTCTTAAAAGCTTCGAAGGACTATCAAAGCCAAGTCCACAGAAGAAGCTTGTCAGCCAAAAATCGTCTGATCCTACGGGTAGAAATCATGGTAAAAGTCAATACTTTGTTCAAATTTATTTGTGTTTGAATTAGTACTTTGAAGTTAATGCATAGGGCTGTTAGATCTTTAAAAGCTAGTAAACTACATTTTATCTGTCTGAATTTAGTAAATATTTAGGAAAATATTTAATAGTGTGTTAAATAAATCAAATGTATAAAATTCAATTGAAATTCTCATTTCTTACATTGTCACTTAAAAATCCTTTTCAGAACCAGGAAAATAATGATGCTTTTCTTTGTTTGTTTGTTTGTAAATAGAGATAGGGTCCTACTATGTTGACCAGGCTGTTCTCAAACTCCTGGTCTCAAGTGATTTCTCCCATCCTGTCTTCCCAAAGTGCTGGGATTACAGGCTTGAGCCACTGTGCTGGGCCAGAAAATAGTAATGTTTTATAATGAACATGAACAACATATGTTGTTTGAGAGCCTACTAACAAATTTTAGCTTTACAAATATAAAATGTCATTCATATGCTTATTGCAATTAATGCCTAATATTCATTTATTCAATATTTATTGAATTTTTATTGTATGTTAAAATTAATTTGAAACTTTTTTTTTTTGAGACGGAGTTTCGCTCTTGTTGCCCAGACTGGAGTGCAATGGTGCGATCTTGGCTCACGGCATCCTCCACCTCCAAGTGATTCTCCTGCCTCAGCCTCTTGAGTAGCTGGGGTTATAGGCATGCGCCACCATGCCCGGCTAATTTTGTATTTTTAGTAGAGATGGTGTTTCTCCATGTTGGTGAGGCTGGTCTCAAACTCCCGACCTCAGGTGATCAACCCGCCTCAACCTCCAAAGTGCTGGGATTACAGGCGTGAGCTACTGCACCTGGCTGAAACATTTTTTATTATTTGTTATAAACTAAAATATTCTTTTCTTAACAATAACCCACTCCAAAAATCATGAAATTAGCATATATAAGTTCATTCAGGACAAATTCAGTCTTAAAATAAAAAGTCGACTGAGCGTAGTGGGTCATGCCTGTAGCACTTTGGGAGGCCGAGGTGGTTGGATCCCTTGAGGTCAGGAGTTTGAGACCAGCCTGGCCAGTATGGTGAAACACCATCTCTACCAAAAATACAAAAATTAGCCGGGCTGATGGCACGTGCCTGTAATCCCAGCTACTTGGGAGGCTGAGGCGGGAGAATCGCTTGAACCCAGGAAGCGGAGGTTGCAGTGAGCTGAGGTGGCACCACTGCACTCCAGCCTGGGCTACAAGAGTGAGACTCTGTCTCAAAAAATAAATAAATAAATAAAAATAAAAAGATGTTGAAGGAATCCTCTGCGTCCCTCATGATTTTCTTTCCCCAGCCATTGATGTAAGATGTTTCACCTTTAAACTACCCTACAAGTCCAGTGTTCAATTTATGGCATATTCAGTCAATTTTATCACTTTCTCTTAGCACTATACTTTGATTCTCTTCTATTAATTCCTTTCTGTATTTGTTTATTGTACAAGATCAAATATTGTATCGAAAGCCGAGGCTTTATTCAGCTTGTTCTCCCCAGTGACCAGCTATAATGTGCTTTTTTTATTTTAAAACATTGTATTTTAAGCACTTGTGACTATAACTCCCTCTTCTCTAAAATTAGAAAAAGAAAAAGTAAAATATCTATTTTTCATGCAGGAGAAAATTCTCAAGAAAAACCTCCAGTTCAGCTTACACCTGCCTTGGTGAGATCGCCATCTTCCCGACGAGGTCTAAATGGGACAAAGCCTGTTCCTCCCATACCAAGGGGAATAAGCCTTTTGCCTGATAAAGCTGATTTAAGCACAGTGGGACACAAAAAGAAAGAGCCTGATGATATTTGGAAGTGTGAAAAAGATAGTCTTCCAATTGATCTTTCAGAATTAAATTTCAAGGATAAAGATTTGGATCAAGAAGAGGTTAGAACCAAATATTTTTAATGACTTAAAAATATTTGCAATTTTCTATAATATAGTTGCTATTTAAGGAAAAATCAAGTTCTTTTTATCCTATAATATCTTATTTCTAAAAATATGTTCATTATAGAAAATGTGGAAAATACCATGAATTAGTAGGAAGGGAATTTATCACGCCAGTTCCCACTACCAGAATAATTTACTGTTAACACTCTACTGTATTTTCTTCAAGTATTTTTTCTATGCATACATTATTCCTTTTTAAATTAAAAGTATGAATAATAATATAGCAATACACTCATGTACTGACCCTTCCAGTGAACAGTTTGTCATATTTGTTTCCTATATTTAAATAAATGAAACATAGCATAGTTCTCTCCCCAGTTCAACATCTCTTCCTTCTTCACCAGAGGCAATCACTATTACCATTTATATATGTCTTATGTATTTTTGTACTTTTTATATTAATATTATTTTTGTGTATTTACTTACGGTGTGTTTATACCATTGATTTTGGCTTATGATCAGTCTTTTGCAATTGCATACAGTGAACTGCAATGAACATATTTGAACCTGTCCTTTGTGTTTCTGTGCAAGCTTACTTATCTTTATGAAATTGAGATCATATTGTACACTCATCTTTGAATCCTAGATCACTTTGTGCTATAAAAATGTTACCAGTATGATAACTGTACATAATTATTATATCAGACAAGGAATGCGGTTGCTGTATTACTTTGGTTTCAGAGTACTATTTCCATAGATGCCTCCTTTTTATCATTTCAGTTTGCTTCAAGTCAGGTTAAAAAAAAAGTTTTATATTACATATATAAATGCAAATACTTAATTATGATATTTTATGGTCTTAGTCTGTTTTTAAGGTATAAGCATCAATCATGTAATGATAATTTGCTCAATAAAATAGAGTTAATATTACTGTATATTCATTTTTAACATATGTCTTTATGTTAAACACATGTAAAACTAACCTATAAAGTACCAAAGTTGGTTGTTAATGATTTAAAGTAATCACCCCAACTTCTGCTTGTGAAATCTTTCCTTTTTTTTTTTTCCCAACTCATTTGTATTTTACTAGTGCTAGGAAGGGAATTCATTTGAAGGGAAGAAACATATAGAAAAGACATTTTCCTACATAACTTATAAATTTCACCTGATCCTACATAATTTTGCTTTGTTTTTATAATAACTTAAATATAGTTCTTTTTTTAGTGGGTAATTGAAAGGTGAGTTTCTGTTATATAATTATTAGTAAATACAGGAGGATACCATTGCTTTTAGATATTCAACTTTTCACGCTTTTAATAGAGAAGTGGCCCTAGTATTAAATCAACTAGTAGAGTTGTTGAAAATTACTTATCCTCCCTTATAGTTGCTAATATGACACTTCCTATTTATTATTTTGAATGGGTCACTGTTTATATTCTTTGGTGTGAGTTGACTTTTGACAAAAGCATAAGTTTTCATGTGCTTAATGTGCTTAATAATGTATCAAACACTTTCATTTTCATTAGTTCATTTAATCTTTACAGTAACTCCCTGAGTTAAGAAGCAAGTCAACATCTATTATGTTTTTTGTTTGTGTGTGTGTTTGTTTTTACAGAAGAGGCTCAGTGATGTTATGTGTCTTGCTCAGGGTCAGAAAGTATGTGGTAGGACTAGGATTCAAGCACTGTTCACCTAACTTTATGTTCATTAAGTTTTTCACTGTACTACACTGCCCTAAATCCATTAAAGGGTTTTTTGTTGTTGTTGAGTTTGCCTTCCAACTATGAAGACTTAAGAAATTTATGGATGTTTGCTTTAACTGAAAACAGATACTTTCATTAAATGATTAATCTTATGAATCAAATGTAAACAAAACAGTTTATGTATGTTTCTATTTTCCTTAATTTGTTCAAAGTTTTGTTGCTAGTCTTAATATATTTTGCCATAACAATTTGTATTCTGGATTTCCTTTTTTTTTTTTTTTTTGAAACAGAGTCTCGCTGTGTTGCCTAGACTGGAGTGCAATGGTGCAATCTCGGCTCATTGCAACCTTTGCCTCCCAGGTTCAAGCGATTCTTGTGCCTCAGCCTCACAAATAGCTAAGACTGCACGTGTCCACCACCATGCCCAGCTGCATTTCTAAAAATATTTGGCTTCAGAAGTTACGTACAGTGATCTGTAATTTTAATACTTGCAAGCTTGATGTAAACATCAAATTTTTGAAAACTGATTTTCATGAATCACCTCCCAGAGCTAGCTTCTAAGCCACATTAGCACACCAGGTGTACCTCTGTGACATCAACTCTGATATCTACCATCTGATTCAATGATTCATTTATTAAATAATTGAATTAATGCCATATATTTAGTCATTGTGCCCAGTGCTGAAGATACCATGATGAACAATAGCTGAGATTCTTCCTCTCAAGGAGCTTTCAACCCAGTAGGTTGTTTATAAATACCCAAGTGATAAAAATCTGTGTATTGATACTATATACATATATATTAGTATTCATCTTGTTTTAGTACAGGATTGGGAAGTGGTTAGCTAGGTATAGCTAATGGAGTTTAAAATTTAAGGATAACTTTTACCAATATAAGGAATTTATGTTATAAAGTTTATTGTTTTCATTTTTTCTTAGATGCATAGCTCTCTTAGGTCCCTTCGTAATAGTGCAGCTAAGAAAAGAGCAAAACTGAGTGGCAGTACTTCAGATCTTGAAAGCCCTGATTCTGCAATGAAGCTCGACTTGACGATGGACTCCCCGTCTCTGTCTTCCTCACCAAACATCAATTCTTACAGTGAAAGTGGAGTTTACAGCCAAGAATCATTGACTTCTTCTCTGTCTACAACTCCCCAGGGGAAGAGAATAATGTATTTTATTTTTTGACGTGATAAATGAATGTTCCTCTGTAATTAGTGATTTAGAGCCCTAATATCATATTTGTAAAAACTTAAAACCATTTATGTTTTAGTTTTTAAAATGTTAAAATATATTTAAAAGACATTGGAAATGTTTACAGATATTACCTTGCTTGGCTTTGGTTTCTGGTGTGAGTGGAAAGAGAACACAACCCCAACTGTAAACCAGAGCACCTAAATTAGTATAAACCCTGTTCCTAAAGCCCTAGTTGTTCTTTTTGTCTAGGATTTATCCTAATGCTTTTTGACCTTTAGCTCTTTTCTGGATTATTGACTCCTTTGCCAGTTGATCTATAGCTAATATTACTGCTTTCATTTTAAGCTCAGCACCAGTTTCCTCTAATTTATGAATAAGTTTCACCCAGCCATTATTTTCTTATATCTTATTTCCATTATCTTGTAGAAGCTCAGGACTTCATGCCATAGCTCTCATAGCCTTGTTAGGAGTCTCCCTACAGCAGTAGTGCTGGACTTAAAGTCCTGGCCACCCCACATCAATAGAAAATTATTTTTCAGCATAGCAGTTGGACTAACTTTTTCAGATTACTTCTGTAACCTCTACGTCTTAAACCTTAACCTCACTTAACTGGTGAGTGATCTCAAACTGCTTTCTGGACAGCTCTGTGACCCTACTGTAGGATTTTGGAGAATCCCTTCCTCTTTTATTTTAGACAAAAACCTAGTAATAGAATTGATAGGGCATAGAATAGATGTATATTTAACTTTTTAAGTAACTGCTAAAACAGTTTTCCAAAATGATTGTGTAACTTTTACACTCCTACCAGCTATGTGTGAGAGTTATCCTTGTTTCACATTCTTGCTAACATTTGGTGGTGTCATTCTTAAATTTTTTTTCCTTTGATTTAATCCTGAACCAGAAGTAAATATTTAAAATTAAAATTAATTTCACTTTAGTGAATTGGAACTTCTAAGAAATATACGTAAATAGAGATTGCATAATCAAAGGAGAGGTAGTGTTCTAAATAGATCATAATGTTTTATTCCAGCAGTTCATAGAATTAAACTGAATTTTTGTGTTCCATTCTTAGAAGTTTGTTTCAGCCCCTTATTTTTTCCTATACATTTTTAGCAGCTTGTTTTGTACTTGGAAGTTTTATCTTCCAACAGTTCCTTTGTTGTAATTACCTAGGTAGAATAATAGGTATATTAGCAAAATGAATTTGGAATGACAGCATGGTCTGGTGTTTACATAATGTTATAAGACACAAAATATATTTTTAGCTTTTAGAGCTAAAGTCCTTTTATGATCTTCCATGAAGATGAAAATTTATGTTCTATAATCCTACAGTTGCAAGGTTGTGTAAATAATTTGAAACCTACTTAAGAAGAAAATTTCATTTTATATGATTTGGATACATGATGTCCTGTATTTTCTCACTGAGTTATTCTCTTCAGATACTGAATTCTGTTAGAAGGTAGTTCAGCACACCCTCATTTATGGACTGAAATGCCTTTAATGAATTTAAGATTTCCACATTTAAGATTAGTGGCTTTAGAACAATTATTCTTATCCAGCTTGCATACTGCCTTAAGATTCATGGCCAAAGAAAGCCACTACTACTACCTGATTTAAAGATTTTGTCCTTAGGTGGGTTGGGGAGGAAAAATTGTTGAAAACCACCCTCCTAGAGACTGAAATTTCTTCTTTCATCCAAGTCAACTACACTTAATATAAATGTAGATTCATAATAATCTGTTATAGAGAAATTGCTCTTTCAAAATATTTAACACTGATTTCTCACTAGGTCCACTGACAAATATATTTCTCTCCATTTACTGAGAATTGTACTTCTTTGTAAAATCTATTCTTTTTAATATTCATTACTAACTTACTGACATTGTAACACTTACTGATTTAAAACAGTTCCCTTAAGCTCAGATTTAACATTCTTCAGTTGGCTTTCTTAATGAAAAAAGGCCTATAGGTATTTATAATGTCAGGAAAGTACAGGAAAGAATAGTCTAAGCAGAAAGTGGCATTTACCAAACTTACTCATTGCTGATCTCTTACTTATAATATAGCCAAGTCTGTATTTTTGTGTTATCATATATAAGGATAGGTAGTAGTTAGATAATTAAGAATGATTTGACTTGTTATATTTATTTTCATTTTTTTGAGACAAGGTCTCACTGTGTCACTCAGGCTGGAGTGTAGTAGTTCAATCTCAGCTCACTGCAACCCCTGCCTCCTGGGCTCAGGTGATCCTCCCACCTCGGCCTCTGTAGTAGCTGGGACTACAGGTGTGCACCGCCATGCCTGGTTAATTTTTTAGTTTTTTTGTAGAGATGGAGTTTTGCGATGGTGCCCAGGCTGGCCTTGAACTTCCTGGGCTCAAGTGATCCTCCTGTCTTGGCCTCCCAAAATGCTAGGATTACAGGCATGAGTCACCACACTTGGCCTTGATTTGGTTTTAGAATGGATTCTTGGATCATTTTTTTTTTTCCTTAGGGATTATACAGTATAAGTCAGAGTCATTTTCTGTGGCAATCCTGTCTTGAGTAATTAAGAATTGGCCATATGTTAAAAAGGTTGGTAGTCCAAAAGGTGAACTAAGAATAGCAAAATATATATGTGTGTGTGTGTGTGTGTGTGTGTGTATACACACACACTGTTAGCCATAGTTTTTCAAGTGTCATACTTATTGCTCCCTTATTATCTAAAAGGTCTGTGAGTTAATAAGGAGAATAGACAATATGTGATGTGAGTATTGAACAGCACTAAATCTTAATGTTTATTGAAATTACTTTGTTTCATTGCAGGTCAGACATATTTCCAACATTTGGGTCAAAACCTTGTCCAACAAGACTTTCTTCTGCAAAGAAAAAAATTTCTCATATTGCTGAACAAAGCCCCAGTGCAGGTATTCTATGTCTGTTTATAAAAATAATTTATAAAATATGATTTTCAAATGATGTAAAAAATGATAGCAAGTGCATTTCAGATTTCATGTTGTTGTGCATACTGGTTAAGACTAATCATTTTTTTACTCCTTAAAAGGTCCTTTTGACAGGAATATGATATTGTTTTGGAAGAAAAAAATATTTATTTACCTGAATCATCAATCTCTTTTAAAGCTCAATTGGCATACCTATGGCTGGCTCCTACACCTAGATTTTTTATGTAGTTGGTGTGGAGTGTTATTTAGCTGGTGTTGGCTGTCAGAATTTTGAAAACTCCTCAGATGATTCTAATGTGCAGCATAGTTTGGGAACCACTGGACATCCCGAAAGACAATTTTCTTTAAAAACAATATTAACTGTTAATAGTAGTTAAATTCATGTGTATCTTGTGTTAAGAATTTTTGTGAACTAACCTGTAAGTCTTTAGTTTTATAACATCACTTCTCAGAAAATAGATTTAGTAATTAGTAGTCAATTAGAAAAAGATTTGCACTATGATCTATTTAGGGTGAGAACTGCATGTGATTCTTCATTATGATTAGTAAAACTACGTTGAATTGTGAATAAACTGTAACAAATTGGTATATGATGTTTAGTTTCACATGATCTAATGTAAAAGTCCTAACAACTTTAAGCTGCTTTATATTATAATCACCTTCCTAAAAAACTGTATATGTATTTGATTATTTGCTAAGATTTTAAATTTCTTGCTCTTAAATGTGTCTTAATCTCAACCCCTCTTTGTAATCCCCACTACCATGGCTTTAGTTCACACTTTTCCTCATTTATTACCTACTTAGCCGCCTAAATTTTCTCCCTGCTTCAATCTCACTTACTTTGAAACTGTTCCCCACAGTGCAAATCTGACTATACTGGCCAGCCTGAATTCATTCTGGACATGCTTTCATGATCTGGTCCCAGCCTACCTCTCCAGCCTCATTTTTCACTGCCCTCTTTGTATCTTGTACTTTCCCTGTTTGTATCCAGTTAAATCAGACCACCATCAGTACCATTTCCTATCTCTTTGCAAATGCACATACTGTTTTTTCTGGATGAAATCTAGAATCCATACCACACCCTATTTAGCTGTGAAAAGAGCTCAGTTGCTTTCTCTGGGAAGCCTTCCTTAATTCACAAACAAGATTATTACCTCTTTTGTTATACCATTACATCTTGCACTGACACCTTTTATAATGATACTACAATTGCTTTACTTTTCTTTAACTCTCAGATTCTTGATCCCCAAAGATTATTTCCCACTGATTACCTATCAAGGCTTATCATAATCGGGAATGTGTGACTTAACCAGGTGTGTTTAGTATACTGCCTTGCATAAAACTAGTGTTAACAAAGAGATAGCTGCACTTCTAGGCATACAAAGACAGTATATAAGTGCTTTGGAGTCCAAAAGATGAGCTGACACCCCAGTTTGATGTTTAATAATAGTATTCATACATTACACAACTTACTTAACTGCTTTGGAACTTAGTTCCCTCATCTGACAACATAAACCTTGAGAAGGGTAGTGAAAATCTAAGTTCATGACATATATAAAGCAACTAGTGCATAGTAGGCACTCAATATGTATTTGTCCTCTAAGGGGAGAGAGTGACCCAAAGAAATACATAAACTTATCCTTAATCCTTTTTCAGGCTGATCATCCTAATCTATAATTTTTCAAGTATTTCTGTAAAATTGAAGAGACATCTGATTACTAGATTGTATCTACTTTGTAAAAATGGAACCCACTTTTGGAAGAGTATCTTTGGAAATGGAAAATAATAGATTTTAAAAACCTGGATTTGAGTTCCCTTGTGACCCTAGTCGTGTGACCTTGGGAGTCATTTAAGTTTTAGCAGAGTGATCTCATAATAGTATAATACATACTTATATATGCAATATTTAGTGTTTTCCAAAGTTGCGTAATCTTTTTTTTTTTTTTTTTTTGAGACAAGAGTCTCGCTCTGTCGCTGAGGCTAGAGTGCAGTGGCGTAATCTCAGCTCACTGCAAGCTCCGCCTCCCAGGTTCATGCCATTTTCCTTCCTCAGCCTCCCAGGTAGCTGGGACTACAGGCGCCTGCCACTACGCCTGGCTAATTTTTTGTGTTTTTAGTAGAGACAGGATTTCACCATGTTAGCCAGGATGGTCATGATCCACCCACCTCGGCCTCCCAACAAAGTTGCCTAATTTTAGGAATCACCCTTGAGTGCATGTAACATCTGTTAATTCTGGGGCCTCATCTCATGCCTCATGAATTCATCTTTCTGGTTAGAAATCTGTATTTTTAATAAGTAAATTAGGTATTTCTAGGATCAAGTTTTAGAAATACTACTATTATTGAATTCATTATATTAAATTTAACCTTTTCTCAAAATAAGTTGCTAATGTTTCGGATTTTATATATTTGGGTTTGCTTTGTTTTCAGTAAACAAGTGATTCCTACAAATTTATTGTGGCTTAATTGGTAAAACATAAAAATGATAACGCTCAGAATAAAGACTATTGGATGATAAACACAAAAATAACAATTATTTTAAAATTCCACCTATGTTCTGCCACTACCTATTAAAGCAAATTGTGCTAAATTTTCTGAATGATATTACAGTAAACTTCTTCTAGTATATTAGATTAGTGTTGCCTATTAATAGAAAACATTTCCACCCAAAGCCAGTATGTTTATGAGTCTTATTTTATGAATTAACTATCAAGACAGAATTTATAAAGATAATCTGTGTTTTCTACAAATTCTCTATGATTTAATATTGGATATTCTTGAAACTTTTCTCTGTGAACTTACTTAGTGCCCTTTATTCTACAGTCCTTTCTAGCTTGTTGCCCCAGCTACCTCCTCTTCCTACCTTCCTGTTTTTATTCAAATACAACATTATTTTTTAAAAGTCTATTTCACTGGGCACAGTGGCTCACACCTCTAATCCCAGCACTTTGGGAGGCTGAGGCAGGTGAATCACTTGAGCCCGAGAGTTTGGGACCAGCCTGAGCAACATAGCAAAACCTAATCTCTATCAAAAAAATTAAAAAGTAGCGGAGAATGGTGGCGTGCGCCTGTAGTCCCAGCTATTCAGGAGGCTGAGGCAGGAGAATCAGGAGAGCCCAGGAGGTTGAAGCTGCAGAGAGCCAAGATAGTGCCAATGTATTCCAGCCTGGATGACAGAGCAAGAGCCTATCTCAAAAAATAAATAAATAAATAAATAAATAAATAAATAAATAAATAAATATATTTATACATATATACACACATCATTATTGCTTAATAGTTTACATTGGAAGTATATATAAAAATGGACAATGACTCAAATATATAATGCCTAGATTTTGCATTTAGTATATGTTTTATGGTTGTAATAGCTGCAGAGTATTCATAAAGAGTGATGAGTTTAAACATTCAAATGTAAATTAAAATTTTTGTTATTCATTAGAAGGAGACCTACATTAGGGTTTTGCTTTTTTTTTTTTTTAAATTACGGATATAATAACATTTGGGTACTTAAAATGTGTTAGGCACTGTGCGGAGCCCTTTATATGCATTTTCTTCATTTAATCCTAACAACAGATGTAGAAGAGGTACTATTATCTCTATTTTACAAATAAGGTTGAGTGACTTGTCCAGGTCTTCTCAGCAGTTTGAGTGGCAGTGCTGTAATTTAAAGCCAGGAAGCATGATTCCAGATACTGAGCTCTTTATCCCTATGTAGTTTACTGCCTCATCAGTGAAGCCAGTACAGAAGGTTAAATTTCATGGTGAGTTAACTTTTAAGATTTAATATCTCTAAATCAGAATCTTCCCTAAGCATACCAATAAAGAAAAATTACTGAGTATTCTCAGTTTTCAGTTTTTTCGTTTTTCATGGGAATAGGAGAAAAGAGAGAAATGGGGAAATAGCTATCTCTTAGGTCACAGTTTGTAAATTCTGGATTAAAAAAAATTTTTTTTTTTTAGTGTAAAGTTAAAGGTGTCAATTTAAAAAAATACTTGTCAGGCCAGGCACAGTGGCTGACACCTGTAATCCCAGGACTTTAGTAGGCTGAGGTAGGCAGATCACTTGAGCTCAGGGGTTTGAGACCAGCCTGAGCAACATGGCAAGACTGTATGTCTACAAAAAGTACAAAAATAAGCTGGAGGTGGTGGTGTGCACCTTTGGTCCCAGCTACTAGGGAGGCAGAAGTGGGAAGATTGCTTGAGCCTGAGAGGCAGAGGTTGCAGTGATCTGGGATCATGCCACTGCACTCCAGCCTGGGGAGACTCTGTCTTAAAAGAAAAAAGAAGCCGGGTGCAGTGGCTCACGCCTGTAATCCTGGCACTTTGGGAGGCCAAGGCGGGCGGATCACGAGGTCAGGAGTTCCAGACCAACCTGACCAACATGGTGAAACACCGTGCTCAATTACAGGAGTGAGCCACCACACCCGGCCCACACCCAGTGAATTTTTTAATTTTAATTTTTGATGGAGGTGGGGGCTTGCTTTGTTGCCCAGGCTGGCCTTGAACTCCTGGGCCCAAAGAATTCTCCTGCCTCGGCCTCCTGAAATGCTGGGATTACAGATGCGATTCACCATACCTGGCCTCATTGTAATTTTAAAGCCTATTTTATGAAATGTTGTAGTATAGCATATAATAAATGTTCTTACCTGCTAAGAACAAGGAAAGGGAAAAGTATTAAATAATTTAAAATAGGATAAAACTTCAAAAAGTACTATAATGTTATAGTTCCTAATATTATGTTACTTATCTTTTTAAAAGGTTAGAAGTTGAGATAGGTTTAGAGGGGAGATATATACCTTATGTATAATATTGCTTGAATCATTCAGATATTTTATAGGGTTTACAACATCCAGTGTAAGCATAATTGGTCAACATATGAACCATAGGTTTGGATGTGGTGATTTTGAAGACGATAGGTCACTTGATATTTCATCTAGCGCGTTAGAAATACAAAATGAACAATACCCAAGACATTGTAAGCCTACACAAGGTTAGTAAATTTCATGACAAGTTAATTTTTAAGGTTGAATATCTAAATCAGAATCCTCCCTAAGCATACTGATAAAGAAAAATTAGTGAGAATTCTCAGTTTTGAGGTTTTTCATCTTACTCTGCTGCTGATCTGTTGTTGCTCAAATAATTTTGCCAAATAGGAGAACTCAAGGCTTTGTATATGATTTTTGGGCTTCCCTGAGGAGCCACTGCAAGGAAGCAACTGCTCATGAGGTTAAACACTAGGGAATTTCTGCTGACTTCTGCCCCCAGGAAATGCACCAGATACATGCACACAAAACACACACACACACACACACACACACACGTTTTTAGAAGACATTTTGCCACTAAAATGGAATGGAAGATCATGTGGATTAATAACTCCCAGATGCCCAGTTAGGTTGTAGCCCTGGAGTAAAGTTGGGGCAACAGGAATATAATTTTCCTGTGGTAGAACCTGAGAAAGCTTTGCTGTTATCATTAACCATTCTTGGCCAGGCGTGGTGGCTCACGCCTGTAATCCCAGCACTTTGGGAGGCTGAGGTGGGTGGATCACCTGAGGTCAGGAGTTCGAGACCAGCCTGCCCAACATGGCGAAACCCCATCTCTACTAAAAATACAAAAACTTAGCTGAGCGTGGTGGCAGGCACCTGTAATCCCAGCTGCTCAGGAGGCTGAGGCAGGAGAACTGCTTGAACCCGGGAGGCGGAGGTTGCAGTGAGCCGAGATGGCGCCACTGCACTCCTGGGTGACAAGTGAAACTCTGTCTCAAACAAAAAAGGAAAAAAAGAACCATTGTTAAGAATGGTTTTTTTAAACTTAGTAGCAAGTAGTACCTCTGTGACTACTCTGTCCATTGCTTAAGAGATCCTATTACAGCTGCATTTTAAAAATTTCCCTTACAATAAAAAAAAGTGGTTTTGAAGGGTATAAATATTTAAATAAATGTTAGGTTGGTGCAAAAGTAATTGTGGCTTTTGCCATTTTTAACTGCATACTCCTTTTGCACCAACCTAATAATTAGAAGATGCACCTATAATCTAAAATATGTAAGTAAATAAAAAGCTGTTATTTTCATGTGAATAGCAGCTGTGGTCATTATAAGGTCAACTTCTGTACTATGTTATTTCTGATTTTTTTTTTTCTTTTTTGAAACAGTCTCGTCTGTTGCTCAGGCTAGAGAGCAGTGGTGCAGTCTTGGCTCACTGCAACCTCCACCTCATGGGTTCAAGTGATTCTCGTGCCTCAGCCACCCTAGTAACTGGGATTACAGGTGCATGCCACCACGCCTGGGTAATTTATTTTGTATTTTTCAGTAGAGACAGGGTTTCACCATGTTGGCTAGACTAGTCTCGAACTCCTGGCCTCAAGTGATCTACCTGCCTTGGCATCCCAAAGTGCTGGGACTACAGGTGTGAGCCACCACACCTAGCCTGCCATTTCTGATTATCTTAAATTATGTATGAGCACACAATCAGGCATTTTAGGACATGAATATTTTTTGTGGACATAACTCAAATTGAGTAAGATGGAGCTTGATTAGAAACTTTTTTTGGTAAATTTCTTAACATTTAGTCTATAATATAGTTTAGTACTGTTCTGTTTGGCAGCAATAAGTTGTTATTGTTTTACAAAAGAGAATACGATTTTTCCATATTTATTTACATGTTTTATTTCCCATGTAAAGAAAATCAAGGACAAAAAATGCTTTTCTTCTTAAAAGTAACTCATACCCTCATGTAATTTTTTATTTCTTTTAATTGCTTTGAAATAACTGTTGAATATGTTCATTCACTGCTAGTGGCTTCCTTTTTTAGATGGCAGAATCATAAACATATTTACATCTTTTAGCCAGAAGTTAATTCTACTCCATAAAATTACATCACATTCGCACATCCAAATCTGAACCAGGTATTTACTAAATCTGTCTTGGCAACAAGAACAAACACGTTGAAAACCAAATTTAGCTTTCTTCCTATACCCATTTCTCTTCCTTTGATGTCCATTTTTATTGGTAGCATTACCATTTTCCCAGTTATGGAGGCTTAAAGCTTTACAGTCATTTTTGTCTCTTTACCTTCCAAGTTTAGGAGGTGGCTTATCCTATCATTTACTCTCAGTCTAACTTAATGTATCTGCTGCCATAGTTGTAATTTGGGCCCTCTTTACCACTTCCCTGGGTAATTACAAATCTTTCTGGTAAGGCTTCCCTCTTATTTTCATTCCTCTTAAATCCAGGCTGCATAGTCTTCCAGAATTGTCTTTCTAAAATACAGTCATTATCTCTTCCATACTCAGAACCTTGATTGACACATAAAACTAACACCTGGAAAAAAAAAACAAAAACCTTGAGTGGTTCTCTGTTTTCTTTTTTTTGCAGTTGCAAGATTTAATAGAGTGAAAATAGAGCTCCCATACAAAGGGAGGGGACCCAAGGAGGGTAGCCGTTGCCAGCTCGAATGCCTGGGTTTATATCCCAATCAATGTCCCCTCCTGCTGTGCTCTCAGGCGATAGATGATTGGCTATTTCTTTACCTCCTGTTTTTGCCTAATTAGCATTTTAGTGAGCTCTCTTTACTACCTGATTGGTCGAGTGTGAGCTAAGTTGCAAGCCCCGTGTTTAAAGGTGGATGCGGTCACCTTCCCAGCTAGGCTTAGGGACTCGCTGTCGGCCTAGGAAATCCAGCTAGTCCTTTCTCTCAGTCCGCCCTCTCAACAGGAAAACTCAAGTGCTGTTGGGGTGGTTGGCTGATGACTGCTCTAACTGCTTCCTGCTGAATTGGGGCATAGTAGGGGTCATGCAGTTGAGATTTCCTCGGGAGGGGTGACTTCAGTGTCATCAACATCAGAGCATGGGCTAGCAGGCTGGTCCAGGGGTCTGTGGTAGATTTTAGTCATGGACTGCATCTGGGGCTCCATTTGAAGAGCCATTTGTAGCTTTACCGCTTCGATTCTGGAAGAGACCAATTTAATAAGGAGGTTAAAGATACAGGGTCCAAAGAAGAGTAACAATATTATAGCTGCTAGAGGTCCTAAGAAGGGGAGAATCCAGGGCATCCACTGGCTGAGGAGGCCCCAGGGTCTGGTGCTTTGAAGCTCCTATGCTCTGCGTTGTATTCCATCTCGAATTTCTTTAACTTTCTCAGTGATGATTCCAGATTGATTAACATAATAACAGCATTCTTCCCCTAAAAATAAACAGGTTCCCCCTCTTTCTGCAGTTAGCAAGTCTAAAGCTCTTCGATTTTGAAGTACTACTGCTGCTAGGGAGTTAAGTTGATCTTGCAAGGTGACCAGGGAGTCGGCAACCCGTTCCATGTCACCATTTAGTTCTTGAGATAGTTTGTAGTAGAACTGAGTAGAGGTTGTGATACTGCCCATGCCAGTACCTAATCTGCCTAGCATTCCTGCTCGGATAACAAAAGGAAGAATGGGTACTCTTTTGTTGCGGGGCTTAGGTACGACATAATTGTATAAATCTTGTTCAGTGTAGATGGTCATAGGGTGCACTAAGAATGAGAGGAAGCACATAGATTCCGAAAAGCCATTCAAACAGTGATAGGCTGAGGTACCACAGACAAAAAATATTCCTGAGGGTAGGCAGACTATTTGTGTGGGAGGAGTTACCCATCTGATGCACTGGGAGTTGGTTGTGTCTATAGTATTGCTAAATTTTACACGGGTGAGGTTTGAGGTATGGGTTATTTCCAGATTGGAAACAAGAGGTCCTACTAAAATGGAAGTGGTGTTTATTTCTGTGCTGAAGTTGTTCCATTGTTCAGGTACAGGGATTGAAATATGTGGCCTGTAGTGCAGGGGGAGGCACATTCAACAGTTAGTAGGGTTTTGGGCCAAGGCCTCATGGAGCCCAGTGAGGGTGGTATTAAATAGGCTTACCTGGTGAGTATGGGTATGGAGGGTTTCATGTAGTTTTGAGAGATCTAGTCCTTTGTAGGGGTTAGGGGTGCTATGTACCCGGGTCAGTTGGGAGATTACTTCCTTTATGTGTTTTTCTCCTGCCTGATCTTGAACTCCACGCCCATCAGACATACTGGTATGGGTGAAGTAAGTCCAACAGACAGTGGCTCCAAGTCCTCCCGGACAACTAGGATTAAAAATTTTCCCTGTCCAATAATGAGTATTTGCATGCATGCAAAGAGTGGCAGAGTTACAGCAGTTGCGGGGCATATGGGTATGGGGCAGTGAAGGTGGGGTTTCCCTTAGATAAACTCCTATATGATGGGGCATCAATATTTCCGGGAAGCCGCATTCTCCATAGAAACTCTTGGTAACGGGAGCTACTGGTCATACAGTGGCATGGAGGGGGTGCAGTGAGAATGAAAGGGGGTAAGAGAACAGTAAAGAGAAAAATATGATAAGGGAGGGCCATGGGGATTTACGATTTTAGTTACTTTCCTCACGGTTGTTGCTTGAAGAGCAGGCCCAGATCCTCTAGAGGTTCACAGGAATAGCTAGCGTTGTCTCCTGGATTTCCGGGTTCTTTTGGCAGTAGCCAGGGTTTGACTCGAGTGTGATGTATCCTAGACTCCACTCCAGCCACTTTAACCGCGGTTGGGGTAGATAAAATGACCGGGTAGCGTCCTTCCCAGGATGTATCTAGGGATGGGGAATCAGAAGGAAGGGGCTTGACTAATACCATGTCACCAGGGTGGAATAATTCCTTTCCCTCTTCTCAGGGACAGGCTTCTTGTCATGTTTTAAGAACTTGCTGATATTTGGCTAAGGAGGTGATATCTGCAACTAAGTTGGCCGTCTCTCGGTCAAGCACAAGGTCATTGGTTAGGAAGGGCCGTCCATACAGCATTTCGTATGGGCTAAGTCCTGCTTTTTGGGGAGAGTTTCGGATTCTTAGTAAGGCTATAGGCAACAGAGCAGGCCATGTGAGGTGGGTTTCCTGGGTTAGCTTTTTTAGATGTTGTTTGAGTGTTTCGTTCATTTTCTCGACCTTCCCCGAGGATTGTGGCCTCCAGGTGCAGTGTAAGTGATATTGTATACCTGACATCTGCGATAGTCCCTGGGTTACTGTTGCCTTGAAAGCAGGGCCATTGTCACTCTGTAAGCCTCGGGGAAGTCCGCATCTGGGAATTATTTCATGAACTAGTGCCTTTATTACCTCTTGGGCCTTTTCTGTCCTGCAGAGGAAGGCCTCTGCCCAACCAGTGAAAGTATCTACCGAAACTAGTAGATACTGAAATCCCTGAGATTTGGGTATGTGGGTAAAATCTAGTTGCCAGTCTTCTCCTAGGTAATGGCCTGTTCTTTGTTCTCCTGAAGGAGCTTGGCGATAAGGCAGGGGATTATTTCTTTGGCACACTTCACAGGCCCTGACTATCTGCTTGATAGTTTTGAAAAGGCCTGGTCCAGTAAATAATGATTTGGCCATCTGATAGGTGCTATCAATGCCTAAGTGAAAGTTTGGTGAAGGGTTTTAAGTAATTTCCATTGGTTAGCTGCAGGCAAAAGTATTTTTCCTTCTTCGGTGGCTAGCCATCCTGAGGGGAGGAAACTATGTCCTCATGAGGTTCCCCATTCATTTCTTCTTCTGAGTACTGTGGCTTGGTTTCCTGGAGGGGATTACCCCATACTCAGGGTCCTTCTGTAAGCATTTCTAATGGAGGGTCCTGTCTTGCAGCTCTTTTTGCTTCAATATCTGCTTGGTGATTCCCTTCTATTTCCCTTTCCTTTCCTTTCTGATGACCCCGGCAGTGTAAGACTGCCACTTCTTTAGGTTTCTGTACCACCAATAATAATCTCCTAATGACTTCCTGATGTTTGATAGGTGTTCCCTCGGAAGTTAGGAATTCCCTTTCTCTCCATATTGCTGCGTGGGCATGGAGGACTAGGTAAGCATACTTAGAGTCTGTATATATATATTTACCCTTTTCCTTCTCCTAATTCTAGTGCCTGACTGAGGGCTATTAGTTCTGCCAGCTGAGCACTAGTTCCTGGAGTGAAGGAATTACTTTCAAGTATTCCATTATCACTGACCACTGCATACCCCACTTTTCGAAGTCCTTTTTCTACAAAGGAACTTCCATCAGTATACAAGTTGAGGCTGGGATCAGTCAAGGGAACCTCTAGAAGGTCCCCTCGAGCGGCATAGGTTTGAGCAATTACTTGTTGACAGTTATGTTCTATATTTTCTTCATTGTCTGGAAGAAATGTGGCTGGGTTGAGTTGCACAAGTGTGCAGTCGCAGCACTGGCCCTTCAAGTAATAGAGCCTGATATTTATATTGATATCTGATATTGATATTGATACCTGATATTGTTGTCTGACAGTCACAAGTCTCCTTTAGCAGTGAGAATGCTGTTCACATCATGAGATGTCCACACAGTAAGATCTCTTCCCTGTATTATTTTAATGCTTCAGATACTAAGACTGCTACTGCCACCACTACCCGTAAACAATGAGGCCAACCCTTTGCCACTACATCAATTTCCTTACTCAGGTATGCCAGGGGTTGCAAGCTCGTCCCTCAGACCTGTGTAAGGACCCCTAGAGCTATTCCCATTTTTTCTGTGACATATAAAGAAAAGTCTTGCCCCGTTGGCAAGCTTAACATGAGTGATTCTCTGTTTTCTACAGAACAGAGTTCCTACTCCATGGCATAACTTTTTTTTTTTTAAGACAGAGTCTCACTCTTGTCGCCCAGGCTGTAGTGCAGTGGTGCAATCTCGGCTGACTGCAACCTCTGCCTTTCAGGTTCAAGCGATTCTCCTGCCTCAGCCTCATGAGTAGCTGAGAATACAGGCATGCGCCACCATGCATGGCTAATTTTTGTATTTTTGGTAGAGAAGGGGTTTCACCATGTTGGCCAGGCTGGTCTCGAACTCCTGACCTCAGGTGATCTGCCCACCTCGGCCCCACAAAGTGCTGGGATTACAGGCGTGAGCCACCATGCCTGGCCCCATAGCATAACTTTTAAGACCCTTAATAATCTTGCATCAGCTTAATTTATTTTTATATTACCTCTTACTATTTTTCTCTTCATGCACTGTGCTCTTGCACTTTTAATACTAGTTTTTTTAGTTTGTATGTGAAGGACCTAGGTGCCCTTTCCTAGTTGTAATGGTCCATATCATGTCTGCTGTCTCAATTAATAACTTGAGAAAGTGGAGGGTGCTTGAAGTATTAGCAAACTAGATTCCATGATTTACTATTTACTCTTTTGATATTTGAATTAGATGGAAGTATTATAACAAAGAAAAAATATATAATGATATTTGTGTGTGAAGAAGCCTTTAAACATATTTTCTATATATTTTAGAATTGAGACTTAATGAACAATATTTCTTTCAACATTTCTTTAAGAAAAATATAGTGTAAAACATAAAAATATATTAAAAATGATTAATGACAGCTTCTCTTATAAATGAAGTTAAACTCATTGGAGATAACATGTCTTTTATATTTTTTTGATGAGATTTGTCTGATCATTCGTCTCTTGATAGTTTATGTATAGATTTTATGTTTATGTGGACTGTTGAGCAAATTATTCCATTTACTGAGATTTTTTTCTCTTTGTCACAGAACACGTTTTTGGGCTAACCCGTGTTTCTGTTAGTTGATGTGTGTACTAATTTTGATTGCATACTAAAGAAGAAATACATGAAAAATGATCACTTACATGGATTTCTTTCTTTAATCTTTGCCATTTTCACATAAAGCCAGGTTACTATTAGCATTAGCAGTTGACAAAACAATCTATCTGCTGCTTAATTTTTAAAAATCAATTATTTGATTGACTTTATCACTGTTTAACTGCTTTTCTTTCATAAAACCTAAAGCAATACATATTTCTCTTTTCTTTTTTTGCCTTGATACATTCATCTAACATATATTTATGGAATACCTGGTATGTGCCAAACACTATATTAGGCTCTGGGAAAGAATAATCATCAAAACTAGACATAGATCCTATCCCCATGGAACTTACAGTCTAGTAGGATTGTAAATAAAGAATCAGAAACTAAGATAAAAGTTAACCTAGAAAAGCACAGATTGCTGTGACATTGACCTGATCTGTTTTCTGATGTCAGAGGATTTTCTTTTTGATGACCCTTTTGTTGCCTGATTATCATGCTGTGATAAGTCGCTTGTATGCCTCTCACACCTCACCCTGACATGTAAACTCCTTAAGGAAAGGAAGGGGCCAGGCATGGTGGCTCATGCCTGTAATACCAGCACTTTGGGAGGCCGAGGCAGGCGGATCATGAGGTCAGGAGGTCGAGATCAGCCTGACCAAAATGGTGAAACCCCATCTCTACTAAAAATACAAAAATGAGCTGAGCATGGTGGTGCGTACCTGTAATCCCAGCTACTCAGGAGGCTGAGGCAGGAGAATCGCTTGAACCCAGGAGGTGGAGGTAGCAGTGAGCCAAGATCACACCACTGCATTCCAGCCTGGGCGACAGAGCGAGACTCCATCTCAAAAAAAAAAAAAAAAGGAAAGGAAGGTTTAAGTGCCTAGTCCATTCTAGTATTGCAGTTACAAACATTTATAATGACTTAATGAACGTGTGAATAAATTGTAAATTCTTTGTATGAAATAAATTTTCAGTTTTAAAAGACTATGTTACAATATCCTAAGATACTACATAATAAGCAAATATGTTTAAGTATTTGTTTTGTTTTTTGGGGGATTTACAGGGTCATCATCAAATCCACAGCAAATTTCCAGTTTTGACTTCACAACCACAAAGGCTTTATCAGAAGACTCAGTAGTAGTTGTTGGAAAAGGTATTTCAAAGTTATTTCGCTTCTTAATTATATGTATTCATCATATAGAAGCAAAGCCTATCAATAAGGAATAGAAAAGAATGTGATTCAAGTGTTGAGTGGAACTTCTTTTTAAAAATGTATTACATTATCTTCATTAAAATAATTAGAAGTGAATACTTACCTTCACATTTCTATCTTCTAATGAAACTATAGTAAATTCATGTCATTAATTTTCAGAGAGATGTATTATGTGACAGCTGCAGTTTAGGTACTTCTAAGACTATTTTAGGATAGCTTACTTAGTTTTAGCATAGTTTAAATTCAAGTAGCCCTTATTTATCAGCGTAATAATCAATATAAATTAATATAATTATCTCCCATACAAGATCTAGACAAGTGAAAATTAAACTCCTGTTATATATTTTAAGGGGGCTAAGGGACCTTGAACAAAATTATTGCAAGTATCCTTTAAAGCTATTTTCTATTTTAATTGAAAACTAGAATGTGGTAATATACATTGAGGGTATGCATCTTATTTTTGTTCAATATAATGAAATAGAATAAACGTTTTGAAAAATTTGTCCTAACTTCTTTGCTTGATAGTCTCATTAGGTTATTTTAAAACCCTCCTCAGATTGGCTACAGCTTACTCTTGTAAACTTATTTTCTGTTATTCCTTTATTTGCCCGGCCAAGCTCATTTATTCGCTCCACATAAATGCTTTAGAAACTTTCAACTCTGCATGTAAACATCCCCATCTCATAGATTTCCCCCTCTCCTTCTTTACTTTATACAGATCCTTCCTGTCTTCAAATCCCAGCTCAAATCCTTGCTCCTTGAAACCATCTTAAACACCCAGCTCTGCCAGGTGCAGTGGCTCACTCCTGTAATCCCATTCTTTGGGAGGCCCAGGCGGGCAGATCACTTGAACTCAAGAGTTCAAGACCAGCCTGGACAACATGGCAAAACCCCATCTCTACCAAAAAAAAAAAAAATACAAAAAATTGGGCAGGCCTGGTGCTGTGCGTCTGTAGTCCTAGCTACGCAGGAGGCTGAGGTGGGAAAATTGCTTCAGCTTGGGAGGTGGAGGTTGCAATGAGCCGAGATTGTGCCATTGCACTCCAGCCTGGGTGACAGAGAGAGACTATCTCAAAACAAACAAACAAACAAACAAACAAAAAACAGCTCACAGCAACCTTTTCTTTATGTGTGCTTACCACTTATAATATGCAGCTCTCACTTATTATCATGAACTGCATTCTGCCACCTCTTATATTAATGCCCTATTAGGGTATTTGTTTTTATATTTTATAATTATTTAGCATGTTTTTCTTACTAACTGTGTTGTTTGATTCTTGAAGGCAAGAGCCTTGCCTTAAACTTTGTTGTCTAGAGTACCATCACATAATTAGTTAATGACTATTTGGTGGTTGGTTGATTTCAGGCGTATTTGGAAGTTTAAGTTCAGCACCAGCAACCTGCAGCCAATCAGTGATATCTTCTGTGGAAAATGGGGATACATTTTCAATTAAACAAAGTATTGAACCACCATCAGGGATTTATGGAAGATCAGTCCAGCAAAATATTTCATCATATCTTGATGTTGAGAATGAAAAAGATGTAAGGTTATTTGCTAATTATTAGAATAAATTTAAGCTTACAGTATGTCATTGTTTTGTGTATATCAGATGTGGGGTGGTGAAAGTATTTCAATTAAAATTTAAAAAATCTTAGTACAGTTGAAATTTTGAGCCTTGGCAATGTGGCAAAGCCCTGTCTCTAGGAAAAATACAAAAATTAGCCAGGAAAAATACAAAAATTAGCCCGAGAAAGTAGAGAGCCTATTTTCTCTAGGAAAAATACAAAAATGTAGCTACAGCCATGCGTGCCTATGGGCCCAGCTACTTGGGAGGCTGAGGTAGGAGGATCACTTGAGCTCGGACGGTCGGACTTGAGCTGCAGTAAACCGTGATTACGCCACTGTACTCCAGCCTGGGCAATACAGTGAAACTGTCTCAAGAAAAAAAAAAAAAAGAAATTTTGATTCTTAATCATTTAAATATAGATTATTCGTCCTTCCCACTTAATAAAGGCATTCTTATCCTGGGGATAAAGTATGTAATATACTTTGTATTCTCCATGTACTTTATATTTTACATGTACTATATATACATATATATGTATGGGTATATTCTGTTTTCTAGGACACACTTAAGTAGTGACAGACTAATATCCTCAGACACAAATTAGTTATCTGAGATGAAGATATTTTAAATATCAAAGTCCCTGAATATTTTCAGACTTTCAACTTTTTCATGCAGGCTAAAGTTTCTATTTCTAAATCTACTTATAACAAGATGAGACAAAAGAGAAAAGAAGAGAAAGAACTGTTTCACAATAAAGATTGTGAAAAGAAGGAAAAAAATTCCTGGGAACGAATGAGACATACAGGAACTGAGAAAATGGCATCTGAAAGTAAGTGGAATTTAAGTTTTGGTATTTTTTTTTTCTAGTAATTGTCTAAAGCTGGTGAAATGAGGTTTCACTGAGGGTAATATATGACTAAGAATGAAATATCTTATATAACACCGAAATTTGCAAGTTCTGCCTTTAATTAGCTTTGTGACCTGGAAGCAGCCCTCAGTTTTCTGCCCCTGTGAATATCTTGATTATCTCAAAGGTCCAGATTATCTCAAGGATCTCTTCTATACTCCTGGAAATATTCCTGTTTTACTGAGGAGTGGTATCCCATTTTATAGTAGATAACTGAGATGGTGATTCTGGTTTATATTACATCATGATCCAAAAAGGCCATTGCATTTGTCATTTATTCAGTCTATCCTTGAGTACCTACTATGTTTTGTGCTTGGTCAAGAGTAGGCTCTATGTTTCCTGGTGTTGTTTTTTAAAATATTGAATACATGTTAGGTATAGTAGCAACTAGGAAAAATCAGAGGTTGAAATGAAAAATCATGTGAACTATAATAAACATTAAGTATTATTGCTTAATTACTGTTTTGTTAAATATTATTAAGAAATAAACTGAAATATAAACACTATTAAATTTATGTTGTATCTGAAGTCTAGATAGCAACAAAATACTCAAGAAGGTTACAAAAATACTCTAAATTTAATAGACAATATACTTCTTTTGAAAGTAAAAATAAAAAAGATTTAACCTAAATTAATGTCTGAGGTTTTTCCTAGCTTTTATTTCCATTATAATGCAACAAGTGGAGAAAACTGTATTTTCAAAGCTAATCACTGTTGAGAGTATGCCTGATGAGAGGTGTTAGCCTGTACAATTGTGGCTGAAGATGTCCCTAAAACCCATTAAATGTAGGTGTTTGTGAAATTTAAGCCTCTTAGCATTCTCAGATAATTCACTATTTGTTATTGTCATAAAATTCAGGGAGAGAAAAACCCACGAAACTTCCTACCTAACTTAGCCAGTGTGAAGAGTAGAAATAGAAGTACAAGATTACAAATAGTAATAAATCATAAATTTGGGGTATTAATTCTTGATGGATCAACTAATTTTGTGATTTTTGCCTACAATGTAGGCTTTAAAGATTAGGTTTCTGAGAAGTATAAGGAGAGTACTGCTTTGAAGTTACCCTTATATTATTTGAAAATAAGAATATGCTTACACAATTATTATCTTGATCAGCTCAAAGTGTAGTTGTTTAGCTCTGTTTATGGTTATGAACATATTAGCAGAAATAATTTTTAATAGCTAAATTCTAATTGGATATGCCTCCAGTTAAGAAACTTTCTATCAGTTAGATCACTGCTACTCAAAGTGTGTTTCATAGACTGTGTGAACTGTTTATTACTCATCTATGATAACATACATACAGACAATATTTAGCTTCTAGAAACTATTTTAACAATTTGACAATGCCACAACACTTTTATTGTACTTTATAAAAGTATCAGTCTGCAACATAGTGGAAGTTTTGTTGTTTTTTGTTGGTTTTTTTTTGAGATGGAGTTTTGCTCTGTCGCCCAGGCTGGAGTGCAGCGGCACGATCTCGGCTCACTGCAACCTCCACCTCTTCGGTTCAAGCGATTCTTCTGCCTCAGCTTCCCGAGTAGCTGGGACTACAGGTGTGCACCACCATGTCAGGCTAATTTTTGTATTTTTAGTCAAGACGGGGTTTCACCATGTTGGACAGGCTGGTCTCGAACTCCTGACCTCGTGATCTGCTCACCTCAGCCTCCCAGAATGCTGGGATTACAGGTGTGAGCCACCATGCCCAGCCAACAGTGGAAGTTTTTAAAAAAAAAAATCTTCATTTGAGCATCACTACTTTCAATTGATATTCTATACACCTCCTTTTTCAAAATAACATTCTTCAGGTGAAAACAAAATAAAGATAGGTGATAGTACTTTGTATTGTTATAATCTCAAGGTTGAAAATTTGGTGTTTATCTATATCTCTTTCTAATGAGTTATTGTTTCATGAACGTGGGAATGGATTAGATATATTAAGGGAATTCTTAAAACTTCCACATTGGTTTCTTCATCTGTAATATACTACTAATAATTACTATGTAGGGTTGTTGAATGAATTAAATTAGATAGTATGAATGATGGACTTAGCACAATACTAGGGAAGATAATAAATGATAATAGTGCTTTTTTTTATTTGCTATTCTTTCAGGATTGGGATATTCCAAAGCTGGAGGATTTTATTTATACATGTTAGTCTTAGATATGAAGCCTAATGAGGGTCCATCTGAACCATCAAAAAAAAGTGAAAGGGGTCTATTATATTCTTTAATTGGTATATCATCTTCCTCACATAACAAAAACTGGTACTGATTTATCACTATAGTAATTTAAGGCATCATATTTTACCTTTTTACATTTTTTGTTAGATATATGATGAATTTTTTGAAAGCAGAGATTCTGTCTTATACCTCTTTATATAAGATCACAGGTAATGGTGGCCGTAGATCTAAGTCCTGCCTCTCCCACTCATTAGCAATGGAACCTTAAGTAAATTTCTTAGTCTCTGTAAAATGCAATTATTTTCTCAGCTGCAAAATAAAGATAGTTAGAATACCTACCTCAGCTTTGTTGAGATAATTAAATGCAGTAAAGTTTGCAAAGCATTTATCCCAAGGTCTGGTGTATAGTATTTAATAAATGCTAGCTAATATCATTAACACCTTGTTGCCTTTGGATTTTAAATGACCAACTCTGAATATGTAATTAGTATGCAACATCAAGTGAAATCTCTTATATTTGTGATTTCAGGTAACATTTTCTCACAGATAACATGGTTAATAAACAATTTTTGATGATAGTTTCTAGTGACTAATATTTCCTTTCTAAAAATATCTCTTAATATGGAAAAATAGCCAGTAAATCTTTACCTACTTATAAAAGCCCATTCTATTTGACCCTTTTCTTTTTAATATCTCCACTGCACGTGTCTCGCATTATATAGTGCTCTCAAGGATATTATCCTGAGCACTCAAAGAGGATGATTTGTTTTCTCAGCTTATAGTACAGTGCCTTACATCTGGAAAATGCTTGGTCAATGTCTTATTATAGAGGAAACATCATTCTTATTACTACACATGGTCTTAGAATTTGTAATAGGCCACTAATTCTATATCGATAGAGAAAATCAACTAGAATTCTACATACAGATGCCATGAACCTTCATCTTCACTTCTCAGTTATAAAACAGGTATATATCCACATTTTTACAAAATGGGATCGTACTACTTCTTTTGCTTTTAGCTGTTAAAATAAAGCTAGACTTTGTTATGACTCATGACTGAAAAATTACTTGTAGTTTTATTAAATATAATTTGTTAATAATTTTGCATATAAAAAGTAAAGTTTTCAATAGTTTTGCATATAAAAAGTAAAGTTTTCAATAGTTTTGGTTTCTGGGTACTGTAATTTTCCTCAAGACTAAACTAATAGTACTAAGTTTCCATAATAAATATTCATCACAACTGTAGTCAGAATAATGTTTGTACCCTTTGTATGAAGGACTCTTGGCCAGGCATGGTGGCTCATGCCTGTAATCCCATCACTTTGGGAGGCTGAGGCGGATGGATTGCTTGAGGTCAGAAGTTCAAGACCAGCTTGACCAACATGATGAAACCCTGTCTCTACTAAAAATACAAAAATTAGCTGGGCATTGTGGTGCGCACCTGTAGTCCCAGCTACTTGCGAGGTTGAGGCAGGAGAATTGCTTGAAGCAGGGAAGTGGAGGTTGCAGTGAGCTAAGATCGTACTACTGCACCCTAGCCTGGGCAACACAGCGAGACTCCATCTCAAAAAGATAAAAATTTTTTTTAAAAAGGTTCTCTCATAGTTTATTTAATGTATTTTGTTTTAGGTGAAACACCTACTGGAGCTATTTCACAGTATAAAGAAAGGATGCCTTCTGTCACTCATAGTCCAGAAATAATGGATCTGTCAGAACTACGACCATTCTCTAAACCAGAAATAGCACTGACAGAAGCCCTGAGGCTTTTGGCTGATGAGGATTGGTAAGTTCACCATCCTTAACTTAAAACTAAGCAGAGTTCAAAAGCTTTCTGTAAATATTTAATTAAAAATCTTGAAACACATTTTCTATTAAAATAATCTTAGAAATGATTATTTAGTTCTTAGGCATCAGAGTCTTTTCAGCTCATTAATGTAGCTGAACTCTGGCCCTAATAGTACTTTATTACCAGTTGTATTATAGCTTACATGCCATAAACATATAATTTAGCTTTATAATGGATTATGTAAACCCTTTGATAATGAGATACAAATTTCACCATTTCTCAAAGTATTTCTCTGTGAAATATAATTATTAATAGTCCTGGAAATACTTACCTGCTCCTATTGTAGTGATAGCAGCCAACCAACCAGCCCAGCCAGTAACTCAAGGGAGACAAAAGACAGTGGCAATGTGCATCCCACGTGTTTCAGCGGGAGCATCCACTTACTGCCTTTGTCCCATTTCCTCCCTTGTTCCTTCACTATCTCTCATTATACCCATCTTATACCTCTTCATCAGTTTTGCCTGTGTTCTAGAGCATATTCATCAACTTTAAAATATGCCATAATATCTCTTATTTTTTAAAAACCTCCAGGCCGGGTGCAGTGGCTTACGCCTGTAATCCCAGCACTTTGGGAGGGTGAGGTGGGCAGATCACAAGGTCAGGAGTTCAAGACTAGCCTGGCCAACATAGTGAAACCCCATCTCTACTAAAAATACAAAAAAAATTAGCCAGGCATGGTGGCAGGCACCTGCAGTCCCAGCTACTTGGGAGACTGAGGCAGGAGAATTGCTTGAACCCGGGAGGTGGAGGTTGCAGTGAGCTGAGATTGGGCAACTGCACTCCAGCCTGGGCAACAGAGTGAAACTCTGTCTCAAAAAAAAAAAAAAAAAATAGAAGTTCTGCAGAATTTAATCCACTGGCATTCTCTTTCTACATTCATTTTGTAGCTCAAGGGCAGTCTTTCTGGCAATCTTTTTCTGTAAAGATCCAGGTAATAGGCGTTTTAGACTTTGCAGGGCAGATGCCTCTGTTGCAAATACTGAACTCTGTTGTTGCACAAAAGCAGCCTTAAAACGGTATCTAAACAAATGGGCATAGCTGTGTTTCTATAAAACTTTACTTATAAAACATTATATGAAAACTTTACTCATTAAAAAAATCTGATAGAGCCACATTTGGCCCATGAGCCATAGTTTGCCAATCCCTTCTTAAATTATTTCATTCAGTCTCACAGCTTTAAATTCCATCTAAACTCTGATTTTTCATAAATGTATATCTGTATCCCTGGTATCATTTTGAGCTCTAGACTCAAAAAGAAGTAATCCAACAGCCTAACTTGGCCCTTTTACTTAGATGCCATTAGACATCTTAAATTTAACATATCCAGAAAAGAAATCCTGAACTTCTTCCTGCCAACATGGATTAACAGGACTGTATTTGCCCTCATAACGTGAAAGATCTAACAAAATTATACAAAATATATGAAACAATAGTTTTCAAGGGGTGGGCACAGTGGCTCATGCCTGTAATCTCAGCACTTTGGGAGGCCAGATGACTTGAGGTCAGGAGTTCGAGACCAGCCTGGCCAACATGGTAAAACCTTGTCTGTACTAAAAAACGCAAAAAATCAGCTGGTGCATGGTGGCACACGTCTGTAGTACCAGCCACTTGGGAGGCTGAGGCACAAGAATCGCTTGAACCTGGGAGGCAGAGGTTGCAGTGAACCGAGATCATGTCACTGCACTCCAGCCTGGGTGACAGAGTGAGACTCCATCTCAAAAACAAAGAAACAACAACAAAAAAACAATAGTTTTCAAGACACTGTTCACCAGGCTATGGAAAGATGTTGATCTCTGAGAGACAGGAAACAAACCAGGTGAGCCCTACAATTACCCAGCTTGCTTTCTGGAGAGAGTTTCCAGGTTGCAGCTAAAGGGAGGGAAAACAGGCAGATAGCATCAGAGATGGACATGGTGCTGAGAGTTTGAGGAGGCCATGGTGACTAGACTTTGCAGGACAGAATGCCAGATAGAGCTCCACAGAGAGCTCCAGAGATCATAAGAGGATTTTACTCAAATGTTTAGCAGACAACTGGTCGGGGCATGCATGTAAATACATTTCCTGAGGCCAGAACAAGAACCACTCAAAAAAGTTACAAGGAACAATGTCAGGAGCATATACAATGTTAATAATACTTCCTGTTCCCACCAGCAGAGTGGAAAAGTTCATAATTCACAGGGCATTGGGTAGAATACTCAGAGTTTTGCTCCATAGTGTAGTAAAATAAACCATAGACTGAATGTTAGTTTGGTTCCTACCCAATGAAGTTTAAAAGCAAGGCCTAAGATGATCAAACATTTGATCCTTATTTGAAATACATTTTCAAATAACTATATCCCAGAACAAAGCTGAAGAATATTTATAGGAATACAAAAATAGCTAAAGTGAAATTACCAGGCATGCAGAGAAGCAGGAAAATATAACCAATAGTGAGAAGAAAAAAAGCCAAGTGAAACCAATGCAAAAATGACACAGGTGATAGAATTAGTAGACAAAGACATTGTAACTGTAACTACTGCATGCATTAAAGAGGCTGGAGGAAAGGTTGAGCAAGTAAAGAGATATAATATATATAAGAAACCCAAAACTAATATCTACAGATGAAAGCTATAATGTCTGAGATAGGAAATACACTGGATGAGATTAATAGGTTAGACATTCCAGAAGAAAAGATTAGTGAAGTTGAAGACGTAACCATTGAAACTATTCAAAATGAAACAATGAAGCCTGACCAATAAGGCAAAATCCTGTGTCTACCAAAAATACAAAAATTAGCTGGGTGTGGTGATGCACACCTGTAGTCCCAGCTACTGGGGCGACTGGGGCAGGAGAATCGCTTAAACCCGGGAGGCGGAGGTTGCAGTGAGCTGAGATCGTACCACTGCACCCAGCCTGGGCAACAGGGTGAGACTCTGTCTCAAGTAAAAAAAAAAAATCAAAATGAAACAATGAGAGAAACAAGACTGAAAAAAAAGTCCAAAAAATCTGTCAATTGTGGGACAACTTCAAGTTATGTGTAATTGGAGTTACCAGACAGAGAAGGAGACAGAAAAGAATATTTGTAGAAAAAAATGGACAAAATTTGTTCAAATTGGATGAAAACTATAAACCCAAAGATCTAAGAAGTTCAGTGAACACCAAACACAAGAAACATGAAAAGAAATATTTCAAAGGAGATATAATCAAAAGGCCTAAAATTAGGGATGGAGAAAATCTTAAAAATAGCTAGGGGCAAGACATTACATATAGAACAAAGATCAGACTACTCATCAAATACACTGCAAACCAAAAAACAGTTCAGTGAGATCTTTAAAGTACTGAAAGGAAAAACAAACTGTCAATCTAGAATTCTATATCCAATGAAAATATCTTTCAAAAATAAAAGTAGTGGGCCAGGCATGGTGGCTCACACTTGTAATCCCAGCACTTTATGAGGCCAAGCCAGGAAGATTGCTTGAGCCCAGAAGTTAAAGACCAGCCTTTGCAATATAGCAAGACCTCATCTCTAGAAAAAAAAAAAAAAAGAAAGAAAAAAAATTTAAAATCTGGATGCAGTGATGTGTTTCTGTAGTCCCAGCTAATCAGGAGGCTGAGGCAGAAGGATTGCCTGAATCCAGGGGTTCGAGGCTGCAGTGAGCTGTGATTGTGCCACTACACTGCAGCCTGAGCAACAGAACAAGACCTTGTCTCTAAAAAAAAAAAAAAAAAAAAAAAAAAAGTTTTAAAAGAAGCAAAATGTCTGACAGTTTGATACAAAGGCCCAAAGGGAAGACATGGCAGTATTGCTTTACCAAGGCAACAAAGGAGATAAAATATAACTATAAAAATAATTATAAAGAAAAGATGGGACAAATAGAAAACAAACAGCAAGATGATAGACTTAAACCCAATCATCTAATCACATTAAATGTAGATGAACTAAACACCCTAGTGAGATTAGATTAAAAAGCAAGACCCAACTATATGCTACCTATAAGAAATTCTGTTTAAATATATAGATACAAATAAGTTAAAAGTAGAGATTCAAAAAGATGTATACCATGCTAACACTAATCAAAAGATAGATTACATGGCCATATTAATATCAAAGTATATTTCAAAGCAAAGAATATTAATGAGAGTATTTATTTTATATTGTTATGTAACAAATTGCCACAAACTCAGTGGATTCAAACCACACAAATTGATTAACTCTCAGTTTTCTGGGTCAAGAGATCAGATATAAGTTAACTCAGCTCTTTGCTCAAAATACCACTAGGCTGAAATCAAAGTATCAGCCAGGGATGTGATCTCTTCTTTCAATTTTCTTAGAAGCTCATTGTTTGGAAGAATTGTCTTCCTTGTAGATGTGCAACTGTGGTTTTCATTTTTGTATTAGTCCGTTTTCATGCTGCTGATAAAGACATATCCAAGAGGAGAAGAAAAATAGGTTTAATTGGATTTAACAGTTCCACATGACTGGGGAGGCCTCAGAATCATGGCGGGAGACAAAAGGCACTTCTTATATGGTGGCAGCAAGAGAAAATGAAGCAAAAGCGGAAACCCCTGATAAACTCATCAGATCTTGTGAGACTTATTCACTATCATGAGAATAGCATGGGAAAGACTGGCCCCCATGATTCAGTTACCTCCCTGTGGTTCCCTCCTGAATCCTGGGACATAGCCAAACCCTATCAATTATCTTACTAGCTGTCAGCCAGGGACCCTCTCATCTTCTAGAGGTCAACCTTGTGTCCTTATTATGTGCCACACACACAGATATAGTTCCTCTCAACATGTAGCTTACTTCTTCAAAGTCAGGAGGAGAATCTCTGCTGCTGCTGGTTATCTCTTTTAAGGGAGGTAAAGCCTCCCCAGGATAATCTCCCTTTTGATTAACTTGAAGTCAACTGATTAGGGACCATAATTAAATCTGCAAATCTCTTTTGCTGTCACACTCAATATGATCACAGGGAGTGATATCCCAACACATTCACGTATCAATCACAGGGAGTGATATCGCAACACATTCATGGAGAGGGTGTAATACAGTCTGTGTAAATCAGGGGTAGGAATTATGGATGCCATCTTAGGATTCTGTATACCACATCCAGAATAAAGAGGGTCATTTTATAGTTATAAAGGAATTAATTCATCAAGAGGACATGGCAGTCCTGATGTTTATTTACCATATAATATTGCTTGAAAATACATTAAGCAAAAACTAATAGAACTGCAAGGAGAAATAAATCTCTAATTATAATTGGAACTTCAATAATCCTCTCTCATTAATTAATAGAACAAGTTGAAAGAAAATCAGTAAAGATGGCCAGGTGTGGTGGCTCATGCCTGTAATCTCAACACTTTGGGAGGCTGAGGCGGGCGGATCACGAGGTCAGGAGATTGAGACCATCCTGGTTAACACGGTGAAACCCCATCTCTACTAAAAAAAAAAAAAAATGAGCCGGGCATGCCTGTAGTCCCAGCTACTGGGGAGGCTGAGACAGGAGAATCGCTTGAACCCAGGAGTCAGAGGTTATAGTGAGCCTAGATCGGGCCACTGCACCCCAGCCTGGGTGACAGAGCGAGACTCCATCTCAAAAAAAAAGAAAAAAGAAAAAAGTAAAGATGTAGAAGACTTGGACAACACTTCTTTGTATGTATTTTTAGTAGAGATGGGGTTTTTCTATGTTACTCGGGCTGGTTTCAAATACCTGGGCTCAAGCAATCCATCCACCTCAGCCTTCCAAAGTGTTAGGATTACAGGCTTAGGTCACTGCACCTGGCCTGAACAACAGTATTGACCAATTTTGTCATGGGATCCTTAAGGTGTTACTATGCCAGCCAGAAACCTCTGTGGCCAGTGCTGCCTTTGCCCAAGTTTTGCTCAGGCCCACTTGGGCTCTTTCCGCCCACTTGGCCTCCCAGGCTGTGCTTGGCTTTTGCTACCAGCCCAGATCCCATGCCTACAAAGGGTGAGCCAGGCACAGAGCGGCGAGGGGTGCATGAGCATGGGGTCCGGCCACTGCACACAGCCAGGCATATGCTGGTTGTGGCAGGATAAGCAACTCCATGCACTGGAACAGCTGCTGGCTTCCTGCTACAGCGGGACCAGACATACCACAAGCAGCTTCCACTGTGGGCACCAGGGAATGTGGTGGCACCCAGAAGCTTGGAGATGCCAGCAACTGCAGAACCCCAAAGAGAGTATCACAGCCCTTGCTTGGGAAGCTCCTAAGTCTGGGTTCCCCATAGGGCCACAGCTCTTTTCTCCTTCTTTCTTCTCACCTTCTCGTTGCCCACAATGTCATGAGCGGTGGCAAAGTGATTGGGGTTGGGGGAGATTTCATCCATGTTTGTGTTACAGATGTTTCAGTCCCGAATTCTTGTCCTGAGTCCAAGAAGAATTAGGTATGTGGACAACTGGAGCAAACCTCCAGTTGTGGAGCAAGGTGAAGAGGTGCTTTATTGAGTAACAGTATACCTCTCAGAAGACCTGAAGTGGGTAGCTCCTTTCTGCACGCAAGTTGTCCTGACATCTGTGCAACCCTCAGTGGAGGGGAGACCCAGAGTGGGTAGCTCCTATCCACAGGCGGGTCATCCTGATGTCTGTGCAGCCCTAAGTGGAGAGGAGACCCGGAGTGGGTAGCTCCTATCCACAGGCAGGTCGTTTTGGTGTCTCTGCAGCCCTCAGCGGAGAGGAGACCCAGAGTGGGTAGCTTCTATCTGTAGGCAGGTTGTGCTGATGAGTGTACAGCTCTCAGCAGAGAGGAGACCCTTAGAGGGTAGCTTTTCTCCACAGGCAGGTCATCCCATCTTCCAGACTCTGGCTGAGTCCAGGATTTTTATGGGCTTCAGAGGGGAGGACGTGCATATTGATTGGTCCGTGGGCAGGCCTGGAAAAAGCACCATAAGTTCTCACTCCAGTCTGTGGAACTAGCAGCCCACTCCCACAAGCTTCAGTCTGTCCCTGGCTTGAAGGTACGGCTTCACCTGCCCCTTTCTGCCCAGGATCCTGTCTGCCTCCTGCCACCATCAACCTGCTGTCCATAGTGCCCAGGCTGTTTGTGCTGAGGGGTGCCTGCAGGCCCACACCAAGCTGCTCTTAGCACCCTCCTGGCTTCCTTCCCATGCTTGTTGGTGCCCAAAGTCCAGAGGGGACCATGTCAGCACTGCCCCAAGTGTGTGCACACCCGGCTAGTTCCTGACAGCATCCAGGATCAGCCACAACTTTGCTCCAAAATTGGAGGTTGTGCTGATAGTGGGGAGAACCAGGCAGTGGGAGAAGGCACTTCTGAGCCTGTGGGGGGCAGGGGGGTTTCCAGGGCCCCTGAGAACACAGGAATGCCCAGGTCTGCAGCTGTGGCTGAGTGGCTGCAGCTGCACCCAGGAGGTCAGGGCTCCTACCCCTTCTACTCAGACGGGGGCATGGCTCCCACCTGTTCCTGGCTCCCGCTGGCTCCAGGGAGCACACAGTCCCAGCGCACTTCCCCTGCCACAGCTGGTGTCTTCACAGCAGCCACTCCAGAGGGGCTGCCACTGCCATCAATGTGACCCAATTAACATTTATAACACATTCCACCTACAGCAGCAGAATTCACATTCTGTTCAAGTCCACAAGATATATTTACCAAGAAAGACCTTATTCTAGGCTATAAAACAAGTAATTTAAAAGGATTCAGATTTTATAAATTTTGTTCTCTGGAATTAAATTGGAAATTAATGACAGGTATTTGGAAAATGCTCAAATATTTAGAAACTAAGTAACACACTTATATGTGTAACCTATGGATCTAAGAAGAAATAAGAAATCAAAAGGAAAATTACAAACTATTTTGAATTTGATGAAATAAAGAATGAAACATCAAAATTTATGGGATGTAGCCAAATTAAAGAGGAATATGTCACAGTATAACACCTATATTAGAAAAGAAGAAAAGTTCTATATCAAGGAAATCAGCTTTCACCTTAAACTAGAAACAGAAGAGCACATGAAGCCCAAAGTAAGCAAAGAAAGGAAATAATAAAGATCCATATGGAAATCATTGCAGTGGAAAACAATAGAGAAAATCAATGAAAGCAAAAGCAGGTTCTTGGAAGAAGATCAATAAAACGGATAAGCCTCTAGTCAGATTGACCAAGAAAAAGAAGAGAAAAATTACAAACATGAAGAATGAGAGAAGAAACATCACTACTGATCATACAGCTGTTAAACAGATAATATAGAAATATGATAAACAGCATGATGCCCCAAAATTCAACAACTTAGGTGAAATGGACAAATTATTTAAAAGACACAAACTACCAAAACTCATTCATAAAGAAATAGATAACTTGTGACCGGGCATGGTGGCTCATGCCTGTAATTCCAGCACTTTGGGAGGCCAAGGCAGGCAGATCACTTGAGGCCAGGAGTTCAAGACCAGCATGGCTAACATGGTGAAACCCCATCTCTACTAAAAATACAAAAATTGGCCAGGTGTGGCGGCCCATGCCTGTAATCCCAGCTATTCAGGAGGCTAAGGCACAAGAATCGCTTGAACCCAGGAGCAGAAGGTTGCAGTGAGATGAGATCGCACCACTGCACTCCAGCCTGGGCAACAGAGCGAGACTCTGTCTCAAAAAAGTAATAATAATAATAACTTGTATAACCCAGTATCTATTCATGAAATTGAATTTTTGTTTAAATTTTCCCACAAAGAGGCCAGGAGTGGTGGCTCACGCCTGTAATCTTAGCACTTTGGGAGGCCAAGGCGGGCAGATCACTTGAGGTCAGGAGTTCGAGATCACCTGGCCAACATGTGAAACCTCATCTCTCCTAAAAATACAATAATTAGCCGGCCATGGTGGCACATGCCTGTAATCCCAGCTACTCCAGAGGCTGAGGCAGGAGAATCACATGAACCCAGGAGGTGGTGGTTGCAGTGAGCTGAGATCACGCCACTGCACTCCAGCCTGGGCGACAGAGCAAGACTCCCTCTCAAAACAAAACAAAACAAAAAAGTTTCCACAAAGAAAACTTCAGTTTCTGATAGTTTATCCCAAAGTTTTTACGAAGATACCAATTCTACATATGCTTCTAGAACGTTGAATAAGATGGAGTTCTTCTCATCTCATTGATTGAGGCTACCATTACTCTGATACTAAAACCATACAAAGACAGGAAGACTACAGACTGATTCTTAATATAGCACAAGAACATAGAGATAAAAATTCTTAACACAGAACTTCTTATTTCCCCTCTTCCTAATCTGAAATATACTTCTCGCTCAGTGTTCACTGTCTTAGTTAATAGCCCTGCCTTACACATTTGGTTGTTCATTCCAAGTCAGGGTTGACTTTTTTTTGTCTTTGTTTGTTTGAGACAGAGTCTCACTGTGTCACCCAGGCTGAAGTGCAGTGGCACGATCACAGCTTACTGCAGCCTCGACCTCTGTGGGCTCAGGTGATCCTCCCACTTCAGCCACACAAGTAGCTGTGACTACAGGTGCACACTACTACGCCTGGCTAATTTTTATATTTTTTGTAGAGACAGAGTTTCACCCAAGCTAGTCTTGAAATACTGGGCTCAAGCAATCTGCCCACCTCAGCCTCCCAAAATGTTAGGATTATAGGCGTGAGCCACTGCACCTGGCCTCTCATTTCTTTACATTCCATCAATTCTTATATTTTCAGAACATATCCTGAAACCAATTACCTACTGCAGTCTCTGCTGCCATCCCTCTAGTTCATGCCGTAATTATCTCCCACATGGCTATTGTAGTTTCATCACCGGTTTCCATGCTTGCATTATTACTCCATCTCATATAACAGCCATTGATGCTGTTAAGATATAAACCAGACCATGGGACTTCCTCACAGAAAGCACTTTGGTAGCTCTCTGGAACACTAGGGAAAAAATTTTAAATCCTTACCAAAAATTGTAACTCTTTATTACCAAGGGACAGATAATGAAGGATCAGCTAACCAGGCCTATTGTTAAATCATAAAAGGGTCTATGCATCAAGAAGATGTATCAGTCCTAACACACACACACACACATACACATACACATAAATACATATAGAGAGAGCATGCATGAATGCTTCAGAATACATGAAGAAAACAACTAATAGAAATTTAAGGAGAAATACACAAATCTACAATTATATCTATATTATAATTGTATAAGGTACACAATTATAGATTGTGTAAGTTAATATAATTATAATCTTTTAAATCTAAAAGATATAAAAGTTATCTTTACACTATAATGTAGTCTAATAAGTGCACAGTAGTATTGTGCCTAAAAAAATCAATATGCCTTAATTAAAAAATACTTAATTGCTAAAAAATACTACTGATCACCTGAACCCTCAGTGAGTTGTAATCTTTTTGCTAGTGGAGGATCTTACCCTGATGTTGATGGCTGCTGACTGATCAGGGTGGTAGTGGCTGGCTGTGGTAATTTTAGCAATCACAGTAAATATTACTGCTCATTGACAGTGTACCCGGTCACTCAGGAGCTCTGATGGAGATGTACAAGGAGATTAATGTTGTTTTCATGCATGCTAACATAACTTCAATTCTGAAAATTTAGCACCTAAGAATCATACTGGTTTTGAAAGTCCTAGATGGCATCTTCTAATAGGAGGCTGTTTCATTTACACTGAATATCTGCTGTTTCGTGTAGCTACTTGTATCTATTACCTTACCTAGATCTTATGGATAACTTGCTGCAGCTTCTACATTAGCACCTACTGCTTCACATTGCACTTTTATTTTTTTTTTTCTCTTTGAGACGGAGTCTTGCTTTGTCATCCAGGCTGGAGTGCAGTGGTGCGATCTTGGCTCACTGCAACCTCCACCTCCCAGGTTTAAGTGATTCTCCTGCCTCAGCCTCCCGAGTAGCTGGGATTACAGGTGTCCACCACCATGCCCAGCTGATTTTTGTATTTTCAGTAGAGACAGCGTTTCACCATGTTGGCCTGGCTGGTCTCAAACTCCTGACCTCTTGATCCACCTGCCTCGGCCTCCCAAAGTGCTGGTATTACAGATATGATTCACTGCACCCAGCCCACATTGCACTTTTATGTTATGGAGATGGCTTCTTTCCCTCAACCTCATGAACCAACCTCTGCTAAACTCAAAACTTTTCTTCTGAGCCTTTCTCACCTTTCTGAACCTCTTCCTTGGCAATATTCCATACACAGAAAATAAGACATTTGTGATCCTGTTCCAGTTGAGTCCCATTTAACGAATGATCTTGTCATTTCTTTTTCTCATAGGGAGAAGAAAATTGAGGGACTGAATTTTATTAGATGCTTAGCTGCTTTTCATTCTGAGATACTGAACACAAAGTTGCATGAAACAAATTTTGCAGTTGTTCAAGAGGTAAACTTATTTTTCAGATGAGTTAAGGATTGTTAGAATAACAAAGGATAAATATGCTATGTTTATTTGACCTTTAAAATTTTTAAACAACTCTGTACCATATGATATAAAAGGCTTGTATTTAATTAAAGTAGTCCATGTCTTAATTTGCAACATTAAGAGAAACTTAATAGATGTTGATTCTTAGGACAAAAGATAATATATATTAAGATGTGGGGTTTTGTTTGTTTGTTTTTGAAACGGAGTCTTGCTCTGTTGCCCAGGCTGGAGTGCAGTGGTGGGATCTCGGGTCACTGCAACCTTCTCCTCCTAGGTTCAAGAGACTCTCCTGCCTCAGTCTCCCAAGTAGCTGGGATTACAGGCACACACCACCACACCTGGCTAATTTTTGTATTTTGAGTAGAGACAGGCTTTGACCATATTGGCCAGGCTGGTCTTGAACTCCTGACCTCAGGTGATCCACCCACCTCGGCCTCCCAAAGTGCTGGGATTATAGGTGTAAGCCACCACGCCCGGTTTAAGATACGTTACTTGAAGCCAGGAGTTTGAGACCAGTCGGCCCAACATGGCAAAACCCCATTTTGACTAAAAATACAAAAATTAGCCAGGCATGGTGGTGTGCATCTGTAATCCTAGCTACTCAGGTGGCTGAGGCAAGAGAATTGCTTGGACCTGGGAGGCAGAGGTTACAGTGAGCCGAAATCATGCTACTGCACTCCAGCCTGGTCGACAGAGCGAGACCCTAACTCAAAAAAAAAAACATTGTAAAATTCCTTTCCAAGTTATTATTAGTGATTTTCTTGCAGAATATCAGCAAAATGTACATTTTGAATTTTTTTTTAGGTGAAAAATTTACGTTCTGGAGTTTCTCGTGCTGCTGTGGTCTGTTTAAGTGATCTTTTCACTTATTTGAAAAAGAGCATGGATCAAGAGCTAGATACCACAGTAAAAGTTTTGTTGCACAAGGCTGGTGAATCAAATACATTTATAAGAGAAGATGTTGACAAAGCATTGAGAGCTATGGTTAATAATGTAACTCCTGCACGTGCAGTTGTTTCTCTTATCAATGGTGGACAAAGGTAATGTTCAAAATAACCTTGAAATGTCTTTAAACAAAAAATGAAATGTTGCAATCGGGACTGTAGAAAAGAAACAAGCAAATCTTAGTAGTATATCAGTCAAAAAACATTTATTAAAAAGTTCCTATGAGATAAACATTATACTACATGCCGAATATGAAAAGAATAATTTTTTATTATTTTTCTCATAGAATATGTATACTTCTTTTGTCCCTCGGGCACCTTGCAAAATGTCTGCCACACAAAATCATCTAGGCAATTTGGCTTTAGGAGCCTTACAATTATTATTTTTTTATTAATTTTTATTTCAATAGCTTTTAGGGTACAAGTGGTTTTTTGTTACATGGGTGAATTGTATAATAGTGAATTCTGAGATTTTTGTGCACCCATCACTTGAGTAGTGAACATTGTACCTAATGTGTAGTTTTTATCCCTCGCCCCCCTCCTGCTCTCCTTCTTTCTCTAAAGTTCATTATATAAAGTTCATTATATATATCACCCTGTATGACTTTGCATACTCATAACTTAGCTGCCACTTATAGGTGAGAACATATGGTTTTTGGTGTTTCAATCCATTATTAGAATAGTGGCCTCCAGCTCTATCCAAGTTTGCTGCAAAAGACACTATTTAATTCATTTTAATGGCAGAGTAGTATTCCATGGTCTGTGTGTGTATATATATATATATATATATATATATATATATATATATATGTGTGTGTGTGTGTGTGTGTGTGTGTGTGTGTGTATATATATGTATATATATACATATATATACATATATACACACATATATATGTGTATATATATACACATATATACACATATATATGTGTATATATATACACATATATACACATATATATACACATATGTATATATATACACATATATATATAAAACATTTTCTTTATCCACTGATTAGTCAGTGGGCACTTAGGTTGGTTCCACATCTTTGTAATTTTGAATTTTGTTGCTATAAACATACATGTGCAAGTATCTTTTTCACATAATGACTTTTCATTTGGGTAGATTCCAAGTAGTAGGATTGCTAGATCAAATGGTAGATCTACTTTTAGCTCAATAAAAGTTATTGTAATAACGTTACCCTATTGTTATTCCAATAATGTTATTTACATTCATAGATCTATAACTAAATGTCAGTTTTGTTTTGCTTTTAACTTTTGGGGAAGGGATAAGTAATGCAAATAATTTGACATTTTAGACTCACAGGATGATTGTTGAGGAGCTGTTAAATCATTTAACTTTAAGATAGATCTTAGCCTCACGTGGTGGCTCATACCTGTAATCCCAGCACTTTGGGAGGCCAAGGTGAGAAGATCCCTTGAGTCCAGGAGTTCGAGACCAGCCTGGGCAACATAGTAAGACCTCGTCTGTACTAAAAATAAAATCAAATTACCTGGGTGTGGTGGCACATGCCTGTGGCCTCAGCTACTTGGGAGGCTAAGGCAGGAGGATCACTTGAACCCAGGAGGTCAAAGCTGCAGTAAGCCATGATTGCATCACTGCATTCCAGCCTCAGTGACAGAGCAAGACCCTGTCCCAAAAAACAAAACCAAAATACAAACAAACAAAAACAACCCATAGATCCATAGATCTTTGGAGAATAGTTTATATAACAACTCTGTTTTAATTGATCATGTCTCCTTGTAGCCATTTACACATTGCTGTAAGAAGGTGTACAGCCCAGCATTTATCAGATGTATTGGAATTTATGGAACCAGAACGTATTTTATCTGCAGCAAAGGATATGGCTGAACGCATATTACCAGCTGCTGCTAAGTTTGCTCAAGACAGTTCACAAGAAACCAGGTGAATATCTGCTAATGTTTGCTAAATCTATTATTAATAAGGGCTTAAAAGTAGGAAAAGAAAGAAAGTTTAAAGAAGAATGAACATTTTCTAAATGGAGAAGTGGGGTCCCAGGGATTGGTGCTGGGGGATGGTCTTATTTAACCAGTTTGTAAATATTCTTGAGGGAGTGCACAGTGAATTCTCCAAATTTACAGATGACACTACATACTTCTGGGTAGTGAGATGCCAAGTCACAGGGATGAACTTCATGAAAACGGCACAAGACTGTGTGAGTGGGCAGAAAAGTGGCAGAAGAACTTCATTATGGGCAAATGTAAGGTAATGCATTTAGGGGAAAATGATATATTTTCCAAGCAATCAGGTAAAATAAGGAAATAGGTACACATGAAAAATACAGGAATAAGGCGGGTCGTGGTGGCTCACGCCTGTAATCCCAGCACTTTGGGAGGCTGAGGCAGGTGGATCACGAGATCAGGAGTTCGAGACAAGCCTGGCCAACATGGTGAAACCCCGTCTCTACTAAAAATACAATAAAATTAGCCGGGCATGGTGGCAGGCGCCTGTAATCTCAGCTACTCTGGAGGCTGAGGCAGGAGAATCGCTTGAACCCGGGAGGCGGAGGTTGCAGTGAGCCGAGATTGCGCCATTGCACTCCAGCCTGGGTGACAGAGCGAGACTCTGTCTCAAAAAAAAAAAAAAGAAAGAAAAATACAGGAATAATGCATAACAATATATTATCCTACAAAACATGAGATATCTGCAGTGTGAAAACTACACAAATTTCTGATGCTTTTACTGGAAAAACAATTTTATGAAGTTTAAGAACAGTCAGAGAAAAACAACACAATAATTAAGATGTGGATGATATAATGGCTGTGGTGGTGACAGAAATTTTCAATGTAGTCAGATGCTTATGTTAAATTTCTAGTCCCCGTCATTGTTTGTCCTTAAGCAAGTTACTTAATTTCTGTTAGTCTCTGTTTCCTTGTCTATAAAATTAGGAAGGGTGGACTAGGTGACCAGTAATGTCCCATATAAAATCTAAAATTTTTATAGTAATGATATATGGCCGGGTGTGGTGGCTCACACCTGTAATCCCAGCACTTTGGGAGGTGGAGGCAGGTAGATCACCTGAGGTCAGGAGTTTGAGACCAGCCTGCGAACATGGTTAAAACCCCGCCTCTACTCAAAATATAAAAATTAGCCAGGCATGGTGGCACATGCCTGTAATCCCAGCTACCCAGGAGGCTGAAGCAGGAGAATCACACCAACCTGGGAGGCAGAGGTTGCAGTGAGCTGAGATTGTGCCACTGCACTCCAGACTGAGAAACAGAGCGAGACTCCATCTCAAAAAAAAAAAAAAAAGGCTGGTTGTGGTGGCTTACACCTGTAATCCCAGCACTTTGGGAGGCTGAGGCGGGCGGCTCACAAGATCAAGAGATTGAGACCATTCTGGCCAACATGGTGAAACCCCATCTCTACTAAAAATACAAAAATTAGCCGGGCATGGCGGCATGCGCCTGTAGTTCCAGCTACTCGGGAGGCTGAGGCAGGAGAATCTCTTCAGCCACTGCACTCCAGCCTAGAGACAGAGCAAGACTCCATCTCAAAAAAAAAAAAAAAAAAAAAAGGATAATTTTTTAAAAGAATCTGAGTCATAAAGATTAAAGTAAAGAAGTATATAAAATGTTTATTATTTTAAGACAAAGATGTTCATTACTTTAGGTATCTGGAGTTAATATTATGGAACTCATTATACCTAAAGATAATACAGAAAGTAAATATATTAGTTTTTCATTGCTGTGTAAAGTTTAACACAAATGTAGGAGCTTAAGGCAACCACATTTTTTGGCTTAGAGTTCTTTAGGTCAGAAGTCTGGCATGGCTCACCTCAGTTCACTGCCTATGGTTTCAGAAGGCCAAAATCAGGGTGATAGCAGTGCTGGGCTTTGCCAAATTCAATTCCTTGTGGTTATAAGACTGAGGTCAGCTGGGCGTGGTGGCTCACACCTATAATCCCAGCACTTTGGGAGTTGGAGGCGGGTGGATCACCTGAGGTCAGGAGTTCAAGACCAGCCTAAACAACATGATGAAACCCCGTCTCTATTAAAAATACAAAAATTAGCTGGGCGTGGTGGCGTGTGCCTATAATCCCAGCTACTCAGGAGGCTGAAGCAGGAGAATTGCTTGAACCTAGGAAGTGGAGGTTGCAGTGAGTCGAGATCACACTATTGCATTCCAACCTGGGTGACAGAGTGGGACAGAGGGTTGACTCAGGCCAGAACATCCGCCCAGTAGGTGGACAGCAAATGGTCAATGGGTAAGGAGCCCAGGACAGAGACAAACTTCTCAAAAAAAAAAAAAAAAAAAAAAAAAAAAAGACTGAGGTCTGCATTTCCTTGCTGGCTGTCAGTGAGGGTCCTTGCTCAGCTCCTTAACACCACTCACATTTCTTTGCATGCAACCCTCCTCTGTTTTTAAGCCAGCAATAACATGTTGAGCTCCCCTTCATAGGATCTTTCAGACTTCCTCTTTTTGTACCAGTCACAGAAAGCGCTCTGCTTTTTTTTTTTGGAGACAGAGTCTTGCTCTGTCACCCAGGTTGAAGTGCAGTGGCGCCATCTCGGCTCACTGCAAGCTCCGCCTTCCGGGTTCAAGCGATTCTGCCTCAGCCTCCTGAGTAGCTGGGACTACAAGCGCCTGCCACCACACCCGGCTAATTTTTTGTATTTTTGGTAGAGATGGGGTTTCACTGTGTTAGCCAGGATCACCTCGATCTCCTGACCTTGTGATCCGCCTGCCTCGGCCTCCCAAAGTGCTGGGATTATAGGTGTGAGCCACCGCACCCGGCCAGAAAGTTCTCTTCTTTTAAGCGCTCGTTTGATTAGATTAATTCCACCAGATCATGTCATTACTTTAAGGTTAACTGTACTATATGATATAACATAATCTTGGGAGTGATATCTTATTATATTCACAAATTTTAGGGATTGGAGCAGGACATCTTTGGGGAACCATTTTAAAGTTCTACATATCACGTTAATGTTCAAAAAAATTCAAGAGGGTTAGATCATTATAGGCTAGTTAGGAATAAAGGATGTTCTTTTCTCCCTCTCTATCACCTTGTTAAAAAAAAAAAGATTTCTTAATGGCCATCTCATGTGCTTCTTTACTTAACCTTTCCTTGATGGCATAGTAATTCTTTCTAGCCCATTTTGTCATTTCTTAGATTCTTATTTAAAGTTATAAAATTATAAAATGGTTACAATTAATTTTCGAGTTTTGTATTTCTCACATTTTGTGTCCCTGCTCTCTGCTGACTTGTTTGTTTTAGCCTTTCTCATATCATTGGGTCCCCTGTAATAGACCTAGAGTCCTTAACATTCCAGGCTAAACATTAGAATTGCCCTTGGAAATATAACTGATTAGGAGCTACTTATCTGGATATAGACCTTATTCTGGTTGTGGAGAAAGGTAATATTTATTCTCTGACATCACTTCTCTTCCTGCAATTTCATTACATTTGAAGGGGTCACGTTGAGATATGTGATCTTTTTCTTTTTGGAGACAGGGTCTTGCTCTTTAGCCCAGGCTGGAGTACAGTGGTATAATCTCGGCTCACTGCTACCTCCGCCTCCTGAGCTCAAGTGATCCTCCCACCTCAGCCTCCCGAGTAGCTGGGACTACAGGCGTGTGTCACCATGCCTGGCTAAGTTTTGTATTTTTTGTAGAGATGGGGTGTTGCCATGTTGCTGAAGCTGGTCTTGAACTCTTGGGCTCAAGCAGTCCACCTACCTTGTCCTCTCAAAGTGCTGGGATTATAGGTGTGAGCCACTGCGCCTGGTCAAGACGGGTGGTCTTAAGATCATCCTGTATCCCCCCAATCCACAAAACCCACAAAAGCCTGCCTTTTTCTCGTTCCTTTTTTTTTCCCCCAAGACTCTGTCACCCAGGCTAGAGGGCAGTGGTGCAATCTCAGTTCACTGCAACCTCCACCTCCCAGGTTCAAGCGATTCTCATGCCTCAGCCTCCTGAGTTGCTGGGATTACAGGCATGTGCCACCATGCCTGGCTGATTTTTGTATTTTTAGTAGACACTGGGTTTCACCATGTTGGCCAGGCTAGTCTCTAACTCCTGGCCTCAGGTGATCCACCTGCCTTGGCCTCCCAAAGTGCTGGGATTACAGGTGTGAGCCACCACGCCCAGCCTCTTCTCTGGTTCTTTTTGTGCCATATATTCCAAGTTGTGAGTAAAAGTGTAACTGTGATTTATTTTAGGGCCCGGCCTCATTGAAGATGAATAGTGTGGTACTATTTTGAAGTAGTATAAGACATCTGTGTGCTAAAATATCTCCAGTATGCACTTCCATGATATCTGAATTTCCACCATTAGAATCATTGGGCTTAAAGTATTATGCTAAGATGATTATTTTATAATTCATATAAATAAGAAAACCTAGTTTTTGAGATTATTACCTGTATTAACATATCAGTCACAATTTTATCAACTAACCTTGGGTGTATTTTAGGTAGTAAAGAATAGGATTCTGAAGAATCAGAACCCTGGTAAGTTTTGGCTAGGGAAAAACAGAGAATGAGAAATACAGGACCTAGGGAGGGTTGACTCAGGCCAGAACATCTGGCCCTTAGGTGGACAGCAAATGGTCAATGGGCAAGGAGCCCAGGATGGAGGAAAACTTCACAATTCTCCCAAATGCCAGCATTGATATGGACCTTGGGGTGCCTGAAAAATAGAATCAAAGCTTTTGTCTCTCCATCTGGCACATGGCAGAAGGATTTGAAGACAGTGACTTTAAAGGGGGATTATGGGAGCATCCCAACAGATGCTTTTTTTTTTTTTTTTTTTTTTTTGAGACGCAGTCTCACTCTGTTGCCCAGGCTGGAGTGCAATGGTGTGATCTCGGCTCACTGCAACCTCCACCTCCTGGATTCAAATGATTTTCCTGCCTCAGTCTCCTGAATAACTGGGATTACCTGAGCACGCCAACACATCTGGCTAATTTTTGTATTTTTTTAGGAGAGACGGGGTTTCATCATGTTGGCCAGGCTGATCTCGAACTCCTGACCTTGTGATCCACCTGCCTTGGCCTCCCAAAGTGCTGGGATTACAGGCGTGAGCCACTGTACCTGGCCACAGATGCTTCTTAACTTACAATGAGGTTATATCCCAATAAACCCATCATGAATAGGAATTATCATAAGCCAAAAGTGCATTTAAACACCTAACCTACCAAACATCATAATGTAGCCAAGCCTTACCTTAAACATGCTGAGAACACTTACATTAGCCTACGCTTAGACAGAATCATCTGGCAACACAGTACATTGTAGAGTATGGTGATCATATGGCTGAGTGGGAGCTGTGGCTCGCTGCTGCTGCCCAGCATCTTAAAAGAGTGTCATACTGCATATGACTAGCCATGGAAAAAGTCAAAATTCAAAGTATGGTTTCCACAGAATCATATCTCTTTCACACTATTATAAAGTTGAAAAATTATAAGTCAAACCGTTGTAAGTCGGAGACCATCTGTACCCTCTAGGGTATCCTATACAGTTAGGATATCTATATTTTCATGGTTATTTAATATAGGGATGGTAATCTTGATGTTTGATAGGTGTTTTTTTTCTATTGAAACAATGCATCTAAGGTCAGCAACTGAGCTTATTAATGTCTAAAAAGTAATATACCTGTTTTTCAAATACTCACAGGTATTATGGTCGAAAGATGCTGTTCTTCATGATGTGTCATCCTAACTTTGAAAAAATGCTTGAAAAGTATGTCCCATCTAAAGATTTGCCATATATTAAGGACTCTGTTAGAAACTTACAGCAAAAGGTATGTGGGAAAAGTTTGTTTTATAAACAGCTTTATAAGCAAAGCTTGTTTTTACATCCAGGTAAAGGATAGGAATAATTATTTATTTGATTATTTCTCTGTTAATCATTTGGACTATTGGACTATATCTGCAATAGCATTTCAACAATTACAATACTAAGTAGACATACATATTGTCAAGCCTTGGAAGTAAATGTTTATTGCACAGAAGCTTGATGTTTGGTAGAATATAGTTTGGCTTATTGGAGTTAACAAGACATGGGTTTGAATTGCAGCTCTAACAGTTAGCAACTGTGTAACTTACACATGCCTCTTCATTTCTCTAACTAGAATTCTCACTTTATAAAATGAGGATAATAATGTTTACCATGTTTAGTCCCTGCTTTATTTACCTTGCATGTCCCACTATTAGAGCTATTACCACACTGCAGAACATTTTTAGGGAGCTCCTTGAGGGTAAGTGCAATGTCTTTTTTTTTTTTTTTTTTTTCTTTTGAGACAGAGTCTTGCTGTGCCACTAGGCTAGAGTGCAGTGGTGTGATCTCGGCTCACTACAACCTCCACCTCTTGGGTTCAAGCGATTCTCCTGCCTCAGCCTCTCGAGTAGCTGGGATTACAGGTGCCCACCACCACGCCCAACTAATTTTTTGTATTTTTTAGTAGAGACGGGGTTTCACCATGTTGGCCAGGCTTGTCTTGAACTCCTGACCTCAGGTGATCCGCCTGACTCGGCCTCCCAAAGTGCTGGGATTACAGGCGAGAGCCAATGCGCCCAGCCATGCCATGTCTTATTTGTCCTGGTAGATAATGGGAATTCAGTAATGTCTGATAAATGAGTGACTGAGAGAATACCAAGTGAAATAAAATATGAAAAGTAATCTATTTACATATTAATTTAAAAATATGTTTAATTTAATAAAGTAAAATTTTTCTATTGTAATTTATGTCATTTCTCTCTGATGACCTTGGGATAAGGACTCACTTGTGAAGGAATAATATTACAAAAATAATGTAGCAATAGACATTTTAGAGCATTTTTTTCTGCCCGTTGAGCCTGAAGGTTTCAGCTTAGTTCATATTAGAACTTATTAATATAACCATGCAAAAAAAAATAATCTGACTAAAATGAAGCAGATTGCATCTGTGAGTCTTTCCAGTACAGGAAAAGTTTTAAATAGTTCTCATCAAAATGTTTATTCTCACACTCCTAATGTTGCATAGGAACAACAGTGTTCAGTGTTTATGGACTGTGTTCATATATTCTACATAGATTTTAAGCTTTAAGAAGAGTAGTTACGAAATACAGCATATTATTATTATTATTATTATTATTTTGAAACAGAGTCATGCTCTGTCGCTCAGGCTGGAGTGCAGTGGCATGATCTTAGCTCACTGCAACCTCTGCCTCTGGGTTCAAGGAATTCTCCTGCCTCAGCCTCCCAAATAGCTAGGATTACACCACCATGCCCAGCTAGTTTTTGTGCTTTTAGTTGAGACAGGGTTTCCCCATGTTGGCCAGGCTGGTATCAAACTCCTGACCTCAGATGATCCACCTGCCTCAGCCTCCCAAAGTGCTGGGATTACAGGTGTGAGCCACCACACCCAGCCCAAAATACAGCATATTAATTTTTAGTTTTTAACTCGTTTTTACAAGTCAATATATATTTTCCCATTAGTCACGTATTTTGTTAATTTACTGCTAACTACAAGGTGTTTTATGTATCTCATACTCTTTAAAGCATATCAGATTATTAAAATACTTTCCATCTTAAAAAATCAATGATGCCTACTTTGAAAATTACATTGTGTAAATTATTTCACTACTAGTTTTAAAATTTGTATTATACTAATTTTATATTTACTTGCAGGGTTTGGGGGAGATACCATTAGATACTCCTTCAGCAAAAGGAAGACGATCTCATACTGGCAGTGTTGGAAATACAAGATCATCATCTGTTTCTAGAGATGCTTTCAATTCAGCTGAAAGGTAAGATGATGTAATAGTCCTCATCAGAGAAATTACTCCCTTGTGATAGTAGTCTCATTTGGATGTTTTCATAAACTACCCCAGGGGTATTTGCCAAAATTTAATGGAGTTTTAAAAGTTTGCTTAGGATCCAGAAAGTGTGAGGTAATTAGATTTAATAAGGCAATTATATATTTACAGCAACTTGCTTTTATTTGCACTGGACATTAGCAATGCTTTAGTGTTATTGAACTGGTCGATGTTAGGCCTATTTTGGACAACTCTGATTAATTTTTTAAAAATTTATAGCCTTTATTTTTCCCCCGATTGTAAAGTAATACATAATTATGGTTAAAGGGGAAAAAAAAACCTTTAGAAAATGAAAGCATTACAAGGATTTGGAAGGCCAGAAGTGGTGGCTTACACCTGTAATCCAAGCACTTTGGGAGGCTGAGGCAGGCAGAATTGTTTGAGCTCAGGAGTTCGAGATCAGCCTGGGCAACATGGCAAAACCCTGTCTCTACCAAAAAAATACAAAAATTAGCCGGGCCTGGTGGTTTTTGTTACCTGTGATTTTGAGGTCTTAGTCTTGAATTATTTACATAGACCAATGTCCAGAAGAGTACTGCCTAGATTTTCTTCTTGTATTTTTATAAATGTAGGTCCCAAATTTAAGTCTTTAATCCATTTAGTTGATTTTTATATAAGGTGAGAGATACTGTTTCATTCTGCATATGGCAATCTAATTTTTTCAGCATCATTTATTGAAAAGAGTGCTCTTTCCTCCATGTATGTTCTTGTCAGCTTTGTCAAAGATCAGTTGGTTGTAGATATGTGGCTTTATTTCTGGGTTCTCTATTCTGTTCCATTAATGTATGTATCTGTTTTTAGACCAGTACCATGTTGTTTGGGTTTTATAGCCTTATCGTGTAATTTGAAGCCAGGTAATGTGATGCCTCTAGCATTGTTGGTTTTGCTTAAGGTTGCTTTGGCTGGCTGGGCGCCATGGCTCACACCTGTAATCCCAGCACTTTGGGATGCTGAGGCGGGTGGATCACGAGGTCAGGAGTTCAAGACCAGCCTGGCCAACGTAGTGAAACCCCGTCTCTAGTAAAACTACAAAAAATTAGCCGGGCATGGTGGAGGGTGCCTGTAATCCCAGCTACTTGGGAGGCTGAGGCAGGAGAATTGCTTGAATCCAGGAGGCGGAGGTTGCAGTGAGCTGAGATCACGCCATTGGATTCCAGCCTGGGCAGAGTGAGACTCCATCTCAAAAAAAAAAAAAAAAAAAGATTGCTTTGGCTACTTGGGCTCTTTTTTTTTTTTTTTTTTCCAAAAAAAGGTTCAGTGAGCCACGAATTTTAGGATTGTTTTTTCTAAGTCTGTGATAAATGATATTGGTATTTTGATAGGGATTGCATTCAGACTGTAGACTGCTTTTGGCAGTATGGTCGTTTTAATTATTCTGATCCATGAACCTGGGATGTTTTTCCATTTGTTTGTGTCATCTACAACTTCTTTTGTCAGCGTTTTTTAGTTTTCCTTGTAGAGATCTTTTACCTCCTTGGTTAAAAATATACTCCTAGGTATTTTATTTCTTTTTTAGTTATTATAAGTGGGATTGTCTTCTTGATTTGTTTCTCAGCTTACTCCTTATTGGTATATAGAAATGCTATTGATTTTTTTAAGTTGATTTTGTATCTTGACATTTTACTGAATTCGCTTATCAAATCTAAGAGTCTTTTGGTGGAGTCTTTGGGGTTTTCTAGATATAAGATCATATCATCAGCAAACAGGGATAATTTGACTTTTGCAGTTGGGTGCCTTTTATTTTTTTCTCTTGCATGATTACTTTATCTAGGACTTATAGTACTGTGTTGAATAGAAGTGGTGAAAGTGGGCATCTTTGACTTGTTCCAGTTCTTGGAATGCTTTCAGCTTTTTCCTATTTAGTATGATGTTGGCTGTGGGTTTATTGTATATGGCCTTTATTATGTTGAGGTATGTTCCTTCTGTGCCTATTTTGTTGAGGATTTTTATCATGAAGTGATGATGAATTTTATCAAATGCTTTTTCTGCTTCCTTTGAGATAATCATATGGTTTTTGTCCTTAGCTATGTTTGTGTGATGTATCATATTTTTTTAATTCCGTGTGTTAAACCATCCTTGCATCCCTGGTATAAAACCCAATTGATCCTGATATTTTATCTTTTTGACGTGCTGTTGTTGCTAGTATTTTGTTGAGGATTTTTACATCTATATTTTTAGGGGATGTTAGTCTGTAGCTTTCGTCTTTTGTTGTGTCTTTGCCTTGTTTTGGTATCAGGGTGATATTGGCCTCATAGAATAATTTAGGGCAGATTCCCCCTCTGCAATTTTTGGAAAGTTTCAGGATGATTGGTATAAGTTTTTGTTTTATTTATTTATTTATTTATTTGTTTGTTTGTTTATTGTACATTTGGTAGAATTCGACTGTGAACCCATCTTGTCCTGTGGGGTTTTTTTGCTTACTGATTCATTCTCACTACTCACTGGTCTGTTCAGGATTTCTGTTTCTTCCTAGTTCAATCTTGGGAGGTTGTATGTTTCCAGGAATTGAAATGTAGTTGCTCATAATAGTCTCTGATGATCCCTTGTTTATTCTGTCGAATCAGTCCTAATGTCTCCTTTCTGATTTTGTTTATTTGGATCTTCTGTCTTAAGCTAGGTAGCGATTTATTAATTTTATCTTTTTGAAGAACCATTGATGAATCTTGCGGGGTATGGGGGTTATTTCATTTAGTTCTCATCTGATCTTTGTTACTTATTTTGTTTGGCTAACCTTGGGGGTTTGTTTTATTATGTTTTTTCTAGTTCCTTGAAGTGTGATGTTAAGTTGTGATCTTTTTACTTTTTTGTTGTTTATTTTTTTTTATAGAGACAGGGTCTCACTCTGTTGCCTAGGGTGAAGTGTAGTGGCATCATCATAGCCCATTGCAGCCTCAAATTCTTGGGCTCAAGCAATCCTCCTGCCTCAGCCTCACGAAGTGCTTTCTACTTTTTTCATGTAGGCATTTAATGCTATAAATTTCCCTCTTAACACTGCTTTTGCTGTATCCCACAGGTTTTGGTATTTTGTGTTTCCCTTTTCATTTACTTCAAAAAATGTTTTAAATTTTTGTCATTGACTCTGTGGTCGTTCAGGAGTATGTTGTTTAATTTCCATGTATTTGTATAGTTCCTAAATTTCATCTTGGTATTGATTTCTAGTTTTATTCTGTTGTGCTCTAAGAAGATACTTGATTTGATTTCAGTTTTTAAAAATTTGTTGGGACTTATTATGTGACCTAATATATGGTCTGTGTTGAAGAATGTTCCATGTGCTGATGAGAAAGATGTATATTCTGCAGTTTTGGGGTCAAATGTTCTGTAAATGTTTGTTAAGTCCATTTGGTCTAAAGTTCAATTTAAGTTCAGTGTTTCTTTGTTAATTTTCTGTCTCAATAATCTGCCTAGTACTGTGAGTGGAATGTTGAAGTCCACACTCAAAACAGGATTGTTTTGCTGTCTCTTTCTTTAGGTCTAGTAAATATTTGTTTTATGAATCTGGGTGATCCAGTGTTGGGTGCATATATATTTGGGATTGTTATAGCTTCTTGCTGAATTCATCCCTTATCATTATCATCCCTTCTTTGTCTTTTTTTTTACTGTTTTTGATTTGAAGGTTGTGTTATCTGATGTAAACATAGCTACACCTGATCACTTTTGGCTTCCATTTATGTAGAGTGTCTTTTTTTTTTTTTTTGAGACAGTGTCTCACACAATTGCCCAAGCTGGAGTGCAGTGGCACAATCTCAGTTCACTGCAACCTCCCCGTCCCAGGTTCAAGGGATTCTCCTGCCTCAGCATCCCTAGTAGCTGGGACTATAGGCACACACCATCATGCCCGGCTAATTTTTGTACTTTTAGTAGAGACGGGGTTTCACTATGTTGGCCAGGCTGGTATTAAACTCCTGACCTCATGATCCATCTGCGTTGGCCTCCCAAAGTGCTTGGATTACAGGCGTGAGCCACCATGCCCAGCCTAGAATATCTTTTTCTACCCCTTTAATTTTAGTCTATGTGTCTTTTCAGCTAGAGTGAGTTTTTTATAAGCAGCATATAGTTGGATCATGTTTTTTATCCAGTTTGCCAATCTGTAACTTTTAAGTAGAGCATTTAACCCATTTGCATTCAAGGTTAATATTGATATGTGAGATTTTGTTCCTGTCATATTGTTAAGTGTTATCTCCCTGTTTTATAAATTATTTGTTTCTTTTTCTCTGTTTTCGTGGTTTGGTGGAATTCTGTCATGTTGCCATTTGATTCCTTTCTCTTCCTTTTTATGATTGCTTTATATGACCTATGAGTTTTATACTTTCTTATGTTCTTATGATAGCAAATATCGACCTTTGTTTCCATGTTTAGGGCCCATTTGGGTATTTCTTATAGGGCCAGTATAGTGATGACAAAGTCTATTAACATTTGCTTATTTCAAAATTATTACTATGACCTCTTTGTTCTGTTTTTAAATATATTTTATTTTTATTTTATTTTACTTCATTTTGAGACAAGGTCTGGAGTGCAGTGGTGTGATCACATCTCACCACAGCCTCGACCTCCTGGGTTCAAGCAATCCTGTTTTAGCCACTGGAGTACCTGGGACTACAGGTGCACACCACCATGCCTGGCTAATATGTTGCCCAGGATGGACTCAAACTCCTGGGCTTCAGGGATCCTCCCACGTTAGCTTTCCAAACTGCTGAGATTACAAGCATGAGCCACCACATCTGGCTTTAAATATATTTTAAACACTATTGGCTGGGTGCAGTGGTATGCACCTGTAATCCTAGCACTTTGGGAGGCTGAGGTGGATGGATTGCCTGAGCTCAGAAGTTCAAGACCAGCCTAGGCAACATGGAGAAACCCCGTTTCTACTAAAAATACAAAATATTAGCTGGACGTGATGGCGCACGCCTGTAATCCCAGCTACTCAGGAGGCTGAGGCAAGGAGAATCCTTTGAACCCAGGAGGCAGAGGCGGAAGTTGCAGTGAGCTGAGATTGCTCCATTGCACTCCAACCTGGGCGACAGAGCGAGACTCTGTCTCAAAAAAAACAAAACAAAACAAAACAAAACAAAAAACAAACACTATTGAAAAATTATACGAATACATCATATTCATAGTATACATAGGTATCTCTCATATTTTCTGTATTTGTTTATCTTTGAAATATTTCATAAACTAAAGTAATGACATAAAAAATAAAGCTGTATGTGAAAATATATGCTTTGGGACCTTGATATTTTAAGTACAGCCCACAAAACAGCCACATTGACATCACCTAGGAGCTTTTTAGAAATGCAATTTTTTTTTTTTTTTTTGAGATGGAGTCTCGCTCTGTCGCCCAGGCTGGAGTGCAGTGGCGTGATCTCGGCTCACTGCAAGCTCCGTCTCCCAGGTTCATGCCATTCGCCTTTCCCAGCCTCCTGAGTAGCTGGGACTACAGGCACCCGCCACCACAACCAGCTAATTTTTTTTTTTTGTATTTTTAGTAGAGATGGGGTTTCACCGTGTTAGCCAGGATGGTCTCGATCTCCTGACCTTGTGATCTGCCCATCTCAGCCTCCCAAAGTGCTGGGATTACAGGCATGAGACACTGCACCCGGCCTTTTTTTTTTTTTTTTGAGATGGAGTCTTACTCTGTCACCCAGACTGGAGTGCAGTGGCAGGATCTTGGCTCACTGCAACCTCCACCTTTTGGGTTCCAGTGATTCTCCTGCCTTGGCCTCCTAAGTAGCCGGGACTACAGGCGTGTGCCACCACACCCCGCTAATTTTTGTATTTTTAGTAGAGACAGGATTTCACCATGTTGGCCAGACTGGTCTTGAACCCCTGACCTCAGGTGATCCACCCATCTTGGCCTCCAGAGGTGCTAGGATTACAGACATGAGCCACCACACCCAGCCAGAAATGCAAAATGTTATTCTCCTTCCAGACCTACTAAATAAGAATTGGTAATTTTTCTACCTTGATATTATATAATCTCATAAGATCCTGGATCAGATATCTTGGTCAAAAAATGTTTTTTGGAACCCATTAAAAAATGCTTTCTTAACATCTATTCAGAGCATACTGTGTGGGAGGCCTTTTCCAAACACTTAACTTATTTCATAGATATTTCTCAAGTTGGGTTTATCTGATATTTTCTCACAATTAAAAGAAGTTATGCAAGAACACCACAGAAGTGATGTTGTACCCTTCTCACTGTATTACATCACAAGGTACATGATGTTGTTATGTCTTACTACTGATAACTTTGATCATTAGCTTATGGTGGTTTCTGCTAGGCACTGTACTATTTTTCCATTTATAGTTAATAGATATCTTTGGAAACTTTGAGACTGTGTAAATATCCTATTTCTCACCATACATATGCCCACTAATTTTATCCACCACTGAGAGATTTTGCCTACAGCAATTAGTACATGGTTTTTTGCCTAATAATGATCTATTTTCTTGATTTCTTCTATATTCATTGGTTGATTTTTTTCTTTACAGAAAAACTGTTCCATTTCCTTCATATGTTTATTTATGCAAATATTCATTTATATTCGTGAAGACTAATGGATTTCTATTTTATTCTGTGGGGTATAATCAATCGAATACTGCCATTATTTCCCTCTTCAAATGGTTCTAGCTTTAGGAGCTCCCTCGGGTTGGCTGCTGTGCTTTTACAACATGCCCCATCCATTTACTTTCTGTCAGCAAATGATTCTCCAGCATCTTCTTGTATTTCATTTCCTCCTTTCAAATCTGTATGCATCTAATTTATTTTTCCTACCTTAATACTGTGCTGGTTAGAATATCAAATATAATGTTAAATAGAAGTAATAACAGACATCTTTACCTTATTCCTGATCTTTGGGACAAAATGTTTAGCATTTCACCACTGTGTATGATATTAGCTGTAGGTTTCATAGAAAGCTCTTTATCAAATTAATGAAGTTTCCTTCTAGTTTGTGAGTTTTTAATCATGAATGAGTGTTGAATTTTTCTCAAATGCCCTTCCAGCATCTATTAAGATAATTATATTTTTTGTTTATTTTGTTACTATTGTGAATTATGTTATTAAAAATGATAACTTGTATTCCTTGGATTAGCCCCACTTGGTGATGATGATGTGTGATATTTTTAATATATTACTGGGTTTTATTTACTAAAATTATTTAAGTATTTTTGTATCTATAATCATGAGGTCTTTAGTTTCCTTGTCTTAGAATGTCTTTGGATTTGGTATTGGGATAATGCTGAATAATCCCTTGTGGTTTCTTCTTTAATACAGGTGCTATTTAGAAGTGTATTTAATTTTCAAATATTTGGAGATTTTCTAAATATCGTTTTGTTAATGATTTTAAATTTAGTTCTGCTCTGTCATTGAACATGCTCCATAGGATTCTAGTTCTTTTAAACTTCTTGAGACTTGTTTTATGGCCCAGCATGTGTTCTATATTACTGACTATTTTATATCTACTTGAAAGAATGTACATTCTGCTCTTGTTGAATGTAGTATTCTATAAAATGTCAGTTAGGTTAAGTCGGTTGTTATTCAAGTGTTCTATAATCTTACTGATTTTTTTCTACTTGTTCTATCAATTGCTGAGATAGGAGTATTGACATCCCCAATGTATTTGTGGATTTATTTATGCTTTCTGTTGTATCACTTTTTGCTTCATGTATTTTGATCCACTGTGATTACGTTTAAATACATTGAGGATAGTTGTGATTTCTGATAAATTGGTCCTTTTGTCATTATTAAGTACCTTTATCGCTGGTAATATTCTTTGTCCTGAAGTCTATGTTAGTAGACTATTTTAGTTTTCTTTTGATAGAAGATTTGCATGGTATGTCTTTCTTTAAATTACAGTGTTACGGAGACGTAATTCACCTACTATATAATTCATCTATTTAAGACATGCAATTCAATGTTTTTTAGTACACATGGTGTCCAACTTAGGATCGTTCAACTTACGATTTTTCAACCTTACAATGGTGCAAAAGCAGTATGCATTTAGTACAGTAGAAACTGTACTTTGAGTATTCATACAATCATTCTGTTTTTCACTTTCAGTATAATATTCAATAAATTATTCATTATAAAATAGGCTTTGTGGTAGATTATTTGCCCCAGTATAGGATAATGTAAGTGTTCTGAACATGTTTAAGGTAGGCTAGACGTATTGAATGCATTTTTGATTTAAAATATTTTCAACATACAGTGGGTTTATCGGGATGTAACTCCATTGCAAATCGAGGAGCATGAGTATATTCATTGAGTTGTGTAACTGCCATCATAATTTTAGAATATTGTTGTCACCTTAAAAGAAATCTCATACTTATTAGCAGTCATGCCCCATTTCTCAACAATCTTCCCTTCCCCAGCCCTAGGCAGTTTGTCTTCTGTTTCTATGGATTTGTTTATTCTGGACATTTCATATAAAGGAAATCATATGATATGTGGTCTTTTGTGACTGGCTTCTTATACTTACGTTTATATTAAGGCTTATCCATTTTTTTTAATCAAAATATCAAGGGCTCTTCCATGTTATAGCATTTATCAATACTTCATTCCTTTTTATGGGCAAATACTATTCCATTCATCCGTATATGGATATAGCACACATTGTTTATCTATTCATCAGTTTGGTTTTGTTGTGGACATATGTTTTCAGTTCTCTTGGATGTGTAGGAGTGGAATTGCTGGATCATATGATAACTCTATGTTTAATCTTTTGAAGAACCAGCAGAAAGTTTTTCCAAAGTGCCACCATTTTACATCTCACCAGTAGTGTAAAAGGGTTCAATTTTTTCACATCCTCACCAATACTTGTGATTATTTCAGTGGCTATAAACTAGTATCTCATTTGACAAAGTTTTTTTTTTTTTTTTTTTTTTGGAGACAGAGTCTCGCACTGTCGCCCAAGGTGGAGTACAGTGGCGTGATCTCACTGCAACCTCTGCCTCCCAGGTTCAAGCAGTTCTCCTGCCTCAGCCTCCTGAGTAGCTGGGACTATAGGCGCGTGCCACCATGCCCAGCTAATTTTTGTATTTTTAGTAGAGACAGGGTTTCACGATGTTGGCCAGGATGGTCTCCATCTCTTGACCTTGTGATCCACCCACCTCGGCCTCCCAAAGTGCTGGGATTACAGGCGTGAGCCACTGGCTTCTCGCCCGACAAAGATTCTTCTGGACCAAACTGTAGACTTGCTTCTCTAAGCCCTATTTTCAATTCGGCCTTGACCTTGGGCCCTGTCCTTGACCTGCCTAACCCAGTCTTAGCAAGGTATCCTGCTAGCTCATCTCTCCTTCCTTTGATATGTTATCACCCTTGATATCTGATCAAGTTCCTCACCCCCACCACCTTTGATGTATAAGTCTTTGGACTTCCTTTAGCACACATCTTATTAGGCCAGTTTTGCAAGAAACTTCCTACTTTTTAATGTCTCCTCTTAGTAATTTTCTATCCACTGACCCCCACCCCCCGCTCTGGTTGTGGGCCATAAATCCCTATCTGTCTTTACTATAGTCAGAGTTAAGAACAGTTGTTCTCCCTTATTGTAGTAGTCATGATCCCTCTTGAATAAAGTCTTTCTTACCATTTTAACAAGTGTGAAAATAATTTTTCTTTAATGCATTGTGGTTTTTGCTTGTATTTCCTGGTATGTCTTCTTAATTAAAAAATATATTTTTTATTAATTTTTAATAAAAAGAGATGGGGTCTTGCTATGTTGCCCAGGCTGGTGTTGACTCCTGGGCTCAAGTAATCCTCCAGCCTCGGTCTTCCAAAGTGCTGGGATTATAGGTGTAAGCCACCATGCCCAGCTTATGTCTTTTTAAAGAGCATTTTTCTGGGCAGTACGTGACTCAGTCTTGTCTTTTTTGAGGGCAGGGTCTTGCTCTGTCATCCAGGCTGGAGTGCAATGACGTGATCATGGCTCACTGCAGCCTCGACCTCCCAGGGCTCAAGTGTCCTCCCACCTTAGCCTCCCGAGTACCTGGGACTACAAGCCCATGCCACCCCTACCCTGTCACTCAGCTAGTTTTTTGTATTTTTTGTACAGATGAGGTCTCAATTTGTTGCCCAGGTTGGAGTCTTGTCTTATTACCAATGTAACAGTCTCTGCTTTTTAATCAGGGTATTTGACCATTTAGGTTTAAAGTAGTTATTCGCATGGTTGAATTTAAGCCTCTCATTTTGATAGTGTTTTTCTATTTGTCTTATGTTTTCTGTTTCTTTTTCTTCTTTTTGTGCTTGGTATAAGATTGATTGAGAGGTAGGGGGTGTGAGTGCGTTTGTGTGCATTTTGGTATTTCATGTATTTCCTTCATTAGCTGTATCTTTTTGTTCCTTTTTTAAAGTGGTTGATCTAGACTTTATAATATTATAATGTGCATCTTTACTGTCTCACAGTATACTTTCAAATAGTATTAGACCACTTTAAGTATAATGTAAGAACCTTACAATATACTTACATTGAGCTTACTTGCAGTGAGCCAAGATCATGCCACTGCACTGCAGCCTGGGTGACAAAGTGAGACTCTTTCTCAAAAATAAATTAAAAATTAAAAAAATAAAATAGATAGAAAGATAGAGTGAGACTCTGCATCTAAAATAGATAGACAGATTGACCAACCAACCTACCTGTCACTTTGCATGACTCTTTAGTTTCAAAAGGATGATCATCTAAACAGGGGTGTCCAATCTTTTGCTTCCCTTGCCACACTGCAGAAGAATTGTCTTGGCCACACATAAAATACACCAACACTAATGATGGCTGATGAGCTAAAAACAAAAAAACAAAAGAAAAAACATTCACATATACACAAAAATCTCATAATGTTTTAAGAAAATTTATGAATTTGTGTTAGGCTGCATTTAAAGCTGTCCTGGGCTGCATGCGACCTGCAGACCATGGGATGGACAAGCTGGATCTACCACATTGAGTTACCCCTTTATAGCCACGAAAAATATTATGCTATGAATACTGTCATTGCCATAATAATTCCTGCTGGTCTCTAGTTTCTCATTGTCCCATGAGTGTTCTCACGGATACTTTGCAGGAAAGAGTTAACATAACAGGGCCCAAGACTGCTATTCTTAGAAAGGCCTGCTTAGAGAGATTGCCCATTGGTTGACATCTGGGAACTTAGGTTTTGGAAAGATTTCAACTATTCCTCATAAGAGTGGTTCACTTAATCTTCTCTGGAGGATGAGTTTTTTGAAAGAGGTTCAAGGTAATTTATCTAGATCTCAACGGGCAAGGAAGCTGTTCAGAAAAAAGTTAACATTGCAGTCCTGAGACTGCTATCCCTAAAAAAGGCTGCTTGCAAGGTTAGCTCTTCGCTGACATGGGAAACTAGGATTTCAAGAGGATTCCCACTATGCCCTAACTGATAAGATAGTTTACTGCGCCTAAATTGTTTGGGCAAACAATATGGTTTATGCTGGAGGCCTGGTTTCCTTCTGGGAGTCTGGAATTTTGGTATGTCCTAGGCAGACAGTCCCTACATTACCAGCTCCCAGTGAAAACTCTAGACATGAGGCCTCTAATAAGCTTACTTAGTAGACAACATTTCACATATGTTGTCATAACTCATTGCTGAAGGAATTGTGTTCTGTGCGACTCTACTGGGAAAGGACTCTTAAAAGCTTAGATCTGGTTTCCTCTGGTCTTTGACTTGTGCACCTGTTCCCTCAGCTGATTTTGTTTGGTATCCTTCTGCTGTAATAAATTTTAGCCATGAGTAAAAGTATAGGCTAACTCTTACGAGTCTTCCTAGCAAATATCCAAATCCAGGGGAGATCCTGGGGACCCCCAGGAGAGATACTGTGGCTATGGGTTAGCCACAGTTTTTTGCATTTTATGCATTTTGGAAAATGAATGCATAATGAGATTTTTAAATTATGTTTGTATAATAGTTTTTATAGGAAAGTACAAATGAAATTACCTTCACCTTTCTTTCACTTTAGAGCTGTAACTGAAGTTCGTGAAGTCACCAGAAAATCAGTCCCTCGTAATTCCTTAGAAAGTGCTGAGTACCTTAAACTCATAACTGGCTTATTAAATGCAAAAGACTTTCGTGATCGTATTAATGGGATTAAGCAGCTTTTATCAGATACAGAAAATAATCAAGACCTTGTTGTTGGAAACATTGTGAAGGTAAGGACTTGTCAGAATTAATTTTAATGTGGGTATGGTGGCTCACGCCTGTAATCCAAGCACTTTGGGAAGCCAAGGTAGAAGGATCTCTTGAGGCTAGGAGTTCAAAGTTCAAGCCCAACCTGGGCAACATAGCAAGACCCTGTCTCTACAAAAAAGAAAATAAAAATTTATTTTCATTTGAAATCTATGTCAAATGAAGTTTATCAGTTTAAAACATTGCCCTAAATCTTAGTGTTTTATATACCTTCTCTCTATATCTATATACAAATTACACAAATTTAAAATGGAATGTAACTAATAAATTACTTATATACATATCATATATAGATATATAATTCTCAAGTGTGAAAATAAGCTTAGTGAAAAGAATGGATTTTCTAGGTTTTTCTAGGTTAAAAGCATACTAGAACAACTCAAAGTCACTGAAACAAAGTAAGAGGATAGCTATTTATTAGTCTGAATCCTGCCACAAGATGGTAAGCTCCTTGAAACTGCTATATTCTCAGAGCTCTCAGAACCTGGCATCTAGTAAATATATGTTGAATTAATCAATACATATTTTTAAAAAGCAAAGACAGATAAGAGACTTGATATTGCTTTAGAACAGATAATAAAACTTTCCATATGTGGGTTAGAAATCTCTATATACTGACTCCTGTGTACCTATCTTTAGGAAGACAATAAGCAAAAGAAAGGGAAATATTAATAAATATTCATCATGTCAGAGCATAGATTATTTTTGCTTGATCAGAATTTAGTTCAGTTAATTCTATTAATAATTTATTAATTAAATTTCATTTTAAATTTGTGTAATGTGCATTATACTTGGCAAACATACCATAAGTACTCTTTACTTCTCATGGTATTGTCTCAGTTTTCTGAAGAAAAGAACCATATTACCATGTCATGGGAGCCAGAAAGTTATATTTTCTGATATCTATTGAGTAAAAATAAATCTCTTGGGAAGATTATTCTTAACATGAAAAATAATAAATAAGTATTAGAAATTATTAGTGAATAGTCTCAGCTCATAGAGTAGCTCTTCACTCACCTGACATGACTAAAGGATTGTTTAGCATTCACTTTATTATATCTTGAGTTTATGAAAGTTAAGGATTCTGAAGAGCAAGGAATTATTGTTAAAAGTTTTCAGGTTAAGAGATAATAATACAAATTTAACTCTGAAATTGCATCTAAAATTTTCATAATAAACCTAAACTGAAACTAGGTTAAATCTCCACAGTAAAACTTACAAGTCTACTTCTAGTGTGAAAAGAGATAAAAACAGAAACTTTTCTAAGTTCTTAGAGTTAGCTAAGCTAACCTCCATCTTCCAGAAAACAAGATGTTTATCATATTTACAGTCAGTCAGTCAGTCATCTGCCTACTGAGCCACATTTTTCAGCCTTTATTAGGATGTCTTTTGGGGTGATTTTTGAGGCCTTCTCTTTTTGTTACAAGAAGATTTGACACTTAGATTTAGTACCCAAATTTTTATAAAGTTCCTGTTATCCAAGTTCAGGCAAAATAGGATGTTGTGTATATATTTAAACTGAGTAAAGTAGGAGAAATATTATGACATGCCAAGATACTTATAAATACAATAGCTATAAAAATCATTTTACTTTAAATAATTTACCAATTTATTTTCAGATTTTTGATGCTTTTAAATCTCGACTTCATGATTCTAATAGTAAAGTAAATCTGGTGGCTCTGGAAACAATGCACAAAATGATTCCTCTACTTAGAGACCACTTATCTCCTATAATCAACATGCTAATTCCAGCAATAGTGGATAACAATCTGAATTCCAAGAATCCAGGCATCTATGCGGCTGCTACAAATGTTGTTCAGGCACTGAGTCAGCATGTAGGTAAGAAATCTTACTTCGGCACTCAAATTATTTTCACTTTCTTTTCATGTTTTCTGATTCCATCCATACTTTTTTTGTAATGCTGAAATCCTAGTTATTCAGTTTTTTAAACTTAATATTATCATAAAACTTTCTATTCTCAATGGTTTTAAAATTATTTTTAGTGATTAAATTCTGTCCCATTAAATTGACTTTCTTTTCCCTTATCTGTGACTTTTATTTCTTTTTCTGCCTCAACCTCACATCTGCTAACAAAACTAACTCAATACTTCGGCATGAGATGATCCAGAAATAAAATAAAGAAAAAAATATAAAAATAAGAAAATAATAATAAATAAACTAACTCAAAATGGATCGTAGAGTTAAATGTACAACTTAAATGTAAAACTTTTAGAAGATAACATGAGAAAATCTTAGGACTTGGTGAAAAGTTTTACATATGGCACTAAAAGCATGATCCTATAATCTCAGCCCTTTGGGGTTGATCTGCCAAGGTGGGCAGATCACCTGAGGTTGGGAGTTCAAGACCATCCTGGCTAATATAGTGAAACCCCATCTCTACTATAAATACAAAAATTAGCTGGGTGTGGTGGTGCGTGCCTGTAATCCCAGCTACCCTGGAAGCTGAGGCAGGAGAATCGCTTGAACCCAGGAGGTGGAGGTTGCAGTGAGCCAAGATTGTACCACTGCACTGCAGCCTGGGCAGCAGAGTGAGACTCTGTATCAAAAAATTTTAAAAAATTAAAAAAAAATAGATAAAGGGACAAGCTACAGACTGGGAAAAATATTTTCAAACCGCATATTTGACAAAGAACTCATACCTAGAATATGTAAAGAAATCTCAAAGCTCAACATAAAAAAAAACTCAAATAAAAAAATAGACAAAAGACCTGAAAAAATATTTAAACCATGAGGCTATACGGATGGCAAATAAGGGAGGATGTGTGACTGGTCAAATAAGCAAGTGAAAAGATGTTCAACATCACTAGCCATCCGGGAAATGCATATGCAAGTTAAGGCCATGATCACCACACAAGTATTAGAACATCCAAAATAAAAAATAGTGACAATACAAAATGCTGACAAGATTACAGAGAAACTACATCTCATACACAGCTGGTGAGAATGTAAATAAAATGGTACAGCCACTCTAGGTTTGGCAGTTTCTTTAAAATCTAAATATACCATGGAATACTACTTAATAAAAAAGAACAAAATATTAGGAACATGAAACAAATTTGTATAAAAAGATTATTCGGCCAGGCACAGTGGCTCACACCTGTAATTGCAGCACTTTGGGAGGCCGAGGCAGGCAGATCACGAGGTCAGGAGATCGAGACCATCCTGGCTAACATGGTGAAACCCCGTCTCTACTAAAAATACAAAAAATTAGCCGGGCGTGGTGGCAGGTGCCTGTAGTCCCAGCTACTTGGGAGGCTGAGGCAGGAGAATGGCATGAACCCGGGAGGTGGAGCTTGCAGTGAACCAAGATCACGCCACTGCACTTCAGCCTGGATGACAGAGTGAGACTCCATCTCAAAAAAAAGAAAAAAAAGATTATCCGTCATGTCCACGTGGAATTTATCCCAGGGATGCAAGGATGGTTCAACATATGCAAATGGATGGTTCTTAAGTATTTTTCATCAGGTTTACTATAATACCATAAAACTTGAGTGACACCATCAGACCTATATGAAGTGCCACTAGTGATGCTGGAAGTGCTCCCAATAAGCAGGGGAAAGTCATGACATGATAAATTTGAATTGCTTGATATCTGAGTAGCTTGAGGTCTGCAGCTGTGGTTGCTCACCATTTCAGACAGATGACTAATCTTGTAAACAGATGACATAAATTTGCATTATTGACAAATACAATACTGTAAATTTATTTTTCTTCTCTCTCCTAATATTTTCTTTTCTCTAGCTTACTTTTTTGTAAGAATACAGTATATAATACATATAACATCCAAAATATGTGTTCATTGACAGTTTATGTTATTGGTAAGGTTTCTGATCAACAGTAAGTTATTAGTAGTTAAGTTTGGGGAGTGTGAAAAGTTAAACACGAATTTTCAATTGTACAGAGGTTGGCTCCCCTAACCCCTGTGTTGTCCAAGGGTCAATTGTAGTTATTTAAGATGAAACCTTTGGGTGGAAGGTACACAGGACCTGTATATAATCTTTGTAAATTTCTCTGTTTCTATTATTATTTCAAAATTAAAACTTAAGAAAAAAATTCAGTAAATGTAAAAACTGCTTCCCTTTTTCTGTTGTTGTTGTTGTTGTTGTTGTTGTTTTGAGACGGAGTCTCACTCTATCACCAGGCTGGAGTGCAATGGCATGATCTCAGCTCACTGCAACTTCCGACTCCCTGGTTCAAGCGATTCTCCTGCCTCAGCCTCCCAAGTAGCTGGGATTACAGGCACGCACCACCACGCCCAGCTAATTTTTGTATTTTTAGTAGAGACAGGATTTCACTGTGCTGGCCAGGATGGTCTCAAACTCCTGACCTTGTGATCTGCCCACCTTGGCCTCCCAAAGTTCTGGGATTACAGGCATGAGCCACCACACCCGGCTGCTTTTTCTGTTTTTTGATAAAACTATGTTATCGTTTGAAATAAGATGCCTAGGAGATTCAGGCAGTTTTTTTTTTTTTTTTTTTAAATACCACATGATAGCTCCTTTAAAACTGTGTGAGGTATTTTTAGTTCTCATTTGCTTTAAGAATATTACTCTGTTAAGCTTTTGTTTGGTTTGTTGGTTTTTAGAGACAGAGTGTCACTCTCACCCAGGTTGGGGTGCAGTGGCACAATCATAGCTCACTGCAGCCTCAGACTCCTGGGCTCAAATGATCCTCTCACCTCAGCCTCCCAAGTAGCTGGAATTACAGGTGCTAGCCACCATGCAAGGTTTTATAGAAAATTTTAAATAGTGATTATGTAGATTTTTAAAGTGTTATACATTTGCATCCTAGAAGTGATTTTTTTTTTCTTTTCAATGCTATGTAATGGAAAGTAACTAAGAGCTCATTACTCTTTAAACATGTGTCTCTGTGTTCTTTTTGTTTAGACAATTACTTACTTCTACAGCCATTTTGCACAAAAGCTCAGTTTTTAAATGGAAAAGCAAAACAGGACATGACGGAAAAGCTTGCTGGTAAATACTTTGTAATTTCTAAAGAAATATTTTATTAACTAAGGATAAACTGATAAACTGTTTCAATTTAATTTTAGGATAGCTACCAACTTAATATAGCTACCCACAAAGTAGAAATAAATTGTGTAATGATCCACAAGAGAACCTTTTAAGACTTTTACCCCATACATTATTGTCAAAAGAATTTTATCCTTTTTTTTCCAGTAAATGTTCAGTCCCCTATTAGTGTAGCCAAATGCAGTGCAGGTTCAGCCAGTCACCACTTGGAAAATTGAGTAACAAGGATGAGGTGCAGTGGAAGGAAAGTGACTTTATTTTCCAAAGTTAGCAGTTGGCAGGTGGTTCAGGCTCCTGCCTTAACAAAACTGCTTCAAAATTCTCAGGCAAAATGCTAGGGTTTAAGAAGGAGCAGGTTTGCATAGAGGACATGCAGTGGGCCAGGCAGTACAGTTCTACATGATTTGTTCCTATGACTTATCTTGAGTTATTGCCCCATATGGTGAATGGTCCAGTGCTGTCTCAGGCCGGACTGGGTTGTAAATTAGCACCACAGCCTTGAAGTAATCTCCTGGTTAGAGAGAATTCCATAGATATCTGAATTGTCTCAAGACGGAGTCTCTGGAACTTTTTTTTTTTTTTAATGTTTGAGACAGAGTCTCGCTCTGTTGCCTAGGCTGGAGTGCAGTGGCGCAATATCGGCTAATTGCAACCTCCGCCTCCTGGGTTCAAGTGATTCCTGCCTCAGCCTCCTGAGTAGCTGGGACTACAGGTGCCTGCTACCACGCCTGGCTAGTTTTTTTATTTTTAGTAGAGATGGGGCTTCACCATGTTGGCCAGGCTGGTCTTGAACTTCTGACCTCAAGTGATCCACCCACCTCGGCCTCTCAAAGTGCTAGAATTTCAGGCGTGAGCCACTGCACCCAGCCCAGTCTCTGGAACTTCTAAGCAAACATAATTAGATAGGTTAGCAATGCAAAGGAGTATCTAGTAGAAAGAAGGAAAGCAAAATTTATTATTTCATTAGTAAAACGTGAATACAAAGGGCCATAAAAGGAGAAGAAAAAAAGCCCTTAAAAATAGGGTACTTGGTTACATTAGTAGAAATAATACGGGAAAAGTAAAAAGACATTAAAATCAAATTTTGGTTCTTACAGAAAACTGCTATTTCAAAGTCATGTTTGATAAAAGGTCCATGGGTTAAAACTGTGTACATTTTTGTTTCACTACATTTGGAAAACATCGAGATGAATTTGGGTTCATTTTCTCTCCTTACCACTTTTGCATGAACTAATTGTTCTATATGGGATTCTAATACCATATTTGAAGATCCCAATCTTTGAGAGAAAGGTTTCTTACATTGCTTCTTTTAAGAAGCCTAACTTTTTAGGACAAATTACATAAGGAAGAAGCTTAGTATATTTTAGTTGCTTTTTATTTAGCAGAGCTTGGGCTTATTTATTAAGAAAAAACCCTGTTTTTTATATTTTTATGTTTCAGATATTGTTACGGAACTTTATCAAAGGAAGCCGCATGCCACAGAGCAGAAAGTGTTGGTTGTTTTATGGCATCTCTTAGGAAATATGACAAATAGTGGCTCTCTGCCTGGAGCTGGAGGAAATATACGAACAGCCACAGCTAAATTATCAAAAGCACTCTTTGCACAGATGGGTCAGAATCTGTTAAATCAGGCTGCATCTCAACCACCACATATCAAAAAGAGTTTGGAGGAATTACTCGATATGACAATTTTAAATGAATTATGAATCTTCGATAAAATACTGTATGATGAACAAAAGTGTTTACATGATGACAAATGGAACTTTCTAAAAGTTATGTTATCAGTGCCTGCACTTCACATCCAGCAAATTAAGTCAATGGCTATTTTTATTTGCAGCCTATGAGTACACATCTGTCCTATATCAACCTTACCACTTATATTCATCACATAAAAACCTAAAATATTCATGAATAATTCATGAAATCTGAGTCACATGGGATGAATTCAATTTTAATATTTTTGAGAAAAGTCCTGCTCATTTGCACTATTCTATAGAAACTACAATTTGTTGCCCTATATGTAAAATTAGAATTGTAATTAAAAATACACATTTTATTATGTAATCATGTTCTGGTATGTCTCATTTCTCAGCCTTATTTTATAACGTGGAAGTCATTGAACTATGTTATCAGAAACTAAGTTTGTATATTATTTGTGAAAAACATGTATTTCTGAATCAGTCCGCTAATATGATTGTGCAGTATTAGCTTGCTTTTGCTGCTGTGTTAATGTCATATATTTGCTTACCTTTTGGGTTCAATTATCTACATAATTGTGAAATTTAACAAGTTATAATAAAGCATGACAACCAAAGTTTTAGAAAACATTAAACATTTTAAATGCACGTTTAAAAAACGTGTTGAATGTAACCCCCCTATTTTTGTGTGCAAACACTAAATTTTATTGCTTTATGTTTTGACCTTTATAAAGGTGTTATTCTGCTGCCCAGTTTTGTAATTCTCAAAAATAGTGCCAGGTCTTCTATAGCTTTTTTCAGAATTCATGGGCTTACAAGTACTGTATGCATCTTTAAAAAGAAAAGGAATGTTATAAAATAAAAGGATTTATTTCTTTAGATGTGTGAGAGGTGTCCTGTTTTTCCAACTTCCATACATGTTAAAATGGAAAAAAAAATATATATATATATACAGTAGTATCGACCTATCACTTTCACTTGATCTACTTATTATGATACTGACCTATCACTATTGACCTACAAATAGACGTGGGTTATCATTCTAACTTTGTAGGAAATTAGCTGTCTGACCTCGGACAAGTCACTTACCAGGTCTGGGCCTCAGTTTCCTCATGTCTAAAATGTAAGAGCTAGACTAGAAGATTTTAAAGGTCCTATCCTGTTCTAAAATTCTATAATTCTATGTTCATTCTTTTGTACTTCTGAGTCACTGACCAGTTTTCTAATGTATTTGGCTGTTTTTAAAATTGTGATTTAAAAAAATTTATCCTGGCCGGGCGTGGTGGCTCAAGCCTGTAATCCCAGCACTTTGGGAGGCTGAGGTGGGCAGATCACGAGGTCAGGAGTTTGAGACCAGCCTGGCCAATATGGTGAAACCCTGTCTCTACTAAAAACACAAAAATAGCCAGGTGTGGTGGCGGGCACCTGTAATCCCAGCTACTCGGGAGGCTGAGGCAGGAGAATTGCTTGAACCTGGGAGGCGAGGTCGTATTGAGCCAGAGATCGTACCATTGCACTCCAACCTGGGCGACAGAGTGAGACTCTGTCTCAAAAAAAAAAAAAGCCAGGCGTGGTGGCTCGCGCCTGTAATCCCAGCACTTTGGGAGGCCAAGGTGGGTGGATCATCTGAGTTCGGGAGTTCAAGACCAGCCTGACCAACATGGTGAAACCCCATCTCTACTAAAAATAGAAAAATTAGCCGGGCATGGTGGCGCATGCCTGTAATCCCGGCTACTCGGAGGCTGAGGCAGGAGAATCGCTTGAAACCGGGAGGCGGCGGTTGTGGTGAGCTGAGACTGCACCATTGTACTCCAGCCTGGGGTACAAGAGCAAAACTCCACCTCCAAAAAAAAAAAAGAAAAATTTATCCTTAGCTTCTGAGAAAAAAAAAAAAAGGGTAAGGGGGTTGCTTCTATTTCAAGCTAAGCTAAAATAAGAGTAAAGAATTGGCTACTTTTTCTATTTATATAAACTTTTATATAATTATATACTTTTAAAATACCTTATATTTTCTTCTAAGTGTATTTTATTACAGTCCTCTAGTTTGGTGTACTTTATGTATAGGGCCATAGAGTAAATATTTTCGGATTTGTAAGCCCGTATTTTATTTATGTATCTATTTTGAGATGGAGTCTTGCTCTTGACACCCAGGCTGGACTGCAATGGCGCAATCTCGGCTCACTTTAACCTCCCCCTCCCAGGTTCAGGCAATTCTCCTGCCTCAGCCTCCTGAGTAGCTGGGATTAAAGGCGCCCGTCACCATGCCCAGCTAATTTTTGTACTTTTAGTAGAGACGGGGTTTCGCCATGTTGTCCAGGCTGGTCTCAAACTCCTGACCTCAGGTGATCTGCCCGCCTCGGCCTCCCAAAGTGCTGGGATTACAGGCGTGAGCCACTGTGCCTGGCCTATTTTTTACACTTAAAAAATGTAAAAAAATATTCTTAGCTCAGGTCATAGAAAAATAGGCCTCTGTTAGACTCATTTGATCTCAGTTGTAAACTCTGAAATCATTACATTTTGCTTCAACCCTACTTGATATGCATCATTGATACAATAGTTACAGATTTTAAGTTTTATTAATTATGACTTCTGCCTTTGTATCACTGCACTTGTGCTAGCTAAATTTGCATCAATAGATTGTTAGATATATTGAAGGTAGATTTTACATTTTAAAGGATAAAGAAGACCATTACTTCATGTATAAGCCTAATTCCTTAGTTTGAATTTTGCACTGAAAAGTACAATATTCTGATCAGTCTAGGGAGAAAAAAATACAGTAAATATAATCAATAATGTGGCAACTTTATTTTACATAATATGTGAGCTACCTTTTATTATAAAGAAAATAGCCATTAATGTAACAAAAGAGTCTCAAGCCTAAAGAGTTTCTGTATTTTAGTAACTGCTTGATAATTGAGCACTCAGAAGTCTAGCACTCTTATCGAGAACCATTATCAACCCAGAGGTCAACAAAGAAACAGACTGATCACTGATTGAAATAACTAAAGAAAAGCTGAAGTCCCGAATAAACAAACGCATTTACTTGGAATAAAGGAATGTCGTTTACTAGCAATGGTAATGATAAAAGCCTAACGTCACCCACCAATGCAACAACAAAAAATGTTAAATGATGTATTTACCCAATGGAATGCATATCATATAGTCATTAAAAACGATGCCAAATACATGTTAAAGGAAAAATGTGACTACAAAATAAGTACAGTGTCTCCATTAATATATGTGCACTTAGAAAACAGAAGTAGTAGTATATATATACCAACATCTTAATGGTGGTAATCTGTGGGCAGTGAAGTTATTTTAATTTTTTTCAATGTACTCTTCTGTAATTTCTATTTTTTCAGAAATGAACAAGACATATTGCTTATAGTAAAATTTAAATTACAATAAGTGAAGAGAATCTGAAGAGAATCTGAAAAGTAATTTGGAGAGGAAAAAATATATAGCAAAGAAGAGAGCAGTGAACATCACAAAAGTGCTAAGGGAGGTACACAGTGATGTGACTCAAAGGGAGATGACCGAGGGAGGCAAGTATTATTCAGATAAAAAGCATAAGACTTTGATTCAGAAAGCATGAATTTGGAAACCCAGTTTTATAATTACCTGCTAAACCTTACATACATCCTGGGATTATTGTGAAGTCCAAAATTTAAAAAGGATTATGTATAAGAAAGCATTTGTAGGGCCGGGCACGGTGGCTCATGCCTGTAATCCCAACGCTTTGGGAGGCCAAGGCAGGCAGATCACCTGAGTTCAGGAGTTCGAAACCAGCCTGGGCAACATGGTGAAACTGCATCTCTACTAAAAATACAAAAATTAGCCAGGCATGGTGGCGGACACCTGTAATCCCAGCTACTTGGGAGACTGAGGCAGGAGAATTGCTTGAACCCAGGAGGTGGAGGTTGCAGTGAGCCAAGACCGCGCCATTGCACTGCAGCCTGGGTGACAAGCGAGACTCCGTCTCAAAAAAAAAAAAAGCATTTGTAAACCTCAAATGCTATATAAAGGTAACATTCCCAACAGAAGGAAGACCCAACTGGCATGAGCAAAAAGGAATTATTTTATTGTGTATATTTATGAGGTACAACTTAATGTTTTTATACATTGTGGATCATAAAGTTAATTAACATATCCATCACCTTACAGACCTAACTTTTTTTTTGTGGTGATCACATTAAAATCCACTCTCATAGCAATTTTCAAATACACATTATTATAAACTATAGTCATCTTGTTATACAGTAGGTTCTGAAAACCTTTATTTTATTTTTCCTCTTTATTTTATTTTTAAATTATTTTTTGAGACAGAGTCTCACTCTGTCACCCAGGCTGGAGTGCAGTGGTGCAATCTCGGCTCACTGCAACCTCTGCCTCTGGGTTCAAGCGATTCTCTTGCCTCAGCCTCCCAAGTAGCTGGGACTACAGGCAAGTGCCACCACACCTGGCTAACTTTTTGTATTTTTAGTAGAGATGGGGTTTCACCACGTTGGCCAGGCTGGTCTCGAACTCCTGACCTCAGGTGATCTGCCCAACTCAGCCTCCCGAATTGCTGAGATTAGAGGCGTGAGCTACCATGCCTGGGCTTCTTTTTTTTATTTTTAAAAATAGTCTTAGAGATGGGATCTTGCTATGTTGCTCAGGTTGGACTTGAACCCTTGGGCTCAAGGGATCCTCCCACCTCAGCCTACCAAAACTGCTGAGATTACAGGCATGATCCACCTTGCCCGGCCATAATTCTTCCTTTCTAAATGAAACTTTGGACCCTTTACCCATCCTTTTTTCCACTTCCCCACCCCAAGCCTGCCAGCTCCTGCAAACCACCATCCTATTTTCTACTTCTTGGAGTTCAACTTTCTTAGATTCCACATGTAAGTGAGATCATGTATTATTTTTCTTTCTGTGCCTGGCTTATTTCACTTAACATAATGTCCTCCAGGTTTATTCATGTTGTTGCAAATGATGGGATTTCCTTTTTTAAGACTAGTATTTCACAGTGTCTATATACGGCATTTTCTTTATTCATTCATCCACTGATGAACACTTGATCAAGACTTTGAGGCACTCATCTCTATGATTCCCTCAAGGAATTGTGTTGCCTTTTGTTTCATATTTTCATAAGAGATATTTGATAAGAAAGGTTCCCTAAGTTTTATTATAGCTTCTAAGGCTGTTGTATCAGTTGGAATGCTTTTGACTGAATAGCAAACCAAACTAACAGTAGCTTAAACCAATTGGTATGTTATTTGTCTCATACTACAAGAAGTGTAAAAGCACTGGCTAAGCATTATGCCAATGGCTTGATGATATCAGAGCTGATTATAAGACGGCAGCTTCCTCTCCAAATATCATAATTGTGCTTCAGACAGAAAAAAAAAGTAAAATGGATAACAAGCACAGGTATTTCTCTAGTGAGGCTTCGCTTTTTTATTTAGGAAAGAAGGCCCTTCCTATGTACTTCTACCTACATCTCATTGGCCACCCTTAGGTTCAAAGGAGGCTAGGAAATTGAGTATTTCGTTTCCCAGTCTCAATAGTACAGGAAGATAATAGAGAAGATAGTGGGCATGGATATTTCTAAGCTGACCTACAACATCTGCCATATTCCATAAGCCCCACTCTGATGAAACACAGTGGCATTCTATGCCCCAGGAATTGGTATTAATTCAGGTCCAATGTTTAATAAATTCCAAGAAGCCAGCATGTTTTCTGTTTCCTGGTGTGAAGTTACCCTAATAAGTAGCCATAAGTCTCTGAGGGAATAAGAGGAATGTGCAGAGTGGTATTACTATGGCGCTCTTCTTTAAGGTTATCCGGAAACAGGAGTAACAATGATAACTCTCAGGAAGACTGAATTGAGGAGATATTAATACCATTTGAACTAAATATGAAAGACCAAATAGTAAAGAGGAAACAAGCTTCATGTTGTGTTTGGATTTAAATCTCCTGGAGCTACAGTTTTAACTTTACTTGCTTTACCAGTAAGGAGAAACACTAAATACAGGAGTCTGAATGTTTCCAACAGAAGAGTCACCACAATTTATTTAGTGATGGATTATTTATAATGTAAACAAAGTTCATTCCCTAGAGCAATATATTCTGTAAATTAAATGATCCACAAAGTATTTTACGCACTTTTTCATGGCATGTTAACGTTTTGAAGAGAATAAACAGGAATCATACTGAACAGCTCAGAAATTGTGATTAACACTGGGTATCACAAGATACATTTTGCTCTTATATCAATCAGGACCCAGAAGGAAATAGACAGCAAATCAAAATCGGCATAATTTGGGAAGTGGTTAATAAGGGAGTATTTATAAAGGCATGGCTTAGGGAAACCTGGAACCTAGAATGAAGTTATATTGAGAGGGTTACCTTCATCAGAGCTGAGATCACCCACATGGAGGGAGCTGGAGGAATAAATACCCTGACCTCACTCCTCAATTCCACTCTGCCAGGACTTTTTCTTGGCCATACTCAACCAGAAACCAGGAAGCAAGAGAACCTATTGATACGGTCTATAAGGGTCAATCTCCAAATAATGGAGCAGGGTGGATGATCTGTTGATCTGGAGGGGCAAATGGAAGAACTGCATTAATAAATAATATCATTTCCCATTTGTCTGACTTCTTTGTTCTGTTTCTGAGATCACATGACTTTAAATATTGTTTTTTAGAACCCACTGAGAGGTGACAGCGTGCTGGCAGTCCTCACAGCCCTCGCTCGCTCTCGGCGCCTCCTCTGCCTGGGCTCCCACTTTGGCGGCACTTGAGGAGCCCTTCAGCCCACCGCTGCACTGTGGGAGCCCCTTTCTGGACTGGCCAAGGCCGGAGCCGGCTCTCTCAGCTTGCAGGGAGGTGCAGAGGGAGAGGAGCCAGCGGGAAGCGGGGCTGCGCCCGGCGCTTGCGGGCCAGCTGGAGTTCCGGGTGGGCGTGGGCTTGGCGGGCCCCGCACTCGGAGCAGCCGACCGGCCCTGCCGGCCCCGGGCAATGAGGGGCTTAGCACCTGGGCCAGCGGCTGCGGAGGGTGTACTGGGTTCCCCAGCAGTGCCAGCCCACCGGCGCTGCGCTCGATTTCTCGCCGGGCCTTAGCTGCCTTCCCTCGGGGCAGGGCTCAGGACCTGCAGCCCGCCATGCCTGAGCCTCCCACCCCCTTCCTGGGCTCCTGTGCGGCCGAGCCTCCCAGATGAGCGACGCCCCCTGCTCCACGGCGCCCAGTCCCATCGACCACCCGTCGGCTGAGGAGTGCGGGCGCAGGGCGCGGGACTGGCGGGCAGCTCCACCTGCAGCCCCAGAGCGGGATCCACTGGGTGAAGCCAGCTGGGCTCCTGAGTCTGGTGGGAACTTGGAGAACCTTTATGTCTAGCTCAGGGATTGTAAATACACCAATCAGCACTCTGTGTCTAGCTCAGGGTTTGTGAATGCACCAATCGACACTCTGTATCTAGCTACTCTGGTGGGGCCTTGGAGAACCTTTATGTCTAGCTCAGGGATTGTAAATACACCAATCGGCACTCTGTATCTAGCTCAAGGTTTGTAAACACACCAATCAGCACCCTGTGTCTAACTCAGGGTTTGTGAATGCACCAGTCGACACTCTGTATCTAGCTACTCTGGTGGGGACTTGGAGAAGAACCTTTGTGTCCACACTCTGTATCTCGCTAATCTAGTGGGGAGGTGGAGAACCTTTGTGTCTAGCTCAGGGATTGTAAACACACCAATAAGTGCCCTGTCAAAACAGACCACTTGGCTCTACCAATCAGCAGGATGTGGGTGTGGCCAGATAAGAGAATAAAAAGCAGGTCGCCTGGGCCAGTAGTGGCAACCTGATTGGGTCCCCTTCCACACTGTGGAAGCTTTGTTCTTTTGCTCTTTGCAATAAATCTTGCTACTGCTCACTCTTTGGGTCCACACTGCTTTTATGAGCTGTAATACTCACTGCAAAGGTGTGCAGCCTCACTCCTGAAGCCAGCGAGACCACGGGCCCACCGGGAGGAATGAACAAGTCCAGACACGCCACCTTAAGAGCTGCAACACTCACCGCGAGGGTCCGCGGCTTCATTCTTGAAGTCAGTGAGACCAAGAACCCACCAATTCTGGACACACCACTACCCTCTAAACTACATTATTTGGTATAATATCTTTTTTCTTCCCAAAGTTTATAATTGTGATACACAATTTTAAAAAAGTCAACTAAGGGTAAATCAATTTTTTTTTTTTTTGTCTTTTGTTTTTGTTTTGAGATGGAGTCTCACTCTGTCTCCCAGGCTGGAGTGCAGTGGCACCATCTTGGCTCACTCCAACCTCTGCCTCCCGGGTTCAATTAATTCTCCTCCCTCAGCCTCCTGAGTAGCTGGGATTACAGGCGTGCGCCACCACACCCAGCTAATTTTTGTATTTTTAGTAGAGATGGGGTTTCACCATGTTGGTCATGCTGGTCTCGAACTACTGACCTCATGATCTCCCCGCCTCGACCTCCCAAAGTGCGCTGGGATTACAGGCATGAGCCACCACGCCCTGCCGGCTAAATCAGTTTTTAAGATAATGTATGTTTCTGCCAGCGGGGATCACATTTTAGGCAAAGAGAAGAGCCCACTTAAAGGTTTCCACGCATAAAAGGGCTGTGGGAACAGTAGGTTCTGTGGAGTTACGGGGAGGCAGAAACAGTGAGAAGGCTGGCATGATTATGAAAACACCGTATTTTCCATTCTAAAAGTTTAGGATTTCTTTAAAAAAAAAAAAAAAGTGGAGGAGGAAACCAGTGGAGGTTTTTAAGCGGGGGAGTGAGAGCAATAGCACCGGCTTGAAAGGTAAAATGTAAAAACTAGATAAAGGAAAACAACGAATCCACAGTGAATGAAGTTGAAGATGCAAGTAGATTTTTATAAAATGGCTATTTGAGTGAATGACATCTCAGAGATAATCTTATTTACTGATAAAGAAATTGAGGCCACCTTAGAAAGACCAAAGAACCAGAAAAGGAGTGAAGGTCATGCCAAACAGTCCCTGCGTAACAGTGCCAGCAGCAAACTCTGGTCTGTCTTCCCAACGCACCACTCCCTTGACTATTCTTCCCACAGTAAACATTTAAAAGCTGCTGTTTAAACCTGTGAAACAAACAAACAAAAAACATGGCCACACTGTCAGAGAATCCAAAAAAGTTAGCTTGGAAAGTAGAAGAGGCAAATGGAAAGGGAAAGCTACTACTAGGTGCAGTGTGATGCAAGTAAAAGGTAGGAAAAAAGACTGAATTTGGTATTTCGAACGAAAGGTGCTGGTGAGAGGATTTATGATTAACCTGCGTTGTGACAAGAAACGTCGTCTTGTAAATAAGTATTTCCAGAGGAGACAGATTTCAGATGAGGAACTTGGAGCCCAGTAGTAATACTAATGCACCTGGAACAACAGATTACATGGTAAGTGACAGGTGAATGCGGGGGCACCAATGTAACAGAATCTTAAAGGGAGAGAGGCCAGATTTGAAAGAAAATTTTTTTTTATTAAAGTGGAGATGGTGGTACAACTGAAGAGGACTGCTAAGATTGTTAACGCACAGTCCCCCTCAATTTGTCCAGAGGATAACATATCCCTTCAGATACAAAGATTTTTTTTTTTGCTTGGCCAACTTTAGTCAGGTTTCTGAATCTTCTGCTAGGCTCTTCTGTACACTTTCTTTGTAAAATCCAGTTTAAGCAAAGAACTTTGCTAAGTCAGATTAGCAATAAACCCCCATCCTTGATAGCTGATCATCCTCAATATCTGATCAGGTTCTTCAGTCTCCACCATCCCCCAGGTGATGCCTCATTATCTTGGCCTGTCTTCAGCAAAAATCCTATTAGGTGGGTTTAGCCAAAATCCCCCTTACCCTGATGTTTCCTCTTAGTAATTATACATTCACTTACCACCGCTCCTTGGCTATAAATCTCCACTTGCCCATGCTGTATGAGGAGTTGAGCCCAATATCTCTTTCCCTACTGCAAGTCTCCATTGCAGTCAGTGGTCCCTATACCTGTTGCGATGGTCCTGAATAAAGCCCTCTTTTTGTGCTTTAACAAGTGTCACTAAATACTTTTTTCTTTAACAATAGCCCGTTCTCCAAACCCCTAACTCCAGAACTGTTTAGTTTTCAGGAAACCTGAGTGGGCCCAGGGTCTATACCATCGTGAGATTTGTGGGTTTAAGGCTGAATTTCTGCCCGTTTTTAGGTAAATGTTTTAGTGTGAAAGCTTGAACAATTGTAGGGAAAACCTTAGATTTGCCCCCAAAAATGACATTTTGCCGTTTTTGGTGGGGAGGGGTCAGGGCGCTGTGTTTAAGATCAGGCGTGTGAAAGCCCCTAAACGCCCTCCTTTCCTTTGGGAAGTCCCTATGGAGGGAAAGGCAGGTAGGCGCAGCGGTCCCCGCCCTCGCTCGCGGCGGGGCGGGGCGGGGCTGCGGGGGCGGGGCTGGGGCCGCACGGGCAGCGAGGATCCCTGGGAGGGCCAGGCCTGCGCGCTGCGAACCCACGTGACTTTTTCGCCTCCAGGGACACTGACGCATGCGCATCGTGCCCTGGACCAGGCGGCCGTGGCGCGGGTGGCGGCTGCTGTGCTGGCTGTGGGGACGGAGGCGGTGAAGTGCCATCTTCGGCTAGGTCGTCACAGGCTCCGGCTCATGGCATCAAGTGGCATCCATCATAAGGTCTGCTGGGGCGGGCTCCTTGAAATTAGCTGGGGCAGAGGGTGGTACTTGGTACTGAAAGGGGCCTGCCGGGTTTCAGGCCGCGCTCTGGCCGCGGCCTCCCTCTCCCGCCCTGTTTGAGGCCTGGCTCGGATTCAGCGCTCAGCTGTCCATTCCTTTCTCCTTCCCACCTGTTGGGTGGAGCGGTGCAAGGTATTTTTTTCTTAGACCAAACGTTTCACTTGAGGGGTGCGTTAGGTAGGGTGGAGAAGTGTGGGCCTCCTTCGCCTGGATTTAGGAAGATATTTGGGGGTAATTCTAAAGCCCTTGCTTCTCCCGGAGCTGGAACACGGCTGGGGTGGCTGGAAGTGGAAGGAGCACATTTGCAGCCGCCAGAGGATTGGGAAGATAATATACGTTCTATTACTAAGGCATGTGAGCGCCTTGTAGGGCACGTTCTGTCTTCTGACTACATAAGCAACACTTTTGCGACCCTAAGTCACAGCACCCACAGCTTTTGGCAGGATACTTTAAAACAGAAAAAACACATCATTGATCCTGGCAGGATTTTTTAAGGGATTGTGCTTAAGAATGTTTAACTTTGGTAATCAGAGACCACCACTGGTGTTTTTCTCCAAAATCACATCTTTAAGTTAATTAATACTTGAAGTTAATAAATAATACTGCTCAGTGTATTAGTAATGATGCCATAATACCATGTGAATTTATGCTGATTCAAATGTTGTTTTTTTCGTTTGATACTCATATGGCCTTCTGTTTGAGGACTTCAGATTATTTAGCAACTGATTTAATCTGTTCAGAAATAAACTTTGCTACAGCTGGAAAGCGTGAGGCTTGAGAAAGCAAGTTTTGGACAGGGACGTATGAAGCTCATGTTGAAACTTAAGTGTTTTAGGCTGTATGGGAGCTTGAATGGAGTGAAAAGAACAAGCGTCTACTGTCAGGTTTTCCTCCTCCCTCTAGATTTATAACCTCATTCTAGAGTTGCAAAAGTTGGAACTTTCCACTGTTCACTCTCTAGTAGGGATAAAGTGATGGAAAGGAGTTCTGTTAAAGAGGACTAGTACTTAGATTGTGAACTTTGAAGTAGGGGTTGAGCATAGATGGCTCATAGGTGGTATGAGACACTATTTGTGTAAAGTCTCAGAATATTTTTCCTTGCTTATAATTGAATAAGAAAGAAGATGTTTAAAAGTCAAATGATAAAAATTGTATGTGCTGTTTTCTGTGGTATGTTTTAACAAATCTACATGGAAGATAGGACTTCAAAAAAAATTAAAAATAGCCGAAGGAGGAAGAAGGTAGTGTAGTTCCAGCCAAATGGTACGTTTTCCAAAAAGCCGAAGATTGATGTAGACGTTTATGTAAATACATATACAAAATCTAGTTTCTGGAACACAGTGTTTAATATGTAGAGACTTTAAAAAGTCGGCGTGTGACTACTTAGCCCTTAAAAACAGCTGCCAAAACCAGTGGTTATGATAGTCTCTTTTCTTCTTACATCCCAAATCTCCAGATTGCCTTGTGGATGAGATTTGCTTATTGCAAAGCTACTTGTTTTGCTCTACCCAAAACTCCTTTCAGTCTTTAGTGATGACTTCAGATTTTTATATATTGCTGTGTTTATGAAAAAGAATAGTCAATGGTATAATTTTTAAGTACCTCTACAGGAATAAGAGGCATACAGAAAAAAAAAAAAAGGTATTAGGTCAAAAGATGGCATTTCACTCTCGTTGCCCAGGCTGGAGTGCAATGGCGCTATTGGCTCACCGCAACCTCCGCCTCCCGGGTTCAAGTCATTCTTCTGCCTCAGCCTCCCCAGTAGCTGGGATTACAGATGCGCGCCACCACGCCTAATTTTTTGTATTTTTAGTAGAAACGGGGTTTCACCATGTTAGCCAGGCTGGTCTAGAACTCCTGACTTCAGGTGATCTGCCTGCCTCGGCCTCCCAAAGTGCTGAGATGACAGGCATGAGCCACCGTGCCCGGCCCAAATGTCCCATTTTTAATTAAGTGTTAGTAATTGAAGTCATCCTCCAAAAGACCTTTTAAATTTTAAGATGGCATAATTGTCACTGAAATACTTAATGTACGTCATAATTATACTAAAAGTGAAAGGTATGATAAATGTATTTTTTATATATTGCCTATTCACTTTATGTTATGTTTCATTTTATACTTGTGTCCTTTGTGCCTATCATATGATTTTATAATAAAGTGTAATGTAGTGAAAAGGAATCGACTGGTTTGGTGAGTTGAAAAAGGGAGGACTTTTATTAGTCTGGGGGAACAGCTTTTGTCAAGGCTCAGAAAGGAAAAATCTAAGGGACTCTGGAAATGGCAATGAGGAGGAGTATTGTAAGATTAATACTTTTGGAAAGTTAAGTTGAGACTGGATATATCATTCAGAGATATTTGTTGTGCTGTTACACGGCAAGTATTATTTCAGGTTCAAGGGGGACAGCGGTGAACAAAACTGATAAGGCCTCATTCTCACCCAATTTAATTTTTTTTTCCTTTTACTCTTGTTGAGCTGTGATCAGGAAATTTAATATTCGAGTAATATTAGTTTGCAGTAGTGCAGCAGTGTTTCTCAGTTTTTTTTTTTTTTTTTTTTTTTACTGCAGCCCACAATAAGATGTACATGGACATCACTAACTCAATAAACAGTTCAATTGTGTGTGCTTCAACAGTGTGCCCTTAATGTGTGCATTCACTGTGGTATATCTGTTTTTCTACATTTAAAAAATGAGAAACTGGTTTGAAGCAATCTGCATTTGAAAACATTGATCCAGAGGGGAGAAAATAAATACTTAAATTATAACACTAGTAGTGTGAATGGAAAGAAGGGGATAGTTAATTTTTTAAGGTGTATTATTTCGCTCTGTCGCCCAGGTTGAAGTGCACTGACATGGTCAGCCCACTGCAACCTCCACCTCCTGGGGCTTGGGTGATCCTCCTGCCTCAGCTTCCCAAGTTGCTGGGACTACAGGTGCGTGCCACCACACCCAGCTAATTTTTAAATTTTTTTGTAGAGACAGCATTTCCCTATGTTGCCCAGACTGGTCTCGAACTCCTGGACTCAAGCAGTCCTCTCACCTCGACTTCCAAAGTGCTGGGATTACAGGTTTGAGCCACTGCATGGGTGGCCCAGAGTGTATTATTTTTTTTGATGGACAGATCTTAATTGTATACATCGTGGGATAGGGGATCATTCATTTTTATACCGAGGTATGTTTGAATATTTTGTGAATGAGGCTTAGAGAGGTTAAGTAATTGGCTCAGAGTTCCCTAATGAGTAGCCAGAAGACTGTTTTTTTTTTGTTTTGTTTTGTTTTTTTTGAGATGGAGCCTTGCTCTGTCACCCAGGCTGGAGTGCAGTGGCGCTATCTCGGCTCACTGCAACCTCCGCCTCCTGGGTTCACACCATTCTCCTACCTCAGCCTCCTGAGAAGCTGGGACTACAGGCGCCCGTCACCATGCCCGGCTAATTTTTTTTTTTTTTTTTTTTGTATTTTTAGTAGAGACGGGATTTCACCGTGTTAGACAGGATGGTCTCTATCTCCTGACCTCATGATCCGCCCGCCTCAGCCTCCCAAAGTGCTGGGATTACAGGCGTGAGCCACTGCGCCCGGCCTCATAAGTGTTCTTCTGGCCTCTAAAACCCAAGTACTTATCACTTCCCATTTGGTTATGAAAGCAATATACTGGGTTTTAGTATGGGTTACTGAAGACTAATGTTACTTGTTTATTGTTCAATGAATTGAGTGTATACTAGGCCTCCAGGTGTACTGTATCCCTGTGTATTGGTAGATATGGTCCTTACTCTCAAGAATTGTGTAATCTGGTAGAGAAGATACACATTGAACAAGTATCACAAATGTGTTATGTGCTATGGAGAAAAAGAATGCTGTTGGGGCATGATTGAGGGCAACCTAATTTATTTGGGGGGTATGATAACACTTTTCAGGAAATGATGTTAAACTTTGCCCACTGTGATGATGGCATTTCTTAGGACAATTTTGGATTAATTATGAAAACAACTACTCTCTGAGCAATTGTTGAAAAAAAAATTAAAAAGCAAACTTTGCCCAGAAGATTAGGCTTTAGTTAGTTTGAAGGCACTGAGTCAGAGTGTGGTGTCAGGTAAAGGGATGAGGAAGCATTCAGGTAGAAGAAACTGCATGTACTAAGGTTCCTAAGCTGAAAGGAACAGAATTGGAAAAAACAGAAAGCAAAACTCAACAGAAATAGAATGTCTGGGCTGTACAAGTTAGTAGAGAAGAGGCAAGAGTTTTGGTGTTAGGATGAGGTTGAATCTTAGCTCTGTTTCTTACTATTCATGTACATTTAGACAAGTTATTTAACGTTAATGAATTTTGGTTTTGTCATCTTTAAAAGGGAAAGTAGCATTTAACAAAATATTTGCTCAATAAATAGCATATCTTATTATCATTAATAGCTAGTAATTGAAGTTATAGCAGTGCAGATGACATGCTTTCATTCATTCATTCTTCAGAAATAATGAGTGTCTTTGTGTGCCAGGCAACTCGATACACAGTAGTTGAATTACACATGTATATGTATTATTACATTAAAGTGTCATAAAACCATATACTTTTACTATGCAAAGCACTGTGCTAAAATTTTTTTCTATTCTATTTTCCATTTGAAGAAAGGTTCAAGAAACTGGTGTGAAGCAATCTACAGTTTGAAAATTACTGATACAGTGAAGAGATGATTACTTAGCCCCTTATTACAGATATGATATGCAAATATTTTCTCCCATTCTGTAGGTTGCCTTTTCACTCCACTGATTGTGTCCTTTTATGCACAAAAGCTTTTAAATTTGATGTAGTCCTATTTGTCTGTTTTTGCTTTTGTTTGCCTGTGCTTTTGGCATTATCCAAGAGTTCACTGCCAAGTCCAGTATCATTAAGCTTTCCCCTACGTTTTCTTCTAGGAATTTTATAGTTTTAGGTTTTACATTTAGGTCTTTACTTCATTTTAAGTTAATTTTTACATGTAGTATAAGACCAGGGTCCAACTTCATTCTTTTGCACGTGGATATCCAGTTTTCCAAGCACCATTTGAAGAGACGATCCCTTCCTCAATGAGCAGTCTTAGCACTTTGTTGAGGGCCATTTGAGAAGGGAGTTTATTTCTGTGTTCTTTATTTCATTGGCCTATTTGACTGTTTTTATGTCAGTATCACACTTGATTTCTTTCTTTTTTTTGAGGCAGGGTCTGGCTCTGTCACCCAGGCTGGAGTGCAGTGGCACGATCACGACTCACTGCAGCCTTGACTCCCACTTCAGCCTCCGGCTAATTTTTGTATTTTTTTGTAGAGAATGGTTTTTGCTATGTTGCCTGGGCTGGTCTGGAACTCATGGGTGATCGGCCTACTTGGCCTCCCAAAGTGCTGAGATTACAGACAGGAGCCACTATGCCTGGCCCGTTTTATTTCTTTCTTTTGATAGCTATTCTGTACCCTTTCCCATTTTATGTTGCTAGTTGAAAATTATTGGTTGTTGTTAAGAATAAACTGATAATAATTGACATATAAATAATATGTTGGAGTAACTCATTAAAAAATAACTTTAGTGTATTCTTTTGACTCTGTGATTTGTGAAGTAATCATCAAAATGATCTCTATAAGCATAAGGTTGATGTTCTTAAATCTTTTTACAACACTGTGATTGCAGGGTGTGGAGTAATTGACAGGCTCTGAAGATGCAGGGGTGTGGTAAATTTGCTGATTCCAGAAGAAACCCTTATGTCTCACCTAAGTGTGAAATTAGAATAGGGTAGCTAGTTAATGACTCAGAATGTATCAGCCTACAGTCTTTTTTGTATTTTGTTTTTAGACTGAGCTCTGAAATACAAAACCACAAACTAGTGACTAATTTGCATTTGGAAAATTAATCTTCAAACGTATCTTTTTCTTTAAAGGAAGAGGGAAAAAGAACAAAATAAATTTACAAGTTACTTTGCCTTTTCCTAGGGCCTGAAGTGATTAAACTTGGAAAAGTTGATGACATTAATCATACATTGAACTAGAAGGGAACTTATTTTTTCTGGTAGTCTACTACTTTGGACTCTCTTTTATTATGCATTGGCTAGATTTGCTTTTTCTGTAATTTTTTCTCAAATTCTTTTGTCCATAATATGGCTCCATGCTACTTTGCTTTTACCCTTCTACTTCTCAATACCAACCTCTTCATTCTGGTCATTCTGTGTCTCTCTTATCTTTTCAGTCATCATTTCTACCTTCTTGTCTGCTGTCAAGGAGAGTTGTTTAATGGGTTGTTCCACATTCTAGAATAGTTTACCATTCTTTTTCTATTATTCCATAATTTTTCAAAGTTAATTATATTTCATGTTTTCATCTATAGATTGCTATTGTTTTCAAATGATTTTTTCAATAATCTTTCACTTTGTTTCATTTGAGAGCTTATCTCCAAATGTGTGTGTGTATGTGTTTGTGTGTGTGTGTATGTGTTGTGTGTTAGCTCTTTCTCTACCTGGTTAATAGACATTAGTGAGTAAGGACCTTATCTTACACTTATATGTCACTACGAGGAATGTAATACAGTGCTGGACATCCATCAGGCATTGAAAATTTTTTGTCCCCTTCCCCCATCCCCACATGTCCCATTTTTTCCTTTCAAATTTTTGTGTATTCCCTAGATTTACCTGGTTATAGCTAATTCTTTCAATGGCATTCAGACTCAGAAGGTCTTTTAACATTTAAAATTTATTCTTTCTTAGGAAAAAAATAGTTTCATACTATTTGTTCTTTCTTTTTCTTTTTCCTTGTTTTTAATAGAATCTTGCTCTGTCTCCCAGGCTTAGGAAAAAAATGGTTTCATACTATTTGTTCTTTCTTTTTCTTTTTTCCTTGTTTTTAATAGAATCTTGCTCTGTCTCCCAGGCTGGAGTGCAGTAGTGTGATCGTAGTTCACTGCAGCCTTGAACTACTGGATGATCAAGTGATTCTCCCACCCCAGCCTCCTCAGTAGCTAGGACTATAGGCACACACCACTGTGCCCAGCTAATTTTTAGATTTTTTTGTAGTGATGGAATCTCACTTTGTTCCCCAGGCTGGTCTGGAACATCTGGCTTCAAGCGATCCACCCACCTTGGCTTCCCGAAGTGTTGGGATATAGGTGTGAGCCACCTTTCCTGGCCATGCTACATTTTGAAATGATGGAAATGTTTTAGAATCTGGGTTTTGTATCCGTGTGACAATTTTAAAGGGTCACACATAGACACATGACCCCGAATGCAAAACTAATATGACAAACTTATAATAATATTTTACAATTTTGCAGAGATCTGGCTTTCTTAGTTTACGAAGAGTGTATACAAACCAATAAGAAAAAAATTAGTAATGAACAGAAAATATGGGCAAAAGATGTGAAAAGGCATTTATGAAAAAAAGAAATAAAAATTTTACTTACTCATAGTTAAGGAAATGAAAATCAAAATGAGGTGCTACTTTGTTAAAAAAAAATTAGATGAGCAAATGATAGCTATTGTTGCCGGGGATATAAAGCAATGGACAGTCTCATGCACTGTTGATGACTTAATTGGTTAGGAATTCATTTTGTCTCAAAGTAATAGAAAACTTGTATATTGATAGTAGTTTAAACAAATAGGAATTTATTTCCTTACACAATAGGAAGGTGGCATTTTGTTAGAGCTTGATGATGTCAAGGTTGGTATTTCTTAATTTTCTTGGCCAATCCCTTATAGACTACTTCATGGACATGAATCGTTTCAGATATGGTCAAATCCAAGGTAAGAATAAATTGGTAGAAGGAAGGACCACACTAGTTGTGATTGTCCCTTTTTATCAAAAAAGCAGAAGCTTTCTCAGAGCTCTGCAGCTGATGTTCTTTTCAGTTTTGTGGTCACTTACATGAGATTAACTATATTGCTGCTTTGAATGAAATCAGTATTTTATTAGTAAGGAAATTACTAATAGTGAGAAGGGATATTGGGTAGGCAACTAACAGTGTCTGCCAGATGACTAGTGCAACTTTTCCAGAGAGAAATTGTCAGCATCGGCTGTGCACGGTGGCTCACGCCTATAATCCCAGCGCTTTGGGAGGCCGAGGCAGGCGGATCATGAGGTCAGGAGATCAAGACCATTCTGGCCAACATGGTGAAACCTCGTCTCTCCTAAAAATACAAAAATTAGCTGGGCATGGTGGTGCGTGCCTGTAGTCCCAGCTACTCAGGAGGCTGAGGCAGGAGAATCGCTTGAACCCGGAAGGCGAGGGCTGCAGTGAGCCGAGATTGCGCCACTGCACTCCCGCCTGGGTGACAGATCGAGACTCTGTCTCAAAAAAAAAAAAAAAAAAAAAAAAGTCGTCAGCATCTTTCCAAATTTAGTATTATTCTTCAATCCAAAAGTTATACTCTCCAGAGTTTACCCACAAACAAGTTTCTGTTTTTCTGAATTATTTAGAGAACTTGGTAGAAGTATAACTTTCTTGGCCCTTCCCTAGACCTCAGAATCATTGTAGTCGGTAAGGAATCTATATTAGTTTTAAACAGCTTACTAGTTGACTTGTTTGGAGCCAGATTTGCAAATTTCTGCATAGACGGTAGTGAAACTCAGATTTTTATAGTATGGTAGTCATAAAATTGTTAAAAAAAAAATGTATCCAGTCAACTTATAGCTGGCTTTTTAAAAAAATAACAAAAAACTTCTCCCCCCATTCAGTTAAGTAATTGCAGATAGGCAAAAAGAATAAAGCACACATCTCTCTTTTGTATGGAGAACAATTGTTAACACCAGCTGCCAGTTTTGTATTTTATTTTATTTGGTGTAAATCCTTACAAATCTGTGAGTGCATGTGTGTATGCATATATATGTATTTAAAAAATCTATAATGGATATTTTTCTGTATCAATACAGATGTACATATTTCCTTTTTAATTCTTATTATTCCATTATATATGATTTATTTTTTTTTTTTTGAGACGGAATCTCACTGTATTGCCCAGGCTGGAGTGCAGTGGCACGATCTTGGCTCACTGCAACCTTCACCTCCCGGGTTCAAGTGATACTCCTGCCTCAGCCTCCCGAGTAGCTGGAACTACAGACGTGTGCCACCACACCCTGCTAATTTTTTGTATTTTTAGTAGAGATGGGGTTTCACCATGTTGGACAGGCTGGTCTTGAACTCCTGACCTCAGGTGGTCTACCCTCCTCGGCCTCCCAAAGTGCTGGGATTACGGGCATGAGCCACCGTGCCTGGCCGAGTATACTATTTATTAAAGCAGTCTTTTTCTTTTCTTTTTTTTTTTTTGAGACGGAGTTTCACTCTTGTTGCCCAGGCTGGAGTGCAATGGCATGATCTCGGCTCACTGTACCCTCCTCCTCCCAGGTTCAAGAGAGTCTCCTGCCTCAGCCTCCTGAGTAGCTGGGATTACAGGCATGTGCCACCACGCCCGGCTAATTTGGTATTTTTAGTAGAGACAGGGTTTCTCCTTGTTGGTGAGGCTGGTCTCGAACTCCCAACCTCAGGTGATCCGCCTGCCTCAGCCTCCCAAAGTGCTGGGATTACAGGCATGAGCCACCACGCCCGGCCAAAGCAGTCTTTTTCTTAATACACCCTCCAGTTTTGCTGTACAACAGTGCTGGTAATGAATGCCCTTAAACAAATACATGTTTTTTCTGATTATTTCCATAGTATAAAATATGTACAGTTGCTATTTGGTACACTCATTATTTTGATTTATGTCTTTATTAGTAAAGATATAGGTCTTTTTTATGTTTATTGGTCATTTGCATTTCTTCCTTTGCATTATTGTCTTTAAAGTTTTAGTCATCTTTTTAATTAACTACTATTAATATATTAAGTAGTAGTATATTCTAAGTATATTTTAAGAGTAAATCAGTTTTATGGTCTGCTTAATTTTGAGAATAATTCCTCATTTTAAAAAAAATGAGACATGCCCTATAATTTAATGATTTGGTTTCCATTTAAGCTGTTAGTGGAAGAGATGAAGGTAATTATGAAAATATAATGTGGTATTACCTTAAAGGGGTAATTGCTTATTACCTTATAGCCTTAAAAATTAGATGACATAATTTTAAGTATATTATGTAGTTATTATCCAGACTGTAAGCCTTTCTCAAATATGTTTTTTAGAGGTAGGGTCGTGCTCTGTTGCCCAGGCTGGAGTATCGTAGCAGGGTCAATGCTTACAGCAGCCTTGAACTTCTGGGCTCAGGTGATCCTCCTGCCACAGCATCTCCTGAGTAGCTGGGACTGCAGCTGTGTGCCACCATGCCTGGCCCCTTAAATGTGTTTTAAGTAACATTTATTCACTTTAAAAATTACTGTTTAATTTTTTAAAGCCATAATTTATATCTTATATAATAAAGTTGAAACCTAGCTGTCAGGATTTATAAATCGTAAGTATATAGATATATTTAAGCAATATGATTTTATCTTTTCTAAAACTTTATCCTGAGCCAAGTGATGAGCTTCCTTTTGAAATGTTTATACCCATGACCAGAATTTTTGTCAGTTTTACTTTTAGCCTCCAGAACAGTTGTTAAAGATATGCCGTTTTCCAGTGATTGATAGCAAGGTAACATTCAGGCACCGAATCAGATTCTTACCTAAATAAGAAACATTGAATTTTAAATAGTATTTCTTCATTGGGTAGCAGGCAGTGTACTTATTTGTTGTTTGAATGAGGTAACAAATCCACAGTTATTTGGTTTTCATTCAAATACCAACAACAAAATGGCAGTTTTGTGAAGAATTTATAATTTTATTTACAATATAAAAACTAATGAACCTTCTGATTCTGACTTGTAGGGGATTAAGACTCACATTAATATTTCTTTAATAGCTAAATTAGGGCTTTTTAAAAGGTGTTGTTGAGGCCAAATAATTTTATTGGCATTTGGAAGATATTTCTCTTTTTTTCGTGTTTCCACAGATCGTTAACTGAAGACAATATGCAAAATTCTCACATGGATGAATACAGAAATTCTAGTAATGGCAGCACAGGCAACAGTTCAGAGGTAGTGGTAGAACATCCTACTGATTTCAGTACTGAGATTATGAACGTTACAGAAATGGAACAGTCACCTGATGACTCTCCCAATGTGAATGCATCTACAGAAGAAACTGAAATGGCAAGTGCTGTGGACCTTCCAGTGACGCTGACAGAAACAGAAGCAAATTTCCCTCCAGAATATGAAAAATTTTGGAAAACTGTAGAAAATAATCCTCAGGATTTTACAGGCTGGGTATATTTGCTTCAATATGTAGAACAGGAGGTTAGTAACTATTAAAATGGTATCAGAAGGGACAAATTAATCAAGTCATTAATTTATAATGAAACAGTAGACCTTATTGTTTATGATTAAAATTGACTCATAATTTTCAAATGAAGTTGAATAACATTAGGTAGCTACATTTTTAGCTTTGAAAATAGCTTACAGCTTTTGTATGTTGTAGAGAGTCAGTAGTGTCAAAGCTTAATGTTTTGTAATAATTGAGGTGTAAATGTGTGTGTAAAATTGCTGAAATAAAAAGTTGGCAAAATTAGTTCCTTCTGTTTCAATTGCGTTTAGAAGAAAAAGGGGGCTGCTGCCTGTGTAGGTTTTTTTTTTTTTTTTTTTTAAGTGAAAGCAAGTTTATTAAGAAAGTAAAGGAATAAAAGAAGGGCTGCTCCATCGGCAGAGCAGCCTGCATGTGGAGTTTTTAAGCCTGCCATTTATTATTATTTTTTTAGATAATAACGTTTGAAAGGAATAATAAATATTTTTTTGACAGAAATTTCCACAATATTTAAATACTGTTTTATTTTTATCAGAATCACTTGATGGCTGCCAGGAAGGCATTTGACAGATTTTTCATACACTATCCGTATTGCTATGGTTACTGGAAAAAGTATGCAGACCTTGAAAAGCGGCACGACAACATTAAACCATCAGATGAGGTGCGTACATCACTGAATAAACTTATCTCCAATAGGTACTGTAAGCCAATTAATAACAAAACAAAGATTTTTTTTTTTTTTTTTTTTTGGCTGGCAGTACCTACCATTTATGGTCAAACAATTTTTATAGGGTATTTATTTGCATTTGTCACTCTTGTGGCATTTGTAGCTAATATTTTCTCTCTTTGTTGGCAGGTGCGTTAAACCTCTACAGTTTGTCAAGCTTTGCAGTGCAAGCCTCTGTATTACACTGCAGCTTAACAAGTAGGGCAGGGCTTTTCTCTCACTTACATTTATTTCTCATTTTCCAAACAATATAGTTGGTTTGCTAGTCACATTTGCTACGTCTTATTGCATTTTTGGTCAGACGCTGTCATTGATGCTCTAATGGGTCTGTGCCCTATGGTCTGTAACCCAAAGCCTGCCCACACAACCCGGTCAGAATGCAGGGACTGCTGCGCTTTGAAGATCAAGACTCTGCACGTGGGGATCAGAACATTGCCATGTTCTATCCAACCTCCACCCAAATGGTAATGGTAGATTATTTAAACAAAATTCCAGTAATTAGTATTTCTAAGGTTCACCGGATAACACAGTGTTGCCTCTCTGTTAAGAAATAATTAAATATTTGAAGTACAGTTTGCTGTTTTCTTCTTAGGTTTATCGGCGGGGGCTTCAGGCAATACCTCTTAGTGTTGACCTTTGGATACATTATATAAACTTCTTAAAAGAAACATTGGACCCTGGTGATCCTGAGACAAACAATACAATAAGAGGGTATGTGGAACATTGATACTGAAATGTTTTTTATGATATAAATAATTATTCTGATGTTGATAATAGAGCTCATGAAAGCTAAGCTGGAAGTTTAACTTCTATTCCATTGTTAAAAAAATGATACATGTAATAAACTTAAGCTTTATGATTTGAAAATGCAGATAATAAAGCCCTCCTACAGTCCATGCCTCTTATGTCCCCAATTCCACTCCTCAAGGTTAATAGCTTGGTGTGTGTTCTTTCAGATATATGTATAAGTACATGTTTATGCGTATGCTTTCATACTGCTCTTTGACTTTTTTTTTTTAATAATGTTTGGGAATCTCTTCCTGCCATATTTTTTAACAATTACAAAAAGTATTTTATAATACTTTATAAAAAGTATCTTATAAGCCAAAGTACTCTATTTCACCAAATCCTTATTTATAGGAAATAATCAGTGCTACAGTGAACATCTCTGTACAAGTCAATATTTTTTGTAGAATGCACTAGAAATGGAACTTCTGTCAAAGGGAACACACAGCTCAGTTTTATCAAATGTTCCTTCAAAAATGGTATCGATTCTAAACTCCCACAGTGTATGAAAATAATCATTTTCCCACAGCTGTGCCACATTTTTTGTTTGTTTTACCTCCAGTGGCATCTCTTTTAATTTGTTTATGTCTTGATTGCTCATCCTGGTTTACCATGTTCTCATATGCTTATATAAGCCATTTTTTAAATTACCTGTTGATATTATTTGCTCATTTTTCTATTACATTATCTTTTTCTTGATTACAGTAGTTTGCTAATGTACTTGTTTTTGGTTTTCAAAAAAAAGCATGTGCATATTGCTTAAGAAGTTAGCTAATGTTAAACTGCTTGTAACAAAAAGTACCACCTCCACCTCCCTTCAAATATTTTAGCTCTTTCTTCTGGTATTTTCCACCATGTGTTTAACAGTAGATCTATGTTGCTTTCTTTCTTTCTCTGTTAGCTGTAGACATTATGTATCTGTTACGGTAAGTGAGAATTTTAACCCACTTACACTTTGTTTTCTCATTCCTTATCTTTCCAATATAGCTACAGAATAGGTTTCAATAATCAGCTTCAGTATTTTTTTTTAATCATTGTAAATCCATAAATAAGGATGGGCACAGTGGCTTATACCTGTAATCCCAGCACTTTGGGAGGCTGAAGTGGGAGGAGCGCTTGAGCCTGGGAGGTTGAGGCTGCAGTGAGCTGTGATTGCACCACTGCACTCTAGCCTGAGTGACAGAGTGAGACCTTGTCTCAAAAACAAAAAACATTAGCTGGGCATGGTGGCGCATGCCTGTAGTTCTAGCTACTCGGGAGGCTGAGGCAAGAGAATCGCTTGAACCTGGGAGGTGGAGGTTGCAGTGAGCCAAGATCGATCGTGCCACTGCACTCCAGCCTGGATGACAGAGCAAGACCCTGTCTCAAAAAAAAAAAAAAAAGAGAGAGAGATCAAAAACCTATAAATATTTTTCATCATACTGTCTTTTCATTTTATAACCTTTTTGGTTTTTAATTGCTCCTCCCCTGCCCCTCATTTTTCCCGTTTGTCTAATTTTCTTTGAACATTTAAGGTTTTTTCATACTCTCCAGCAGCTTTGTAGAAGGCTTTAAATATAGCTTTCTATACAATCAGATCTGTTAAAAAATGTGTAAGTCCCATTTTTTCCTCTCCTTTGAGCTGTCTCCTGGAAACCTTCCTACTATAATCTGGACTGGTCTTCTAGTTCTGCTGTACAAGAGTTGTCTTGGGATTTTCTTATCATCATGGTTCTAGGAGATGTCTTTACCTCACTTCTGGGTGAGTTTATTATTAGATCTCACTCTTTTCTTGATTTCATGTCCAACTTTTAGAAGAGTGTGTCCTATAACTTCTTGTTAAAGGATGCTTGGATGAAAAAATAATTTTAAGGTTTGGTAAGCTGTAGAATTTGGAGTTGAAAATTATTTTCTCCATAGAGCTTTGAAGGCATTATTTATTCCTTTATAGCTTCTGCTATTGCTTTTGAGAAGTCCAATACCATTCTTGCAGAATAGATTCTCTTTCTATAATGTGTTTTTCCTCTGTGGAAGCTGTTAGGATGTTCTCTTTGGGTCTGATGTAAATGAAGTTTTATAAAAATGAGCTTTGATGTGGATTTTCTTTTTCTTATTGTGATTATTGGGTGATTGGGTGAGTCTTTTCATTCTGAGATTCTAATGTCCTTCTATTCTTAGAAATGTTATTATTATGGATATTCTTATTTTGACAGTTTCCTTGCCTTGATTTTCTCTGTTGTTTTTAATAGTTGGATGTTGGACCTCTTCTTTTAATTACTGAGTTTTTCTTTTCTTCTTCCTATTTTTCATATCTTAGACTTTGTCTGGCTTTTTGAGGTATTTCCTTGACCCTTGTATTGGATTTTTAACATCTTCCATCAGATTATTATTATTTTTTTTTTTGAGACAGAGTCTCCCTCTCTCCCCCAGGGTGGAGTGCAGTGGCTCGATCTCGGCTCACTGCAAGCTCCACCTCCTGGGTTCACGCCATTCTTCTGCACCAGCCTCCTGAGTAGCTGGGACTACAGGCACCTGCCACCACGCCTGACTAATTTTTTGTATTTTTAGTAGAGACAGGGTTTCACCGTGTTAGCCAGGATGATCTGCATCTCCTGACCTCGTGATCCGCCCGTCTTGGCCTCCCAAAGTGCTGGGATTACAGGCGTGAGCCACCACGCCCGGCCCAGATTCTTAATATCCAAGAATCTTTCTTGTTCTCTGAGTGTTCCTTTTTTTATACTCTCCAATTCTTGTTTCATGGCTGCATATCTTTTTGTTATTTCTTTGATGATACTAAGGATAGTTGAGATTTTCCTCTGTTCCCAGGACGGTTTCCTCTCAAATTTTTCTGTTTACCCATTTTCATCTCTGAGATATGTGATCTCTGGATTTTTGTTCCTATTACAGATTAGATATTAACAAGCTATATGAGCCAGGCACAGTGGATCACTTGAGGTCAGGAGTTCGAGACCAGTCTGGCCAACATGGTGAAACCCTGTCTCTACTTAAAATACAAAAAAATTAGCTGGGCATGCTGGCAGGAGTCTGTAATCCCAGCTTCTCAGGAGGCTGAGGTAGGAGAATTGCTTGAACCTGGAAGGCAGAAGTTGCAGTTAGCTGAGATCGTGACATTGCACTCCAGCCTGGGTGACAGAGCGAGACCCTGTCTCAAAAACAAACAAACAAACAAACAAACAAACAAAACAAAACACAAGCATATGGAAGCACTGTGTGTTTTGTATGGGGCATTGTCAGTTGGCCTATGGTGTTTCACAGTAGTGTAATCATGTGGCCACTCTTTTTGCTGGTGGATTCCCAGTGATAGTAACCTTATATCTTATTCCTGAGCCAAGCAGTTTGTTTAGAAAAGGATAATTTTATTTACTTGGGGAATGGACACCTAGCTTCTGAAATCCCCATAGCTGGGCGGGAAAGTTGAAGATTTCTCACGATTCATTAAGTATACCTTCTTCTAAACGTTCTGTCTTCATTTCATTACCTTCTTGTCTTCTTCCCCTTTTCTCCATACTTTTTTCAGTGTCTGGTTAATTTTCTGAATCATTTGGGGTTCTGTAGGGACAGTAACATCTATTTTATTCTTTTGAAAACCTTACACCAAATATGCACATGCATGCATGCACAGACACACATGCTCTTCAATCTTTTATTTCTATATTAAACATATTTCCTCCAATGTTGGTATGTTTTTAACTTTGTTTATGGTGTCTTTTATCATATGGAGTTTTATTTTTCCTTAATGTGCTTCTGTTTTAATTCTTACTGGTTCCTGAGTTTTGTGCCTATTTTACCAAAAATATATAAATCCTGTATTTTGTTCTAACTTTTCTATAGTTTTTTGCTTATTCATTTATCTGAATTTAATTTCTATCTGTCGTGAGATAGACATTAGCCTTTTATATACTCCCACTGTTGAATTAAAGTATCTCCTATATCATACACCAAATACTCACACACATTGATCTCTTTTTTGTTTTCTTGGCTCTGTACTGTTCATCCATTTTTCTGTTACCTGGCCAGTGCCAAACGTGTAATTACTATAGCTTCCTAGTTTCTTATATTATCTTTCAGGAAAATGCCTGCTGCATTATCCTTTTACAAAGTCATTTTGCATTTTTGTATTCTAGATGAATAGTAGAATTTGATTTTTTCTTGTTCCACTAAACATTTTTTAGCGCTTTATTGAAATTGTGTTAAAATTGTGGTTTAACTTAGGGGAGTGTAGTTTTATACTTTTTAAAAATCTCTCTTGATTCTAAGATACTTATCTTGAAAGTATGTATCTAAAAGCTTTATCCCATTGGAGTATTAAATCCAGTGATTAAAATTGCTTACAGAAATCTCTTGACATGACTAGGTATTTTAAAATACTTTGTAACAAACTTTTTTTTTTTCTTTGGAGACAGAGTCTTGCTCTGTCATCCAGGCTGGAGTGCAGTGTTGAGTGGTGCAATTTCAGCTCACTGCCACTTTCGCCTCCCAGGTTCAAGTGATTCTCATGCCTCAGACTCCCGAGTAGCTCGGATTACAGATGTGCACCACAACGCCTGGCTAATTTTTGTATTTTTAGTAGAGATGGGGTTTCGCCGTGTTGGCAAGGCTGGTCTCAAACTCCTGGCCTCATGTGCTGGAATTACAGGTGTGAGCCATCGTGCCCAGCCTGTGATAAAACTTTAATGATAGAATTTTAGAATTGAGAGGGGCTTTTGAGAGGTTTAAAGTATATGTATACTTTTTTTTTTTTTTTGAGACAGAGTCGCGCTCTGTCGCCCAGTCTGGAGTGCAGTGGTGCAATCTTGGCTCATTGCAACCTCCGCCTGCCGGGTTCAAGCAATTCTCCTGCCTCAGCCTCCCAAGTAGCTGGGACTACAGGCATGTGCCACCATGCCTGGCTAATTTTTTGTATTTTTGTAGAGATGGGGTTTCACCATGTTGGCCATGTTGATCTTGAACTCCTGACCTAAGGTGATCCTCCCGCCTCAGCCTCCCTAAGTGCTGCGATTACAGGCATGAGCCTGTAATCACGCCTGTAACCATTTCACCATGCCTCATGAAAATATTCTTAAATTGAGATAAAATTTGCCTCTCTTTAACTTCCTACTTGTTTTAATTTTGTCTTCTGTCATAAATCAATCTATACAATAGACATTTCAGATTTAACAAATACTTACATGTCTACTCTTACCTATTTGCAATGTGTACATTTTGTATTTAATTTTCTATTTGATAAAGTTACATAAAAAGTACATTTATCTATTCTCTTTGTTTTCTCACTCTTTTTAAGCAGCTGTTGTATGCTTTCTGTTATTCTGTCTACCCTTTAATCCCTACTTGCATAGGAAGCAGTTGAATATAATTTTTGAAGTTAGCATTATCTTCTAAATTTAGAAATAATATTTTAAAAGTGATTTTATCTTGGAAAGATAACTTAAGAGTAATTTAATTTTTCAGAACTTTTGAGCATGCTGTTCTAGCTGCAGGAACAGATTTCCGTTCTGACAGACTGTGGGAAATGTATATAAACTGGGAAAATGAGCAGGGAAACCTGAGAGAAGTTACAGCTATATATGATCGTATTCTTGGTATTCCAACACAGCTGTATAGTCATCATTTTCAGAGGTAGGTGGGAAATTCTGATCATTGAAACATCTTTGATTACTCAGATAGTTGGTAATATTAAGTATTATAATTATCTTGGAATGTTATGTAAGCTTTTATTATGTGGAAAGAGGAATAAATTTTGTTGCTAATCACAACCTACATGCTTGCTTTTGACATTTTTTCATATGCCTTATGAAATGTTTAGAAATTTTACTGTTTTTAGATAGAAGTTTCTCCTTATTCATTTTAATGGATAAAGAGAAACAGGAATTCTGTCTTGTCTAAGGTAGTTCAGAGTAATGAAGGAATGAGAAAATAGTACCTAAGTTGAGTTATTTATTTATGGCATTAAATTGACACAGTGCCTGGCACATGATAGATGCTTATTTTTTTTGAAACTTAATGATTTGCTAAATATACATTATTGTGATTGCTATAACACCTTATATCCAAAACAGTGAAGGATGCATTTTATATAGTAAGTAGTATCTATTTTCAAACACTCAGGTATCATTCCATTTTAATTTTCTAAAATGATTTTTCTGTTACAATTGGTATCCTTTTATTTTAATGATTACTGTTAAAACAACTAATTCTGTGTCATTATTTTTGTGTTCTGTTTTCTGCTTTATTCAGAGTATCCCATAAATAAGGATCCAGAAAGTCTTTCTGAACGAGTATGAGGACTGTGTCTTTGCTTTTAAATTGGCATGTTTTCTATTTTTTGTTATAATTTTTATGAGTAGTATTGTATAAACTTAGTATTTTCTATTTTTTGTTATAATTTTTATGAGTAGTATTGTATAAACTTAGGTACTTTTTAAGTGAGTGATTTTCTAAATTTTTTTTTTAGTACCAAAAGTAGAAGACTTTTATGAAGCATTTGTAAAGTACTAAGGATCAATGTGCTAAAGGTAGAAGTTATACAGACTCAGGTTAGAAATAGGAAGCATATAGATAGGAATATTCTCTCTGCTCTTGATGAAATAGAGGAAGCAGGCAGGTTTCTAAGGTATAACGACCTAGGAAGACACTTGCTGAAAGATGTTAACACAAGTAAGAATTGGCATATGGAAATGCTTGGTAAATAGTTACCAAACACATAAGTACAAAAGTACTTAAATTACCTGATGGGCCAAAGAGGGTGTCTTTTCATAGACTAGTTCTTCTGTGATTTAAAGTATAGGAAAAATCTATGACTACAAGAACTTTACTGATGATGGAAAAAAAATATTTGTAGGAAACACACATAGCATTTTCTATATCCCAGACACTGTGCTGAGTGCTTTGTAACTCACTTAATCCTCCCAGTAACCCAGTGAGGCAAGTACTATTGTTCCCATTTTATGAAAGGGGAGACACAGGGAGATTAGCATATTTATCTAAGGCCACAGAGTTTGTAAGTGATTGGAAGCTACTTGGAACTTAGACAGTATGGCCCTGAAGTTTTTGATATGTTCTCCTACAAATCTTTTTTATTTCTAAATAAATATCCCACTAGGCTTTTATTTATTTATTTTTCTTTAAGTTGTCAGTTACCCTAGGCTTTTAAAAATGCATATATACTTACAATAGATATTAGTGGGATTATATTACACATACTGATCTATAATCTGATATTTTTCACTTAATGCATTTAGAACCACTTTCCTTATCAGTTATAGTGAACTCACAAGTAATCTTTATGCAGTTCTTATAGTTTATATAAGTTAATTCACATGACTAACTGCTTTGAGAACCACTGAATGTTTTGTTTTTTTTTTCCATAACACATGCCTCTTTCTTAAAGTCATTTATTTAGCATTTGCTGTGTACCTGTTGATAGGCTATTTAAGTTGTAGGAATGAAGGCCCAAAGAAGCCATGTGTAAATAGCGTTGCCTGTGAGTTGGTCAGAAGGATAGAGGAGGAGGCGTGTGTTAAAAAAGATATTCTAAGTGGTATACAGTAATAATGGAAATATTTTTATTGTGCTTGTGCATTAGGCTTGTACCATTGGATGTACCCTGCACATTATCTCTGAGATAATGTCTAATTTAAATCCTTCTTTAGCATGAGGACTTTGTGATCTGGTCTAACATCCAGGTCCAATCCCTGGTGGTTCCTGAGCTCTAGACACACCTAAGTCTGATAACTTCCCAAAGGGCAGTGTTGTTTTATATCTTTATGACTGTAATACCTTTTCCTCTTTCCACTTGTCTAGTGGACTTATATTCCCTGAGACCACACAGTTTTGTGTCTTCTCTGTGAAATTTTCTCTGGTTCTCCTATACTGAGATACCTAGTCTGTTATTTGTGCCATGACTTTACCTACATTTATTTACATTTATATTAGCACCAGTAACACTGCTTTGAATTTATGTCTCTTATATCCTCAACATGCCTGTCAGTTTCTGAGGCTTAATTCTTTGTATCTCTAATATTTAGGAATAGAGCTCAATATATATTAGGCAGTCAGCCAGTCTTTACTGAATAAATGTTAGCTTTATAATACAAAAAACTGCTGAAAAAATACTGCTTAATATTATGCACATTTTGTCACTGTTTTAAAGAAGTTGTTACATGATGTAGCAATAAGTCATTTTAGATTTATGTACTGTATGTAGTTATTTTGAAATTTTACCTTAAGTTTTTAATTCATTTGTTGACCATTCTGAGTTTTAATATTCATCTGTAATTAAATCTGTTTTTTCATACTACATATTTGAGAGTTACTTCCTTATTTTTAATTTTTTAACATAAGGCAATCTTTGTTAATTTTTTTCCACCTGGTGCTGAAATGGGCCGTTAGCCTCTGTATCCATTGACTTTGCAAAATTTAAATTAGATTCCAATGTTATTTATATACTTTTTTTTTTTTTTTTTTTGAGGTGAAATCTCGCTCTGTTGCCCAGGCTGGATTGCAGTGGTGCAGTCTTGGCTCACTGCAGCCTCCACCTCCCAGGTTCAAGTGATTCTCCTGCCTCAGCCTCCCGAGTAGCTGGGATTACAGGTGCCCGCCCCGACACGGAGCTAATTTTTGTATTTTTGGTACAGATGGGTTTCAGCGTGTTTGCCAGGCTGGTCTCAAACTCCTGACCTCAGGTGATCCGCCCACCTCAGCCTCCCAAAGTGCTGGGATTACAGGCGTCAGCAGGCGCCTGACCTGTTTGCTTACTTTTTAGTAACATTTCTGATAGTAGTATAGAGGTGGGAATGGGAGTTGTGAGACTAGAGGCTGCAAGGTCATTTTATGTTTATCCAGCTTAAAAGTCCCGAGGTGATGAACATGTATTTAAAAGGTACAGTCAGTAGGACCTGGTATCTAATGTAAATGAAAAGCTAGGTGGAAGAGATTGAGAGATGTAGTGGTTGACAGTACCATTAATCAATATTAGAAATGCTGAGGGTGGCGGGGCACGGTGGCTCACACCTGTAATCCCAGCACTTTGGGAGGCTGAGGCGGGTGGATCACCTGAGGTCAGGAGTTCGAGACCAGGCTGCCAACAAGGTGAAACCCCGTCTCTACTAAAATTAGAAAAATTAGCTGGGCGTGGTGGTGCGCACCTGTAATCCCAGCTACTTGGGAGGCTGAGGCAGGAGAATTGCTTGAACCCGGGAGGTGGAGCTTGCAGTGAGCCAAGATAGAACGATTGCACTCTAGCCTGGGCAACAGAGCAGGACTCCATCTCACACAAGAAAATAAAGAAAGAAATACTGAGGGTATTCATTTTCAGATGAAGATGCCATACTTATTTTAAAATATTTCATATTTGAGGTTCCAAAGGTATATTCAAATTGTGATAGTGTAGATATTTTAGCTCCTCAACCTGGTATTTTTGATTACAATTTGTATGTATACAAATTATTGCATGTTTTTATAAAATAGTGAAATGATATTTTTTTCAAAAATCTTTTTATAGATTAGCTTAAAACTAATCCACATTTCTTTGTGCAGAGTATTGGCAGTTGTATATGCTAATGTGATTAGGAGAAAGGTTTGGACTTGTGTTGTAGTTTTGAGAGTCATCATGGTATACTTATTTCAAGCTGTATGAATGAGATTGGCCAGAAGTATGTATTAATAAAAATAGATGAGAACCAAATGGAGAGTGGAATACTTGGGTATAGTAGCATTTAGGGCAGGTAAGAAGGGGAATAAGACATAGAGCAGCAGTCAGAGGCTTGGAGGACCATACTACAAAACAAGTGTCCATTTAATTTTATATATGAGGTAATTGATAATCTTAATTGGGCAGTTTCATTGGATTTTTGCGTACTCACATGTGGATGAGGAGTATTTGGGAGGTGGGAAGGAAATGCTATATTTGTTGGTTATTTACAAGTGATCATTTAGAATTTAAATATGGATTACAGTATTTAATTTTACTGTAACTTTTATGTCTTTGTAGTAAAATAGATTCTATGACACACGAATAGGTATTATCATCTTATTTTACAATTGAGGAAACTAAGATTTAGAGAAAAGAAAACCTTCCCTAGTCAGATAACCAGTAACAGACAGAACTGAGGTTTGAATTTATGCCCGTCCATGCCTTCTCCATTCCACTGTAAAGGTAGGAAGAAATTGAAGATGTCTATAGACTGTTTTATCATATGGTAGTGTTTTATCATATATGGTAGGATTTTACTATAGAAAAGAAGGAGAAAAGGTATGATATTTTGGTTTCTTTTTTAAATCAAATCCTTTGAAAGAGTAGTATATAGTAGGAATCTCAATATGAGATCTAAAATTATGATTCAAATACATATATTTTTATTGTCTTCCTTTAGATTTAAAGAACATGTACAGAATAATTTGCCTAGAGATCTTTTAACTGGTGAACAGTTTATTCAGTTGCGAAGGGAATTAGCTTCTGTAAATGGTCATAGTGGTGATGATGGTCCTCCTGGTGATGATCTACCATCGGGAATTGAAGACATAACCGATCCTGCAAAGGTAACCAGTCTTATTCTAAAGTTCGTCAGTGGCCAGGTATGGTGGCTTATGCCTGTAATCGCAGCACTTTGGGAGGCCAAGGTAGGCGGGTCACCTGAGGTCCGGAGTTTGAGACCCATGTAGGCAACATGGTGAAACCCTGTCTATACTAAACATACAAAAATTAGCCAGGTGTGGTGGCACATGACTGTAGTCCCATCTACTTGGGAGGCTGAGGTGGGAAGATTGCTTGAACCTGGAAGGCGGAGGTTGCAGTGAGCTAAGATGGCACCACTGCACTCCAGCCTGGGCCAAAGAGCAAGACTCCATCTCGGGGGGAAAAAAAGGTCTTTAGTGCAGAAGAAACTGGACCTGTTATCCCTTGACTCCATGAGTGGCACAGTGATCACTTATATAACTGGCCATTTACCCAGTGACTTGTAGCTTGTTTGAAGTTAATTTCTGATTAAGGCAAGTGGGGATTCAGTAGCTTGTATGTATAGATTTAAGGTAGAGAATCTATTTTACTACAAGACACCCCAAAAAAAACTTAGCTTAGAAGGAATATTTTGCCTAGGTTGTGTATCTACTAGCCCAATTTAAGAAAAAAAGAAAAAATATGAAAGTGGTTAATTAGGAAGTTGTGTGATAAGTTTTAGTGTTGTTAATTGGATTTTGCACATAATTGCCAACAGTTAAAAATCTACCACTATTCTAAGACTAAAATATCTGTGAATAATACTTAAATATAAGCAGTGATATTGAAAATTTTCAGTATACAGTTTGTGAGATTTATTTTTTTCCCTTTTTCTTCCCAAGCTAATTACAGAAATAGAAAACATGAGACATAGAATCATTGAGATTCATCAAGAAATGTTTAATTATAATGAGCATGAAGTTAGTAAAAGGTGGACATTTGAAGAAGGTGTAAGTGTTTTTGTTTTGTAATAGTCTTTAAAATACAAAGTAGGAATAATTTATTTTTCTTTCAATTTTGATAGTACTATCTCTGTTGTAACTTTATTTTTGCATATTTAAGCCATAACTTCAGATGTTTGTCTCATTTATTGTAATCATTATCAGTTTTTCCATTTTCCCTGATGAGTTTTAGAATGTTTGAATCCAGATTTACTTGAATTGCAAGATATCTGCTTAATCTGAACAATTTTATTCTAATTGTTCAATTTTTAAAAGTCAACTTCTTGGGGTTATACTTTACATACATTACAATTCACCCATTTTAGATATATAGTAAAATGAGGTAATTTCCCACAGTTTTAATTCTTTGGTTTTTTTTGACTGCTTTACTGAGATATAATTCACATGCCATATAATTCACCCATTTAAAGTATACAGTTCAATAGTTCTTAGTATATTCACAGATATGTACAACCATCACCACAGTCAATTTTAAAACATAATCACCACCTCAAAAAATAACACCTTAACTTTTAGTTGTCACTACCCCTACCTCCTCAGCTGCGACCCTCTACCCCCAGTGCTAAGATACCACCAACTGCTTTTTGTTTCTGTAGATTTCCCTATAATGGCCTTTCATATGAATGGAATCTTAGAATATGGAATCATTTCACAGATATATGTATATACATTGTAGTCATCACAGCAATCAAGATACAGAACTCTTTTAGCACTCCAAAGGTCCCCTTGGCCCCTTTCCAGCCAGAGTTCCCCTCTCCACTCCTAGCACTAGGCAGCCATTGATCTGCTTTCTGTCACTATGGTTGTTCAATTTTAAAATATTCAACAAAGTATAAAATGTTCTGTACATTAAAAAGCATGTAATTGGCAAAATGGCAGAATAGAGAGAAAATGTATTATTTCATTTGTTTGTAAAGCTTAAGGAATTTAAGGGTTAATTTTAAAAGTTTTTTAAATTATGAAATATGATTAAAAATTTTAATCATCAATTATATTTAAAATTATTTGTATTAACACTGTACATGTGCATATTTTGGTGATATTGGTTTACTTTCATTGGCATGTTACAATTTCATTTCAGATTAAAAGACCTTACTTTCATGTGAAACCTTTGGAAAAGGCACAACTAAAAAACTGGAAAGAATACTTAGAATTTGAAATTGAAAATGGGACTCATGAACGAGTTGTGGTTCTCTTTGAAAGATGTGTCATATCATGTGCCCTCTATGAGGAGTTTTGGATTAAGGTAAGAAAATCATGTGCTCTTAAACTTGAATATATTATAAACATTGATCTAGTGACTAACCTTTTTTGTACTTCTGTTGAATGTTGTTCATATAACTATATCTGTTGCATTAGGAGATGGTCTGCTTGCAACCAGATTTGACTGCTGCATATGCCAACCTCGTTGCCTCTCTTCGTCCTTCCTTACAGAAACTAGTCTAGTGGTTCAATAAAGGTGCTGAATGGGTTTAAAAATAGAATTTTATCGTTCTGTCACAAATTTAATGGCTTGTTCAACTGTAAATTATTCAGTATTTCCTCTTTTCTGTATGTAGTATGCCAAGTACATGGAAAACCATAGCATTGAAGGAGTGAGGCATGTCTTCAGCAGAGCTTGTACTATACATCTCCCAAAGAAACCCATGGTGCATATGCTTTGGGCAGCTTTTGAGGAACAGCAGGGTAAGAGTGGAGAAATTCAGTTGACATTTTTGAGATTTTAAGTTATTTCAGGAAACAGTGACAAATTGAGTGGTAAGGGATGGTGTAAAGCAGAGTTTGGCAAACTTTTTCTCTAAAGGGCCAGATAGTAAAAGCCACGTGTTCTGACTTTCAGGCTTTGTAAGCCATTGTAGCCCCGAAACAGCCATAGGCAGTGTGTAAATATGCATGGCTGTTTCCCATTATTAGTTGCTGGATTTAGCCCATGGGTGATTGTTGCCAGTATCTGGTTATAAACGTTATTTTGGTTGTTTAAACCAAAGCATAAACATTTAATTACTGTTTCTAGGTAATATTAATGAAGCCAGGAATATCTTGAAAACATTTGAAGAATGTGTTCTAGGATTGGCAATGGTTCGTTTACGAAGAGTAAGTTTAGAACGACGGCATGGAAATCTGGAAGAAGCTGAACATTTGCTTCAGGATGCCATTAAGAATGCCAAATCAAATAATGAATCTTCATTTTATGCTGTCAAACTAGCCCGGCATCTTTTCAAAATACAGAAAAACCTTCCAAAATCAAGAAAGGTGCTTTTGGAAGCAATCGAAAGAGACAAAGTATGCATTTGTATTTTTAAGAGTATCTTCTATTAAAAAAACCAGTGGTCAGTGTATTTTCACTGTGGCAACTGTGATGAAAGATTTGGTCTGTATGTAATAGATTTTATTACTAAATGAGGACAACAGTCCCTCTAAACTGATGTTGCCATTTAAAAATTTTTTTCAAATTGTTTTGAATTAAAAGTTTTAGACATTAAGATTATTGGGTTAAAATTGTTGTAGACATTGTGATACTTTATATTTTCCCTTTAGAAATTATCAACAAATTTACTGATTACTAAGTAGAACAGAGGACTTGGGAGAATACTTCATAAACAAAAGCATAGGCGTTGCCTATGTTGTAAGCACATTTAGAAGTGAGATGATTTTGCTTCTCCATAGAGTACTTTTTATATTTTTTATATATCAATTGAAAAAGGCAGTGTATAGGTAATAGGTAATTTCTCAAGTTTTAGGATTTTAGTTATTGCCAGGTCTGTTTAAGATACAGATTTATAGCAGTTTGCTTCTAGCTGCAGTTTAAGATGTTTATCTTTTTTTTTTTGAGTCTGTCGCCTAAGCTGGAGTGCAGTGGTGCCATCTTGGCTCACTTCAACCTCTGCCTCCTGGGTTCAAGTGATTCTCCAGCCTCAGCCTCCCGAGTAGCTGGGATTACAGGCATGCATCACCGCGTCCGGCTGATTTTTGTATTTTTAGTAGACACAGTTTACTATGTTGGTCAGGCTGATCTTGAATTCCTGACCTCAGATGATTTGCCTGCCTCGGCCTCCCAAAGTGCTGGGATTACAGGCGTAAGCCACTGCACCTGGGCTTTTTTTTTTTTTTTTTTTTTTTTTTTGAGACAGAGTTTCATTGTCATTGAGGCTGGAGTGCAGTAGCGTGATCTCAGCTCACTGCAGCTTCCACCTCCTGGGTTCAAGCCATTCTCTTGCCTCAGGCTCCCAAGTAGCTGGGATTAAAGGTGTGCACCACCACGCCAGTTAATTTTTGTATTTTTAGTAGAGATGGGGTTTTACCATGTTGGCCAGGCTGGTCTCAAACTCCAGACCTCAAGTGATCCTCCTGCCTTGGCCTCCCAAAGTGGTGGGATTATAGGCATGAGCCACCACGCCCGGTTAAGATGTTTATCTATAGTTGTAGTAAAGATTTAAATTATTTGAAGCATAGAGATTTTTTTTTATGTTTTGTTTTCTAATTGTCATGGTAGGTCATGTCATACTAAATACAAGATAGGCTATAGAGTTTTAATTTACTGTCATTGAACAATTTGCATTGTTTAGGAGGTACTAGGATGATCAACTGATTGAAAAATTCATCAGTGTGTTAATGAATTTTTTCACCCCTTTAGATATATGCTGAAAACATTTAGCATGAGTTGTATTTTAATACAATTTTCAATATTTTTTCAAATTGAGACATAAAAACTAAGGCATTTTAAATATCTGTGCTCTAATAAAAATATTTTAGAAATATTCATTGATGCTGCTTTTTACACAGGAGAACACAAAGTTATACCTCAATTTACTTGAAATGGAATATAGTGGTGACCTCAAACAAAATGAAGAAAATATCCTAAATTGTTTTGACAAAGCTGTACATGGTTCATTACCTATTAAAATGAGAATTACATTTTCTCAGAGAAAAGTGGAATTTCTTGAAGATTTTGGTTCCGATGTTAATAAGTAAGATATTAGTTATATTACCTATTTGAATGATAAATGAGCATTGATATTTTTGTATGGGGATTTGATGATTAGTATAGATTAATACATTGTTAAATTTTAAAATGTTCGCTTAGTTTACTTTTTCCTCAGATATATATGGGGGTAAATTCAATTTTGTAAATGTATATGTACTTAACAGGAAGGCATAAGGTTTGTCTTTCCTTCAAAACTGTTTTCCCAATTTTAGAATGACAATTTAAACCATGACTGAATGAGAGAAGGCAGGAAGGAGCAATCCTGTGAAAAGGGAAATGGGATAAGGATTGAACCCTGAAACCCAAATATTTAATATATAGGTCAATAAAGATGGATGGGATTAATCTCCAGTAGGAGTGCTATTTTCTGAGATTGGAGAAGAGGATGGATATGGTCCCACAGAACATGCCTAGTGGCCTCATCTTCCTTCATTGTAAAAGCCGAAAGTTGAGGATGGTTGAAGAGAATGCTCCAGTGGATTTGGGAAAAGGACAAGTTTAAGATTAAATTTACTAAGAGTACAAATATTGGCTAGAGCATTGCTGAAGTTCCAGTCTTATCTGATTGTAGTAAGCAAATACACCAGTTCCTGTTAGGCATGTGCCTTTTATGATTATTCGCATTTAGATTTCTGTTGAAACCACTGTAGATAAACTGAGAATTAGTTGTGTCTGGGTGTTTGTATATGTGTGTATATATTTTTGATGGCTGTGTAAAATTTCAGTGCAACTAATATAACAGCTAATGTTTATATTAGTGTATTTTAATGTATTAATGTATATATTTGCGTGCTTGGCATGATGCCAAATGTTTTATATTAGCTATCTTGCAGAAAATTCATAGCAGTAGAATGAGGGTGTAGGGTTCTGTTCTCTTAATAGATGAGAGGATTAAACAGAGATTAGGCATTTTTTCTGAGGTCATGTAGCTATTATCACATTGTGGAGCGAGGACTGAACCTACTTCAGAGTTTCTGCTCTTAACTGCTTGTGTGCTGTGTATTTAGTGTCTTATGTTTACACTGAAGAAGGTACACAAAAGATGAGATATGTAATTCTAGCTTCTAGTCTGGTTGAATGATATGATTAACAGGAAGTAAGTGTATGAGGTAGCAAATAACTGCTAGGAGGGCTGTGATGTCTCTCGATCAGAATGGATTTGTCATGCTTCATAGAGGAGGTTGGGCTTCATTTAGTTATTACTGGATTCTGATAAACTGAGCAGAGGACACAGTGGCGGAAGCAAGTTGAATCTCATCTAAAAGTAACATCTGCTTGATTGGAGGTTTTTGTGAAGTAGTGGAAGCGTGATCTTGACTGTGTTGTGCATTGAAAGCTAGACTGAATTGATAGCACATGCAGTAGGTAGCTGACAGTAGTAAGCTATTGGAATTTTGACCAGTGATGTTAAATGACATTATTTTAATTTGGTAAAAACAGGCAGACAAATCGGAGATTCAACACAAGTGTCATTTAGTCCATTATAAGTATAGGGAATGGAGTGTCTGAGTATCAGGACTATGATTTTAGTAGTAGAAATTTTAAAAATAAAGGAGCCGCTTAGAAATTTTCTTAGGCAGTTTCCTAAGTAAAAACAACTTTAAATATTTAATAAAGTTTGTTTTTTGTATATTCCAGAGGATATTTTTTTCTTTCCTTTCAGGCTTCTGAATGCTTATGATGAACATCAAACACTCCTGAAAGAACAGGATTCTTTAAAAAGGAAAGCAGAAAATGGGTATGTCACTTTTTGCTAAGTCAAGAAGGCGTGCTTCATTATGGAAATGCCTTCAAAGACAAATGTTTTTAAGTGTTACTTTTATGTTGTAATTTACATACTTTATTTTCATGATTTGAAAAAGTCTTGAGTGATTCAGAACTTCAGTAAAACAAATATACAGATAACATTCATCTATTCGTTAAAGTTCTTACCTGTGGGAGTTTTGAAAGTTTCCATTCTGACGTTTTATATAGATCAGAAGAACCAGAGGAAAAGAAAGCACATACAGAAGATACAACTTCATCATCTACACAGATGATTGATGGTGATTTACAGGCAAACCAAGCTGTATATAATTATAGTGCGTGGTATCAAGTGAGTCTGCATAATTATAATTCTTTGTTCATAGATGTTATTAGCATAAATTAGGATAGTTTCTTTTTTTTTAAAAAAAGTTTTTGTTCCAATTGTGTAATACATTCTTTGGTGGTTAAGTACTAGAATTTTAGCAGTGAACACTTGCTTGTTTTCTTAAACATAGCTGCTTTAATTATACTTTTACATATGGAACTCTGCCACAGTTCTAATATGCTAACATACTTACTTTTTCCTTTCAGTACAATTATCAGAATCCTTGGAATTATGGACAATATTATCCTCCCCCTCCAACCTGATGGGAAAAATGTAAATTTCAAATGCAGTGTGTGAAAAGTATGAAATTATTATTTTTTTTAATGAGGGATGTAAACAGTATAAGCTTGTTGTATTTGATAACCTGTCTTCCTTGTTTCTGTGTAACATGATTTGTTTAGTAATAGGGGGAAAATGTCAATTAGTAGCTTACCACAGATACTGTTTCCTACCATTTATAAAATTTACTTTTTATTGAAAAACTATTTTTTGATTTTTGCATTAAGTGGTCTAGAATTCTTTTGCAATGCATTTGCAACAGAATTTTGTAGCCTTAAGGGGTAGGAAGAAAAACCTGACTGCAAATCATGTCAGTGTAGTACAAAATTCTGAAAACACATAAGGGCTGGTTATTTACCTCCTTTTTTTTTTTTTTTTTTAAAGAAAAAAGGACTTTTAACCTTTGCTGACAAGGTTTTGTCTGTTTCAGTTATACTTGTGAATTGTGATCTAACTGCAGAAAGGATACATTATTAAAATACTTTGCCTTGGAATAGATTATAAATGAGAAAATGGAATGTTTGCATCCCTTTAAAAATGAAAATCATATCAAAAGTATGTTGTTTCAGGAGACTTTGTATTTAGAATATTCATGTAAAACTTGTGAACAAGCTTTCATTTTGATCAAACTGATCTTCATTTTTGTAATAAAACGGAAGACTCATCCAGTAATTGTTTATGAATTTATTTTGGGGGGATCAATTAGTAATATTAACCTTATGTTCACCTTTATTAGTGGCTCATTGGTTTTGAAGTACACCTTTTCTAAATTCAGGTCTTGATCTTCCTGCCAAGATTTTTCTGCTTTTAGCATTTTGTTTCCCCTCAAGCCTTATGCTTTTGCCTTCTCATTATACAGGCAATCTGTCCAGATAATTTTACTGGGAGTTACTCCCTGGTTTGATGAGGTCCTTAGTTCCAATTCCCTAATCAGAACAATAATATATTAACACCAAACAAATCACAGTCAGATCAAGACAGTGGATCAATTTTTATTGAGCCACTTAAGTTTACAACATGAGGTAAAAGGAAAAAGTTCTCCTTGACCAGTATTTTACACAGCTGTAGGAAAGTATTTTAGACCAGGGATTCATAAGGGATTTATCTCTCAAAAGCTGGGACCAAGTAAACAAATTTTATTAACTCCTTGAATTTTCCAGTTGACTCTTCCTTTACAATAGTAACAAGTTCTAACTAGTTGTGTAAATTTCTTCAAGGCCAAGTTTTATCATTGTTGCTAATATCCTTAGAGCTGAAGCACTGCTATTTCAATCAATATCCACTAATTCCACTTCAAAAGTGAGTTTTGCATTTGGTGGAATTCTGTTGAAGAAGTCAAGGTACATTTGATAAAAAGTGCCTCTCCCCTACCCCCATAACCTTAGTGTAGGATAGGCTGACTAGATAGGCTCACTAGATAAATTGAGCTTGGACTAGGATCCTCCTTACCTGGATGCTTTACAAGTACTCCTAAATTAGCCACCACTTAATGAAGACTATTAAGTACTCCAAAACAAAAGTAATGTCATTCTAGCTGGGGGGGGGTGGAACAAAAAAAATATATATACATATAGAGAGAGAGTATTAAAGTTTTTATGAGGTAGTACATAATATTTACTGTGCATTTTAAGATGCTAAGTTCAAGGCCAGGTACGGTAGCTCACACCTGTAATCCCACCACTTTAGGAGGCTGAGGCAGGTGGATCACCTGAGGTCAGGAGTTTGTGACCAGCCTGGCCAACACAGTGAAACCCTGTCTCTACTAAAAATACAAAAATTAGCCAGGCGTAGTGGTGCGCACCTGTAGTTCCAGCTACCAGGGAGGGTGAGGCAGGAGAATTGCTTGAGCCCGGGAGGCAGAGGTTGCAGCAAGCTGAGATCACGCTGCTGCACTCCAGCCTGGGTGACAGAGCGAGACCCTGTCTCAAAAAAAAACCAAAACAAAATATGCTAACTTAAGAGTTATATAATTTATATGTGCATCAGATTGGTCTTGAGATGCTTCTTCACATGGGAGAGGGAGCTGCAGCTGACCATTTGATTTCCCCGCCCCCCCCACCGAGACAGAGCCTCACTCTTTCCTCCAGGCTGGAGTGCAGTGGCATGATCACAGCTCACTGCAACGTCTGCTTCCCAGGTTCAAGTGATTCTCCTGCCACAGCCTCCAGGGTAGCTGGGATTACAGGCCTGCAACACCACGCCTGGCTAATTTGTGTATTTTTAGTAGAGGTAGGGTTTCACCATGTTGGCCAGGCTGGTTTTGAACTCCTGACCTCAGGTGATCTGCCCTCCTTGGCCTCCCAAAGTGCTGGGATTACAGGCATTAGCCATGGTGCCCAGCCTGTTCATTTGATTTTGAAAAGCTAAGAGAGCTATTATATTCCCAAATATGTTTATCTGCTAAGACTACAGAAAGCTGCCTCCCAAAGGACTTGTTTTTTCAAACTTAATCTGATGGGTCCAAGAGGAATGGAACCAACAAAAGCCATAAACTTACCTTCCCTCTTACCTATTGGATTGGTCTGGTCTTAATGGTCTGGAGTCATTCCTTATTTTTTTTTTAAATGTTCACAAACTGGACTTATCAGTGAGTATTGTCATTAGTAGTAATAATAAATGCTTACACTAACACTGTTGATTCTGTGGTCTCCTTCAGTTCACAACTGGTAATCTCCCACATCTATTCCATTTCTAAGCTTTGAATTTAATTGCCTGAAATTATACTGTACCATAAAATTACCATGAGCCATATTTGCATCGTAGTTTGCTACAGTTTGTACTGGGCATGGTAACTTTTCTTAAACTCTTAAAAACATTAAGAATTGCTGTTTAAGCTTAAACTTCACAGTTAAGGTCTTGAAAGTTAAGAATTTGAATAAGAGAAACAAAAATTCTAGCTGAGGTTTGAACTTTATATCAATAGAAAATACTATTGCCTATTGGAGGTGCTGACACATAAGCATCTAAAGATCAGGAAGACTAGTCTGGACAGGATTCTTGATCCAGAAGTTTGCCTAGACAGCATCTTTCACATCCTCAAAGGTGATCTAGACGTTTTTTTTTTTTCAACTTTAATTATGAAGGGGAAAAAAGGATACTTGGCATCAGGCTGTCCTTTCTTTCCGTAAGCCCATTCTGGTTCAATCTCCAGTCGAGCCTTTTCTCCTTTACTCATAGTCAAGAGAGCTTCATCCCACTAAAGGCAAGAACAAAATAAAAACTAATGGTATTTTGCAAAAAGCACATGCAATACCAGGACAGTCAAGACAAGATTGTATGTTAAAACAAACACAGAATCTATTACTATAGATTTCACTATATTCTAAGATAATGTACTTCAGTGAGTCCCTAAATCTTTGTCTTCCATTTCTTCAATAGAAAAAAAAGGGTATTTTAAGCAGGGCTTTTTTAATGTGAAAAGAACCTTTTGGGGCTCATACCTATAATCCCAGCACTTTGGGAGGCCGAGGTGGGCAGATCACTTAAGGTCAGGAGTTTGAGACCAGCCTAGCTAACATAGTGAAACCCCATCTTCTACTAAAAATAAAAAAATTAGCTGGGTGCGGTGGTGGGTGCCTGTAATCCCAGCTACTCGGGAGGCTGAGGCAGGGGAATCACTTGAACCCAGAAGGTGGAGGTTGCAGTGAGCCAGGATTGAGCCACTGCACTCCAGTCTGGGCAACAGAGTGAGACTCCTTCTCAAACAAACAAACAAAAAACAAAAAAAAAACTTTTTGTAAACTGTAACATGCCATACATTATGAAAACCAGTTAGTTATTAGCACCATCATAAACCTGCAACACTTTTACATCACAGGACAAACGAGTTTATTTTTATTGGAATACACTGGCAAGTACTCACTGTAAAATTGTTTTAAGATTACCAGATTGTAATAGTGGAGTCACGTTGGCACATAAAATACATTTTTTTCTTTTTTTCTTTTGAGATGGAGTTTCGCTCTTGTTGCCCTGGCTGGAGTGCAATAGCGTGATCTTGGCTCACTGCAGCCTCTGCCTCCCGGGTTTAACCGATTCTCCTGCCTCAGCCTCCCTAGTAGTTGGGATTACAGGCATGCCCAGCTAATTTTGGAAATACAATTTTTAAAATGTTACGGCACTAAGATCTTTTGCAAAAGGTAAAACTAACTTTTCAAAGAAACAATAAAAGTCTTCTGGGTTGGCCTCTCCATATTTTCCAAATTTGGATCTTAAAGCTAGTTTCCACAAACAGTTAAATCCACATCACCAAAGGGATAATATTCCTAATATTATATGCTGTATTGAAATGCAACAATCATATAAAGCACAAGGGACAAAGTTAGGGTGGTCACATTTGGAAAATAAGAATATGGTAGACTAGCCGGGCAAGGTGGCTCGTGCCTGTAATCCCAGCACTTTGGGAGGCTGAAGATGAAGAGGGCGATCACTTGAGGTCAGCACTCAAGACCAGCCTGACCAACATGATGAAACCCCATCTCTACTAGGAATGCAAAATTAGGTGTGGTGGCGCATGCCTGTAATCCCAGCTATTCGGGAGGCTGAGGCAGGAGAATCGCTTGAACTCAGGAGACAGAGGTTGCAGTAAGCCGAGATTGCACCATTGTACTCCAGCCTGGACAACAAGAGCAAAACTCCGTCTCAAAAAAAAAGAATACGGTAGACTAGAAGAAATTTACCAGTATGCAAATAAGTTACAGAAATAGAAAAATGGCCCAATTTGATAATATACTTGCTATCAACTTGGTACGGGCAGGTAACAATTTTTTTTTTTTTTTTGAGATGGAGTCTTGCTCTGTTGCCCAGGCTGGAGTGCAGTGGCGTGATCTCAGCTCACTACAACCTCCACCTCCCAGGTTCAAGCAATTCTCCTGCCTCAGCCTCCCAAGTAGCTGGGACTACAGGCAAGTGCCACCATGCCCAGATAATTTTTTGTATTTTTAGTAGAGACGGGTTTCACAGTGTTAGCCAGTATGGTCTCGATCTCCTGACCGACCTTGTGATCCACCCACCTCGGCCTCCCAAATTGCTGCAATTACAGGCATGAGCCACCACGCCTGGCTGGGGCAGGTAACAATTATAAGTTATGCTCAACTAAACCTTTAGTTTTAAGATGTTTTATATTCTGTATATGATTGTCTGAACCATATCTTAGGACCTACTGATTGTACAGAGAGTAATATATTGAAGGTTCCTATAACTGCATTTAAATAGGCATTTCAGTTATTGATGTCTGATGTTCTGAGAATAACAATTTAAAACAAACAATGGGCACAATGGGCAGGCCTTAGCATGAAAACCTGATTCATAGAAGGTGACAGTCTGCCCTACTCTTTTATCTTCTTTTGTACAGTATAATGGTCAGTACGGGTCAAGCCTAACTTCCTCTTTTCTCAAAGTTTCTTTCTGTTATCTCTCACATATAAGTGTAGGTTAAAGCATGCTCATGTTTGAATGATTTTCTGGTATTGCAGCCTATGTTGTATGAGGTGAAAAGGCTGCAGAAACAAACTCTGCTTCTGTGAATACTTCAGTGGGACAGATATTTTACCTTTGCAAATTATATGTAAATGGTACAACAGTTATAAGACATTTTACAGGAACCTTAAATTTAGAGGGCCAAACATTCTGACAAAGACTTACTTTATGAAGAAAAATAATAAAATGGGTACACATGGAAGGGACTAATATTTAAGCCCCTACTGTATTAGGTACTTCAAGTTATGCTCATTTAATCTTCTAAAAACCTTGAGGTAGGCAGTACTGTCCTCATTTTATATGTAGCGAAACTGAGACCGAGATAACTTGTGCAAGATCAGCTAACAATGATTATACCCAATCTGTCAGACTCCAAAGTCTGTTTCCTTTGTATTATATCCCCAAACCTAATTCTTTACAGCACCATACCAGAAGCAGCATATGCCAGAATATCTACTGATTCATTGGCATTCTTTACTTACTCCTCTGATAACTTTGCCTACTCCGACCTTAAAACTTAAAGGCTTGGCATTTTTCTTCTTCTTTGCACCTGTAAAACAGATTTTCCTTATCATTAATGATATACTCTAATTTATTATTAAGAAATTTCCATTGGAAATTATTAAATTCCAGTGGAAAAATATAGTGGTTTGATTTCAGAATTACAATACTATGTATTTTAAAAGAAGGAAAAAATTTACAAAGATCATCCATCAATAAAATTCTGGCTGTAAAAATAATTACATTCTTAACAAAGGGTAGAGGGGTAGGACCTATACTTATATCACAAAACAGCATACTATCCTGCCTTTTCTATTCAAATACTAATGCCTTACTTTGGGACATTAACCAGGTTTAGACTGAGATTCCTTATCTTTTGCTTTCCAAAGAACAAGAGGTCTTTAGCCAGCCAATAATCAGTGAACTGAAGACCTCTTCCAAGTAGATCTTGGGGGAAAGTATGTCTGGATGAAAGTAGGTGACAGTCAGGAAAAAGGTACTGCTAACTACTCATCTGTCTGCCACCCAAGTATTTAGAATCTCTTTAAGCCAAAAACATAAGATTCCATTTAGACTTACTTGTTTGAATATTAGTATCAAAAACAGTCCCATCTTGTAGTGTTCCTGTATACCAGCAGTGAACAACATCTCCCTTTTTGGGAAAGTTGGTTTTATCTCCCTTTTTCAGAACAGATTTAGTATATTTTGGTGGACCCTAAAAACAAAAAACAACACACACACACAGAGTTATTAATTTGTGTCCTTTAAAAGAATGACAAACAATAGCCAACAATGACCAAAGTCAGTTTAAAGAGTTTGATGGATTTGGTAATAAATAAACAAACAAAACCCTCAGTATCTAATTTCAAGGCTGTGATGTGACTATTAGTAACTTACACATCTATAATTTAATTTCAAATAACTTCCAGCTTCTTTGGAAGCCTAAATTCTTCTAATAAGATTCTGTTAATAATTCACCAAACCATAACATGATTTCAGTTATTTCCTAAAGTTAAAAAAAATCATTACTATTTAATTCCTATGAAATCATAAGGCATTAAAATAAGGGATGGTGACTTCCCCCCCACAAAGATTTGAACTGTTTTAGCAGCAATAATTGATATTACTAGGTGTTTTTATAATAACCAATTAGAATGAATACAGTGATATTGCCTCTGTCCCCGATTTGGAAAATAAATTCACACAATGGATGAAATTACCTAAAGAAATTGCTATAACAGGCATATTTCCTAGAACAAAGTAGGATTATCAGGGTCTTCTACAAAAAAGGTTACATATTAATCTAATCAATAGCAATTCATATATGAGAGGAAAGCAGACAGAGGAACTGTCAAGAATCTTAGGGAGTTAATTAAAAAAAAGAAGAAGTGTACCGAATTTAAAAGTATCCTTACCTAAATCTATTTGGTTTCTGAATTCAGACCAAATTCAGAGGGATCTGCATTATCCAAATCTATATTTGGTTTCTAAATTTCATAAAATAAATAACAAAGGTGTGCTTGGATATCCAATAATTCATATCTATTAGTTCCTGAGTTTGAAAAGCAAGAGAAAAGTGTTTTCTTTATTCCTGACCTATTTCTTTTTTTTTCTGAGATGGAGTCTCACTCTGTCGCCAGGCTGGAGTGCAGCGGTGTGATCTCGGCTCACTGCAACAACCTCTGCCTCCTGGGTTCAAGTGATTCTCCTGCCTCAGTCTCCCGAGTAGCTGGGACTACAGGCGCCTGCCACCACGCCCAGCTCATTTTTTGGATTTTTAGTAGAGACACGGTTTCACCATGTTGGCCAGGATGGTCTCGAACTCCAGACCTCGTGATCCGCCCGCCTCGGCCTCCCAAAGTGTTGGGATTACAAGTGTGAGCCACCGCGCCTGGCCTATTCCTGATCTATTTCTAATTGGTCAAGTTATGCAAATTTTTATTCACTTTCATTTCCCTAGCTGAAGGTTTTATCCTTTTCCAAAACTTGTAAGTAAAAATATCTGTGCTGGGTGCGGTGGCTCACACCTGTAATCTCAGCACTTTGGGAGGCCAAGGTGGGTGGATCACTTGAGGTCAAGAGTTTGAGATCAGCCTGGCCAACATGGTAAAACCCCATCTCTATTAAAAATACAAAAATTAGGTGGATGTGGTGGCGTGTGCCTGTAATCCCAGCTACTCGGGAGGTAGAGTCAGGAGAATCACTTGAATCCAGGAGGCGGAGGTTGCAGTGAGCCAAGATGGCACCACTGGGCGACAGAGCAAGGCTCCATCTAAAAAAAAAAAAAAAAAAGTCTGATCTCCTTGCAAATAGTCTACCTCTTGGGCAAAAGATTCTCTCCCTGACCAAACCCTAGCTAGGGTCCTCTGAGACCTCTTCTTCACAAGCCTTCAACCTTGGACTATAAAGATTTGAACAAACACAAGTTTCAAATAGCTCAAGGCCTTATTCCTAGGAGGACCTGATCCCTCCTTAAAGTGTCCGCCTAAGAAAACTTAAGGCTGCCAAAAAAAATTTACTGTTTGTTCCAGCCAACGCCTCAAGATGAAGATAGGACCCCTGTCTCTGTCTCTGTGGGAGCCTGATTTTGATAAGCGCCAGTTGGCAAACTCAGATGGGTTTCATATGGACCAACCCCACTTCCTACTTTATGTAATTTTTCACTTCTCTAACTCTGCTTAAATCCCTCTCTACTCCTTTTTTTTTTTTTTTTTTTTTTTTTTTTTTCAGATGGAGTCTTGCTGTGTCACCTAGGCTGGAGTGCAGTGGCATGATCTCGGCTCATTGCAAGCTCTGCCTCCCGGGTTCACGCCATTCTCCCGCCTCAGCCTCCCAAAGTAGCTGGGAGTACAGGCGCCCGCCACCACACCCAGCTAATTTTTGTTTGTATTTTTAGTAGAGACGGGGTTTCACCATGTTAGCCAGGATGGTCTCCATCTCCTGACCTCGTGATCTGCCCGCCTCGGCCTCCCAAAGTGCTGGGATTACAAGCGTGAGCCACCAGGCCCAGCCCCCTCATTCTTTTAAAAGGCCCAGTTACCCCTCCACAAATCAGACTGGAGTTTAGCTCTTTCCCCTACTGTCAGTAGGCTGAATAAAATCTGTTTTCACCACTTTAATGTCCGATTGTGTTTATCTCTGACACCTTGAGTCAGTCCTCTACTCAACTGCTAGAGTGATATTAACAATTACTGCTTATAGTTTTGTGTCCAAAGGCCTAAACCATGCAGGATCTTAATCTATCCCTCCCTGAAGTTCCAGAATTCTATCAGCCTTTGAACTCTTGTCTTTTCCATGACCTTCTCAGTAGAGCAGGTGCATACAGCATAGAAATCTTTCAATCAGCTGGGCGCAGTTACTCACACCTGTAAACCCAGCACTTTGGGAGGCCCAGAAGGGTTGATCACCTGAGGTCAGGAGTTCGGGACCAACCTGGCCAACATGGTGAAACCCTCATCTCTACTAAAAATACAAAAATTAGCTGGGCATGGTGGCAGGCGCCTGAAATCCCAGCTATTTAGGGGGCTGAAGCAGGAGAATCACTTGAATCCAGGAGGCAGAGGTTGCAGTGAGCCAAAATTGTGCCACTGAATTCCAGCCTGGGTGACAAGAGTAAAACTCTGTCTTAAAAAAAAAATTATATATATATATTTTTTTTTCTTTTTTTAAGAGACAGGGTTTCAGTGTTGCTGAGGCTGGAGTGATCATACCACTGTAAAATACTGAGATATTTTACAGTAGTGTGATCACGGCTCACTTATAGGCTCTAGCAGTCCACCTGCCTCAGTCTCCCAAAGTGCTGGATTACAGGCAGGAGCCACTGTGCCTGCTTAATAATATTTCAAAAGTATAAAAATATTACTGTCTGTAAGGGAGCAATGAAAGGGAGAATGGCATGAAATACGGCTAGAAAAATACGTAGGACATGTTAGAATCTGGGTTTTTATCTTTAGGACATTAGCCAATTTAGAGTTTTAAATAAGAGAAGTTACAGAATCGGATCTGTGTTTATTTTATTTATTTATTTCTGAGACCGAGTCTCACTCTGTTGCCCAGGCTGGAGTGCAGTGGTGTGATCTCGGCTCACTGCAACCTCTGTTTCCCGAGTTCAAGCAATTCTCCTGCCTCAGCCTCCCCAGCAGCTGGGACTACAGGCATGAACCACCACACTTGGCTAATTTTTGTATTTTTAGTGCAGGTGGAGTTTCACATGTTGGCCAGGCTGGTCTCGAATTCCTGACCTCAGGTGATCTGCCTGCTTCAGCCTCCCAAAGTGTTGGGATTACAGGCGTGAGCCACAGTGCCCAGCCAGATTTGTGTTTTAAATAGATCACTGTGACTGAAATATAAAAAATGACTTGGGAAGCAAAAGTAGAAGTGGAGAGACTTGTTAGGAAAAAAGTTACTATAGTAGTTTAGGTTTAGACCAGGGTGCTAACAGTGAGGATGACAAAACATGAATGGCTTTGGGATATATTTTGGAGGCAGAATCACCAGAAGTTGGTAATAACTACATATGAAGCAGTTATCAAAGATGAAGTTATCAAATTTTTCGTTTGAGTACTTTTATACTGACTTCTAATTGCTAAGTGTGAGTTTCTGTCGTAACTTATATTTTCTTTCCTGTACAATACTCATTCATACCATGAAAATTTTCCTCAATGCTATTTAATATATAATAGACAATAAATATATTGACAATGACTGATTTAAAATCCCATAAGAGCTATTAGACAAGTCTTTATATTAAAATAAAGGTAGAAATAAATAATACAAATGTGCTTAGGAATGTATGCAGTTGTGTATGTATACAGCAAAGTCTCACATGGTAAAAATTCCAGAGGAAGCAATGAGCCCAGGAGCTGGGTCTTAAAGGGAGCACAGAAGTGACAAATAGGGATAGTAAAAGGACACTCTAAGGAAGAAATAAAATATGGAGGTAGGAAAGGGCATGATGTAGTAGACAATGAGCAGACATTTGTGGTCAAAGAAAAAAAATTTTTTTTTTTTTTGAGACAAGGTCTTACTCTGCCACCTAGGCAGTGCAGTGGCACACAATCTTGTCTCACTACAATCTCTGGCTCCCAGGCTCAAAGGATCCTCCCTGCTCAGCCTCCTGAGTAGTTGGGACTACAGGCACACACCACCACGCCTGGCTACTTTTTTGGTAGAGACAGGTTTCGCCATGTTGCCCAGGCTGGTCTTGAACTCCTGGGCTCAAGTGATCCACCTTCCTTGGCCTCCCAAAGTGCTGGGATAATAGGCGTGAGCCACTGCACCTGGCCAATAACATGTCTATACAGGCCGGGCACAGTGGCTCACGCCTGTAATCCCAGCACTTTGGGAGGCCGAGGTGGGTGGATCACGAGGTCAGGAATTCGACAATAGCCTGACCAACATGGTGAAACCCTGTCTCTACTAAAAATACAAAAATTAACCGGGCGTTGTGGTGTGCGCCTGTAATCCCAGCTACTCAGGAGGCTAAGGCAGGAGAACTGCTTGAACCCGGGAGGCGGAGGTTGCAGTGAGCCGAGATCACACCACTGCATTCCAGCCTAGGCAACAGAGCGTGACCCCGTCTCAAAAAACAAAGAAAAAAAAAGAATACGTCTATAGAAACATGGAATATGGAGCTTAGCAGCAGCCACATTTTGGAAGTTTTGAATGCCAAGAATAAGAAATTTGGATATATATTGAAGACCAGTGGTGACCAATAAAAATGGGAGTCACAAATGTAATTTTGAGTTGTCTAATAGCTGCACTTAAAAATGTAAAAAGAAAGAGATGAAGTATGTCTATGCCAGGCAGTGGTATGCCTGTAGTCCCAGTTATTCTGAGTATTCTGAGGCAGGAGGATCACTGGAGCCCACGAGTTTGAGTCCAGCCTGGGCAACACAGCATGACCCTGTCTCTTTTTTTCTTTTTTTTGAGACTGAGTCTCCTTCTATTGCCCAGGCTGGAGTGCAGTGGCGCAATCTTGGCTCCCTGCAACCTCTGCCTCCTGGGTTCAAGTGATTCTCCTGCCTCAGTCTCCCATGTGGCTGGAATTACAGATGCATGCCACCATGCCCAGCTAATTTTTGTATTTTTAGTAGAGACGGGGTTTCACCATGTTGGTCTCAAACTCCTGACCTCAAGTGATCTGCTCCTCTTGGCCTCCCAAAGTGCTGGGATTACAGGCACCAGCCACTGTACCTGACTGACCCTGTCTTTTTTTTTTTTTTTGAGACAGAGTTTCACTCTTGTTGCCCAGGCTGGAGTACAATGGTGCGATCTCAGCTCACTGCAACCTCCGCCTCTGGGGTTCAGGCGATTCTCCCACCTCAACCTTCCGAGTAGCTGGGATTACAGGTGTGCACCACCACATCTGGCTAATTTTTTGTATTTTTAGTAGAGACAGGGTTTAACCATGTTGGCCAGGCTGGTCTCGAACTCCCAACCTCAGGTGATCCGCCTGCCTCGGCCTCCCAAAGTGCTGGGATTACAGGCATGAGCCACCATGCCTGGCCTCCCAACCGACCCTGTCTTAAAAAAATAAAATAAAAAATTTTTAAATGAAAAATTTTCTTATTTAAACTAAAACATCCCAAATACCATCATTTCAATAAGTAATCAATATAAAAAATACTGAGATATTTTACATTCTTTTTTAAAAAAGAAACGTCTAAATTACACCTTTGAAACTGAGTATATATTTTATTCTTAAAGCACATTTCAGTTCAAAGTAGCTAAAGCACTCTGTAGCCACATATTGTTAGTAACTACCATACTGAACGGGGCAATTCTAGACAACACTCAATTACTGAAGATTTTTCAGCAGGGTGTGGTTTGCAAAGTATTGTTTTAGAAATCTTATTAGAATACCCATTTTGTTGCTGACTGGATAAAGAAAGAGAAGGGAGGCAAGAAATGAACAACGTTTTTAACATTCTGGGTATGAGGCCTTGCTTCGAATGCTTGAAAATGGAAAAGGAATGAACGTTTAAAATAAAAGGAAGATGTTTGAGAGCATTAGTCCTGAAGGAGACATGAGAAAGAAAAAGGGACGCAAAGATTCAGAGAAATTTTAAGCTCAGAAGAAGGGAATGGCAATGGCTAGACATTCACATTTTGGCACTACAGAACACAGGAGCATATAATGAGAAGGGAGTCCAGGGGCAGTGGCTCACGCCTGTAATCCCAACACTTTGGAAGGCCTAGGTGGGCGGATAACTTGAGGTCAGGAGTTCAAGACCAGCCCAGCCAACATGGAGAAACTGCGTCTCTATTAAAAATACAAAAATCAGCTGGGCATGGTGGCGCCTGCCTGGAGTCCCAGCTACTGGGGAGGCTGAGGCAGGAGAATCACTTGAACCCAGGAGGGGGAGGTTGCTGTGAACCAAGATGGCACCACTGCACTCCAGCCTGGGTGAGACTTTGTCTCAAAGACAAAAACAAAAACAAAAAAAGAGAAAGGAGTAAGAAGGGACTGAGAATTTGTGAGAAAATGTCAAATACTTTATGTGAGCAATGAGCAATGTGATGGAGAACTGGGCAAAGGATAGTATAAATGTTGTTGAGTAGCAATGAAACTAGAAAACATGCTTGGCTAATATTAAGCATGAATTTATACCAGGCTCAATAAAAGGTTTTATGATTATATGTTTATAATGCCTGCTCTCCAGTCCCAAAGCATGAAGACAGAGAGTAGACAACGAGGGTTAGCAAGGAAATGGACAAGAGGCTTTTGAATGTAGGACGCTAGGAAAACAGTCACAGTACATAAATGGGCTCAAGCTGGCCAGTTAAACGAAGAGGTTTTAAATAAAATGATAGAGTTTAGGACCCTCATAAGCTTGCTCTAGATTGTCTCTAGCTCTTATGAATTTACCTTTTATTTTCTTAACTCCTTAATGAAATATTATCTGTCTCCTAAAACCATCCTCATTCTAATTTCCTGGAGGGTGAACTATGTTGCCAGTTGCTTCTGAAACCCTTCAATAATAATTGCTCCATTTACCTTAGTAGCTACTCAATAGATATAACATTTATTAAATATTAATTGTGATAAACTTTAAAACTGCTTTGTGTGCACATATACCTATAAACATTAATTTGTGCTTTTTAGCCAATAGGAAAAGATCATGCAAAATTAACTAGCTTTAATCAAATAAACATCTATAATTGTATAACTGAACTTACACTTTCCACAAATACCCAAAAGCTACACTGTCATCAATAGCCTCACCTCTTTACAAGAACTAAAAATAGATTATTATCACTGATACTAAGACTGCTGGCAATGAGTGAGCTTAGATAGTAAGGTATTATCAGAAATGACAAGATTATAATCAATTCAGCTCTGCTAAGTCAGTTCTTAGTAGCTGATCTTAGCTCTACTAAGGCTGTCAATTTGCAGGAATGAATTAATCTGGTTCTTCAAACCTTTGTACCAAAGTATAAAACCTGAGTTGGGAAAACTGAGACAGATGAACCCACATCCTGCAGCCAAGCCTGGATTATTTCTATTGCCAGGGACACCATGTACATTAGAAAAAGCTAAAAATAATCAAAAGAAAATGTATTTCACTTAGTCCAACTTGGCTATAGAATCAAGGCCTTAAAATAGCTTTGAAAGCTCAGAAGGTCTGGACAGATGTGGAGGCGATATTAAATACAATATCAGAAGTGTTTCACAGAATAGGCTAATAACTGTAAAGCACTAGTTCTTAGGATTATTTCTGTCCCAGTACACCTAAGGGAAATGGCCCACTACATTAAGTGTTTGGCTCATTGAAAGTGGTCGTATTCAACCACCCTTCACTATGAGAAGTTAGTGCAAATAATAAAGAAATAAATACAATTTCTAGACTCCACATGATAAAATAAAAAAATAATTATATACAGACCTCATCCAGGGTCTCTTCAGACTTGGTTTCTTTGGGTTTATCTTCATTAAGCTTCACATTTTTTACTTGCTCAGACACTTTACTTATACTTTCAGTACCCTTAAAACGCTGTAAGGAAAATGTTGTAACATCATACCCAGGACAGGCTAAAACCAAGAAGCAACATCAAGATTTTCAGCCTCTCAATTAAATGAACATCTGCATAATAAATATAGGTTGTATAACACAATTGTGAATAAATGGTCTAAGGAAACGAAGAGCAAAGAAAGAATTTTGCTCATAATTTATTTTTAAACAATAAATGATTACCCTCAAACCAGCTTACAATATAAATTCTGAAATGAGAACCATGACCTTAGAAAGGCCAACTCATACCCAGAGATATAAGCACTATTCAAATAACTCCTAAATAAAGATTTCTTTCCTGTGGAAGATATTCATTTCATAGTAAACAAATGTGGGAGAATGTCTTAAAATGTATTTTTGTAAAGCTCAGCCTAAATCTAAACCAGACTTTAAATTCATTAGTGAAATGGAAACTTATTTTCAATATAACATTTAACATATATAATAAAACAACAACAAAATACATTTAATATACACCATATGCTAAAGTAATACGGTAATACCACTGACCTAATGAATTTATAACTTCAGTGGACTTAAGAATTTGTTGTCTCAATTTAAGCTACAAAATCCAGACCCTTTGAAAATACTGAAACATTCTGCCATACTGCAGATTAGCCTTGCTAGATTTGACAGCTAGTCCACTTATGATAACAGTTCAGAAAAATTACAGGTGGAAAAGCTCCAACACATTCAACAAATCAATGCATTTTAAACATCTTTTTTGGAAATAAAATTTCAAAAGTGATGTTCTGCTAACAGAATCTAACAATACTCACCTTAGTTTCAAAAAGATGGTTATAGGCTGTAACCAAGTGGTCCTTGTTAGCTGTCTTGGCCACATTTTTAATGTTTCCTAATAATTTATGTTCTGCAAGAAACTATAAGGAAAAAAGCTGGGTAATCAAGATAACTTCTCCCGAGTAAGAAGTGTCTAAAATTAGAAAACGATCCTTTTATGTTAGCAGTTGTGTTTTCAGTAGTACTAGTACTGAAGAAGAAATAAAGCCTATAGTTTATACTCTTTGTTACAAAAAAAGTAAGAGATTTTTTAAAAATTCGGTATTTACAAGAATTAGTGACAAGACTGCAACTGTAGTGTTATGTACTGAACACAGTGTTTCATCCTAAACTTTTTCCTGTCAACACTCACAAAAAATAACATTTATACAGCAAGCACACTGTGGTGACTTGAGTCAGCTGCTCACTGCAGGAGGATACTTGGGTGCAGCCCTTGAGAGCCTCCAGCCAGGTTGGACATAGCTATCCTGAGGCATTTGTAACCCATTCTTAGCCGACTAGGAAGAGTCACTGTTACACAAGCATGTAACATACATATGTTGAGATTGCTATGCTTAACATTATATATATAATTGCTAAGTATATGGGCTGTGGAGTCATATTATCTAGGTTAAAATCCTAGCTGTGTGGGCCGGGCGCGGTGGCTCATGCCTGTAATCTCAGCATTTTGGGAGGCTGAGGCAGGCGGATCACCTGAGGTCAGGAGTTTGAGACCAGCCTGGCCAACGTGACAAAACCCCATCTCTACTAAAAATACAAAATTTAGCTGGCCATGGTGGCGCATGCCTGTAGTCCCAGCTCGGGAGGCTGAAGCAGGAGAATGGCGTGAACCTGGGAGGTGGAGGTTGCAGTGAGCCGAGATCGCACCACTGCATTCCAGCCTAGGTGACAGAGCAAGACTCTGTCTCAAAAAAAAAAAAAAAAAAAAAAAAATCCTAGCTGTCTGACACTAGACAGGGGACTAAGCTTGTCTAAAGACTCAGCCTCCATATCTGTAGTGGAAGATTAATAACAGCGTCTACGTCAAAGAGTTGATATAAGGATAAAATGCAAAAATCCATTTAATGCATTTAGCATAGAGCCTGTCACACAGTAAGAACTTAATAAATATTGGGATTATGATTAATACTGTATTTAATAACTCAAGGTAACAGCGGAATTGCTTTTCTTTCAAATATAAGACTGCTAAGATGGCAGATGGACACTAAAATACTACTGCTGAAATAGCAAGTCGTAGTATAACTTTATCTGAAAATCACGTAATTGTGAGGATTTCCATAACTTCTTTGTTTCCTTATTTTATTCTGCTTCTTTTTCTGCCTTGTGGTCCTTGCTTAATTCCTAATTTTGTTACATTCTCAAAGTTGTCCTTTGGCATCTTCTAAGCTTTTGATAAAGCAGTTAACATTATTAGCAGTTAACAGCTAACACTATCACTATTGTATTTTTTTCTTTTGCTTTTTCTTTCAAAGATATGTTCTAAATAACAGCTGATGGGGAAAGGAGACAAAGTTGACTAAACGGAAGTAATCAGTTACCTTTAGCATGCTGGTGGTTTCTTGTTAAAGATTCCAGAAAATACCCAAAGCATAAAAGCATAAACATCTCTTTGATATCTTATGATTAATAAAATAATTATTGTCAAGTATAGGTCTAAGTGTTAATGATCACCGGAGATTATTATTATTAATTTTTGAGACAGAGTCTAGCTCTGTCGCCCAGGCTGGAGTGCAGTGGCCCAATCTCGGCCCACTGCAACCTCCCCCTCTTGGGTTGAAACGATTCTCCTGCCTCAGCCTCCCGAACAGCTGGGATTAGAGGCGCCCACCACCAGGCCCAGCTAATTTTTTTTGTATTTTTAGTAGAAATGAGGTTTCGCTACGTTGGCCAGGCTGGTCCTCAATGCCTGGCCTCAACTGTTAGTCAGGATGGTCTCGATCTCCTGACCTCGTGATCCGCCCGCTTTGGCCTCCGAAAGTGCTAGGATTACAGGAATGAGCCACCACGACCGACCGAGACTATGCATTTAAAAGATTAATGTTATAAAAACATTTTGATAATCCAAGTCTGTTGAAATTCTTCCACGTGGCCCAGTTTTACATACGATTCCACATGGCATGATTTGTTTCATAAGAATATGATGGATGAAGTACATGACTGAGGTATTATTAAATGTTAATGATGTCTATTCTATTGTTTCAGATGAAATACGAATTGGCTTAAGAGAAAATAGTTCCATTAAAATGGGGTAAGATCCCCGACACATGTTCTTTTTCACCCTTGTACCTCCAAACACTGAGAATAGTTCTTGTTACAGATGTTGTATTAATATCTGCTAAATTAATCTAAGATGCGGATGCCAGGATAATAATTAAGGAAGAAGGCACTGGAAGTTGGAGAGTTCTTCTATCTCCCTGTCATGACGCCCGCCCAAAATGAAAATAAAATATAAGCTTCTCAAAATAACCCAGAAATAGTGGCTCACGCCTGTAATCCCAGCACTTTGGGAGGCCGAGGCGGGCGGATCACGAGGTCAGGAGATCGAGACCATCCTGACTAACACGGTGAAATCCCGTCTCTATTAAAAATACAAAAAATTAACCTGGCGTGGTGGCACGCGCCTGTAGTCCTAGCTACTCGAGAGGCAGAGGCAGGAGAATCGTTTGAACCCGGGAGGCGGAGGTTGCAGTGAGCCGAGATCGCGCCACTGCACTCCAGCCTGGGCAACAGAGAGAGACTCCGTCTCAAACAAACAAACAAAAAAACCCAGAAACAGTTTTTCTAAATGAAAAGTTTAGAATTTTAAAAATTGTATAGAAAACACAAGCAGGCTGCCGCTTGTAAGAGAATGCTGCGTGCACAACTATTTCAGCAATTTAACAGGTGCATGAATGAACTTATTTTCCAAAGGAAAAACAAGTGTAACAAAAATAACTTGACTATAGACGGATGGTTAAGATGGAGACTATGCTGACAAATGGAGAGCCTACAGTATAAAGCATTTCAAATAAATTTCTTAGTCTGTTTATAACAATGACAGACCACTGCACAAGAGAAATGTGCATGTAGCTCCCTTAAAGTATAAAGGTGAAAAGGTCATTTAAAGGGTCGATATGTTAAATCAAAACTTAAACCACAACCTACGGATTTTTTAAAAATCACACGCATTAATGTTCAGTATTTAGTAAACTGTTGAGAAAAGCAAGTTGGATACACCGTTCCCACAGAAATCTTCACATCCCTTCCCATTTCCCTAGTAGCCGGCGCCCCGCTCCCAGGAGTCTCATCCACACCACTATTCCTCGGCCTCTCCGCCCTAGCCCCCAATATCCTCGGGTTCCTATTTTTCTGGCCTCCACCCCCACTCAAGGATCCCAATGAGGTTCTAACTCTACAATTGCAGCCTGTGTGCCCCAAGAAATAAAGCTGCTCCCCTGCCCCAGTAGAGAACGCCCGAGAGGCGGGAGCGAGGCACCAAAGCACAAGCTGGGCCTCTCCGGCCTTCCAGGCCACCGGCCGCGGGAAGACGAGGGCGGGGGCACAGAGGAATACGGAATGTATGGGCATCTCCAGGGGGGTGAGGCGTCCCTCAGCCGCACCAGCCCGGCCGCCCCTACGCCTCTGGTACCGAATCTGAACCGTGTTCCTGCAGAAACTTGATAATGTCCTTCTTGGGCAGCTGCTCACTGCGCAGCTGCTCCACGGTCCACGCCCGCTGTGGAACGGCCGCCGCCATCTTCCCCCGCTGCCTCCGCTTTACTGAGCCAGCCCGCCGCAGTTCGGCATCGCCCCGCCCCCTAGGGCGGGGCGGGGCCACTCACGGAGGTCGAGGGGCGGGCCTCTGCTCTAGCAGTCGGGATTGGGGCCTGTCTTTGAGTGACGTCAAGGCTGTGCTATGAGGGCTTCTTTGTTGAGTCCGGGTTGAAAAACCTACCGCGGTCGTCTCTGCAGTCGACTGAGTAGAAGACCGCTAGAGATCTTCGATTCTGAATTAGACACCTTGTGAAGCGACCTCTGATGGTAGCGACATTTATCAACCATTACCCACATTTAAGGCAGCTATGCCTTTAAAGTCCAGTCTATAACCTGTTAAAAGAAAACAGCATTCAGGCTCCTTATCTCGTTTTATCTAGTTCTAGCCTAAAAAGTCACACCTGAAGTGCTTCAGTCCTTGTCGATCCGAAAACCCATATCCCACCATTTCCCTTTTAAAGATCACACAACCGAAACTTAAATACAAACTGCCCATCCCCTTCCCCCCATACAAATACGAGAAAGTTTGTCCAAAACGAAGTTCAGAAACTTTAACAAATAAAACAATTTATAAAGAAGCCGCACTCAGGATGCCACTTGCTGATGAGAATGACATTATTAATGCTCGTAACTCTGTGATGTATATTTTTTTCTCAGTACACGAGGAAACAAATTTACAGAGGTTACTCAAAGTCAGGTTTAGAGAGAAGTCAGGAATTATTTGAGACAGAAATCTTCGTTAGAGTGGAATAATTGCACACCGACGTTTATTATAATGCTCTTACCTATAATAAAGATTTAATAGTTGAACATCAGGACTCCTTACTTAAAAAAATGTAGGCTGACTCTGGGCATGTTGCCTATGAGTTAGCTCTGCTTTGCAAGGAGCATTAAAAAAAAAAATTCTGACGAATAGCTGGACCAGACCACGTTCACTTCCCTTTAAACAATGAAAATATTAAAATAATGGGTTGCCACTCCCAGCGCGGTGAAAAAGAGACTTGGCATTTTGTTTTCTCAGCCCAGATAGAGATATAAGACAAATTATTCCATCTACACATTTTTGCTTTTCACTTTATATTCTGATTTAAAAGTACAAGGAATGAGGCACGTTAGACGCTCAATAACATTAAGTTCCCAAACTGGTGGCTATTCCATTGTCCCCGGGTATGTAATATTTTACAATAAATCTCTATTATAACATTTTAAGTGATTTATCACGTTAGCAATGACGCCCAGCCATCTAATCATTGGAAACGGAACTTAAATTTAGAGTTTGTTAAAACAAAACACCGGAACCGCACCGGGGACCATATTTAGAGTAACGCCTTAATAATGCGCATGAGTCTCCGGCAGGGCTGTGAAGGTTTCCGGGAAGCCAGCCAATCATTCCCAACGGAAACTCAGTAGCGGCATTTTCAACTGGATAAACTGGCCTTAGTCCCGCCTTCTCGTTCCAGAGTTTTGTGCGAAGGAAACCGATGGGGATCGGAACCGTAGCGGTTGAGCTGCTGCTGCTACGGATATCTGACAGAAGCCTTCGGTGGTTGTCGGCCTAATGAGCGGACGGCAAAGAACGCTTTTTCAGACGTGGGGCTCAAGTATCTCCCGATCATCTGGGACTCCGGGTTGCAGCTCCGGAACTGAGCGACCTCAGAGCCCTGGCAGCTCCAAGGCGCCTTTGCCAGCAGCAGCGGAGGCTCAGCTGGAGTCGGACGATGATGTGTTGCTTGTCGCGGCGTACGAGGCTGAGCGGCAGTTGTGTCTAGAGAATGGCGGGTTCTGCACCTCCGCGGGCGCCCTGTGGATTTACCCTACCAATTGCCCAGTGCGGGACTACCAGCTGCACATTTCCCGGGCTGCTCTGTTTTGCAATACGCTGGTGTGTCTGCCTACCGGACTGGGAAAGACCTTTATTGCCGCCGTGGTCATGTACAATTTCTACCGCTGGTTCCCTTCAGGAAAGGTGGTCTTCATGGCCCCAACGAAACCCTTGGTGACACAGCAGATCGAGGCTTGCTACCAGGTGATGGGTATCCCGCAATCCCACATGGCCGAAATGACAGGTATCTTAGACTGGACTAATTTTGAAGTAAGAGCTGGGAATTCCTGACCCATGTGGAATAGTTCCCAAGCTACAACATGTGCATCTTACGCCCTCCCTCTTAAAACATTCTCTACTTGCAGCAAGCCCAAAACTGATGAATAGGGTTGCTTTATTCAATCTTCAGAGAATATCTGCAGCTTGTCATAGTATTTTGAAGCTATTATGTGCGTATACCCCATGGGTAACTGAACATGATATTTCCTGGCATTCTTCCTGAAAAAGATTTCTCAGTTGAAGAATTTGCCTCTCTTCAAATATGCCATTTTGTAGGAATTTTCTAAAGACAATTTGGTTGTAGTCCTAGATAAGTGCCAGCTTTGATATTTGGACCACACCAGAACTTTAAAATGTAGCATTCCGATGAATTGTCAAATTGTTTTTCTCTTAATGTTACCAAAGCATGTTTGCATTCTGAAAAAGCCAGACTATTTATATTTTATAGATAACAGTCTGAAGTTTAGAATGTAGAATGTCACTTTTATTTTCAGGGTCTACACAAGCTTCCACCAGGAAGGAAATATGGTGCAGTAAGAGAGTGCTTTTTCTTACACCTCAGGTCATGGTAAATGACCTTTCTAGAGGAGCTTGTCCCGCTGCTGAAATAAAGTGTTTAGTTATTGATGAAGCTCATAAAGCTCTCGGAAACTATGCTTATTGCCAGGTAATAATTTTGTTAAACGGTATTTTGTATTGTAACTGTACTGTTAAAGAGAATTTTGGCGAATAGTTACTAGTGATGGAAGTTATTGACAATATTATTATAAAAAGCCTTTACGTCTATTATCTCAGAACAGATGGTGATAAAGAATATCTGTACTTTCTGTCATCCATTCAAATCAGTGTCTTCACTGCCTTTTGCTGTTATTGTTGTTTTCTTTTTCTTTTCTTCTATTTTAAGACTAACCAGATAATTAGTGTCAGATGTAGATCATGAGAGCCTAGTCATGGTTGGGACAGTGATCTAAAATAGGGTATGAAAGGAGTTTTGAAATTAATAAAGATTGGTAGTGGATATGCGGTGTCTCTTCTTGGCGGCTAGGTAAAATAATGACATAATGTATGCCACATACCTAACACAGTGCCTTCCAGTTGAGTACTCCAGGAATATAAAATAAGATGAAGTAGTGGGATGTGGTTGCAAACATCATTCATATCTTTGCACTGAATGAAGTTGACTTTCTGTTTCCCTCTTCTCCTAAGGGGGATTTTGCCTCTTCTACTCAAGGTCCAGGTCATTAATATTTTATGCTTAATAGTTTGAAAGCCTTTGTAGGCCATAGGGGATAAAGGTGGTGGGGACTCATTAAAAAATGTTTGGCTGGGATAACACTTAAGATTTGAAAGAGATTAGAGAGAAGAAGGCTAAAGACAGAGTATCTAATGAGGGGTAGAAGGGATGTAGGATGACTTCCAGATTTCTGACTTGGAAAACTGTGAAGATTGTGAGTTCTGGGTGGAGAGCAGGTTTAGGGGGAACGTGGAAAGATGATTTAGATGTGTTGAGTTTGAGGTGTCTATGAGGAATTCAGCTGTAGATATTCATTAGGCGATACTTGATAGAAGTATGGATCTTGCTGGAGAGTTCTGAGGTAGATAGAGATACAGATTTGGAAATTATAAACATATAGATGGTAGTTAAAACTATAGTAGTTGGTGATGATAGGAGGAGATTATAGAGCAAGAATAAAAGAGGGAAAGGTAGGGAAAGTTAATTTCATTTAGGGCAAAGACATGAATTTCTCTGCCAGTTTTTGAATTTGTATAGTCATTTCTTTGGGGACTGTAAACGTTATTGTATTATATCTCTGTATTAGGGATAATTGTCATCTTTTTTAATAATTGATCTTCCTAATTATATTCAGGAAATGAATATAATATATTTTTCCACTTATTGATATCATTCCAAATTAAATTAATACATAGCATGTTAAAAATTTCCATCTGAGAGGGGCATTTAAAAAATTTTAGCTTGAGGCCAGGAGTTTGAGATCAGCTTGGGCAACATAGTGAGACCCTGTGTCTACAAAAATGAAATGAAATAATAAAACACTTAAAAATTTTTTAAAATTCAAACTGTATGGAATACGTTTTGAAGATTTAGCTGGTAATTATTTTATTTTCAAAACATTTCTAGGCATTAGATTTTTTTTTAACAGCAAGGCTTTATGAATATAATGAAACATGCATTGACTTCATTAATAACCAGACAGCCCTGACAGCTTACACCGCATTGAATATTCCAGATATACATTCCAATAGGTACACCTGCTCCATGAGGCACACACCACCATTTCCTCTTCTACAAGATGCTTGAGAATTCTTCGTGAAAAGAAGTAATGTATTTGGCTTACTTTTCATATGTAATAGTTCTGGAAGGCATATTGATACATGTGCCATATAACAACAAAATGATTTCACTCAAAACTGCCTCACAATCTGAAAGAACACTTTGAATTTTGGCTATCATACAAAACATTTTTAAAAGCATCAATCCAGTAAGCAATCTTTTTGTCTTCCTTACTGCACTCATGACTTTTCAAAAATCCTTCTATTATATGTAAGGACCATCACTTCTAGCATTAAGCTAAACTGAAAATGGTCACTAGGGATATTTTATCTTGCATCAGTTTTTAATTATAATTTTACTTGTTTCTGAAGAATAATAAGTATAATGTTATGTCTTCATATGCAATCTGTACCATATTTTTAAAAGCTCGATAAATATTTTTTCAGTATTAATCAAGATTCAGTGTTAGTCTCATTGGATTTGTTTTTGTCTTGGGTTGAAATTGGAGTGATTTTTGGATAATCTGGTTTTATTGTTTAATCCTGTGTTTAATTTGGGAACTATGGTATACTGAGAGCTGTTCCTGCAAATCAGTCTACTTGGAAGTGCATTTTCCTCTGTATTGGGAAATGAAGTGGTATATGGGAATCTGGCAAATTATCCCAGTATTAATCATACTAGAATGGGTGTCGAGTTCAAACCAGAAAGTGCAGATGGTGGTTTGGTGCTACCGAGGAAATGTTTTAGGATTTAAAAGGAAATTTAGATTTTAAAGATTACCTCAAATGACTATATTTTTTAATGAATACACTTAATTTATATATTGTGAGCTGGGCGCAGTGGCTTGAACCTGTAATTCCAGCACTTTGGAAGGCCAATGCCAGGGATCACTTGAGGCCAGGAGTTCAAGACTGGCCTGGGCAGGGTGACTCTGCCTCTACAGAAAGTGAAAAAATTAGCTTTCACTACATTACAGGTATGCTGGCGCATACCTGTAGCCCCAGCTGCTTGGGAGGCCAAGGCAGGAGGATCACTTGAGCCCCAGAGGTTGAGGCTACAGTGAGCTATGATGGATGGCATCACTGTGCTCCAGCCTGGGTGACAGAGTAAGACCCTGTTTCTAAAAAAAAAATTTTTTGTGAGCTTTCCACATAAAATGTAACTTAAAAAAAAATCTTTCCCAAAATTTCAAATATAATTTCGTATTGCTATTTAAAATTCTGTGCAGTTTTATCTGTTAAGATTTCTCTTAATCTGTCAAGTGTGCATATGGGTATAGCCGTAAGGCTGAACTGTGGCCCAGACAATGGAAACTGAACTTTCTTCCTCTTCCATTTGACCTTAAAGCAGTCCTTTTGAGTTTTTTTTTTTCTTTTGTAGAGACCAGGTTTCACCATGTTGCCCAGGCTGGTCTTGAACTCTTGAGCTAAAGTGAACCACCCACCTTGGCCTCCCAAAAGTGTTGAGATTACAAGCGTGAGCCACTGTGCCCAGCACCTTTGAGTATTTTGATTTGCCCTTTGAGTATTTTGATGTTGCAGTTTTTTCTGTAGAAGAAGCCCTACTGTGTTCTTGATCAGCATAGAGAATAAACCTAAATCATTTGCTCTTCAGATAATATAACTGGTGGTAGTTCACTCACTAGACCATCAATATACTGATGAAGGAATAATGATAAGGGACCATGTATAATAGGTTGTTTAACAGAACCACTGTTATTTTTGCATTGAACAGATGAAACTAAAGAACTTTTTTTTTCTTAAGGTTGTAAGAGAACTAGTCAAATATACAAATCACTTTAGAATCTTGGCTCTAAGTGCCACACCAGGTAGTGATATAAAGGTAAGTAAAATGTTTTTCCATTTATTACAGTTAAGAAAATAAAGCTTTTGGCCAGGTGCAGTGAGTCATACCTGTAATCCTAGTGCTTTGGGAGGTGGAGATGGGAGGATCACTTGAGGCCAGGAATTCCAGACCAGCCTGGGCAACATGGTGAGACCTATCTCTACAAAAAATTAAAAAAATAGTGAGCATGGTGGCACACATCTGTAGTCCCAGCTACTCCAGAGGCTGAGTCAGGAAGATTGCTTGAGCTTAGGAGATGGAGGCTGCAGTTAGCTATGATTGCCACTGTGCTGCAGCCTTGGTGACAGAGCAAGACCCGTAATCCCAGCACTCTGGGAGGCCAAGGTGGGCGGATCACAAGGTCAGGAGATCCAGACCATCCTGGTTAACACGGTGAAACCCGGTGTCTACCAAAAATACAAAAAATTAACCGGGCGTGGTGGTGGGCACCTGTAGTCCCAGCTACTCAGGAGGCTGAGGCAGGAGAATGGCGTGAACTCGGGAGGCGGAGCTTGCAATGAGCCAAGATCTAGCCACTGCACTCCAGCCTGGGCGACAGAGCGAGGCTCCGTCTCAAAAAAAAAAAAAAAAAAAAAGAAAGCAAAAAACAAAAAACATAAATGAATAATCCAAATAATAAGAACTTTTATATGGGGCCAGATCAGTTTTCCATTTTGGTATTTATCTAGTTTAACATGAGAACTACAACATTTCCTACAACCTGCCTAGCTTTTTTTCAGTGGTTGCAGGACTCCCCTCCCCTCCCCTCCCCTCCCCTTTCTCCTCTGTTCTCCTCCCCCTCCCCTCCCCTTCCTCCTCCCTGTTCCCTTCCCCTTACCTTACGTTCCCCTCCTTTCCTCTCCTTTCCTTTCTTTCTTTCTCTTTTTTTTTTTTTTGACGGAGTTTTGCTCTTGTTACCCAGGCTGGAGTGGAATGGCATGACCTTGGCTCACTGCAACCTCCGCCTCCTGGATTCAAGCGATTCTCTTGCCTCACCCTCCCGAGTAGCTGGGATTACAGGCGTCCATCACCACGCCTGGCTAATTTTTGTATTTTTAGTAGACACGGGGTTTCACCATGTTGGCCAGCTGGTCTCCAACTCCTGACCTCAGGTGATCTGCCGGCCTCAGCCTCCCAAAGTGCTGGGATTTCAGGCGTGAGCTACTATGCCCAGCCCAGGAGTTTCTTTAAGTTAGTAGTTTTCAGACTGCAGTGTGCATAAGAATCCCTAAAACCTGTTAAAAATACAGGATATTTTTAAATAGTAAAATGATTTTTAAAAGTTGTTACTGTTTTCAGTTTTTTAAAGTTTTGTTTGGAAATAACTTTAGATTGCCAGAAAAATTGCAAAAATAGAAGTCTTCGTTTGGTCCTCTCCCGTCTTCCCCTAATGTTAACGTATCATATAACCATAATAAAATTATCAAAGCCAGAAAATTAGCATTGCTATACCAGTAACTAATCTGCAGATCTTGTCTGAATTTTGCCAGTTTTCCCACTGATGTACTTTTCTGCTCCAGGGTTCAGTCTGTGATCTCACATTGTGTTGTCATGGCTTCTTAGTCCCTTCTAATCTGTGATGGTTCCTCTTTTTTCTTTTTTTTTTTTTTTTGAGACGAAGTCTCGCACTGTTGCCCGGGCTGGAGTGCAATGGCATGATCTCGGCTCACTGCAACCTCCACCTCCCAGGTTCAAGCTATTCTCCTGCCTCAGCCTCCTGAGTAGCTGGGATTACAGTCACCCGCCACCATGCCCGGCTAATTTTTTGTATTTTTAGTAGAGACAAGGTTTCACTATGTTGGCCAGGCTGGTCTCGAGCTCCTGACCTCGTGATCCACCCGCCCCGGCCTCCCAAAGTGCTGGGATTACAGGTGTGAGCCACTGTGCCCGGCCGCTTCCTCTTTTTTCTTGTTTTCCATGACCTTGATGCTTTTGAAGTGTAGGTGCCAGATATTTTGTAGAATATCCCTCAATTTGGGTAAGTCTGATGTTTTCTCATGATGTGGTGACGTTATGCATTTGCTAACAATAATCCAGAAGTGATGCTGTACCTTTCTCAGCATATCCTATCAGGGAATAGATGATGTTGCTTTGCCTTTTTTACTTGTGTTGTAATCTTGACTTAGTTAAGATGATGTCTTCTTGGTTTCTTCATTGTAAAATTACTGTTATTCCCTTTGTAATTAATAACTGTCTTGTGGGGGAAATACTTTGAGACTATGTAAATAATCCTGTTTTAGCATCCAGTGGTGGTTCTTGGCTTGCAACAATTATTGTTGTGGTATTTGCCTAATCATTCTTTCTCTCTTTTATATGCATTAATTTGAATTCTTCTGCAATAAAGATTTTTTTTCCTTCTGTGGGCCACAGTCCAATACTATTTTATCAATTTTATTAAGATTGTTCCAGCTTTGTCTGTTAGGAGCTCCTTCAAGCTCCTGTGTCCTTTAGACATGCACTTTTTTTTTTTTTTTTTAAACAGGGTCTCACTGAGTCCTCCAGGCTGGAGGGCAGTGCACAATAATACTCACTGCAGCTAAATTTCCCAGGCTCAGGTGGTTCTCCCACGTCAGCCTCCTGAGGAGCTGGGACTACAGGTGCCTGCCACCACACCCAGCAAATTTTTGTATCTTTTGTAGAGACAGGGTCTCCCATTGTTGCCCAGGCTGGTCTAGAACTACTGGTCTCAAACTCCTGGGCTCAAGTGATCCACCTGTCTCAGCCTCTCAAAGTGCTGGGATTATTGGCATGAGCCACCATACCTTGCCACTCTTTCTTTTGATGCTTCTGTAACTTTCTGACATCATAAGATACATTATGCTCCTTTAGTATTTTTTCGGCCCAGCCATGGAATCAACAGTATGTCTGGGAAATTCTGGTTTCCTTTATTGAAGAATGGTAAAAATGCAGATTTTGAGACCTGTCCTATAATATTCTGATTTTAGTAGCTCTGAACGGTCTTCCATATTGAGTAAGGATTTTTTTTTTTTTTTTTTTTTGAGACAGAGTCTCGCTTTGTCACCCAGGCTGGAGTGCAGTGGCGCGATCTCGGCTCACTGCAACCTCTGCCTCCCGGGTTCAAGCCATTCTCCTGCCTCAGCCTCCTAAGCAGCTGGGATTACAGGTGCCCACCACCATGCTCAGCTAATTTTTGTATTTTTAGTGGAGACGGGGTTTCACCATGTTGGTCAGGCTGGTCTCGAACCCCTGACCTCGTGATCTACCCACCTCAGCCTCCCAAAGTGCTGGGATTACAGGCGTGAGCCACCACGCCCGGCTTGAGTAAGGATTTTATTGGATACATTCTGTGGCAGCCTTTTAAAACTTTTTTTTTTTATTTTTATGGGTACATAGTAGGTATATATATTTATGGTATATATGAGATATTTTGATACAGGCATGCAGTGCATAATAATCACATCAGGCTAATGGGGTATCCATCACCTTAAGCATTTATTCTTTTTGTTACAATCCAGTTATACTCTTTTAGTTATTTTAAAATGTAAACTTATTACTGACTATAGTCACCCTATTATGCTATCAAATATTAGATCTTATTTATTCTATTTTTTTGTACCCATTAATGTAGTGTCCCCTCCACCCCCCTCGCCCACTACCCTTCCCAGCCTCTGTAATCATCCTTCTACTCTCTATCTCTATGAGTTCAATTACTTTAATTTTTAGCTCCCACTAAAAAGTTAGAACGTGTGAAGTTTGTCAGCAAGTTCCTCCAGGCCCCGGGCAAGTCCAGAGATGCCATCTAGGAGCCAGAAACTAGAGTCAGAAACCTTAGAAATCTACCTTGTGCTCTATACTACTGCAGCTAAGCTTGCACTCAAAGCACAAGATGAAGTCCTTCTCACTCTTTCTTTCCACAGGCAGAGGAGCCTCTCCCCATGGTCACCACTACCATAGGCCCATGAGGTGTACTGCCAGTCTACTGCTGATTTTCATTTAAGGCCCAAGGACTCTTCAGTCAGCTTGTGCTGAATGCTGCCAGGCCTGGGACTCACCCTTCAGAGAAGTGGGTTCCCCTCTGGCCTGGGACAGTTTCAGAAATGCTGTTCAAGAGTCAAGGCCTGGAATCAGGTCCCCAAGAGCCCATTTGTTGCCCTTCCCCACTGTGGCTGAGCTGGTACCTGAGGTGTAAGACAAAGTCTCCTTTACTTCTGCTTTTCTCAAGCAGAAGTTTCTCATCATAGCCATCATTGCTAGAGATGTGCTGGGTTTCACTGGAAGCCAGCATGTCTAAGAGTCTCACCCAAGGCCCATGACATATTACCTGGGTATTGCTGATGGTTATTTAGGGCCCAAGGGCTCTTTAGTCAGCAGGTAATGAATCTTGCCAGGACTGTGTTCTTCCCTTCAAGGTAGCGGGTTTCCTTCTGGCCCAGGGTACGTCTAGAAAAGTTGTCAGGGAGCTAGGGTCAGGAACGGAGACCTCATGACTCTGCCCTGTCCTGTTGTGGCTGAGCTGATATCCAGGATGCAAGACAAAGTCCTCTTTACTCTTCCCTCTTTTTTCCTCAAGCAGAAGGAAGGAGTCACTTTCGTTTATGTGAGCTGCCCAGACTGGGGTTGAATGAAGGGTGGTGCAATCACTCCTTTAACTGTCCCACCTGGTGTCTCACTAGGTCACGTGCCCCCCATGTTCATCGTCTCCAGAGCATTTGCAGGAACTTAAGTTCCAACCACTAGGATGGGGAATTCCCTTCTAGCTAGGGCTGGTCTAAATTCTCCTTCTGTGGTGGCATTGACTGAGTTCCACCTGGTTTTGCTTTTCACTGTGACAGAGCAACACTTAGTTCAATGCACAGTCTCCCAGAAACTGCACTCTCCTTCCCCCAGGTTCTTAGATTCTTTCTCCACACCACAGGGCCTCTGGGGGATGAGGGAGGGGTGGTGTCCATGATTCAAGATTGTGTTTCCTGGCTGAGCGTGGTGGCTCACACCTGTAATCCCAGCACTTTGGGAGGCCAAGGCAGGCGGATCAGGAGGTCAGGAGATCGAGACCACACTGGCTAACACAGTGAAACCCCGTCTCTACTAAAAAATACAAAAAAATGGCCGGGCGCGGTGGCTCACGCCTGTAATCCCAGCACTTTGGGAGGCCGAGGCGGGCGGATCACGAGGTCAGGAGATCGAGACCATCCCGGCTAAAACGGTGAAACCCCGTCTCTACTAAAAATACAAAAAATTAGCCGGGCGTAGTGGCGGGCGCCTGTAGTCCCAGCTACTTGGGAGGCTGAGGCAGGAGAATGGCGTGAACCCGGGAGGCGGAGCTTGCAGTGAGCCGAGATCCCGCCACTGCACTCCAGCCTGGGCCACAGAGCGAGACTCCGTCTCAAAAAAAAAAAAAGAAAAAAAAAATACAAAATATTAGCCGGGCGTGGTGGTGGGCACCTGTAGTCCCAGCTACTCGGGAGGCTGAGGCAGGAGAATGGCGTGAACCCGGGAGGCAGAGCTTGCAGTGAGCCGAGATCATGGCATGGCACTCCAGCCTGGGTGACAGAGTGAGACTCCGTCTGAAAAAAAAAAAAAAAAAAAGGATTGTGTTTCCTACCTCAAAGTGCCTCTTTTAGCAATATGAAGTGAATACCAGGTACTGTGATTGCTCACTTGATTTTTGGTTCTTATGAAGGTGCTTTTTTTGTGTAGATAGTTGTCAAATTTGATGTTCTGTGTGGGCGATTATCTGTATTTCCATCTTGCTCCATGCTTCCAATGATAGCTTTTAACTCTTGCAAGCTGCAAGACTTTTTTCTTCTATCCTTTTTTTTGATGAGCTTAGAAATTCTATCCTATCTCTGGTTTTCTCCCTGACCTCGTTTAAACATTCATGTTTTTCAGTCAGCTTAAAAATGTCATCCCCCTTTGGGAGGCCGAGGCGGGTGGATCACGAAGTCAGGATATCGAAACCATCCTGGCCAACATGGTGAAACCCCGTCTCTACTAAAAAAAATACAAAAAATTAGCCGGGCATGGTGGTGGGCACCTGTAGTCCCAGCTACTCGGGAGGCTGAGGCGCAAGAATGGCGTGAACCTGGGAGGCGGAGCTTGCAGTGAGCCGAGATCGCGCCACTGCATTCCAGCCTGGGCGACAGAGCAAGACTCTGTCTCAAAAAAAAAAAAAAAAAAAAAAAAAAGTCATCCCTTCAGAAAGGTCTATTCTAACTAAGCTATCTTGTCAGTGTTCCTTATTTTGTTATTTTCTTCTTAACATTTGTGATAATTGGTCATTCTTTTGCGTATTGATTATTTTGGTCTTTCAGCGCCAGTAAAATATCAGCTACATGAATGTAGGGATTATGCCGATTTTGGTCGTTTCTCTGTCATTAACTCAATACCTGGCATGTGGGAGTTACTCATGTATTTCTTTCATGAATGAACTATTAAAAGCAATAAGCTTAATTTTATAAAATGGTCACAAATGTATTCTAGATTTTGAATACGTATAGGCCGCCAGTGATTATGGTGTGCCGTATTGGGCACTGCGCCAGGTATTGGGAATACCAAGATATGATTCTTGCCCCAGGCTGTTCCCCGCCCCCCCCAAAACCAAGCCCTCAAAGCTTTCTTTTTTTCTTTTCTTTTTCTTTCTTTCTTTTTTTTTTGGAGACAGGGTCTTGCCCTGTCACCCAGGCTGGAATACAGTCGCAACTGTAGTTCACTCACTGCAGCCTAGAACTCCTGTGTTCAAGTGATACTTCAGCAGGTGCTTGCCACTTCGCCAGCAATTGTCATTTTTTTTGTAGATATGGGGTCTCACTATGTTGCCCAGGGTGGTTTCAAATTCCTGGCTTCAAGCAGTCTTCCCAACTTGGCCTCCCACAGCCCTGGGATTACACCCTTAGGCGTGAGCTGCTGCCCGGCCTAAACCCACAAGGCTTTCTATTTTTGTTTGGACACCATGGCTCACACCTTTAATCCCAGCACTTTAGGAGGCCAAGGTGGGCGGATCACAGAAGTCAGGAGTTAGAGACCAGTTAGGCCAACATGGTGAAACCCCATCTGTACCCAAAATACAAAAATTAGCTGGGCATGGTGACATATGCCTGTAGTCCCAGCTATTCAAGAGGCTGAGGCAGGAGAATCGCTTGAACCCGGGAGTCAGAGGTTGCAATAACCTGAGATAGATTGTGCCATTGCACTGCAGCCTGGGCGACAGAGGGAGGTTCCAAACCGCCCCCCCCCCAAAAAAAAAGCCGGGCGTGATGCCTCACACCTGTAATCCCAGCACTTTGGGAGGCCAAGGTGGGCGAATCATGAGGTCAGGAGTTCGAGACCAGCCTGGCCAACATGGTGAAACCTCATCTCTACTGAAAATACAAAAAATTAGCTGGGTGTAGTGGCAGGCGCCTGTAATCCCAGCTACTGGGGAGGCTGAGGCAGGAGAATCGTTTGAACCTGGGAGGCGGAGGTTGCAGTTAGCCGATATCGTGCCACTGTGCTCCAGCCCGGGTGACAGAACGAGGCACCGTCTCAAAAACACACACACACACACACACACACACACACACACAAAACAACTTTTAATTTTTACATACTCTCAGGATCCTCTCTTTTTTTTTTCTTTTTAATTGTTAATCGCACTGTCAGTACCATAGTCTCCTGCTACAGAATACAACAGATTATATGTTTTTTCTCCAGTTTCCTAATTTTACAATGAAGTCTCTTTATAAGCTTTGGGTACATGAAATTTAGTCCTGGAAATATATTCACATCATATATGTTGATTTAAATGGAAAATATTCTACTAATTTATCAATAATTGATTGAGTATTGCTAATCTGAAATTTTTGTCTGAGTCTTTATAAAGACTCTATTTGTAAAGTACCAAACTACATTTGAGGAACTTTTTGGACATTTACAAATATTCTTATTTCTCGGATGCTTGGCTTGAAGGTCTGTGTGGGGAAAAGATGTTTCGGAAGCACTTTTCACCTGTTGTGCTACTTCTGATGTACTTTTTTTATAGGCTTATCTTCTTTCTTTTTTGTTACTTAATGATATAAATTTCTGGTGCTTCTTTCAAAATTTTACTGCTATTTTATTTCTGTTAGTGACTTAAACTAAAAAATTTTAACATGTAGTTTATAATCATACTTAATTGATTTCATATAGGCTGTGCAACAAGTTATTACTAACCTGCTAATTGGGCAGATAGAGCTTCGTTCTGAAGATTCTCCAGATATTTTGACATATTCTCATGAAAGAAAAGTTGAAAAGCTTATTGTTCCGCTTGGTGAAGAACTTGCAGCCATCCAAAAGACCTATATCCAGGTAAACCATTTTTATGACATTTAGGGATTTCATAAATAAACTGGTAATTGAATTATTTCAGCTAACAGGATTTGGATGTGATAATATAGTTATCTTATTTTTATATAATTGATATGTTGAAAAAATTCTTTGAAGTTAAAATTTTTGGAATGAGCACTGTGTTTTGTATGTACTAGCAAACTGTTATTGAAAGGGAAAATACAAAAGATGGGCCATTTGTAAAGCAAATAATAGCCTTACATGGTTTTGTATTTTTTTAAGTAAACCTTATAACTGGAATATAGAACATGCACACACACACACACACACACACAAACAGCAAAAGTAGACAAAGCATAAGTGTATTGCTCAGTGAATTTTCACAAATTGCACACACCCGTAACATGAACACGTACTGAGATTCAGCCAGAAGTTTCTTTGTTTTCTTTTTGTTGTTTTTTGTTCAGCTCACTGCAGCTTCCACCTCCCTGGTTCAAGCAGTTCTCCTTAGCCTCCCAAGTAGCTGGGATTACAGGCACATGCTACCACATCTGGCTAATTTTTATATTTTTGAATAGAGACGAGGTTTCACCTTGTTGGCCAAGCTGGTCTTGAACTCCTGACCTCAAGTGATTTTCCTGCCCCGACCTCCCAAAGTGCTGGGATTACAGGTGTAAGCCACCATGCGCCCGGCCCCCAGAAGTTTCTTTGTATTGAAATATATTTTCACTGTTGTCCTCCCTGATCTTTATGCAGCAGTGCTTTTCATCTGGAAATTACTTCACCTACCTGGCAACATTTGGCAATGACTTGACACATTTTTGGTTCTTACAACAACAACAACAACAACAAAAAGGCAGGAGAGAAGGGGGAGGTAACAGGTGAAATGTGGAGTTATTATTGGCATCTAGTATATGGAGGCCAGGAATCAGCTAAACATCCTACAATGGATAGGACAGCAACCCCACAACAAAGAATTATCTGGCTCAAATGTCAATATTATAGCTGTTAAGGACCTGCTTAGACAATTGTCATTTTCACTGGGAGAAATTTGTGGTAACACATTGTTTTTCTGTAGTTCATAATTAGTGTCATGGTTGAACAACATGGTTTCACATTTTCATTGCCATGGATTAAAGATGGTTACAGAAATAGATAACCAAAAAGTTATCTGTCACTTAATCTATAGTAAGCCTTTCTTAAAGAGACATTTTGTAGTAATACAGCTTTTTTGTTTTTAAATTGTTTGTAACAAAATTCTAAGCATTATTGAGTTAAGATATGGCAAAGTCTTTTTGTAATTGTCTCTTTGATACTAGTGCATTTTTAATTGAAAATCATTCCATTTATAACAATGTAAATATGATAATTCTTATAATCATATACAAATGTAATTTAATTTTGTTAGTATTTTTAGAGTGCCTTATTAGGCAGTATGATCAGCAAAGTTGGAAGGGAGGAAAAAAAATGTATTAAACTAGCCATAATTTAGAAAATACAAATTAGGCAAAAATTTAAACACTTACATACTGCGGTAGTAGGTCTTCATCTATAGGTCTCCTTTTGTGCCATTAAGCTCATTTCCGCCTCAGGACTTTTTGTTTGCTGTCTCCTCTCTCTGGAATCCTTTGTCCTTAGAACCTCACATGGTAGACATACCTTATCATTCACATGTGAACTCAAATGTTCTCTTCTCAAAGAGAGTCTTTGTTCACCTTATTTAATAATGATCCCTTTCCTCTCAAAGACTCTACAGCATTATTGTGTTTTAGATTCTTAAATGCATTTGTTATAATGAAAATGATCTACTTTCTTTGTTCGCTTCTTTATTCTTCGGTTCCCTCCATTGGAATGTAAACTATATGAGAGCAGTGACAAATAAAGTCTTAGCCACACTATCCCCAGCATTTAGAACAGTGCCTGTTACATAGTAGATGGTTAATAAATATTTGTTGAAAAAAATGCATCAGTGAGTAAAATTAAATATATTCAGGACATTTCAATTTATTCAGTACTTTACAAACTACTCTACAAATATCTGCTGAGGACCTAAGTGCCAAACTGGTCTAGATACTGAGGATGTAACAGTGCAGAAATCAAAGGTCTTCGTTCATGGTACTTACACTTAGATTATAGTGTGTGTAGGTTGAGAGAGAGAGGAGTTAAGAAATAAACAGATAAACGAATGTGTTGTTAAATTACAGTTGTATATAATAATTGCTTATGTTGATTTTTATATGGATATTATTTGGGGATAGATGTCAAGTAGTTTTAAATGTTATCATTGCTGAGTTTACTTAAACATTCATTGTAAGACAAACTTTATTAAATATATAATTCCTATTTTAATATGTGAGAAAATGATTGTACTTGAAAAAGGACTTTAGAGCAAGCTTAAACTAGATTGCTTTTAAATTTGCAGATTTTGGAATCATTTGCTCGTTCTTTGATTCAGAGGAATGTTTTGATGAGAAGGGATATCCCAAATCTAACAAAATATCAGATAATTCTGGCAAGAGATCAGTTTAGGAAAAACCCATCTCCGAATATTGTGGTAGGTATTTTTAAATAAATTTTGATGACAGATTAAATTTTCACTGAAAGCCAGGATAAAACATAGGTAATGATATTTTGGGTACCTATTAGCTCATCAATAATTGAAAAATGAGGCCGAACACAGTGGCTGATGCCTGTAATCCTAACAGTTTGGGAGGCCAAGGTGGGAGGATCACTTGAGCCCTGGAGTTCAGGACCAGCCTGGGCAACATAGTGAGGCCCTGTCTCTGCAAATGTAAAAGAAATAGCCAAGTGTGGTGGTATGTACCTACTCAGGAGCCTGAGGCAGGGTAGGATTGCTTGAGCCTGGGTGGTCGAGGCTGCAGTGAGCTGTGATTGCAGCATTGCATTCTAGCCTAGGTGACAGAGTTAGACCTGTCTTAAAAAAAAAAAAAAAAAAAAAATCAGAAATGTTTATATAGTTTATAAAAGCATGAGAAAAATCTGCAAGAATACAATGTAATGATTTGAATTAGGATAAATTTTACCTTTTAACTTTTTCTTTTTTTTTTTTTTGAGACAGAATTTCGCTCTATTGCCCAAGCCGGTGTGCAGTGGTGTGACCTTGGCTCACTGTAACCTCTGCCTCTCAGGTTCAAGCAAGTCTTGTGCCTCAGCCTCCCTAGTAGCTGGGACTACAGGCACGCATCACCACGCCTGGCTAATTTTTGTATTTTTTAGTAGAGAGAGGGTTTCATCATGTTGGCCGGGCTGGTCTCGACCTCCTGACCTCAGGTGATCTGCCTGTCTCGGCCTCCCAGAGTGTAATCCCAAAGATTACAGATGTGAGCCACAGTGCCCAACCTTTCTTTTTAACTTTTAAGAAGAATTTGTCTTTTAGTCTATTTATTTTGTAAAGTCTCAAAGCCATGAGAAGGTAGATTGTAACTGAATTTTAGACACAGAACATTTATTCTTACTCTCAATACCAGAGTTTGAAGGAAGCATCACAGCAAGCTTCTTATTTCTAACCTGCATTGGAAAAAAATAAATGGATAAAAAAATATCTATCAAACTAGGTCCAAAGTCAGAGAAGACACTCATAGACACAAAAAAGGGCACCGAGTCGATCTTTGAACTGATAGGGAATGCCTGTGCAAAAGAACAGAGGCAATTGAATTAAAGCATGTGGGAGACAGTGAGCAGACCAATTTGGCTGAGGATTTGGAAACTGGATATGATAATATAGGTTGTACTACATGAGAGTAGCTTTAAGTATTATACCACGAAACCGGATATGATAATATAGGTTGTGACTACATGAGAGTAACTTTAACTATTATACCACGAAATGTGGTCTTTATCATATAGTATCTGGGGAAGCACTAAAGGAGTCTTTTCTGCAAAATTATAGTATATTATTATTTAAAACTTTAAAAAGATGTTTTGATTTCTGCTAGGAAATAGTAAATCTAAACCTGTTGAACTAGATCTTAACTGGAACTGGTGAGAGGTAATTAGGGTACCATTTTAGGGCATTTGTTAGTATCCTGGAATATTTAAAATCACTAACATTGATGTTAAGTGCTACTAAAAATGTTAGAAAACAGTAGTCTTCATCTCAAAGGAAAATAATTAGAATATGTTCTCCATGCTCTCCTTAAAAACTATCTTATCAGATAGATACACATACCATGTACTTCCATAAAGGAATGTGTCCTTCATTTTTCCATGAGAGTAGTGGTTGAAAGCACAAGGCCTCTTAGCCAAAATTCCTGGGTCTAAATAGTGGTTCTGCTACTTAACATTTGTATGAGCTTCCTCATCTATAAAATGAGCATAACATAGCTACCTGCTAGATACTAAGATTAAGTGAATTGTGCAAGTAATGTGCTTAGAATAGTTTCTGGGGCTCAGTGTCAGATATTTTCACAGGACGTATACTTGGTATTAAAGGTTGGCATTAAAACAGTCTGATTAAATATTTGTACTTTTGCCAGTAACATTCATGAGGATAGGCCATATCTAACTTATTTCCCATTTCCATTGTATCTAGCTCAGTGCTTGACAGGTAGTAGATGCTTACTATATAGTTTTGAAAGAACAAATATATCTATATACTGCCAATTAATTTACCTGTAAAGAAAAACAATATAATTTTTTTTTCCTTTACTTATTATTTTTAAAATGTAAGTTTCCTGTTTAATTAAAGAAAAAGAAATAAAGGGGCAGATTTTACATACAAAATACATTGGTACCTTTCCATAGCAACATCCTATAAGATGACATTTAATAACCAATCGGTTATAGCAGTGTAGAAGGGAATGATGATTATGATCATTTGGATTATATTATAAATGTTACACTGACTATGGCCTGACAACTTGGGCATGGAGCATGTATGTTCATTTATTTCTCTGGTTAAATTTGACATATGCTGTTTTTCTAGGGAATACAACAAGGCATAATCGAGGGAGAGTTTGCTATTTGTATTAGTTTATATCATGGTTATGAATTATTGCAGCAAATGGGAATGAGATCATTATATTTCTTCCTTTGTGGAATTATGGATGGAACTAAAGGTAAATTATATCAAATTATTTAAAGAAATAATGACATGTATTATTTTGGCTAAAGACATATTGAAGGGCTGGGCACAGTGGCTCATTTCTGTAATCCCAGCACTTTGGGAAGCCGAGGTGGGTGGATCACTTGAGGTCAGGAGTTCAAGACCAGCCTGGCCAACATGGTGAAACCCTGTCTCTAATAAAAATACAAAAATTAGCTGGGTATGATGGTGCACGCCTGTAATCCCAGCTACTCAGGAGACTGAGGCGGGAGAATCGCTTGAACCCGAGAGGCAGAGGTTGCCTTGAGTCAAGATCATGCTGCTGCACTTCAGCCTGGGCAACAGAGTGAGACTGTCTTAAAAAAAAAAAAAAAAAAGACATATTAAAGAGTTTGGATTACTTAAAAATGATTTATTTTAAAAAGCATTGGAATAATTAACAAATGGCCATGTTTCTTTGTTTTTAATAAATTCCTGGAGAAAAGGAAACCATTCATTAATACATATATGAATGTAGAACTGCAAAAAGTTTCTGGTTTTCATGTTTACACTTGAAAAACTTACATTCATTGCTAAAGTTTAATTTCTTTTTAATAAATAATACATTTTATCAGTTTTATTATTATTTATTTGAAAACCTTTTCTTAATTTCTGAAGGGATGACACGGTCAAAAAATGAACTTGGCCGAAATGAAGACTTCATGAAACTCTATAATCATCTAGAGTGTATGTTTGCACGTACACGTAGTACTTCAGCAAATGGTATTTCTGCTATCCAACAAGGTCTGGTTTTTCTTTTAAAATTATGTATTGTGTTGTGTTTCTTAATCACAGTTAATTTTGAAATTTTGCTCCTTTGATGCAAATGTCTACAATTATTTATATTTTGTAGCAACAGATCTGTTAAATGTGTAAATATTTCATTTTTTAAGATTAATATATATTCAAATTTAAAGTTTATATGCTTTAAACAATGTTTAAACTTCTTCAAACAAGTTTACAAACTTTAAACATATAACAGATGTTGGTAATTGTTAGTGGTAGTAAAAATTCTCAGAACTATCAAAACCTGATTTATAGTTAGATATGTATTTTTGCTTTCTTTGCTACTGATTCCTCTTTAGGTTCTCTCAGAATGAAATTTTTATGAAAGTTCAAAGTTCATTTTACAGTAAGACTTACGTGCTACCTAGATGTTACCTCTGGTTTAAGTTTTTTAAAAATTAAAAAAAAATCCAACATATGCATTGGAAAAGATAACTTTCATATACATTAGTGTAATTGAATATGGAAAAAAACAGAAAAAAATTTTGATATTTTTGTTTTGTTCCAGGAGATAAAAATAAAAAATTTGTTTATAGTCATCCAAAGTTAAAGAAATTAGAAGAAGTTGTAATTGAACACTTCAAGTCATGGAATGGTAGGTCATATTTAGTAGCTTTAAGGCAAGACAAAGTTATTGCAAGAGGTAAAACTTTACTTATGGCTGGGTGCAGTGGTTCACACCTGTAATCCCAGCACTTTGGGAGGCCGAGGATCACGGGAGGTCAGGAGTTCAAGACCAGCCTGACCAACATGGTAAAACCCCGTCTCTACTAAAAATGCAAAAATTAGCCAGGCATGGTGGCACATGCTTGTAATCCCAGCTACTTGGGAGGCTGAGGTAGGAGAATCGCTTGAACCTGGGAGGTGAAGGTTGCAGTGAGCCGAGATTGTGCCATTGCACTCCAGCCTGGGCTATAAGAGCAAAACTTGAAATAAATAATCTCGAAAATAAAACAAACAAAGAAAAACCTTCAACCTATTAGTTTATTCTAACATTTCTTATGGAGAAGGTGGGCTTTTAATTAACTCTGGATAATGAATACTAAAAAGCTGTGAGAAATTTTGGAAGGGCTAGGGCAAGGGTGGTGGTGGGAATGTTAAGAATAAGGTACTATATAAGTTAGCATGGGGTAATATAAGGGAAGTGGAGAGTAAAACAATATATAGTACCAGTAAAAGAGTAAAGTAGATTAGGAGAGAGAGAGTTATAGAGGAGTGCTGTTTTATATAGCATGGTTATAGAAGACTTCTCTGTAGAGGGATATTTAAAGTGATGATGGAGATAAGGGAGGAAGCCTTGTGAGTTTTGGAGGCTGGGGGAGAGATAATTCCAAGCAGTAAAAATAGCAGATTCAAAGGCCTTGAGGTGGCAGTAGGGTGCTTGGTGTGATTAAACAGACCAGTGTGGTTAGATTGAGGCTACAAGTATGACTGAGCCTACAAGTGGTATAGATGAGAGGTATGCAGATAATATCAGACTTTAGTTTTTAATTTCTGAATATTTGTGCTTTGCAAAACCAAACAGAGGTATTTGTAGCAGTGGAATGACATGACATTTTAAGGATCACTCTGGTAGTTTTGTGGAGCATAGACATTGATAACCTAGAAAAGTATTACGATAGTCTTGGATGATGACACATAATAGTGGTGTTCATCAAGGCAATAGTGGTCAAGGTGCTGGGAGATAGATTCTAGATATATGTTCAAATTGGAGCCAACTTATTTATTGTATTTGTTGATGGATTAGACGTATGGTATAAGAAAAAGGGAATTGGCCAGGTGCAGTGGCTCACACCTGTAATCCCAGCACTGTGAGAGGCCGAGGTGGGCAGATCACGAGGTCAAGAAATCAAAACCATCCTGGCCAACATGGTGAAACCCCGTCTCTACTAAAAATACAAAAATTAGCTGAGTGTGGTGGTATGTGCCTGTAGTCTCAGCTACTCGGGAGGCTGAGGCAGGAGAATCTCTTGAACCTGGGAGACGGAGGTTGCGGTAAGCCAAGATTGCGCCACTGCACTGCAGCCTGGCAAAAGAGTGAGACTCTGTCTCAAAAAAAAAAAAAAAAAAAAAAGGAAAAAAGGAATCATATGGCTGGGTATATACATTTATGTGTACATGTTTGCAAATGATTACATGAGCAAAGTGAAAAATGAAGAATAGAGATAAGTATGTGAGGTAATATGTATGTTAATTAGCTTGATTTAGCCATTTCACAATGTATATAGACATCTCAAAACATATTGTACAACATAAATATATACAACTTTTATTTGTCAATTAAAAAAAAGAATAACAAAAGAAAGAGCAAACATGTTAAGATGTTTTTGAGACACCTAAGTGTCAAGTAGGCATTAGATAACCAAATCTGGATCTCAGAAGAATGATTGCTGCTGTTTTTACATATTTACATATATGTGAATACATTTTGGAGTTATCAGCATAAAGGTAATATTTAAAGTTTCAGGAATAGATGTGATTATCAGGACAACAGTTTAGAGATATACAGAGGAGGGTCCAGAATGGAGTCCTGAAGAATATCAACAGTTAAGAGTTTGGAGGAAAAAAAGCTTGGGGAGGAAACTGGACAAGTAAAATGTTAGAGAAGCTGAAGAAAGAGACTATTTCAGAAGGAAAGAGGAAAGTGTGTTAAACTAAAAAGTGTCGATTGAACTTGGCAGTATGGAAGTTATTGATGATTTTGCTGAAAGGAGCTTTAGTGGAATGAGGGTAAAAAGGCAGGCTGTGACAGATTGAAGGAGATACAGGTTTTGTGATGAAAGTAGCAATTCATTCAGGAGCTGGTCACATACAGAGACTTGATGCTTGATGCAATGATGATTCAAAAGAAGTTTGTTTAGAATAATTTTACTTGGAACAGCTGCTTCTTCAAGTCCTACGTTTTGTTTTTGTATTGTAAATTAACTTTATATTTAATAAGTCATTTATTCCTTAGAGGAGTTGTGAAGATTAAATGAGTTAACATACATAAAATGCGTAGTGCGGTCCTTGGAACACATATGATGATTAAGATAATAAAAATCAGTAGAGGTTGGATGTCGTGGCTCATGCCTGTAATCCCAGCACTTTGGGAGGCTGAGGTGGGCAGATCTCTTCAGCCCAGGAGTTCGAGACCAGCCTTGGCAACATGGCAAAACCCCGTCTCTACAAAAAAATTTTAAAATGTAGCTGGGCATGGTGGCATGAGCCTGTAGTCCCAGCTACTCAGAGCATGAGGTGGGAGGATCACCTGAGCCCAAGAGGTCGAAGCTGTAGTGAGCCATGATGGTGCCACTGCATTCCAGCCTAGGTGACCAAACATGACCCTGTCTCAAAAATAAAAACAAACAACCAAAAACCCCACACAGTATGCAATAATTAGCCAATTACTATATGTGCAAAACTATATACTGTTTCATTTATACATCAATCCATATTAGATATGAAGAAACTAAAGCTTAAAGAGTTTAAATAACTACCATGATCACCAATCACCCAGAGAATTAAGTGCCCAGCCACAAAGATCATGTTCTTATTAGTGCATTCTACTGCCCGCCACCCCCCTACCTCACCCGCCCCCCAGCACAGACATATCGGGAGCAGCTTTGGAATTCACTGTAGGGTATGTTCTGCAGTTGTCTTTGGAGAATTTGAAAGTATAGTAGATTTGAGGACAGAATGCATGGCTTGGATTAAGACATTTCCTTTAGTGAACAGAAAGGAAAGGGAAGACTTATGAAATTAGGGGGAGCTGCATAGTTCTGTGCTTCTGGCCATCTTAGAAGGTAAAGGGAAATGATAGCCATTATGCCTGAGTTGAAGGACTAGTCAAAAGTGATTCAGATAATTCATATTTGATTTGTTTAGGATTTTATTTTATGACAGCCAATGGTAATAAGCTAAGATTATTAAAATTAATAGAGAATATAGTTTAAAAAATTTCAAGATGTTTGAAATTATTTATTTATTTGTATGTTTGTTTATTAGAGACTGGGTCTTGCTATGTTATGTTGCCCAGGCTGGTCTTGAACTCCTGGGCTCAAGCGATTTCCCCATCTCAGCCTCCCAAGTAGCTGGGACTATAGGTGTGTGCCACCACATCCAGCTGAATTATTTTTTTGAAAGAATTATCATTCGTTAGCATTAACACTTTCAGGTTTGTCTTTTGAACTATTTCTTGTCTAAATGCTTTGTAAAAAGTTGTAATTAAAGTTTTTATATATATATATAGCTGAAAACACTACTGAAAAGAAACGTGATGAGACCCGAGTTATGATCTTCTCTTCATTTCGAGATAGTGTTCAAGAAATTGCAGAAATGCTTTCACAGCATCAGCCAATTATTAGAGTAATGACTTTTGTCGGCCATGCCTCAGGGAAAAGCACGAAGGGTTTTACCCAGAAGGAGCAACTGGAGGTAATTATTTTTGGAATTGATAAAAATAAAAATAAGATTGATTAGCTTTGCACTTGTTCTTTTTTTGTTAGTTTTAACTCACTGGTCAATTAGCTACTTAAAAAGAATTTTACAGTAAACGTGTAGGTAAAAATAAGCATATTTTGAAAGATGATAACAAATGTTTTATGTGGTTTTGGAACTTTTTTTTTTTTAAAGTAATGTAAAGTGTAAAAGTTAAGCAGAAAAGCTGTGGAATTATATTAACTGGGTTGGAATCCTGACTCTACCACTTAAAAGTTTCTTTACTTCCTCTTCCTCAGTTTTCCTTATCTGTAAACATACATCATAGAGTTGTTGTAAGCATTGAAAGAGATCTTATTGTAGAGCCACCAATAAATGTTTATTAAGTCGCTTTAATAATTTATTCTAAACAAATAATTAGCCTCTTTTTATTTATTTAAAAATCTTATTTTAGAAGTGGGGTCAGAAGAAACCATGATAGTATTTAAGGTAGCCTTATGCTCTGAGTAAGAGGACATTCGGTTTTCTAAGTGCTGTGATGTTTTGAGGGAAATTTTACATTATTGATTTTTATAAAATCTATGCAGCTTTTTATAAATTAACTATGTAAGTCTATACTTGAGTAGTGACTGACAATTAGATATCTCTTTAATTTCTAATTAATTTTGACAGATCCTTTTTTGATTCTGCAGACGTTAGTAGATGAGGTTTTTTTTTTGTTTTTTTTTTTTTTTTTAGATGGAATCTTACTCTGTTGCCCAGGCTGGAGTGCAGTGGTGTGATCTTGGCTCACTGCAACCTCCGCCTCCCAGGTTCAAGCAATTCTCCTGCCTCAGCCTCCAGAGAGCTGGGATTACAGGCACCCACGCCTGGCTAATTTTTGTATTTTTAGTAGAGATGGGGTTTCATCATCTTGGCCAGGGTGGTCTCAAACTTCTGACGTCTGGTGATCCGCCCGCCTCAGCCTCCCAAAATGCTGATATTACAGGCATGAGCCACCTCGCCTGGCTGGGAGGTAGTCTTCTTCTTCTTTTCTTTTTTTTTTTTTTTTAATTTTGAAATGGAGTCTCTCTCTGTCGCCCAGGGTGGAGTACAGTGGCCCAATCTCGAGTCACTGAAACCTCCGCCTCCCGGGTTCAAGAGACTCTCCTGCCTCAGCCTCCTGAGTAGCTGGGACTACAGGTGCCCACCACCACGCCCAGCTAAGTTTTTTTGTATTTTTAGTAGAGACAGGGTTTCACCATGTTGGTCAGGTATTCTTTTTTTTTTTCTTTTTTTTGAGACGGAGTCTCGCTCTGTTGCCGAGGCTGGAGTGCAGTGGCACGATCTCAGCTCACTGCAAGCTCCGCCTCCCGGGTTCACGCCATTCTCCTGTCTCAGCCTCCCGAGTAGCTGGGACTACAGGTGCCCACCACGCCCAGCTAATTTTTTGTATTTTTAATAGAGACGGGGTTTCACCGTGTTACCCAGGACGGTCTCCATCTCCTGACCTCGTGATCCGCCCGCCTCGGCCTCCCAAAGTGCTGGGATTACAGGCGTGAGCCATGGTCAGGTATTCTTTAAATACCTTTTATACCTGCCCTCACTACACCGAGAAGCGTCTGTTTAAGCTGACTGGATATGGTGGGGAGTGCCTTCCTGAATCTGAAAATAATACTTTTGCCTATTATCAAGTCAGATTATACATATTTTTAAGGCATCTAGTGGGTGATTACTACTCTTAACATATATGTATGAATGAAAAATGAATTGGATTTTTGCTGTGGAGGTCAAGCATTTTCATTATTTGAAATACCTGCAGTACCCAATCCGATCTCTGATCAATTTCAGTATTACCTAAAGTCATTATTTCCTGAGCTTGTCAGGCACCGTAAGAACATTATTGATTTTACTGACTTTATCATTTACTCATTTATGTCAATAATATTTTAAAGTATGCCAAAGTAAAAACTTTTTTTATTACTCCTATATGTAATTGCTTTCATAACAGCTGTTTTATTTTGAAACGAGCTTGCAGGCAAATAATTGTACATTGTCCATTTATTTAGAAACACGATATTAAGTCAGAAGAAATTGGGGGGGCCAGATCCTTTAGGGCCCTATATGTCATTTCCATTTTAATGACTTTCTCTTTTACTCTGACCGAGATGAGAAGTTCTTGGAGAGTTTGGGGCAGAGGATGGTCTTAGCTCGGTTTATATTTTAAAAGAATCAGCCGGACACTGTGGCTCATGACTGTAATCACAGCACTTTGGGAGGCTAGGTTAGGCAGATTGCTTGAGGCCAGGAGTTCGAGACCAACTAGGGCAACATGGTAAAACCTTATCTCTACCAAAAATACAAAAATTAGCTGGGTGTGGTGGCATGTGCCTGTAGTTTCAGCTACCTGGGAGGCTGAGGAGGGAGGATGCTTGAGCCCAGAGGTCGAAGCTCCAGTGAGCCAAGATCACACCACTGCACTTCAGCCTGGGCAACACAGTGAGACCCTGTCTCAAAAAAAGAAAAAAAAATCATGCTGGTTATTGTCTGAAGAATAAACTGTAGGGGCTAAGGGTGGAAGTGGAGAGACCGGTTGGGAGACTTATAACAATTTAAGCTGAAGATGATGGTGACTTGGACTAGGGTGGTAACAAGGAAGGTGGTGAGAAGTGGTTAAGTTCTGGATGTATTTTGCAGGTCAAGCTGACAGGGTGTATTGACAAATTAGAGTGGGATATGAGATAAAGGCATATGAAGTCTGACTGTAGGATGACTCCAAGGTTTTTGGCCTGAGCAACTGAAGGAGCTGGTATTAACTAAGATGGATAAGACTGCAGGAAAGGCCAGGTGTGGTGGCTCACGCCTATATTCCTAACACTTTGGGAGGCCAAGGCAGGTGTATCATTTGAGGTCAGGAGTTTGAGACCAGCCTGGCCAACATGGTGAAACCCTGTCTCTACTGAAAATACAAAAATTAGCCAGGCATGGTGGCGGATGCCTATAATCTCAGCTACTTGGGAGGCTGAGGCAGGAGAATTAGGGAATATCAGGAGCTTGGTTTTAGATGAGTTAACTTTGACATGCCTCTCAGATTAATGCTTTTCAAACTATTGAAACTGGTAGAGGACCAGCTTATTTCCCCCACTACATGACATACTGATACTTTTGAACAATAAAAATGAATTACTAGAAAGTAAAATGAATGAAAAATAAAGTTCTGGTCCAATTTTTAAAATATTACTAGAGTCAGCCAACAAAATTACTCTGTCAAGTGTCTAAACCCTTACTTTCAGTTATTGTACTTACCTTGTTGTCAGCTAGTAATAAACAGTTTTTGGACAGGCACCAGTAATAAACAGTTCATGGAGCACACTTTCAGTAGCAGTCTTTTAAACATCAAGCAGAGATATTGGATAAACAATTGAATATATGTCTTGAGTTTGTGGAAAGGGTTCATGGAAGTGTATATTCAATGGCAAATTAATATCAATCTTAAGCATGGAAGTAACAGTTTAGTTTATACATGTTAACTAAAAAGAAAATTGACATTCTTTATTAATCTGTTAGTTATATTAAGAAAAAATGTATCTAGCACTGTGGCCTTTTTTTTTTCTTTATCTGGGCAAAAAGGACATCTGCTTTACTGTGTTATATGCAGGTTGGCTTAATGTCAGTACAAATTCCAAAGGAAATGAATTACTCTTAATGTTTAATCATGATCATTGTTTCTCCCTGTACTCCGAGGATTTCCATATTGAAAGAAAATCCTTGGACCAGTGCAACTGAAATGTTTATGAGAAGACTTAACATAATACATTTATATTTATTGTCCTACTTTTAAGGTTGTTGTTTTTCACAATACAACTAGCTTACAGATTAAGTTAGGTTTTTGGAGTCAGAGACACTAACATTCAAATGCTGATGATTATTAGTGAGACATTAGGCAAATAGCTTAACTTTTCAGATTTTCAGATTGTTTAATAAAATGCAATGATAATATCTACCTCATAGGGTCGTTGGCAGTAGAAACTAATATATAAAGTACTTAGTTTGGTACCTGGCACATAGTGTGCCCTTGCACATAGTAGCTATCATTATTTATCAGCTAATTCAGCTTTTGATGTTGCATTATCTCACTTAATTACCACCTCCACCACTCCACTGTACACAAACTCACAATGTTGGTATTGGTCTGTATGGAGAAACTGAGGCTCAGAGCAGTTGAGAACTAAGTTTATAAGGCTTAAGGGACTTTCATTAACTTTTTCATTAACTCCTTCTCACGCTATTGTGGTTTCATTAAACTGATCAGAGAAATCCTGGAATGGTAGTATAAAAGGTAAGATATGACTTCTAAGAGTAATACAACATTCTTACAAATATTATAAGAAATATTTATAAACCTATTTCAGATAAAGCTATACATTTAGGTCTAAGATATGATAAATAGGAGTGATTGCTGTAGGCCATTTCCCTGCCCTATTCCCCTTTCTGTGGTGCTAAAAGTAAACTCTGGGTTTTCTCATTCAGTGACGAACTTAAATTGTTGACAAATCCTTTTGACATCACAACCATTACTAAAGCAAAATAATTAGAACTGTTTATTTTACCATAATCTCTTTTGGCTTATATTGCTAGTTGGTTGCTTCTTTTCCTATTCTATACTATCCTTGATGCTGATTTTTTTGCTTTGTTTTGTTGAAACGAGGCTTTACTCTGTTGCCTAGGCTAGAGTGCAGTGTCACAGTCATAGCTCACTTGCAGCCTTGAACTCCTGGGCTCAAGAGATCCTCCTGCCTCGGTCTCCCAAGTAGTTAGTGCTACATGCATACACCATCATGCTGGGCTAGTTTTTTTATTTTTCGTAGAGACAGGGTTTTTCTATGTGCCCAGGCTGAGCTTGAGCTCCTGGACTCAAGCAATCTTTCTGCCTTGTCCTCCCAAAGTGTTGACATTACAGGCATGAGCTGTGGCCAGCCTTGAGGCTGATTTTTAATCTGATTTTACTATTTTTCAGGTGAGTGGGGAAAAATATGCTTTGATCTACAGTTCTCTTACATTTGCATGTAGTTATTTTTCAATTGTTTTTATTTTAGGTAGTGAAACAGTTTCGTGACGGTGGTTACAACACGCTGGTTTCTACCTGTGTGGGTGAAGAAGGTTTGGATATAGGAGAAGTTGATCTTATAATATGTTTTGATTCCCAGAAGAGCCCAATTCGTCTTGTACAACGAATGGGTAGAACTGGCCGTAAACGTCAAGGCAGGATAGTTATTATCCTTTCTGAAGGACGAGAGGAACGTGTAAGTAGAGCTGCAGAAACACAATTTGACACTTGAAATTTGAGAAATACAGCCCAAAGGTGAATATCAACATGTTAGCATTCCAAGTCCAAACACTCTGTAGATAGTTTTGGTTTATTTTCCCCCACTTTGTATTGGATTCTCTCTTGTAACTAGGAGAATTTTTGACTGGAGTCAGTTTGCTAATTTTTATCCATCTAAAGAAACACATTTTTAATACTTAAGTAGTAATTCAGAGATACCTAGATCTAAAAACCAATATCTATTACTTTGTTTTACTATTTTCCTGTGCTTCTAAAGAAGGCCTGTGCTTTGTGTTTAGTTTACTTTTCTTTCTGAACTATAGTAAACTGAGAATCATTTTTTCCTTTTCAAGGGCTGTCAAAATAACTGACTAAATAAGAAACAAAGAACATGTATCAGAGACAGTATGAAGCCTGAAAAACCCAAAATATTTACTTTCTGGCCCTTTTTGGAAGTTTGCTGATGCCTATTTTAAGTGATAAGGAACTTGAGTTATATTCATACTGTGCTACAATCTTGAGTGACAGGCCTTTCTAAATAAGATGTTACATAAAATATTATTTTGTGTTTGTTACACTAAAGTATTAACTAACTTTTGTAACTTATCGAGACTAGTTCAGCAGCCAAATATATAGATTCACATTAAAGGTCTTAACAGCCATGATAATTTTTAAAAACTGATTTTAGGCTGGACATGGTGGCTCACGCCTGTAATCCCAGTACCTTTAGGAGGCTCACTTGAGGTCAGGAGTCCGAGACCAGCCTGGCCAACATGGTGAAACCCCGTCTCTACTAAAAGAATACAAAAACGAGACAGGTGTGGTGGCGCACGTCTGTAATCCCAGCTACTTGGGAGTCTGAGGCAGGAGAATCGCTTGAACCTGGGAGGTAGAGGTTGCAGTGAACCAAGATCCCACCACTGCACTCCAGCCTGGGTAACAGAGCGAGACTCCATCTCCAGAAAGAAAAAAACAAACTGATTTTAAATATTTTATATACTCTTTAAAATCATCCTGAAAAATGAATTATTTCTCTAATACTTTTCATGTGATTATAGCATATTCATATGTAACATCTAGTTTATCCATAAAATGATCCTAATGAAATGTTTGGTAAAAGGCCGTGTAATATCAGTGAGTGGAATTGGGTTCTAATTGTATTCCCTAGCCAAGTTACTTAACCTCTCCATTCACTTGTTAGGTTTCTTATCTGTAAAATAGTAACAGTGGCCCCGTTTACTCAGTATTTACATTGTGCTGCGTAATGTTCCAAGTTTCAGATTCATTATTGTATTTAATCCTGTCAGCACCCTGCAAAGGGAGTAACGCTTTTGTTGTATACAGGGAAGGAAACTGAAATGTAGAAAAACGAACAAACTGAAATAAGGGAATAGTTTTAAAAAAACACAAGACAACCTTACACTTCTATGTAAATATCAGTCTTTTTTAAAAACAGCAAGCTAACAAAGATAGATTTACTTTATGCAGTATAACTGCTAAGGTGGGCTTTTGTAATAATGGACTTTGAAATGATTTTCTTTTTAAAAAAAAAAAAACAAAAAAAACGGAGTCTTGCTGTGTCACCCAGGCTGGAGGGCAGTGGCATGATCTCAGCTCACTGCAACCTCCATCTCCTGAGTTCAAGCGATTCTCCTGTCTCAGCCTCCTGAGTAGCTGGGACTACAGGCGCATGCCACCATGCCCGGCTAATTTTTTTTTTTTGTATTTTCAGTAGAGACGAGGGTTCACCATATTGGCGAGGCTGATCTTGAACTCCGGACCTCGTGATCTGCCCGCCTGGGCCTCCCAAAGTGCTGGGATTACAGGCGTGAGCCACCGCACCCAGCCTGAAATGATTTCCATTAAAGGTTAATCTAACAGTTTACTGATAGGTTTTAAAATTCAAGACAGCTGGGCTCAGTGACTCACGCCTGTAATTTCAGCACCTTGGGAGGCCAAAGCTGGAGGATCACTTGAGCCTTGGAGTTCAAGACTAGCCTGGGCAACACAGGGAGACCCCATCTCTACAAAATAAAGATTAACTGGGTGTGGTAGCTCACACCTGTAGTCCCAGCTACTCAGGAGGCTAAAGTGGGAGGATCGCTTGAGCCCAGGAGGTTGAGGCTGCAGTGAGCCCTGATCACAGCACTGTACTCCAGAGCCTGGATGACAGAGTAAGACCCTGTCTCAAAAAAAAAAAAAAAAAAATTCAAGACAACAGAAGCTCCATTTTCTAAGTATTTAAGTGGATCGGGGTTTAATTTTATGTTTACAATAAATCCAAACTAATAATTGCTTGTTATGGATAAATTGTTATTTATAAAAGTAATATAATCTGACATTTTCTATTTGTTTTTACAGATTTATAATCAGAGTCAGTCCAACAAAAGAAGTATATATAAAGCTATTTCAAGTAACAGGCAGGTCCTTCATTTTTACCAAAGAAGTCCACGAATGGTTCCTGATGGAATCAACCCAAAATTACACAAAATGTTCATCACACATGGTGTCTATGAACCAGAGAAGCCTTCTCGGAACTTGCAGCGAAAGTCATCTATCTTTTCCTATAGGGATGGTAAATAAATTTTGCATTTGACACATGCATTTTTCCCCTGTTCTTACTTAGCAGGTCGTATCTTGATATAATATTTCTTGTTTGAAAAACTGAATATATGTTCTAATTAATATATTATAGGCATTCTCTTTGGAAAGGCTGTACGAGATTATTCATGTGGCAAATGGAGAGACACTGGTAGTATAGAGTGACAGAAACTCAGTGTTGGGGAAAATTAAACATACCCTACCAACCCAGAGAATGTTCTCCATAAAGTTTAGAAAAGAAAGAAAACAGTTTTATTTTTTAATAAGCATTAAACCAGATTACAATGTGCGCTGAAGATAATGTACTAAGATAATACCAAGACAGAAAGAAATTCCCTATATGTATCCCCAAGCACTTAGAATCCTTTACATACATGTTGTCAATATTAATAGTAACTTGTCCTCATGTAAGAGGGCACCATTTGCTATACATTCCTTCATAGTTTATCCCATATTTACCTGGTAATTGAGGTAGCCATTTGTGTTAGCTGGTTACCTTTCTCAAATATCTTGAGATATTTGCACTATGAAAGTGAGAAAAAATGTTTATTTTTTGGATTTTACTTAATCTCTGAAGTGGGTTTTAAACAATCATAAAAATCATATAACTAACATTTGGAAGGAACCTTGGGAGTCATGTGGTCCAATTACTTATCAAGGTAGGAATGCTTCTGCATCATTCTTGTTTTAAATGCATAGCCAGTCTCAACTTGAATACCTCTGTTAATATAAATTATATTTCTTTAGAGGGTTCATTCCATTGTTGAACGGCCCTGTATAGTAGAAGACTCTTACGCTGAAAAATCTGTGTCTTTGTACCTTTTTCTCATTGATCTGGTTTCTTAGATAAAAAGTACAGTTTTCATCTTTGGTTTACCTTTATAACAGTTCTCTATATATTTGAAGGCCATACCTTTTATGTTTGTTCAACTGTTTGTTCCACTGTTGTCATACCATGCATTTTTAAGGTTCTTACCCTCCTACTACTTGCTTTCAATTCAGATTTGTTAATGTTCTTTCCCTTAACTCAGAGCCGTCAATCAATGTTTTTTTGGCTATGTCTATTAAACTTAATACAAATGCACTTAATAGGAACATACCTGTCATTTTTCAAGATTTTGCCAATTATTTGGTTAAAATAAAAACACAGCATGTCTTTTGAGTTTTCTTGAATTTGATAAATTAATAAAAGCATCAAAACTTGATTAGGTTGGATAAATCATTTTTAGTGATCATTATATTTTTTATAGTTGCTAATTAATCTTATATTTAATAATTATTTCTAAAATGTTACTGAGGTCGATGGCAAATTCTTTAGTGAATATCTGGAACCTATCCTTTTAAAAAATTGAGATAATGTTAACTTATGTTCATTTTTCTATACTTGTTTCTTCCCCTTTTCTCTGATTTTTCAAGTGTCAAAGATTTATCTTAGATTATGTGATTTATGTATGGAATAATTCTATAATTCTGTACTAGTATATAAATACACTAGTGTATTTATACTAATATATAAAATATATACTAGTGTATTTACTATGTATTTTGCTAATGTATGCTAACTATATACTAGTGTTTATACATAGTATATATTTTATATATATTAAAATATATAGTATATATTATATACTATATATAGTATATGTAGTATTATATATAGTGTATTTGTAGTATATATTATATACACTAGTATGTAATTCATCTGAGCTTAGAGCTCTGAATTGACTATTTTTTATTTTATTTTATTTTTTTGAGACAGTCTCGTGTTGTCGCCCAGGCTGGAGTGCAGTGGCATGATCTCGGCTCACTGCAACCTCTACCTCCCAGGTTCAAGCAATTCTCCTGCCTCAGCCTCCCAAGTAGCTGGGATTACAGGCACATGCCACCACACCTGGCTCATTTTTACGTTTTTAGTAGAGACGGGGTTTCTCCGTGTTGGCCAGGCTGGTCTTGAACTCCTGACTTCAGGTGATCCACCTACCTAGGCCTCCCAAAGTGCTGGGATTACAGGCATGAGCCACTGTACCCAGCCACTCTGAGTTTATTTTAAGGGACTGGGGGTACCTGCCTATTTCGAAATCTTAGAGTCTCTGGATGTCAGGTCTGAAAGGGGCCTGAGAGATCATTTAGTTCAAACCCCCTTATTTTACAGATGAGGAAACAGATGCAGAGAAGCCTTTTATTTATTTATTTGTTTTTTTTTTTTCATTTTTAATTTTTTATTTTTTACATTTTTAAAAAGCTTCTTACACAAGTTTGGAATACCTGAGACATGATCCTAGCTCATCATGAAGCCTCAACTCCTGGGCTTAAGAGATCCTCCTGTCAGCCTCCTGTGTGGCTAGGACTACAGGGATGCAACACCATGCCCAGCTAATTTTATTTTATTTTTTTAGACTTGGGGTCAAGCTGTGTTGCCTAGGCTGGACTCAAACTCCTGGCCTTAATTGATCCTCCCTCCTCGGCCTCCCAAGGAGGAGGTGTCAGCCACTGCACCCAGCCAGTTTCCTGATTTTTAATTCAGTAGCGTCTCAATTTTTCTGCTCTCATCTGTATTAGCCAGAGTTACTGCTTTGTACTATTTAGCCTTTTCAGTTTGGTGATTCTTAGAGATTATAGAAGCTGAAAAGAATGAATATACTATACATATTTTTAAAAGTCTATTATGTCCTTTTTTAAAGCAACAAGTCTGTTCCCCCTACACTTTACTCATTTTGCCCCAACCCCCATTTAAGACTTAAGATACATACTCCTTTTAAAAGTCTTGGCCTTTCCTGCCCACTCTCAACACCCCCACCAAGCTTCAGATGAACTTTCCAATACTGCTATGATAGAATCATAATACCAGTTTTTCATTTGTGAGTTATCTTACTCTGTTTCATGCCAGGTCTTAGGCAACCAAATGAAAAGAGTCCAAAAGAAGCCAGGACTGAGAGCCAAGGTACCTGGCTCTGTTCTGTTAATGGATTCATTACCAAAGGATAGCTCCTAGACAGATGGGTACTTTCAGAGGTAAGAGAAGTTTAGGAGACATTTAGAAGCATGAAGTAATAAACTGAGTGGTTTTTTATGAAGAATACTAGTTTTAAGGAATAGAATCAAGGCTGAGGTAGGATCAGTTGAGCCCAGGAGTTTGAGACCAACCTGGGCAACATATCAAGACTTCATCTCTACAAAAAATAAGAAAAGTAGATGGGCCTGGTGGCATGAGCCTGTATTCCAGCTCCTGTGGAGGCTGAGGCAGGAGGATTGCTTGAACCCAGGAGTTTGAGGTTACAGTGAGTTATGAATGTGCTGTTGCACTCCAACCTGGGTGACAGAGTTTGAATGGATATTGTGGGTTTTTTTGCTTTGCAGATTTTTAAAAAGTCTCTTTTCCATTATTTTTTCAACTTATAGGAATGAGGCAAAGTAGCCTAAAGAAAGATTGGTTCTTATCAGAAGAAGAATTTAAATTATGGAACAGACTTTATAGATTAAGGGACAGTGATGAAATTAAAGAGATAACATTGCCTCAAGTTCAGTTTTCTTCTTTACAAAATGAGGAAAACAAACCAGTAAGTTGAATATATTTTCAGATGTTCTTTTCCCCCCCCTCATTTTAATGCCAGAACCCCTCAGATGTTCTTTATAATGATCAAGCAATAGCTTTGGGAATAATGAGATAATTGTGATTGGAATGTCAACTTACTTTAAGAAATTAAGAATGTAATCAGTGTAAGAAATCATTAAAGTCTAAGTTTACAAAACTACTAATTTTCTTCTATTATTTATTGTATATATGTATTTAACCAACTGTGATATTTTTACATAAATTATGCCTTTCTTTCATTACTGTCATTTAAACATTTCTATATAGGCATAATCTTACATGGTTGTCACTTTACTCTGTGATATACCATAGTTTGCTTGACTATTTACCTATTGTGTTTTGGGATTCTTTTCAACTTTTTTTTTTTTTTTTAAGAGATGAGGTCTCGCTCTGTTGTCCAGGCTGGCCATCAGCTCCTGGACTCAAGTGATCCTCCTGCCTCAGCCTCCCAAGTAGCTGGGACTATAAGTGTACACCACTGCATCTAGCTTTTTCAGTATTTTACTAACATAAATTATGCTTTCATAAGCATCCTTGTAAACCATTTTTTTTTTAAATTTCAATAGTTTTTGAGGAACAGGTGCTGTTTTGTTACATGGATAAGTTCTTAGTGGTGATTTCTGAGATTTTGGTGCACATCATCCGAGCAGTGTACACTGCACCCAATGTATAGTCTTTTATCCCTTGCCCCACTCCTACTCTTCCCCCCGAGTCCACGACAGAGTCCATTATATTATTCTTAGGCCTTTGTGTCCTCATAGCTTAGCTCTTACTTCTAAATGGGAACATACGATGTTTGGTTTTCCATTCCTAAGTTACTTCACTTAGAATAATAGTCTCCAACTCCATCCAGGTTGCTGCGAATGTAATAATTTCATTCTTTTTTTTATGGCTGAGTAGTAGTCCATGTTGTGTGTGTGTGTGTGTGTGTGTGTGTGTGTGCATGTGTGTCACATTTTCTTTATCCACTCACTGATTGATGGGCATATAGGCTGGCTTCATATTTTTGCAGTTGCGAATTTTGCTGCTATAAATATGGGTGTGCGAGTATCTTTTTCATATAATGACTTCTTTTCCTCTGGATTAGATACCCAGTAGTGGGACTGCTGGATCAAATGGTAGTTCTGCTTTTAGTTCTTTAAGGAATCTCCGTATTGTATTGCCTAGTAGCTGTACTAATTTACACTCCCACCAGCAGTGTAAAAGTGTTCCCTTTTCACCACATCCACTCCAACATCTATTATTTTTTGATTTTTTTAATTATGGCCATTCTTGCAGGAGTAAGGTGGTATTGTATTGTGGTTTTGATTTGTATTTCTCTGATAATTAGTGATGTTGAACATTTTTTATATGTTTATTGGCCATTTGAGTTCCTTATAGATTCTGGATATTAATCCTTTGTTGGATGCATATTTTACAAAGATTTTCTCCTACCCTGTGGGTTGTCTGTTTACTCTGCTGTGCAAAAGCATTTAGTTTAATTTAGCCCCATCTATCTTTGTTTTTGTTGCATTTGCTTTTGGGTTCTTGGTCATGAACTCTTTGCCTAAGCCAATGTCTAGAAGAGTTTTTTCAATGTGACAGAATTTTTATGGTTTCAGGTCTTAGAGGTAGGGCTTCGATCCATCTTGAGTTGATTTTTGTATAAGGTGAGGGATGAGGATCCAGTTTCATTCTTCTGCATGTGGCTTGCCAGTTATCCCAGTATCATTTGGTTGAATATGGTGTCCTTTCCCCACTTTATGTTTTTGTTTGCTTTGTTGAAGATCAGTTGGCTGTAAACATAAATTATGCTTTCATAAGCATCCTTGTAAACCAAAACAAAAAATAAAATTTTTGTTTTGAAATTATATTTAAAACTTTAAATTTGATGTTATTGTTTATTTTGTTTATTATTAACAAATTCTTTGTTAACTTTGTGAAAGTCAAGAGAACTGATCAAAGGTTGTAGATGTGCCTGGAGAGCTGGGAAAACAACCTCAGAAAAGATTTCTTTTAAAATATTTAACTGTTTGCTCTTAACATGGAACTATATAAACAGGAATATTGTCAACTTGTAAGTCATATAACAGTTACTTAACAAATATATTTTAAAGGGCATCTTTCTGCTTTATGAAATTATTTTCTTTTTTTCTTCTGAGATTTTAGTTGGGAGTATCTAAATGGATCCAAATTATGTTAAGCTGATTATATGTATATTGAGTGTTTTTTAAAATTAGTTTGTGAAATCTCAGTATGTTTTCATCATTTTTATTACTTTTTAAATAATTAAGGCTCAAGAATCAACCACTGGAATTCATCAACTCTCTCTCTCTGAATGGAGACTGTGGCAAGATCATCCTTTGCCTACACATCAAGTTGATCACTCAGATCGATGCCGCCATTTTATAGGCCTTATGCAAATGATAGAGGGAATGAGACACGAAGAGGTGGGGTTTTATTGTAACTTTCTCTTGCTGGTATGATAGTAAAACTAGAGTACTTAGCTTTTATTTTTCTTAATTTGAAGTAATAAGAAATACTTTGTTTTTCTGTATAGTTCCTTGTGATCTCAGTAAAGAATGAGTTTTCTGCCTTAAGAGAAGAAATAGATTTAATTAATTAGAAGAAGAATATCATCTGTAAATATTGATAGACCAGAGTAGAATTTTAATATACTTAAATGATTTATGTAAACTGTTTGTAAACCTTATTTAGGATTCTTTTGGATTCGGATTTATTGAAATACTCTCTGTCATCTAGGTTATTTGATATCTTTCTTGTATCCTGGTCCTAGTTTAGAGAATTATAGATTCCTTGAGCAGTTCCTTGATTATTCTTCCTAGAGTCAGCATAGTGAACCAATTATGAGTGTGAAATCCATAGTGCCTGGGTTAGAATCCTAACTCTGCCTCCTACTGATTGTGTGTTTGTAAGTTATTTAACCTCTCAGTGCTTCAGTTTTATCTGTAAAATAGTCATAGTGATAATACTTATTTCATAAGGTTGTTGTGAGGATTAAATGACCTAATATATGTAAAGCACGTAGTAGCTGGCATATGATAAGTACACAGTAAATTGTAGCTCCTATTTTTATTATTAGCCTTTGATCATGCATACATGTAAATAAAGTAGTTAGATGTGGATCCCAGCAAAATGTGTGCAATCAAATTAACATATATTTATTGAGTGCCTTCTGTGTGCCACACTCTATTCCCTGCTTTATGGCTATAACCGTTAGCAAACAGAGAAAATATTCTGTTTATGTGGAGTATATATACTAGCAGGGAGACAGACATTTGCTCACATTAATGCTTATTATATTTATTATTCAAAAAAGCAGAGGGCCAGGTGCGGTGGCTCATGCCTGTAATCTCAGGCTTTGGGAGGCCGAAGCAGGCAGATCACTTGAGGTCAGGAGTTCGAGACCAGCCTGGCCAATATGAGGAAACCCTGTCTGTACTAAAAATACAAAAATTAGCTGGGTGTGGTGGCACATGCCTGTAATCCCAGCTACTCAGAAGGCTGAGGCAGGAGAGTCACTTGAACCCGGGAAGCGGAGGTTGCAGTGAGCCAAGATCAAGTCACCGTACTCCAGCCTGGGCGACAGAGCGAGACTTTGTCTAAAAAAAAAAAAAACAAAAAAACCAGAGAGGTAACTGCTTAAGTCTATAAGTAGTAGAGGAATCCTGATTAAAGTAGCATTCTTAGGGGAAAGGAGGGATGGTGGAGATTGTAAGTTTTAGCTAATAACTTAGAGATAAGTAAGACTTAGAAATTCACTATACGAATCCTTGATTAGGAACTTTGTTACAAATAGAAGTATATTCCAGGATACAACCTAGCAGACATACAGGTACTACTATGTTGGACATTCCAAAAGCTATTCTTAGTTTACTGTCATTGAAAGAGTAAATTTAACAAATGTATATGGTTTTTATTAATATATGTTTTTAAAATATCTATTTTTAAGAAATTAGAATAATTCAGTTAAATGTTAGAAATGTAAAACTCACTATATTCTTATGTATTCATTCAATTTGTTCTTCCTACAAATAGTTACCAAGGGTCTTTTGGGTATTAAGTACTGGGGATACAAAAAAGTTAACTGATTAATGATAACTTGATAGTTTCACAGTAGTGTACTTTATAATTTTGATTTATCGGAATAACTTTTAAGGTATAAAAGAATATCACTGGAACAATGTAATAATATAAATATTTTAATATAGAGTGAAACTCCTCTCTTAGATTTGGCTTTCTGTTTTGTTTTGTTTTCCTGTGGCTTTTTAAATTTTCCTTATTTATAGGGAGAATGCAGCTATGAATTGGAAGTTGAATCTTATTTACAAATGGAAGATGTTACCTCAACATTTATTGCTCCCAGGAATGAATCTAATAATCTTGCCAGTGACACCTTTATCACTCACAAGAAATCGTCATTTATAAAGAACATAAATCAAGGCAGTTCATCCTCAGTGATAGAATCTGATGAAGAATGTGCTGAAATTGTTAAACAAACTCATATCAAACCTACTAAAATTGTTTCTTTAAAGAAAAAAGTGTCTAAAGAAATAAAAAAAGATCAGCTTAAAAAAGAAAATAATCACGGTATTATAGATTCTGTAGATAATGACAGAAATTCCACTGTTGAAAATATTTTTCAAGAAGACCTACCAAATGATAAAAGGACATCAGATACAGATGAAATTGCTGCCACATGTACTATTAATGAAAATGTTATTAAAGAACCGTGTGTGTTATTAACAGAGTGTCAGTTTACAAATAAATCCACTAGTTCACTTGCTGGAAATGTTTTAGATTCTGGTTATAACAGTTTCAATGATGAAAAATCTGTTTCATCTAACTTATTTCTTCCATTCGAAGAAGAGCTTTATATTGTTAGAACAGATGACCAATTTTATAATTGTCACTCATTGACAAAAGAGGTACTAGCTAATGTAGAGAGATTTTTATCTTATTCTCCTCCGCCTCTCAGTGGACTCTCAGACTTGGAATATGAAATTGCTAAGGGTACTGCACTTGAGAATTTGCTTTTCTTACCCTGTGCAGAGCATTTACGAAGTGATAAATGCACCTGTTTGCTGTCACATTCAGCTGTGAATTCTCAACAGAATTTAGAATTGAATTCACTTAAATGTATAAATTATCCATCTGAAAAAAGTTGCCTTTATGATATACCTAATGATAATATTTCTGATGAGCCAAGTCTCTGTGACTGTGATGTACATAAACATAATCAAAATGAAAATTTAGTACCTAACAATCGTGTTCAAATACACAGAAGCCCTGCACAGAATTTAGTTGGAGAGAACAATCATGATGTTGATAACAGTGACCTCCCAGTATTGTCCACTGATCAAGATGAAAGTTTGCTGTTATTTGAAGATGTTAATACAGAGTTCGACGATGTGAGTCTTTCACCCTTGAACAGTAAAAGCGAATCTTTACCTGTGTCAGACAAAACTGCTATTAGTGAAACGCCTCTGGTCTCTCAGTTCTTAATTTCTGATGAACTTTTGTTGGACAATAATTCTGAACTCCAAGATCAAATCACCCGTGATGCTAATAGTTTTAAATCTCGTGATCAGAGAGGTGTACAGGAAGAAAAAGTGAAGAATCATGAGGATATTTTTGATTGCTCTAGGGATTTATTTTCTGTTACCTTTGATTTAGGATTCTGTAGTCCAGATTCTGATGATGAAATATTGGAACATACATCAGATAGCAATAGACCTCTAGATGATCTATATGGAAGGTATTTGGAAATTAAGGAGATAAGTGATGCAAATTATGTTTCGAATCAAGCACTAATACCAAGAGATCATAGTAAAAATTTTACTAGTGGAACTGTTATTATCCCATCAAATGAAGATATGCAGAATCCAAATTATGTACATTTGCCACTGAGTGCAGCAAAAAATGAAGAATTGTTATCTCCTGGTTATTCTCAGTTTTCTTTACCAGTGCAAAAAAAAGTTATGAGTACACCACTCTCTAAATCAAACACATTGAACTCATTTTCTAAGATAAGAAAGGAAATACTTAAGACACCAGATTCTAGTAAGGAAAAAGTAAACCTACAAAGATTCAAAGAAGCATTGAATTCAACTTTTGATTATTCAGAATTTTCTCTAGAAAAGTCTAAAAGCAGTGGTCCAATGTATCTGCATAAATCCTGTCATTCTGTTGAAGGTAAGATTCCATCTTTATAAAGTCTATAACTCTTTCTAGAATAATTACTCTAGAAATACTTTGGTAATTTTTCCAAATGTAATTTTTTAGTACATGGTACAATATAAATATTGAATTAGATAATTGATGTGTTATATTTTTCTTAAGATGATCTTACTAATATTAGATTTATTTACATATACTTATGGCACGCATGGTATGGAAAAAGTTATTCTTGCTAGACATTATGAAATACACGAAGATGAGTAAGATCTGGCCCTAGGTCTTGGTTGTAAAACATAATTATGTGACATACGTATTTGAAAAGATGCCAGTAAAATGTGGAAATAACTACCAAATGAATAATAAGAGAGTGGCTGTTTAGGAGGTTCAGAGGATGATGAAATTTTGAGGTTGATTAGATTGGACTTTTTTTGTTTCTTTGTTTTTTTTGAGACGGAGTTTTGCTCTTGTTGCCCAGGCTGGAGTGCAATGGCATGGTCTCGGCTTACTGCAACCTCCGCCTCCCAGGTTCAAGTGATTTTCCTGCCTCAGCCTCCCAAGTAGCTGGGATTATGGGCACCCACCATCATGCCCGGCTAAGTTTTGTATTTTTAATAGAGGTGGGGTTTCACCATGTTGGACAAGCTGGTCTTGAACTCCTGACCTCAGGTGATCCACCCGCCTCACCCTCCCAAAGTGCTGGGATTACATGTGTGAGCCACTGCGCCTGGCCAAGATTTTATATATAGTGTAGATTTTCATTTGGGTTCCTTGGGAATATTTATGCTTTTGGTATGTTGAAGATACTAAAGACATAATTTAGGTGTTACAAAATGATGAAAGCGAGGGGAAAGAAGGAAAGTATGATTTTGGGAGATAGTTTGAAGTAATAGTTTTATGCAGCAAAATATTTGAGAAATAAAAACTGTATTCAGAAGATTGAGACCAGACCACAAAAAATCAGAGAAATCTCTGGGTTTCTGTAATCTAACCATTACACTTACAGAAAAACTAGATGATATAGTGATAGATGTTTGATATGAAGTCGTGCTGTATAATACAACTCTACAGATTATTATATCAAGTCATTTATGAATTTTACTCCTTATGTTAAAAGCTGAATAAAAAGTAGCTGTAGGATAAAAGGAACATTTCCTCTGTAAATCTTTTCCTTACATTATTCTCGTTAGCATGGAGGACATGGTTCGTGAATGTTCTATTTAAGATGAAAGCATGTTGGAAGTAAGTACTGGAAATACATTTAATTTTCAAAACCTGACTATTCTATATAGTCTGGGGTTGTGCCATGACATATATATTTTTTCAAAGTGTATGATGCCTGTGAGCCTTCAATATTTGCTTTAATACCTCTATATGAAGTCCACGTTAATGAGTGAGATAATTTTTCTGGTTTTGCGTCAGATTTGCACAAAAACATTTTTTCTAGGATTGTACTTAACTACAAATCATGGGCAAAATAATTACAAACACGTATCATGGAATTATTTATTAGAGAACATTTAGTTATTTTTTATTCTACTTAATTCAAGACAGAATTTAAGCTCATTTTCTGTATTATATATGAAAAACATAGTTCATTAAAACATCATGAAAGCACTGAAAAAGAAAGCCTCCTAGAATGAGTTGGTTACTATAGCCGAGTCCTGCATTTAACTTTGGCTTCCTTATAAGGTAATGAAAAAAGAAAAACTAGTTGATTTATATATTGTTCATCTGCAAAAAGGAAATCACTCAAGTTTGTCTGTCTGGGTAGATGTTTTAGTAGCAGAATGTGAGGAGAAATTTACTGAGTGGTTTTGTATTTGTTATCTATTGCTGTTTAACAAAGTACCCCCAAAAAACTCAGTGGCCTAAAATAATCAGTAAAATAAAATAAGCTTCTTAGAAGGCCTGTTGTTTGAGAGGATCTGTGAGGAGCTTCTTTAAAAACCTTAATGGGCCTGGCGCAATGGCTCATGCCTGTAATCCCAGCACTTTGGAAGGCTGAGGCGGGTGGATCACCTGAGGTCAGGAGTTTGAGACCAGCCTGGCCAACATGATGAAACCCCGTCTCTACTGAAAATACAAAAATTAGCCAGGCGTCGTGGCACGTTCCTGTAGTCCCAGCTACTCAGGAGGCTGAGGCAGGAGGATCACTTGAACCTGGGAGGCAGAGGTTCCAGTGAGCCGAGATCGCGCCACTGTACTCCAGCCTGGGCAACAAAGTGAGGCTCTGTCTAAAAATAAATAAATAAATAAAAATAAAATCCTTACTCTCTGACTGAATAGTACTGTAAGGCACAATCTTTGATTTTTAAGGAGGTCTTAACAAAGCATTTAAACTATACCCTCAGCTCACCCTCAGCTTCATAATATTTTCCTGGCTGTTCTCTGGGTTTGATCTTTGCCTAGAAAATTTCTTAATTTTATCATTGTTCGCCATCAGGAGAGGCCGGGAGTTTTCATAATCAGCAAATTCTAATTATGTTTGTCCTTAATGTCTTTCTTTTTGCATTTTGCTCTTATAGCAAAAAGCAACATTTTGTCTGGAAGTCTTAGCTAGATCACCTCTCATAGATTAGGTACATCATTTTCTTTCTTTCTTTTTTTTTTTTTTTTTTTTGAGACAGTCTCACTCTGTCACCCAGGCTGGAGTGCAATGGCACGATCTCGGCTCACTGCAACCTCTGCCTCCCAGGTTCAAGCGATTCTCCTGCCTCAGCCTCTCAAGTAGCTGGCACTGTAGGCGCCTGCCACCACGCCCGACTAATTTTTGTATTTTTAGTAGAGATGGGGTATCACCATATTGGCCAGGCTGGTCTCGGACTCCTGACCATGTGATCCGCCTGCCTCTGCCTCCCAAAGTGCTGGGATTACAGGTGTGAGCCACCATGCCTGGCCCATTTTTTGCTTTTCGTGCTAACTGCAATGATGCCAAATTTTCTGGTACTACATTAAAGGATTTAAGATTTTTCCTACTTTTCTTTAAGCCCTCACCCACCATTTCCTCAATGGCCAACTAACCTTCCTACAATTTCTTTGAGGCTCTTCAAGCCTTCGTTCACTAAAACTGAAGTCCTTTCAGCATCCACCACTGTCTAGTTCCAAAGCGACTTTCCCAGTTTAGGTTTTTGTTATGGCAACTCCCTATTTCTGGGTACCAAAATCTGTATTATTTATCTATTGCTGCATAGCAAACTACCTGCAAAACTTAACGATGTAAAATAACAGACCCTTGTTACCTCAAGGTTTCTATACAACAGGAGTTTAAATGTGGCTTAGCTGAGTGGTTCTGGCCTAGGATATTTCATGAGGTAATAGTCAAGACATTGGCCAGGGCTGCAGTTATCTGAGAGCTTGAATAGCTTTGGAGGATCTGCTTTTAAGATGGCTCAGTCATACTGCTGTTAGTAGGAGACCTTGGTTTCTTGCCATGTGGACCTCTTCGTAGGGTAGTTTGATAAGTATGTGGTGTTTTTTTTTTTGTTTTTTGTTTTTTCCCCCACCAGGCAGGGTCTCGCTTTGTCACTCAGGCTAGATTGTAGTGGTGCAATCACGACTCACTGCCACCTCTGTCTCTTGGGCTCAAGCAATCCTCCTGCCTCAGCCACTGGGACCACAGGCACGTGCCACCACACCCAGCTAATTATTGTATTTTTTGTAGAGAGGGTTCTGTCATGTTGCCCAGGCTGGTCTCAAACTCCTGGGCTCAAGTGATCTGCCTCCTCGGCCTCCCAAAGTGCTGGAATTACAAGCGTGAGCCACCACTCCTGGCCTGGTATGGTCATAAAACATAAGCATCTGACTTCTCCCAGTGCAAGTGATGCAAGAGAGAAAGCAAAAATGAGGCCACAATACCTTTTATGACCTAGACTCATAAGTCATACACCTTCATTTTCATTATATCCTTTTTTTAGAAGCAAGTCACTAAGTATGGCCTGTACAGTTCTAGTTACAACATTTTGTATTGAATTGTATCTTACCAATTTTTATTTCATGTACACAAATACATATGGAAAACACATATATAACAAAGAATCTTTTAATATATTGTTTTGTAGCTTGCATTTTTATGCTTTAACTCTTTCAAGTAGAAAGAGAATAAGACACAAAGGGCAGAAAGACTGCAGTAGATTTTAGAGATAAATTCTATTAATGGAACCAGTGACTAATGAAATTACTTTTTGTGTTTTTCTGGCCTCATTTCAGTTAATTTATAAAATTGAACTTCATTCAAATATGTGTTTATTAGCAAAAGATATTGTCTTATTTTCTTCACTGGCATTTTAATTTTTTTGTCTCTTGTTTAGATTTTTTGTTCAGAGTTCTCCAAGACTATCTTTTTTTGAAAGTGAATAAATGTTGAGATTGCGTGAAATAATTCTTAATGTAGCCATCAATAAAATAGATTGTTATGATTGGGTAAACCTAAATCTATTAACCATTCATTATTTTAAAAAATAAATTATAGATGGACAATTATTAACAAGTAACGAAAGTGAAGATGACGAGATTTTCCGAAGAAAAGTTAAAAGAGCAAAAGGAAATGTTTTAAACTCTCCTGAGGTGAGTCATTCAGTAATCACAATAGTATAATCATATCAAAGGCTATTTTCCTTTTATACCTTGGGCTTCTGCTGAGACTTTTGTTGCCTTTTACTTTATTTACTTACTTTAGGATCAGAAAAATAGTGAAGTTGATTCTCCACTTCATGCTGTCAAAAAGCGCAGATTTCCTATAAACAGAGTAAGTAAATACCAGGTAATGTATAGTAATCCAAATTCCTTTGGAATAAAAATTTTGAGAGAAATATATGTGTAGATAAATATAGGTATTTTTAATCCTTAGTAGAAAAGTTGATATTCTATTGTATGTGATTGGAATTTCTAGCTTCTGTTAGTTTTCAAAGATGTATTCACTGTAAACTTTCCTAAGCACAATAAATAAAAATATTAAGTAATTTTAGACTCTTTAAAAACCATCCTATTTTTGTCAGTACACTTGAGCAATTCGGCAAGCATTCATTAAATACCTCCTATGTGTCTACTGTGTAAGATGCTGGAGATACTCTCAAGAATATATCCTAAAACTGTCATAAGTTACTCAATAGGAGAGACAGAGAAGTAAACAGATAATTTCAGTATAATTTTTAAAGTTGAGTGATAAGAAAAGTTAAGCCCTTAACCTCGATCTCGGGAGTTCTGGCAAGCTTCTTGAAGGTCATACCTTAGTTAAACCTTAAACTGTATTTGGCAGTGAGGCCAAAGAAGGGAGAAGAGAAGGCATTGTTTACAGAATAACAGCCTAAAGGAAGACCCAAAAGTGAGAAACGGCATCTCTATGTTATTAGATTGTAAAAACAAAAGAGTTTCAAGAAGTAAAATTGGAGAAAAATCAAGGTCAAGGGTTAGAATTGCTTATTCTTTTCATTTGATTACTGAATGAGTTTGAAAGAAGGAAAGGAAGGAGTCCAGGATGACTCTGGTTTTTGGCTTGAGCTGTTTGGCAAGTGTGTCACGGATTTAGGCTAAACAAGAAAGAGATGGTAAGTGTTGAACAGGTTTGAGTTTGAAGTTTCTGTGGGATAGTAAAGTCACAGCGTCTGGCAGGCATTGATGACTGTGAATCTCAAGTTTGATAGATGGACAGGTCTTAAGGTTAATGATACTCACCAGTTTATAGCTGATAGCTAAATTTTGAGACTAGCAAATCTTGTCTGTTTTAATTCTCGAATACAGTCTAGGATAATTTGTGTAAAATTACAGGTGCTTCTCAACTTACAATAGAGTTGGATCCTGATACGCACATCATAAATGGAAAACATTGTATGTTGAAAATGCATTTAATACACCTAATCTACTGAATATCACAGCTTAGCCTAGCCTACCTTAAACGTGTTCAAAACACTTATATTTGGTCAAAATCATCTAACACAAAGCTTATTTTATAATAAAATGTTGAATATCTCATGTAATTTATTAATAATACTGTACTGAAAGTGAAGAACAGAATGTTTGTATGGGCACTTGAAATTTGGTTTCTACTGCATGCATATCACTTTTGCACTATGGAGAGGTCGAAAAATCATTAAGTTGAACCATCGTAAGTTGGGGACCATATGTAATTAAAAATACAGCCAGTCCGTATTAACATTGTGTACTCATATAAGACTTCATTAGAAAAACAACTTGCTACCTTAACTAGAACATCTGATTGACTTATCAGAAATGATTTAAAATATTGATAATGCTGATGATCAATTTGTTTTAAACTAAATTTATTCCTGTTAATTGAAATGATTTTGATAAACTTTTGATTCTTTTGACTGGTTTTGTGTTATCCTATAAGAGATATGGTGATAGGCCTCATAGTCAAAACTTGTTATTGTTTTATTTGTTTCTTAGTTTCAAATGATTCCTATATTTGGACTGATTTTGATGGCCAAATTTATAGGCTTGTTCTTTGTGAAGCCCTTGAAGATCTTCTGAAGGAAATACTGTTAAACTAAAAGTATCAGTTTTCTAAGTCACCATAGTGTTTGCAGAAAAAATAAAAATAAAAACTAAAAGTATGTTTTCATCAAACATATTCGATGTAATACTATATTGGATGAATACCTATACTAGTATTACTTATAACCTAATTTAGTATTTTAGCATTTAATATTACCTAAGTTATTTACTTTTACATTCTTAAGTATTTATAACATTAATATTATGTATTTATAACATGGCTCTGAGTTGTAAGAGCAATTTTACTTGTCTAGGAAGAAAATATTTTTTTCTTATGCAAGAATTTTGTCGAATTATTATAGTCAGAATTATCATCTAGTGATGAGAGTGAGAATTTTCCCAAACCATGTTCACAATTAGAAGACTTCAAGGTTTGTAACGGGAATGCCAGAAGAGGCATCAAAGTCCCAAAGAGACAGAGTCACTTAAAGGTAATCTTTTTTTTAGTTTCTTTAAATATGTATGCATTTTATCAGTAAAGATAATTGGTTTTACATCAATGTAGATTTCTCTATACATTCTCTTTATAGAAAAAAATTAAGTATTTTGACACCCATTTAGATTTTTTTTACTGGAATTAAATTCAAAGTAGTTTTTTTTTGTTTATCTTTGTGTTTTGATGCTTTATCTTGCAGTGTTGTGTTACTTTGAATGAATACCAAAAAACTCAAGTGTATTGAGAATTTATGTTTCAAATTGAAGAAAATATAGAATTAGAAATTTGAGTTTTAAGATGTTTGCTTTTATGATCATTATATTGTTTTTCTTATTTGTATCCAATTTTCAAATACTTGGAAAATGTTCTCAGTACCTTTCCTTTCTGATTAAGTTCTTTTGTGGTGCAGTAATTTTCTTGAAAGAGCTGGAAAGACTCAGGAAATTTTATGCTTATTAAGAAACATCAAGCAGGCTGGGCGCGGTGGCTCACGCCTGTAATCCCAGCACTTTGGGAGGCTGAGCCAGGTGGATCACCTGAGATCAGGAGTTTGAGACCAGCCTGGCCAACATGGTGAAACCCTGTCTCTACTAAAAATACAAAAATTAGCTGGGCGTGATGGCACATGCCTGTAATCCCAGCTACTCGGGAGGCTGAGGCAGGAAAATCTCTTGAACCAGGAAGCGGAGGTTGCAGTGAGCCAAGATTGCGCCACTGCACTCCCGCCTGGGCAACAAAGTGAGACTCTGTCTCAAAAAAAAAAAAAAAAAAAGATCAAGCAAATATACCAACTTTTACTTTATTTTATGACAGAATTATCAGAATTTTTAAATAGATAGGTAACTTTATCATTTCTTCTTGGGATTTTCTTTTTTTTTTTTTTAGACAGAGTTTCGCTGTTACTGCCACAGACTGGAGTGCAGTGGCACCATCTCAGCTCACTGCAACCTTCACCTCCCAGGTTCAAGTGATTCTCCTGCCTCAGCTTCCCGAGTAGCTGGGATTACAGGCATGCGCCACCACACCCTGCCAATTTTTTTTTTTTTTTGTATTTTGTAAAGATGGGGTTTCACCATGTTAGTCAGGCTGGCCTTGAACTCCTGACCTCAGGTGATCCACCTGCTTCGGCCTCCCATAGTGCTGGGATTACAGACATGCATCACTGCACTGGGCCTAGAAATTTTGTTTTTATTATTTTATTAATCTTAAAAGCATTGATAAGAAATCAGTTTTCCAGAATTATTTCCAATCATGAAAGAAAATTATTTTCTCACTGATATCTTCATGTTTTCTAATTTGTCTTACTTAGCATGTAGCTAGGAAGTTTTTAGATGATGAAGCAGAACTTTCTGAAGAAGATGCAGAATATGTTTCATCAGATGAAAATGATGAGTCAGAAAATGAACAAGATTCCTCATTACTTGACTTTTTAAATGATGAAACTCAACTTTCACAGGCTATAAATGGTAAATGTTATAATGATCCTTAAAATTTTTTTCAATGTTTTTATGTGCTTATATTTAAATATTTTAATCAGTTTTTAATGAAACTAGACCTTAAAGGTAATTAAATGTGGTACGTGCAAAATATTTATTTGGTCATTTTCATTCAAATTCTTTAATACTTGCTTTATTTTAGACTGATTGTTCATAGGCTTCTGCTAATTTGAATATTTCTCTTCAGATTGACCTGGGTTGCTCAAGTGTGAAATGTTCATTTCACAAGTGTTTATTGCCCGCTACATGCCTAGTACTATGTAAGGCATTTAAGAACCATATATGAATGAACAAAATAGACAAAAAATTTCTTCTTATGAAGCCTACATTCAAATGGAAAGAGACAGACAATATATATACTAACTAAATTATTTAGTTTATTGTAAGATAAAGAGTTACAGAAAAATAAAAAAGTTGGCCAAGATGAGAAAAATTTGGAGTAACTGGGGTTGAGGGTATAAATAACAGACAAGTTGCCATTTTATTGTATTATTTTTTAGTTTTATTTTTTTAGAGACAGAGTCTTACTCTGTTGCCCAGAGTAGGGTGCAGTGGCGCAGTCATAGTTCACTGCAGCCTTGAACTCCTAGGCTCGGGAGATTCTCCTGCTTTAGCCTCCTATAGGACTACAGGCATGTGCCACCATGACCAGTTAATTTTTTTGGCCTTTTGTAGAGATGTAATCTCACTATGTTGCCCAGGTTGGTCTCCAACTCCAGGCCTCAAGCAATCCTCTCACCTTGGCCTCTCAAAGTACTGGGTCTATAGCTGTGAGCCACTGCACTCTGCCTAGCTGTTATTTTAAATAAGGCAGTTAGGAAGAGGCCTCATTGAGAAGGTGACATCATCAGAGACTAGAAGAAGAGAGATTTAGTGATGTAGATTGTTAAGACCAACTGCAATACAAAGCTAAATTTATTAAATTTGCCATGTAAGGGCAGTTTACTTTCAGAAAACAGTGTGTTCATCCAATGCTTGAACGGATCTTACATACAATATATTTAGAGGAGATGGTTCAGATTGGCTGTAACAGAAGTGAGAAATATTCTGACTATATCTCTTCAGTATTCTAATCTTTCACAGATCTCATCATTTATTCTGCTTTTGCAGTCTCTGATATTATTTAAAGTGACAAAGTTTCTCAAAGTTCGTGACTTTTAAGAAAAAAGTGTTTAAAAGGCAATGTTCTCAGTACTGTCCTTAATGCTGATATAATTTGTATAATTTGCAGGATAAGGTTTTATGTCCTTGATGTTCATTAACAGAAGTGTTTTGCAGGTTTACAATATAATCCAGTGGAAGAATGTTGATGCAAAGACAACAGCCAGTGCAAAGGCCCCGAGTCAGTAGTGTGCCTGGCCTGTTGAAGGAATAGTGTTGTGACTGGAATGAGGGAAAAGGGAAGGTAGTAGGAAGATCAGAGAACTAGCAGCCAGATCATAATCTGACATAATTTAGTAGAATCTCTCCAGCTTCTGTGTTGAGAATGGCCTATAGGGGAACAGAGGTAGACTGAGACCAGTTAGGAGACTGTTGAGGTCCTCCAATCAAGGAATGCTAGTGGCTTCTACCAAGATAGTAGCACTGAGGAGAGTGAGAAAGATTGGATTCTGGATACATAAAGCTGACAGGATTTTCCAATGGATTAGAAAAAAAGGAGGAGTCAGTAGGCTTGAGCAACAAGAAGGACATATTTGCTGTTATGTTATTGGGAAGGCTGCAGATGAAGCAATTTAGATGGTGATTATAGAGGTTTGAAATTCCATTTTAGACACAGTATGTTTGAACTATGTACAATTTCAAAGCTTTTTTTTTTTTTAAAGTACCTCGAAATTCACATTATCTTTTGTTTTTATGTATCATGTCTCAAGTACCTTTCATTATATTATAACTTTTAAAAATGCTAGCCATAAAAAAAAACCAATGTGTTTCCCAGGTTTTGCTTAACTGAAAATTATGAAATATACTTTTTATTGGCTGTGGGTTTTAATGTTTTTAGTGCATATTTGCTTTTCTGGCTAGATTTCTTATTTTTTTTGAAACTTCTATAAATCTGGTACAGTTTTAAGGTCTTTGTATACCTTTGTTTTGAAAGAAAAGTCACCATTTTAATCCTCATTTTCAGAGAGATAGATAAAGCAGGGAACTTAAGTTGTCCATGATCACTCAACTAGAAAATCTGATTTCAAAGGCTAAACTCCTAACTTTATATTTTTGAATAATTGTTTATAGATATCTTTTAATATTTATTGTCTTTGTGTAAAATATTTGCACAAGGTTTGAATCAAGTAAATTTGAAATAGATTGAAGTTAAATACTTTACTGGTTTTCATTTAAATAATTTTGCTAATTTATCTAAATTCTTATCTTTACACAGATTCTGAAATGAGAGCTATTTACATGAAATCTTTGCGTAGTCCAATGATGAACAATAAGTACAAAATGATTCATAAGACACATAAAAACATAAACATTTTCTCGCAGGTATGAACTATAGAAATATAATGGAGAATTTCTGGATGATGATGTTGAAATATGTTCCTGTTAGTGAAGCCTCCATTTTGTTTCTAAAACTGGGCTGTCAGAGCTATTTGAGATCATTTCTGCCCAAAGTCAGGAAGCTCGACTAAATGGATTCTCAAGATCCCTTTTTGGCCATGTGCGGTGGCTCACGCCTGTAATCCCAGCACTTTGGGAGGCCGATGCTGGTAGATCACCGGAGGTCAGGAGTTCAAGACCAGCCTGGCCAACATGGTGAAACCCCATCTCTGCTAATAATACAAAAATTAGCCAGGCATGGTGGCACATGCCTGTAATCCCAGCTACTTGGGAGGCTGAGGCAGGAGAATTGCTTGAACCCGGGAGGCAGAGGTTGCAATGAGCCAAGATTGCACCATTGCACTCCAGCCTGGGCGACAAGAGCAAAACTCCATCTCAAAAAGTAAAAAAGATTCCTTTTTTGTCCTTGGTTGATCAAAATTCATTTTTTTTCATAAAAATGTTAAATGCTGAAAATTATAGGTTATGTCACTTATGGATAACATTTTCATATTAGTTGTGTTTGTTTATAAATTGCCATGTTCAGCTTGGTAATGTGTACTCTCTGTACTTCCATTGTGCTTATTATATAGCATTTATCATCTATTATTATTGTTTACTTTCTACCTACCTGTTATTAGCCCTTAAATTTCTAGACGGTAAATCATTCTTTTCCTTTATCCTCAAACTCATTTTCCTCCATAAAGAATGTACTTAGTTTATGTTAGTTGAGTAAGTGGCTGAATTAATAAAGTAAATTAAACAAATATTAATGCAGATTTCATGTGCCTAGAAGTATATTTTAAATACCTGTTAATTGTCTGAAATAAATATAAAACATTCTTGTGTTTTTATTGTAGATTCCTGAACAAGATGAAACCTATTTAGAGGATAGTTTTTGTGTTGATGAAGAGGAGTCTTGCAAAGGCCAATCAAGTGAAGAAGAAGTTTGTGTTGATTTTAACTTAATAACTGATGATTGCTTTGCAAATAGTAAAAAGTATAAAACTCGACGTGCAGTAATGCTAAAAGAAATGATGGAACAAAATTGTGCACATTCAAAAAAGAAATTATCCAGAATTATTTTACCAGATGATTCAAGTGAGGAGGAGAACAATGTAAATGATAAAAGAGAATCTAATATTGCGGTTAACCCAAGCACTGTTAAGAAGAACAAACAACAGGACCATTGTTTAAATTCAGTGCCTTCTGGATCTTCTGCGCAGTCCAAGGTGCGTTCTACTCCAAGAGTTAATCCATTAGCAAAGCAGAGCAAACAGACATCGCTGAATTTAAAGGATACAATTTCCGAAGTCTCAGACTTCAAACCTCAGAATCATAATGAAGTCCAGTCTACCACACCACCCTTCACTACTGTTGATTCACAGAAAGACTGTAGAAAATTTCCAGTTCCACAGAAGGTATGGATCAAAGAAAGGAAAAATATCTTTAGATGGTTACCAGAAGTTTTTCTTTTTCTTTCTTGTGTGTGTGTTTTGTATTAAATAACTAGGTCAAAGAAAAATTAACAAAAAAATTTTGCAGAAAATGTCTTCAAACAAGAAAACAATACACAAAATTATATGGGCAATTCACAGGGTGCTTAGGTTTTAATTTTTTAAATATGTTAATGTTTTGTTAACACTATGTAAGGAAACTTGATAATTTTATTAAAAGGTTGTGGGAAAATAGGGCTTTCTGCAAGGCAAAATTAACTGAAATTATGTGTTCAGAGTTAGTTCCCTGGCCAGATGCGGTGGCTCATGCCTGTAATCCCAGCACTCTGGGAGGCCGAGGCAGGTGGATCACTTGAGGTCAGGAGTTCAAGACTAGCCTGGCCAACATGATGAAATCCCGTCTCTACTAAAAACACAAAATCAGCCAGGTGTGGTTGCGTATCCCTGTAGTCCCACCTACTTGGGAGGTTGAGGTAGGAGAATCGCTTAAATCCGGGAGGCAGAGGTTGCAGTCAGCCGAGATCATGCCATTGCACCCCAGCCTGGGTGACAGAGCAAGACTCCATCTCAAAAAAAAAAAAAAAAAGAACTAGAACTAGTTCCCAGGTTAACTTTTCTCCTTCTCAGAAGGCTTTGGGTATGTAAGTCCTTTTTATTGGGTAAAGGAATTTGGGAGTACCAACTGGTTTCCTTCTTAAAGTTTTCTTCCATTTCCTTCCAGAATGGCTGCTAAGTAGTCCAGTTTTACTTTCTCCTATTGTGCTATTTCTAGAAGAATCACTGTAAAACTGTTTCTCGTTTTTAAGGGTTTATAGTTACAGTAATTTTGCTAAATAGGGGTTAAAGAAATAATAATAGGAACTATATATATTGATTCATTATTTGGTTAACTAGGAGTGAGACTGAAAATAGACTTACTAAAAAATACTTTTTAGAATTGACAATTGTATATATTTACCAAGTATAACATGATGTTTTGAAATATGTATACATTGTGGAATGGCTAGATCAAGCTAATTAACATATGTGTTACCTCAAATACTTATTTTTTGGTTGAGAATGAGAACACTTAAAATTTACTCTTTCAGTGATTTTCAAGATAAAATACCTTGTAATTAACTATAGTCTTCTTATCTGAAATTTTGTATAATTTGACCAACACCCTCCGCCCCAACCTTAACCCCCTTACTAACCACTATTCTGCTCTCTGCTTCTACTTCTCTTTATCCCCAAGGTGTTTCATCACACTCTGCCTTAGCCACATGCTTGACAGTGTCCACACAATGGTCCTCATATTTGTGTTTCCCATTGCAAATTGTCCCCATTTTTTTTTTTTTTTGGTCATAGTTATTTCTTGAAGGCATTGTTAGGAAAAGATTGACTACATTAAGTCTTTATAATAGACTGGAGAACAAGAAAGTACTTCATTTCTTTGAGTTTCAATATCCTCATCTATAGTATAGAGATTAAAATCCCAAGATGAGTTCTTATTGTGTTGCTTAGGCTGGATTACAGTGGCTATCCACAGGTGTGATCATAGCTCACTGCTGACTTGAACTCCTGGGCTCATGTGATCCTCCTACCTCAGCCTTCTTAGTAGCTGGGACTATGGACATGCAACACCATGCCTGGCAAGATTATTATTTTTGTATAATTCCTTATAAATGGGGTCTGTTATTTGAGAATCATTGTGTTCCTTTGGAAGTATGGTGTCCTTGCTTTTTCATATATGACGTGTCCTTATGTTGATTTCTACACATCCAGTGGGACATTCATCTCTTCAAGTTTTATGGAGTAATTTCCCAGGGAAAGACTTATTTGTATGAATGTGTCTTAGGGTGTCAATTTGGTAGGGTGTGTTGGCCTTGGTTCTAGGTGGATACAGTAGTGTAGTTTCTTCAGCTGTAATTCACACTAGTGACATTTGCGAGTGTCTCAGTATCCTAGGCTTTTCTCGACAAGGCAGAGTCCCTCCTGACCCTGGGCTAAGCCTATCTAAGCAGTGGAGATGAGGCTACAGAGCCTGGGTGCCTCCACACTGCCCTTCTGGGCTTCTAATCACCATAGTTGCCTATTCACCCCCACACCACACTCCAGTGCTCTTTACTTTGAAAAGAGAAATAAGCACTGGTAAGCACTAACACTTTAAGCAATATTTGTACTTTGGTATGTCCTAACTAAAAAATAGATATAGGATAGTGATACTTTGAAGAGGACTATGAAAAGGGATCAGTAGGGCTTAGTGGAAAAAGTTTTAAGTTTTCTACTGTTATTGAATAAAATTACATATAGTGTGATTCTTATTACTTGAAATTAGGAGGAGAAAGAATTTTTTGAGGTAAATTTGAAAAGACATAAAATAGACTACCCTGACAAAAATCTTCACAGATTAAAAATACTAATATTTGCATTGTCATGTATATTACAAACAGTATTCCTTGTCTTTTGCTTTTTTGTTTTGTGTTTAGTGTTTCTTGCTATATGAAATATAACTTCTTTATGCAGCCTAGACTTTTTTTCTTTGTATTTCCTGACCTTGTTGTCATGTTTAGAAAGCCATACTCTAAGAAAACTAAGTACTTCCACTATTTTCTTCTAGTTCTTTAGGGCCATTTCCTCCTTCATTACATTTATTATTCATTTTTAAAAATTAAATATTAAATATATTTTAGTGATAATTTCTGAATAATTGGGATGTTGATCTTAGTCTAGGATGTTAAAAGATAGAAAGTCCATCTTAAGTTATGATGTAGAAAGGTGGAGGGAGTATTGCTCCCATCCTTACTATAACAAAGAGCCAGTCATCTGCAAAATCATGTTTTCTTGAAACAATTACAGAGCTAAGGTTGTAGGGCAAACAGTTAGGCTGATATTTAAGGAAAAACAGGCCCCTCCAATGAAAAGCTTGCTGATTCATGGCAATCACTGGACACTGTGAAATCTGGTAAAAATAATTCAGCTGACCAGGGGCAGTGGCTTACGCCTATAATCCCAGCACTTTGGGAGGCCGAGGCAGGTGGATCACTTGAGGTCAGGAGTTTGATACCAGCCTGGCCAACACAGTGAAACTCCGTCACTACTAAAAATACAAAAAATTAGCCAGACGTGGTGGCACATGCCTGTAGCCCCAGCTATTCAGGAGGCTGCGCCAGGAGAATTGCTTGAAGCTGGGAGAGAGAGGTTGCAGTGAGCCAAGATTGCGCCACTGCACTCCAGCCTGTGCAACATAGCGAGACTCCATCTCAAAAAAAAAGAAAAACCAAACAAAAGCAACAAAAAAATTAGCCTGGCATGCTGGTGCATACCTGTAGTCCCAGCTACTCAGCATGCTAAGGTGGAAGGATCACCTGACCCTGGGAGGTTGAGGTTGCGGTGAGCTATGATCATGCCACTGCACTTCAGCCTGGGCAACAAAATGAGACTCTGTCTAAAAAAAAAAAATTAAAAAAAAATTTCAGCTAAAACGTTAGTGAATTGCAAAAGGCAGTGGACTAGCATGAAAGTTTAGAACCCCTGGGAGTTGTAGACACAGTGGGGAATTTATAGCCACTCATGGGCTTTTCTTCACACACTCATCAGGCGTTCACAAAAAAGACTGAGAATGAGAAAAATGCTTTTTCCTAGTACAGTCCTTGGGGAAGAGACAAGCAATTACTGTGGAAAAGGAACCATGCCTCACCTTGTTCCTTCCCTGTTTCCCCTATGGAACAAAAAGCTTTAAGCTACTGTGGGAAGAGCAGCAAACTCTATTGCCTTCAGAGCTTAGGTGAAGACCACAGATCAGGAAGGAAACAAGAAAATACCCTCTATAACTGGGAGAAGGGCAGGAAAACATCTTAAGCCTAGACAATTAGAGGTCTGTAATAACTGGGAGGGAGAGTAAGATCACTGAGAAATTCCTACCTTCGAGACCTGGGGACACAAGTCCTGCCCAAGACTATGGCTGAACCAGGACAACAGAAAACACTAATTCCATACTCCTAGTGCTCCCTCCCACCAGGCTAGCAAACACCAGGTAACTAGAGCAATCTGCTGACACAAGTGTGGGAAGAGAACATCTTGCCAAATCCAGTCATGAAGATTTTTCTTTATGTTTCCTTGTAAGAGTTTTATAGTTTTAATTCTTCAGGGTATACCTTTGATTCATTTTGAGCTAACTTTCGTTAATGATATAAAAGTCCAGCTTTTGTTGTTGGTGGTGCATGGCTATCTTGCTTAAAATCAGTTGACCATATATGTGAGGGTTTATTTCTAGGCTCTCAGTTCTTTGGCATATGTCTTTTTCTATGCCAGTACCACACTGTCTTGATTCCTGTAGCTTTATAGAAATTTTGAAGTTGGTAAGTCTGAGTTTTCTAACTTTGTTTTTTTTTTTAACATTGTTTTAGATATTCAGAGTCCCTTGAAATATATGAAATTTAGTATGAGTTTTCCCATTTCTGCAATATATGCTTTTGGAATTTTGAAACAGATTGTGTTGAATCCATAGATTATTTTGGGTAGTATTGTCATCTTAATAATGTTAAATTTCTCAATGCATGAAAATGGGATGTCTTTTTATTTATTTTGTTCATGGTCCAAAATTAAAATCTGCAAAAGAATTTATATTCAACAAATTCCAGGCCAGGCATGGTAGCTCATGCCTGTAATCCCAGCACTTTGGGAGGCCGAGGTGGGTGGATCACCTGAGGCTAGGAGCTCAAGACCAGCCTGGCCAACATGGTGAAACCCCATCTCTACTAAAAATATAAAAATCAGCCAGGTGTCGTGGCAGGTGCCTGTAGTCCCAGCTACTCAGGAGGCTGAGGCAGGAGAATGGCTTGAACCCGGTAGGCAGAGGTTGCAGTGAGCTGAGACTGCACCATTGCACTCCAGCCTGGGTGACAAGAGTGAAACTCCGTCTCAAAAAAAAAAAAACAAAAAAAAACCAAACAAATTCCAGTTTTATTTTTGTGTCCTTCACTGCTTCCTTCCTTGTACAAAGGTAATAATTAAAAATACCTACATACTTCGCTTTGTTTATACATTGCTTGAAATATATAATTAGATACTTTTATATTTTTAATCTTCCTTAGATAAGTAGTAAAATACAATACATACTTTATCCCATCTTGATTTTTTTACTTAAAACTGTATCCTCAGGTTCACTTAATAGTAATATACAGATATATATTCCTCATTACTTTGTGCAGCTGCATACACCATTGTATGATTATGTAATAATTTGTTCAACATTTCCATATTGATGCGTATGTAGGTTGTTTCTAATCTTTCATTCTTATAATAAATAGCCATGTTTGTATCCTCTTAAATGTTGCCGGTGTAACTTTGGGATTAATTTCTTGGAGTTGCTGTAAAAAGTAAATGCATATGTAATGTTGCCAGATATTGCTAACTTCTCTATAGGTTGTGCCTTTTTTTTTTTTTTTTTGAGGCAGAGCCTCGCTCCGTAGCCCAGGCTGGAGTGCAGTGGCGTGATCTCGGCTCACTGCAACTCCGCCTCCCACACCCAGATAATTGTTGTATTTTTAGTAGAGACAGGGTTTCACCACGTTGGCCAGGCTGGTCTCGAACTCCTGACCTCAAGTGATCCACTCGCCTCAGCCACCCAAAGTGCTGGGATTACAGGTGTGAGCCACCGCTGTATCATATTTTTATTACTACCAGCACTGTAAAAGAATTTCTGATTTCTCCAGAACCTCATTAACAGAGAATATTGTAAACCTAGTGAGAGATGGCTTGTCATAGTTTCAAATTTGTGTTTTTCTTTCCATAGCAAAGTTGAAAGCATCTTTTTTCTTTCAGTTTCATACATTCATATAGCTCATAAGAGCCATTTGCATTTCTTTTTGGAGAGGACATTTTATTACTTGCTTAAGGTTTTTGTGGATCACACAGGTATTGTGTATTCTGGCTACAAGCCTACATGAGGGCTGGAGGGCCAGTATGTAGATACCAATTCGAGATCTTACCTCTCTACCAGATATTAAGATTGAGAACTACTTTTTCCTTTCTGTTTTTATGGAGTAGATTTATTTTTTATTTGCGCTTATAATAAACGTTTAACTGTTTTTGGGGACAGAGGTTCGGACATCTAGCACTAATGTTTCCCATGCCCTCTGCCTCTGCAAAAAGAGGAGCTCATGGTCCACAGGATTTGGCAGATTACTTTGGAAAGGAAAGCTGGGTATGTTCTGACTTAAGTAACTTCCAAAATTCTCACTTCCATGTTGTTTTTGACCTCGGTGCATTCCTTACTTTCTGGTCAGACCAGTTATGTATTTCTAAATATTTTTTTACAAACATGTTAGTTTTTTAAAACTGAACAGGTTTAGTTGTTTTCAACTGGAGATACTTTCTGGTTATCTGATCTTCCTATTATTTTTCAAAAATATCTTGTCTGGTTTCCTTATTCTTCATGATGAACTCTAATCTGCTCAAAGGTTATTTCACCTTCCATTCGTTTGTTTTTTTTCTCTAGGCTAAAAATTATAATTTTCTTTTTTAACACATTTCCTTTCCTGTTCATTTTTAGACTTTCTGCTATTTCTTTACATCCTTTTGTTCTTAGCTTTTGTTGTTAATTATAGCTTTAGAATTTTTTGAGGTGTAAGAGTAGTGACTTATGTGTTCCTTCATTTATTGTCACTTTGGTCAAATTGAAGGACGAAAACTGGACATTCTCATTAAGGATAATCAACTTCGGGTGTGAGACGTTTATGGCATTTTTATGCATTTAACCTGAATGTGACCAGTGTTTTCCACTTTTTCAGGATGGTAGTGCTTTGGAGGATTCTAGCACTTCAGGGGCATCCTGTTCCAAGTCAAGACCACATTTAGCTGGGACACATACTTCTCTTAGACTTCCGCAGGAAGGAAAAGGAACCTGTATTCTTGTAGGTGGTCATGAAATCACTTCTGGATTAGAAGTAATTTCTTCCCTAAGAGCAATTCATGGGTTGCAAGTAGAAGTTTGTCCTCTTAATGGCTGTGATTACATCGTGAGTAATCGCATGGTGGTGGAAAGGAGGTCTCAATCTGAGATGTTAAATAGTGTCAATAAGAACAAGTTCATTGAGCAGATCCAGCACCTGCAGAGTATGTTTGAAAGAATATGTGTGATTGTGGAAAAGGACAGAGAAAAAACAGGTTTGTATTTTTAAATATCTTTGTTTATAAGACTGTAAAGGAACTTTACGGTTAACTTAGTTTATTCTTCTATTATTAGGATGTGGGAAACTCTTAAAATATAAACACCTGACTGGTGAATGTCATTTCATATTTTCATACAGCCATAATGGCTTTCATTAGTCATTGTATTTAAATGCAGCTTATGAGAAATGAAGGGTTGGAAACTGAAGGCAAGTCTGCCAAACATAAGACTTTTTCAGGAACCCAGGAAGGATGAGGGCCTTAACTAAGGCAGCAATGGGGAGGAGAAGTAGTATTCGGGAGATGTTTAAGGAGTCAGGATTAGCAAGAGTTGGTGGGAGGAGTTGAGAATTACTGAGTTGACCAACTTCTTGGTTATTGGGCAGTTAAGTAGTGGTACTGTTTATTGCAATTATGAATATAAGGGAAGCAACAGATATAAGGGACAAGGGAAGTTCAATTTTGAACACGTTAAGATCGAGTTCTCAATGGGTCACTGAAGTGGGTACCTAGGATGCATTTGGAAGTGCAGGATTGGAGCTTCAGGTAGAAGATTTCTGCAGTAATTATTTAATTGTATGGCGAGCCCTCAAGAACAGTAAAAAGATCATGAGATATGGAATCAGAAGACACACCAATTACTGGCTTCTCTGTGTGATATTGCATTGACAAATCACTCCCTCTGAGGAACTGATAATACACTTGTTCTACTCATCTTGTGATATTATGAGAACTAAGTAAAAGCATGTAGGTGAAAGCCACTGCGGAAGAATTGAAGAATTATACTTTTGGTAATAGTGTAGTTTATGTAAAACATTGGTGTGGGAGTTGGGCAGCCTTTTCATCCCCATTTTGTCATTGGTGAACCGTGTGGCCTTAGATAAGTCATTTTATCTTTTGGTTACCCAATTTTTTTTTTGTTTTTTTTTTTTGAGACAGAGTCTCGCTCTGTTGCCCAGGCTGGAGTGCAGTGGCATGATCTCGGCTCACTGCAACCTCCACCTCCCGGGTTCAAGCAATTCTCCTGCCTCAGCTTCCTGAGTAGCTGGGATTACAGGCATGTGCCACCATGCCCAGCTAATTTTTGTATTTTTAGTAGAGATGGTGTTTCACCATGTTGGTCAGGCTGGTCTTGAACTCTTGACCTCAGGTGATCTGCCTGCCTCAGCCTTCCAAAGTGCTGGGATTACAGGCATGAGCCACCATGCCCAGCCTTCTTTTTTTTTTTTTTGAAATGGAGTCTTGCTCTGTCGCCCAGGCTGGAGTGCAGTGGCGCAATCTCGGCTCACTGCAACCTCCGCCTCCTGTGTTCAAGTGATTCTCCTGCCTCAGTCTTCTGAGTAGCTGAGACTACAGGTGCGTGCCACCATGCTCAGCTAATTTTTTTTTTATATTTTTTGTAGAGACGAGGTTTCACCATGTTGGCCAGGATGGTCTCGATTTCTTGACCTCGTTATCTTCCTGCCTCAGCCTCCCAAAGTGCTGGGATTACATGTTTGAGCCACCAGCCTTCTTTTTAATTTGAAAAGTCAGGGATAAAGGAAATAGATTTGGAATAGACAGGAAGGTAACATGGCAAAGGTTATAGAAAAGTATCGGGGGCCATAATAGGGAATACCAATAAAAGGATTTAAGTAGAATATGGAATAGAAAATGAACAAGAAAGGGTAGGGAAGTAATTGGCAAGATGATGTTAAAATGGGTGTACAGGGTATTTGTTGAGTTATTCTTTGGAATAAATACCTAAGATAATTTTATATTAAACCAGTACTTAATGCACCCTTCATCAGAGCTAGCATGAAAAACTAGAGATGAGTAATACAGTCTTGGCCTTCAGGAGTGAATTATCTAGGAATATAAGCTCTTCCTTATTCACCTTTCTACGTTGATTCCAGCTCAAGGCGCTCATAGTTACCCCTATTTTCTTTCTCAGATATTTGAGAAACATTAGTTGTAGGGTTTCTCATTAGCAGAATGTGGCACCAGTTTGCTCAATGGTGTAGATCTTGGGATTTTAATAAAATAAAGTATATTAATAATTCTACTTAATATTAGTTACTGAAGTTTGCCTTTCCCTAAATATGAATATTTAGGAGACACATCAAGGATGTTTAGGAGAACAAAGAGCTATGACAGCCTGCTGACTACCTTAATTGGCGCTGGAATCCGAATTCTTTTCAGTTCCTGCCAAGAAGAAACCGCAGATTTGCTAAAGGAACTGTCTTTAGTGGAACAAAGAAAGAATGTTGGTATTCATGTTCCAACAGTGGTGAATAGTAATAAAAGTGAGGCACTCCAGTTTTATTTAAGTATTCCCAATATAAGTTATATAACTGCATTAAATATGTGTCACCAGTTTTCATCTGTGAAAAGGATGGCTAACAGGTATGTCTGTTGTAATATTTTTAAATGATTACTTTTAAAAGATTCGTAAAAGCATTCCATAGAAGTTTAATGTTAAAAAAATTTAAGCGGCATCATGCCTGTTAGATTATTTTATTCAGTAAACATTTTTTGCCTGCCAACATATATTAGTTACTGTATGAAGCTAAGGGACATTATTCGAAAAAAAGAAAAAAGAAAAAATAGGTGTAGGGATTTCCTTTGAGAAGCTTAGAGCTCTGTGGAGAGACAATAAATAGCAGTTTCCTTTGACCTTGCAATCTAACATTTCTGGGCTGTTCAGTTCTGTAACAAGAAAAATGAGTATTTTACTAGTTGTGATCATTATATTGCTTGAAGAGGGAGATTTTAGAATGTAGTTCATTTTAATTAAAGGCCTACATCAGATACTGTCTTAGCTCATGCTGCAATGATAAAATACACAAACAACACAAATTTATTTCTGCCAGTTCTGGATACTGGAAGTCTGAGATCATGGCTGGGTTCTGGAGAGAGCTTTCTACTGAGTCACAGACTACTGCCTTCTCATTGTATCCTCACATGGCAGAAATAGAGCTAGCTAGCTCTTTGACCTCTTCTTAAAAGTGCACAAGGATATCCACCTTTATCAACTAATTCTCAAAGTTGCCACTTCCAAATACCATCACATTGGGATTACGGCTTCAACATATGAATTTTGGGCAACACAAAAACATTCAGTTCATTGAAGATGTTGAAATTGTTATTCTAGATAATTTTAAGGAAAGGAAACAAGTAGCTCTTTTATCCAAACTAATGTTCAAGACATATCAGCTGGGCGGATAATGCTTGAGATGATTTCCTTAAAGGCTACTGTGTTTGGTGTTCTTTAGGTAATATTAAATTTTATAAAAGCCAAAAGTCCTAGTGTAATGATTTTGTCTCATTTATTTTTCAGCTCACTTCAAGAAATCTCCATGTATGCACAAGTAACTCATCAGAAGGCTGAGGAGATCTATAGATATATTCACTATGTATTTGACATACAAATGTTACCAAATGATCTTAACCAAGATAGACTGAAATCTGATATATAATCAAGCTGCTCAAGATGGGGTTTTCAAAGACCTCTCACAATATTAAATGCACTTCAATAATCATTGCTGTTTTATGTTTATTTGTAAATAAGAGAATATTTTATTTAAATATTTTATATTGTATACATTTTTATTTATAGATTATAGAAATTATTAAAAAAGAAAAATCTGATGTTCAGTGATCATTTTGACTAGATTATAAAACTAATTTTTCTTATTAAATAAAACAAGGTTTATTAAAAGTGTTACTAAGGATAGTTTAAGAAAGTAAAAGCTAAGCTAGAGATATACTTTGGAATGTTTCCCAAAATTAAAGTTGTACTGTTGTGATAAATAGTAAAGTTGACATGTCTATGACTACAGCCAACTTGTCGATTTTCCCTATGTGTAGATAGTATACTTTTAAGTGTACTGATTCTAAATACATGTACTTGGTAAGGTGTGGGTGATGGGTGGGTTGTGAGATAAATGACCCAGTAACTAGGAAAGTAGAAAACTTAACTGAATGTTTATCTGACCAAAGGTGTGTCCCAGTTAAGTACTGTCAAATCTATTAATATGAACTCTGATATGGTTTGGCTGTGTCCCCAACCAAAATCTCATCTTGACTTGTAATCTGAATTATAATCCCAATATATTGGGGAGGGACCTCCTGGAACGTGATTAGCTCATGGGGGCGGTTCCCCCATGCTGTTCTAGTGATAGTTCTCAGAGGATCTGATGGTTTTATAAGCTTTTCCTCTGTTCACTCTGCAGTTCTCTTGCCTACTGCCATGTGGAAAAGGAAACGTTTGCTTCCCCTCCACCATGATTGTAAGTTCCCGAGGCCTCCCCAGCCATGCAGGACTGTGAGTCAATTAAACATCTTTTCCTTATAAATTACCCAGTCGGGTTATTTCTTCATAGCAGCGTGAGAATGGACTAATACAAACTCCCAGCTACATTACTCTTTTTTGTTGCTGAAATATATTCAAAATGGTATATTGGTTTGGACTTAGAAAGTTTCTTTTTAATATAAATTACTGAATGCAGGCCCATTATGTTGACCCTATTATATTTACCGTTTTGATCCATTCTGTTGTCTGTGATGGCATTAAGAAGGCTCTGCTTGGGGCCGGGCGCGGTGGCTCACGCCTGTAATCCCAGCACTTGGGGAGGCCGAGGGGGGCGGATCACGAAGTCAGGAGATCAAGAACATCCTGGCTAACACGGTGAAACCCCATCCCGTCTCTACTAAAAATATAAAAAAATTAGCCGGGCATGGTGGCAGACACCTGTAGTCCCAGCTACTCAGGAGGCTGAGGCAGGAGCATGGCGTGAACCCGGGAGGCGGAGCTTCCAGTGAGCTGAGATCGTGCCACTGCACTCCAGCCTGGGCGATAGAGCCAGACTCTATCTCAAAAACAAACAAAAACAAACACAAACCAAAAAAGAAGGCTTTTCTTGTATCTGCAATATATATGACATCTTTCTTCTAGTCAGTCTAGTACTAAAGCAGCCTTGAATTATGTGAGTCCTTTATTCTCGGCCTCATTTTTACCCCTATTACATTGTTGGGTAGTTGAACCAGCCTCACTGCAGAGCTCTCCTCACCTTAAATCTGGCGGGGACTTCAGAGCTCATGTAATTCAAATCACTTCTCTTTCCTTTCTTACCAAATGATAAAAGTGATGCCCAGAAACAAGTGACTTATTCAAGTTTAGACTGGCAAATCTAGAAGCAGAACTCACAAACTAGGTATCATTCTCTTTCACTCTATGGTGTTGATAAAAGGGGACAAAAAAGTTACTCTAATTGTTTAGCTCCTTTGAGATAGTATCAACTCTCAATTTGTATGAAAGCAGCTGACTTATGTATGCTGCTCAATAATTCTGTCAAAACCACAGAGAGGAAACACTAAGTTATTGCCTAGTGTGCAGTTATCAGTTTATTATAACTGGACTTTTTGAGTATTTCTCCTTTAGTAGTGAGCACAATGCTAAGCTGTGACAGGAGGAAAGGAGCCTCTTTGTGGTTCCACTGTGCTACATCTTCATGTATCTTGCTCCTGCCACATTGTCAGCAGGGCCTGTGGGTAGGGACATCTGGTGGTGCTTTGCCCCAGCTGCATGCCAGAATCATGCAGTCCCTCAACAACCTCACACAGAGATACCACCACCTGCTCAGACTCAGCTGTGTGTGCACCCGTCAGACAAAAAAAAGTACATAAATTAACATGGTGTTACAGACATAACCTAGAGGATTTCATTTATTTATGCTTGCTGTATGGAGAGCTCTATCCATATTTAGGCTTGCAATAGCCTCCTCCTATATCCTCATTGGTAGCCATTAACCATTCATTATCCATCTTATTATTTAAGTCCTTAAGGTCTTTTTTCTTTTCCACTTTTAAGTTTCCTTTGGGGGTTACTTACCTTAAACCTTATCATTAGTTCATCTTATGACCTGATAGAAATAGGACAAGCCAGGTACCTGGCCGGTGAGATACCTTAGTATAGGGAAGGCGCTGAAGTTCTGATACGGATATATGGGCAGTAGGGGTCAAACTCAAGTTTATGCCATTTCAATTACCTTTTTACTTTTTGTTAAGGGATTTAACCACTTTCTTAACTCCTAAAACACTATCCATTAACTTCAAGCAGTATAGCATTAGATCAAATATTGGCAACTCAAGTTCTGCAACGGCATTTTTTTTGGCCACTCCAAAATAACCCTTTCTTTTGATCCATTCTATATCCACCAAGGGTCTTTATGGCAGAAATAATCATGGTAGTTTAAAGAAAGAATTATCTTAGTCCAATTGCACTGTTCTTTTTACAGTGTTTCCGTAAGTCCTATAATTATATAACTGCTGATTATTACTATTTTATTTTATTTATTTATTTATTTTAAAAGGAGTCTCTGTTACCCAGGCTAGGGTGCAGTGGCCAGTTGCAGGCATGATCATAGCACAGTTCAGCCTTGAACTCCTGGGCTCAAGCTATCCTCCTTCCTCAGCCTCCCAGGTAGTTGAGACTACAGATACATGACACCATGCCTGCTCTGACTAAAACACTTAAGAAACAAGAAAATGTTATTAATCATTTTTTTTTTTTTTGAGGAAACTTAAACAGGACCAGTCATGATTTGTTTTTATTTCTATCATCCAGTAATTAGTAACAAACAAAAAACAAGAAACAAATACTATAAAAGCAAACTAACTTTATTTGAATAATCTAAATAGAGAACAAGGGTAGGTGAATGTGTAGCCAGAGGGAAAATATCCTATGTCAAGTTTCAAAACATAACAAGCAAAAATAAGTTTATTTCTAAAAGAAATTTCAGTGAAAGAAAAAGGATGTTTATTATGACATAATATATTGATTCCTAATGGTGGATCTATTAACTGTTTGTCTAATCTAGTCAAAATATTTAAGCTGTTTCTGCATATGTAAATAAGGCTTAAAAATTAGAGAACAAAATCTGTTCTCTAATTTTACCTAGTAAAATAATGGTAAAGCAATAAACTAAATTTACAAAGGTTTCATAGATATGCCTATCACAAGTTTAAAATAAAAACAATCAGGAGAGAAGCATGTCAACAATGTGTAATTTAATTTCAACAATGTGTAATTTAAACATTAGGTTTGGATAACAACTGGTAACAAATCCTACTCTGGCTTGGATAATAACTGCTAACAAATGCTAACTTAAAAGTTTTCATGAATTCAATAGCTACCAATACAACCTCTGTCATCCTTCTCACCTTCTCTTACTTAAATGGTAGCAAAATTTTCTTGAAATAAAAAAAAATCTGTTTGGGAAATGGTTTTCTTAAAGTAAACAGACTTGGATGCTTATTAAAAAATTATCTATATATATTTTAATATGCAAAAACAAATTTACAGATATCTACACGAGCAAAAACAATTTTCTTTACATTTTTAGTAAGCTGCAGCAATGAGGATATTTTACTTTGAACACAAACATATGAAACCTTCAAAAAAGTCCACATTTTCATAGGAAGCTACTTTACAAAGAAAATACATGTACTCCAGTTGAAAATACAAACACTGTCTGCTTTATGGTAAAAATCCCAGGAATCATATTTTCTCATTTTACTATGCAGAATCAGAGTTCGAAAAATAATAATCTTTCTCTTCTTCATCTAAAGATTCCACAGCATTAGTGAAAAGTTTTCCAATACCAGAGTTTTCTCCTAAGTCTGTAAAGAGAAGTTTAATAAAAAGATAATAAATTTCTAAAAGTACTTTCAATAAAACTGAAAACAACTATAAGGAATAAAATGCTAAGTCTGTCCACTTGAGAGCAATTAATTTTAATACCATTTAAATAAAGAACCTACCTTATAATAGAACTGAGCCACAAAAGAAAGCTGTAAGTGTATTACCTGTGTTAAATGGGGTTTTCCTTCTTGGTGTTGGAGTTGAGAAATCAGTTTCAACCTATAAAAGAGTTACTATTAATAGCTAAATGGTACCTCCTGGTGAAGTCTACCTCAAATCTAGACAAAATTAAGCATGCTTATCCCCAGATTACTTTGAACATATGCCTATAACAACATTTAATCACATTATAATTATCTGTGAAATGCATAATTCTCTTTTGGGTTTATCCAGGGCAAGAACCATGACTTACTCAATGTTGTTTCCCAGTGCTGGCAAACACTCCTCTAAGAAATTATTATAAACTAATGCTATAGCAGTTAAAGGATAGTCTATGGGCCTCCAAAAGTTGCCAAAATGTGCTAAGTAATTAAGTAATGAATATACTGGTTTGGTAAACTTAAAATATAAACACAATTTATCATGATTATATATAGTAATTATAATTACAATACTATACTGTACTATTACAGTATAGTAATTACTATACAGAATACTAATTACTGTATTACTTTTACCTACAGTCTGTTATTATAACAGTACAATGTTTTATACCAGCAGAATTTTAATTCTCTGTACTTGAAATTCTTGGCTAAAATGGTAAAGTAAATGGCAAGTTTGAAGTACATGCTCACACACATTACAATGCTTATCAAACTATTGGCCATGGCTGGCAATCCTTAAAAATCTTTTAAAAATAAAAAGTAACAGAACAGAAAATATAGTAGCCCTTAGAGTAAGTACTGTTTTAAGAAATTTTTGAGATACAAATTCATGCTCACAGACTGTGATATAAATGTATTTTTTTCTGAGATGAGGTAAAACACTGCATTATATCATTTAGACCTCAAAATCATTTGGTAACATAAATCAATATAATCATGATCCCCATTGTCATACCACACATGAATAAAATGGTATTAGAAAGCTCAAGTAACTTGCTCAGTGTCATAAAGCAAGGGAATCAAGGGGGTTCCCATAAGTTACCATTCTCGAAGATTAGCTACTTAGAGGAAATTTGAGATGAAATACTTTTTCCAGAATCCTAGTACTTATATATGATAATCAGTTATTGCAATTAAAATCAGAAAATTAAAAATTTAAAAAGTAATTCAAGGGGATAAAGGACTGTCCTAATCTTTTCTCTAAGGGATATAGATCATTCTATTAAGGCATCTTTCAGTTAAAAATTTTTCTGTAGTTGGATTTTAAATGTTAGAATGTAAAAAAATAAAAAGTAAAAAAATAAAATTAAGTAGCTAAATCTGAAAAACACCTGAAGCCATTTTAAAGCTACATAGAATTTGATGAAATTTCTTACTTTATGAGAATTGTGACTCAGTCTGAATTATTCTTCAATCCTTGAACAGGATTGTTTTTGTGTTTTGTGTTTTTGTGTTTTGCCTGAAATATCCTTCCCAGACCTCTGTGTATATTTTTCCCACCCTTCATTTCCCAAAAATCAAAGTTTTTAGCCATTTTCCCCTTGCTCCAATGTTTCAGTCAATGTGATGCCATCTGTAATCCTACAGTACTTATGTGCTTACCTCATTCATGGCTTCATTATTGTAACTTGTTACATTATAATCACCTCAGGGACAGGGACTGTTACATGACTTACAACTACCACAGTTTATCACATATTAAAGTTGTTTCATAGATATGTATTGGATAAAGAAAAATACTTACTAATTTTTTCTTGATGTTGCCCCAGACAATACCACCATTACTTTTATGATATTTTTGCATACGAAAAACATATTTATCACAGTCATTCCTGTTTGAATACGAAATAATTTTAAGTCAACAATATTTTTAAGTCAACCTAATAATTTTAAGTTAACTGTCATACTTTTAACCACAGGTTGAACAACAATTGCCTAAATTAATTTCAAATGTATTTCTTTTTTTGAAACAGGGTCTCACTCTGTCGCCCAGGCTGGAGTGCAGTAACATGATAATGGCTCACTGCAGCCTCAACCTCCTGGGCTCAAGTGATCCTCCCAACTCAGCCTCCCAAGTAGCTTGGACTACAGGCACGTGCCATCATGCCTGGCTAATCTTTGTATTTTTCTTAAGAGACAGGGTTTCACCACATTGCCCAGGCTGGTTTCAAACTACTGAGCTCATCAAGCAATCTGCCCTCCTGGGCCTCCCAAAGTGTTGGGATGACAGTCGTGAGCCACCACGCCTGACCTCAAACGTATTTCCATCTTTAAAAAGTACATTCTGTATTTTAAAGAGGACAATAAAATGTGCCTATGGAGATGGACAAAATGCTTAAATCAAACATTTTACAGGAAATACTGATCAAGACTATTTTGGGAAATTATGCTTTGCTTACCGTTCATTGTACCGTCTACGCTCTTTCCGGTATCTTGCTGCCTCTCTTGGTTTTCCAAAACTCCCACTGAGACTTCTTCTCCTTGGACTCCCTTTTGCTATACCATTATCTCTCCTGTTCACTTCCTTCCCTGTCCTAATTGAATCTCAGTTTATTCACTTTAAAGATATGCCTGGTGATTGAAAACTGTCAATTTTTCCAACTGTGCTGGGTTTCTAATCCAGCTCATCAAGCCTTTTATTTCTACAAAATTTTATCTTTCTTGAATTCCCCATACCAACCACCAAATTTTTTTTCTTTATTTCATTTCCTTTACCTTATCTCTTCCCTTACAAGCAAATATGCTTCACTCATAACTGAAGAGATTAAAAGCCAAGTAGAATTGTTGGTTGTTTTTAATTCCCTAAACCCACAATTCCTAATCCCACTTATGACAGTAAATACCAGCTGAACATCCATTTCCATACTCTCTCTTGGCTCTAAGATCTTACATACCTGAGTATCCTCTGTTCTTTATGACTATTTGGGAACAACCTTAAAGGCATGACATGAAGAAATGTGACTCTATTAAGATATTTATCTGAATCAAACACTGCTGTATAGCAATGAATAAACCTCGTCAGTTTTTAGCAAATTGCTTAACAAATGAACAGGTGTGATCCCAGCACTTTGGGAGGCTGAGGCTGGCGGATTACCTGAAGTCAGGAGTTCAAGACCAGCCTGGCCAACATGGTGAAACCCCATCTCTGCTAAAAATACAAAAATTAGCCAGGCACGGTGGCATGCGCCTGTAATCCCTGCTACTTGGGAGGCTGAGGCATGAGAATTGCTTGAACCTGGTAGATGGAGGCGGTAGTGAGCCGAGATTGTGCCACTGCTCTCCAACCTGAGCAACTCCATCTCACAAACAAACAAAAAACAAATGAACAGGCCTAGCCAGTTGTTCAGGATCAGCAACTGGTAAGTCTATTATCAAAGAGATGTCTTTGAAGACAAAGAGTTTTTCACTTCTGAAGTGATATAACTGTTTGATTACTTAAAACTGTTATGAAAAGTACGTCAATTACTAGAGCTAGTAAAGTCAGAGAGAGTGAAGAAGCCTAAGAAAATCATTTTTTTAAGAAAAAAGTTTCAGACAATATAGATTCATAACATAAGTGAATCTATCGTGTTTCTTTAATTGTAAAAGTGACATAAATGGACAGAAAATATCCCCCAAAACAAAAAACAAAAACCCACAACCCACACTGGTGTCATTCTACAACCTAGAAAGAATGGCTGGTGATGTGTAAGTTAAGAAATTTCCTTCCTTACGAATTTGTTACATAAAATTGGGATCATGCTGAATGTAGTTTTCCTAGCTTTTGAAAACTACTATCCACTGGACATTTTTCTGTCATTAAATTCTTGAAGACATGATTTGTTTCATATTCCATTATATGGATAAATCTTAATTTATAACTTTCCTTATTTTTGGATGTTTTGGTCATTCTCAAACTTTCAGTATTATGTTTTATGATGAACATCTGTGTTCCAAATCTCATATTTCCTTAAAGTGTCTAATAAAATTCAACGGCCAAAAGGATGAAGTTGTTTTTTTTTTTTTTTTTTTGGAGACGGAGTCTCGCACTGTCACCCAGGCTGGAGTGCAATGGCGTGATCTCGGCTCACTGCAACCTCTGCCTCCCGGGTTCAGGTGATTCTCCTGCCTCAGCCTTCTGAGTAGCTAGGATTACAGACACACACCACCACATCCGGCTAATTTTTTGTATTTTTAGTAGAGATGGGGTTTCACTATGTTGGCCAGACTGGTCTCGAACTTCTGACCTTGTGATCCGTCGGCCTCAGCCTCCCAAAGTGCTGGGATTACAGGTGTGAGCTACCGCGCCCGGCCACGGATGAATATTTTAAGGCTTTTGATGAACTGGTCAAAGTGCTTATCAAAAAATTTGTCCAAAATAGTATTCTCAGTATGCTTTCCCCTGCACTAAATACTAAAAATAATTTTTAGATGCCTAGGAAAATTATATTTTTATCCAATAAGTGCAAATTAAAATTTTAGCAATTTAGCAAGCTTCCTGAGAGTACTGAATAGTTTTTTTCTCAGTCACTATTATCTTGCTTCTGCCTCTCATTCTGTGGAAATTGCTCTAAGATCAGCAATGGCCTCTTACTTGCCAAATGGAATAGCCTATTTTCAGGCCTCATTCTTACTATTTTCCATCTTTTTTTGGTGACATTTTATTGTTAGTCACCCCTACTTTTTTCTTAATTTTATTTATTTATATGTTTCAAATTGTTCTTGTATTCACATGGTTCAAAATTCAAAAGCCCCCCTCTCCTTCCTCCAGCTACCTTAGTTCTCCCTAAGGATCACCAATGTTTTGGTTTCTTATGCATCCTTTTATAAAGACTTAATCTAATAAAAGCAATTATACACACACACACACACACAAGTATATACATATATGCATACATACATATAGCTTCTATTTACACAAACAGTAGTATATTATTCACTGCATCTACCTTTGTTTCATTTAATATATCTTAGGCATTTTATCATAATAGCAATAAAAAATATCTTCATTAATTTCTTTTTTTTTTGAGACAGGATCTCACTCTGTTGCCCAGGATGGAGTGCAATTGTTGCAATCACAGCTCACTGCAGCCTACACCTCTGGGACTCAAGCAATCCTTCTACATCAGCCTCCCTAGTAGCTAGGGCCACAGGCTTGCCCCACTGCATCCTGCTAACATTTTTGGGTTTTTTTTGTAGAAATGGGGTCTTCCTATGTTGCCCATGCTGGTCTTGAACTCCTGGGCTCAAGTGATCCTCCCAAAGTGCTGGGATTACAGGCTTCAGCCACTGTGCCTGGCTCTTCATTAATTTCTATGACTATATAATGGACCAGAGTTCATTTAATTAGTCCCTACTGATAGATTTTTGAGGTACTGCCATTTAAACAATGCTACAATGAATAAGCTGTACATTCACAATTCTATAAGTAAAATTCCTAAGTCAAAGGGCATGTGCATTTATAATTTTGATACTTACAAATTGTTGCTGCAAAGATCGCACTACTTTACCTTCTCACTAGCAATGCACAAAAATTAACAATGCATTCCTTGTTAGTTTGTAGGAATGCTGTATATATTACGGAAATTAGCCTTTTGCCTGTGACAAGTTGCATATATTCTTTTCTCAGGTTGTCTTTTGTTTGTAGTGGTTGGTACCAGGTAAAATTTGTTAAACATTTTTACACAGTTGACTTTATTCATCTTTTCATTAATGGCTTGTAGGTTTTATAGTATAGTTAGAAAGACCATCACTAATCTGGTATTATAAAATAATTCTCCAAGGTTTCTTTAGTTTTTTTTTTTTAAAGTTTTTTACAAGTAAAACCTTGATCCATTTCGAATTGATCCAGAAGTAAATGTGGGTTATATCACAATGCTGTTTATTGAATAGCACCCCGATTTGATGAACTTGTCCATCCTTAACTTCTAGAAACTACACATTCTTGATTTTTTAAATAATGCCTCTTCCCATTACTGGCATCTATGGTCCTCATGAAATGTTTAAATGTTCCTCACTACTCTGATGCAGAGAATTAACATATCATATGCATGAATATTTACCTATTTATAGAACCTAGCATGCCAGGACTGACATGCTGACATTGAGGAGTTTTTACCAATGGAAAGATAACTGATGATGGAGTTGTTGGATTTTTGTCCATATTTGGCAGAATATCATCATCATCTTCACTGTCCTGGAAACTTGGCAACTAGAAAACAAGTATTTATTATCAGCAGGCACCCCATAAAAGGTATTTTCTCATTATCACAAAATAGTTTTGGAGGACTGATAAGTTGGTTCTTCTTGTAACTTTCCAAGTTAGATAATTAAAAACAGTAGTACGTAGAGGAGTAGAGGCTAGAGGAACTCCATTTTAGATGCTAATTCACCATGCTGACTTCTGATTAAACCTGGATCTGGAAATGCCTCTAAGATTTCTACCTCCATATACTTACTGGAAATCTTGTCCTTAGGTCAAAACAACCTTGGTGTTATCGTAAACACATACTTACCATAAATACAGCCCTTAGGCAAATTCCCTATGGTATATAAACCCTGGGTCTGGGGGGATAACAGTGCCCAAATCCACCATCTTGAGGCCACCCAAGAGATGGCTTCTGCTCAAAAGTCTCTATTAAATGTTTCTGAGAAACTGGATTTGTCACCCTCTTTATTCAGCCTGTAACCGAGTAGCGTGGCTTCAAACCATGTTTTAAAACTTTTTTCTTTCTTTCTCCCCAATTTTAAGATATAACTTTGAGATAAACTACATGTGTTTCCATTCATCTTGAAATACAGCCTCAAAATGTGAACCTCCGTTTCTTTACCCATTCTATGCTCCCATGCCTTATGCACATGTTTTTACCTAGACGCTTTTTAAGTGCACACCATGCTCATTTATCTGGTCATGTATTTCCTTAGAAGCTTCAGGGGCCGGATCCTGGCATAAACTGGATACCTCCAGAATTCTCTCCCCAGTCAAGGCCAAAACTCACTCCCATCTAGAAATTTACTGCAAGATTTACTACAATTAATTTGTAACCTGGTTGAGCCCAGGATGGTGCTGGCCCCTTCACCAAATGGAATAATATTTCAAGATAAGCTGTTGGAGCAGATTGAGCCACCTAACACCTCCTAACCCCCTCCTCTCCTGCATTCCAAATCATTCTCTCTTTAAAAACTCCTATGTTCACTCCACAAATTGAAGACTGGAATTTCTGGAATTTCACCCACACTTCCCTTTGCTGGCACAGATAATAAAACTCTATCACACCTTGCTCTTGTTATATTGGCTTCTTTTTACAAGCGGCAAGTAGTTGGACCCCTATTGCTGGTTACAATTTTTGGTGGCCCATACAGGGAGCCCTGTGTATTCACAGGAGGCTCCAGACACACCTATCTGATCTTCTGTTGGATAGGGCCATGGAGCCACCTGTGAGTGCCAGCTGCTCATGGCTAGCTGACCCTGTAGTAAGAACATTAGGGGAGCTTCCAGCAATAGCCAAGGTGCCTTTGTCTTGCAGAACCTCCTTTTCTATTTCTGTCACAGCATCTGCTGCTTCCAAAGCTTCACTGATACAAAGAGAATGTGACATTTTGAAGAAGTCGACAAATGTTGGAACCAGGTGAGCTGCTGATGTGCACCCAGCCTCCCTCTGCCTCTTTTAGGGTGTTGCTGGGGCTCTGCTCTGTTTAGACTTAGCTGTTGGTGTCACCATTTGGCCATTTTTTTGCATTTGTATTTGTGGCACCCTCAGGGCTTTGCTCACATTGGACTGTCCCCTGGGGAGGGCCGTTTGAAACTGAGGCAAGGAGTTTGGAACTCTACCCAGCCCTCTTAACTGGGGATTTGTTTGGAGGCAGTGCACCATTTGTTTGCAGTGTAGGTGTGTAACCTTAATGTGTGTATGGGCCCTAATCTCTCTCTCTCTTCCTCCATCTTTTCTATTCCTCCCAGCTCCATCCCACTGACTAAATTGGAAACAAGCCATCTACAGCCTAAACTCCCCTGGGCCATAAACACCGTTAGCTTCCTCCAGCTGGAAATAGCTAACCTTGACTGGTGACTTGCAGAAGTGGGAATGTTACAGCAGGTTAACTAGTCAGGGATAAGCAAGGAATGAGAGGGCCTCCCCACCCCCCACCAGGAATGTTGTTAGGCGACCATCCTGTGATGGTCAGGTGGTTGTTAACTGTGTCTCTAAAATAATACTTAATCGCAGCCAGCACCAGGGAAAAGCAATCTCTCAATAAACAGAAACACCTAAAATTGGTGATCAGCAGCTTCCTCATAAGATCTCAGAAACTGGGCAAGTGGGCTCAAGCATGTGCATTAAGAGGAAAAATGGAGGAGTTTAACTGGTATATGACCTCCTAAGGACATCCGACTGGTAAGGGAGAAAGCCTCAAGTGAGCCTGTGTATAAATCCAGTAAACACACTGTAACTTGCTCCCCTCCCAAGTGCTAGCACGCCACTGGGCATGCAGACAGCCCGCCCCAAGGTTAGAATCCGGGGAGAAGGAACACAAGACCCCCAGAAGCATGCCAACATATAAAACCCCAAGTCACAAAGTTAAACCATGCTTCAAGTCACCTGCTTGGCCCTCTTCTGAGAGTACTTTCTTTCCTTTGCTTCCTGCTTTAAAGTGTTTTAATAAACTTTCATTCCTGCACTAAAACTTGCCTCAGTTTCTCCTTCTGCCTTATGTTTCCTTGGTCAAATTCTCTTTTTAAAAAATTTTTATAAGTATTATTTAACAAAAAATGGAGACGGAGTCTCCCTATATTGCCCAGGCTGGTCTTAAGCTCCTAGGCTCAAGGGATCCTCCTACCTCGGCCTCCCAAAGTGCTGGGACTACAGGCATAAGCCAGCACACCCGGCCAGAATTGTTTCTTCTGAGGAGGTAAGAATTGTGGTTTCTGCAGACCCGTATGGATTTGCTGCCAGTAACAGGAGGGATTCATCCTACACTGTATAGGTCTAAGGTGCTGAGGCTCTCCCTGACAGAAGATAAACAAGAATGATGGGGGTCTGCAGGTTGCACAGGTTTAGGCTATGTCTGTTAGAAATTTTAAGGTCAAGGAACAAGGACAAGGACAGAGCCTTAGCCTTTAAAAGACTTAATTTCTCTTGTGTAAAACAGAGATAATAACACCTATTTCTGAAGGTTATGTAGACCAGAGGTCAGCAAATGTTTTCTGTAAATAATCAGATAGGGAATATTTTAGGTTTTGTGGTCCAGTCTCTGTCCTAACTACTCAACTCTGCACCGTAGCATGAAAGTAGCCATAGACAATATACAAACAAATCTGACCCTTCGTATCAACAGAACAAAACAAAACTCTAATTCACTTACTATTATGCTTAGCCGTTAGTAGGAACCCAAGCAGTGTTAACCATTGTGGGGAAAAGAAAGAGAGATCAGACTGTTACTGTGTCTATGCAGAGAGAAGTAGACATAAGAGATTTCATTTTGTTCTGTACTAAAAAATTCTTCTGCCTTGAGATGCTGTTAATCTGTAACCTTAGCCCCAATCCTGTGCTCACAGAGACATGTGCTGTGTTGACTCAAGGTTTAATGGATTTAGGGCTATGCAGAATGTGCTTTGCTAAAAAAGTGCTTGAAGGCAGTATGCTTGTTAAAAGTCATCACCATTCTCTAATCTCAAGTACCCAGGGACACAATACACTGCAGAAGGCCACAGGGACCTCTGCCTAGGAAAACCAGGTATTGTCCAAGGTTTCTCCCCATGTGATAGCCTGAGATATGGCCTCGTGGGAAGGGAAAGACCTTACTGTCCCCCAGCCCCACACCCATAAAGGGTCTGTTTTGAGGAGAATTAGTAAAATAGGAAGTCCTCTTTGCAGTTGAGATAAGAGGAAGGTATCTGTCTCCTGCTCGTCCCTGGGCAATAGAATATCTCAGTGTAAAACCCGACTGTATGTTCTATTTACTGAGATAGGAGAAAACCGCCTTAAGGCTGGAGGTGAGACATGCTAGTGGCAATACTGCTCTTTAATGCACTATATGTGCACATCAAGGCACAGCACCTTTTCTTAACCTTGTTTATGACACAGAGACCTTTGTTTACATGTTTTCCTGCTGACCCTCTCCCCACTATTACCCTACTGTCCTGCCATATCCCCCTCTCTGAGATGGTAGAGATAATGATCAATAAATACTGAGGGAACTCAGAGACCAGGGGCGCCGCCCGGGGCCTCAGCAGGGGGCCTTGTATGCTGAGTGCCGGTCCCCTGGGCCCACTTTTGTTTCTCTATACTTTGTCTCTGTGTCTCTTTCTTTTCCCAGTCTGTCGTCCCACCTGTCGAGAAATGCCCACAGGTGTGGAGGGGCAGGCCACCCCTTCAAACTATGTCACAGAAAATGATATAATTTGTTGCTGTCTATTTCTACTTTAGTTCTGTTCTTTACATTTTTATTTTTTTGAGATGGAGTTTCGCTCTTGTTGCCCAGGCTGGAGTGCAATGGTGCCTTCTCAGCTCACTGCAACCTCCCACTCCTGGGTTCAAGCGATTATCTCACCTCAGCATCCCCAGTAGCTGGGATTACAGGTGCCCACCACCATGCCAGCTAATTTTTGTATTTTTAGTAGAGACGGGGTTTCACCATGTTGGCCAGACTGGTCGCAAACTCCTGATCTCAGGTGATCTGCCCACCTTGGCCTCCCAAAGTGCTGGGATTACAGGCGTGAGCCACCATGCCCGGCAGTTCTGTTCTTTATGATGCTACTATTGCATTTAGGCTAAAATATACATATATAGAACCTGAAATGATGGTGGGATAAAGGGTACAACCCCTAGTGGACCATAGCGTTTTGAAGAAAACATTGTCAGGGCCTCTGGTGGCTCTCTTAAAAGACTTCCCTCTATAATCAGTGTAAGCAAAAAGGGGGCCCAGTTAATGATGTTATTAAACTTTATAAAGCATTGTGTAGCCTTTTTAAATTGAAGATAATTTTATGACAAGAAATTGGTAGATGAAAAAATTACCCTTATGTCTAGCTCACTAACACAACTGTTTGAATTTTTATACTCAATAGTCCAATTGTCTGTTATCCACACATTTCTGCATTACTTTAATCTTAATAATTTTTTTTTCTCTTTTTGAGATGGAGTCTTGCTGTCGCCAGGCTGGAGTGCAGTGGCTGCAACCTCTGCCTATGGGGTTCAAGTGATTCTCCTGCCTCAGCCTCCCAAGTAGCTGGGATTATAGGTGCATGCCACCACACCCATCTAATTTTTGTATTTTTAGTAGAGACAGGGTTTCACCATGTTGGCCAGAATGGTCTCGATCTCCTGACCTCATGATCCACTCTTCTTGGCCTCCCAAAGTGTTGGGATTACAGGTGTGAGCCACTGCACCCGGCTTTTTTTTTTTTTGAGATGGAGTCTCACACTCTGGCCCAGGCTGGAGTGCTGTGGCACCATCTCAGCTCACTGCAAGCTCTGCCTCCTGGGTTCATGCTATTCTCCTGCCTCAGCCTCCCGAGTAGCTGGGACTACAGGCGGCCGCCACCATGCCTAGCTAATTTTCTGTCTTTTTAGTAGAGACGAGCTTTCACCGTGTTGGCCAGGATGGTCTTGATCTCCTGACCTCGTGATCTGCCCGCCTCGGCCTCCCAAAGTGCTGGGATTATAGGTGTGAGCCACCGCACCTGTCCTTCAGCTAATCTTAATATTCTTAACATTTATATTTAGATTCTAGAAAGTCTTAAATGTGCATTTAATATTTGTATTGTATTTCACTGTGTTTATGAAAAACATCTTTATTGGATATACAGATTGTTTCCAGTTTTTTGCTATGAAGATAAAACTGCAATAAGTATCTTGCAAAGATTTTGGGCTTTTGGATTTCTTAGGATAAACTCTCAAGAATAGAATAAATCTTTATGGCTTTTATAATATATTGCCATAATGCTTTCTTACTAAAAGGTACAATTCAATTTGTATGCCCACTGATGTATGACTGTATCAGTATCACCATTGCTTCTGTTAGCAGTGGATATTTTAACTTATTTTTTTAAAAGATTCTATAATTCAGAAAGTACATAAATATAATTTACTTTACTTTCTTGGATTACTAACTAAAATGACCACTTCCCCAAGTGTTTATTCAGCCTTTTGAATTTCTTCTTATTCACACTTTTCCTGTGATCTTGGTACTTTTTGTTATTCCAGTAACATTTGAATGAGTTGTTCATATCACAGATACTACTAGCTTGGTTGTATTTGCTGTGAATATTTTACTCCAATCACTGAAATTTTTAGTTATTCTACTCTTCATATGACAAAAATTCTTTCATACATTCAAATCTTTTAATACTGTGCTACTATCACTTAATCCCTCCTTTCAATTACTACACAGTATCTTTTATCAACTTTAAAAAAAGTTTGCTAGGTAGTATATTAAACTTTAAATATATATGTTTCACCTAATTCTAGGTTTACTTTACTGTTTGGTTCTACAAACATTACCTTTGAACCAACTGAAGTGCAGACTCTAGAAACTAGTAAGAATGGCATATATCAGCACATTGTTTGCCATAAGACTATGATCATGTCTACGGAGGCTACTGATCCTTGGCCTAAATATTAGTGATGAACACTACCATACATAAAAATGAAAGATACAAAAGTCAATACAGATAAGGAAAACAATGATTTCATGCCTCTTACCAGTATTCTTTGATGCTGTAAAGGTGTTGTACTGAAAAAATCATCATGGTCATCTTTTGGCAACTGTTCCAGAAATTCCCTCATCTGTTGCTTCCTTTTAAGAGTTCCCACTTTGGCAGTTATCTTAATAGTTTGTTTCTGATCAGCATCACCTCTCTTGCCTTAAGAGTCAGCAAACCATTTTGATAAGGATTTGGTTATTTATAGTAACTGCTCTATAAAGTTAACAACCTTTGCAAAGTCTAAATTGTGCATTCATGTTAAAAAAAAACCAAAAAACTCAGCCTTGGCCAGGCTCAGTGGCTCATCCCTGTAACCCAGCACTTCGGGAGGCCAAGGCAGGAGGAATGCTTGAGCCCAGGAGTTCAAGAACTGCCTGGGCAATATAGTGAGACCCCATCTCTAAAAAAATACAGATATAGATAAAGCAAAAAAAGAAAGAAAACTTAGCCTGTTATTTTACAAGTCTCCTATAGAACAAATGATTATTTCTACACTGGGATCTGGGATTTGTGCAATATGATTAGCCCATAGGATACTCATGAAGAGGCTAAGATTAGGCAGGGTGAGGTTAAAAAGATCTTCTCTTTTTTTTTTTGTAGAGATGGGGTTTCACCATGTTGTCCAGGCTGGTCTCGAACTTGTGAGCTCAAGTAATCGGTCCACCTCAGCCTCCCAAAGTGCTGGGATTACAGGCATGAGCCACCGTGCCTGGCCAAAAAGATCTTTACACTGCAAGAATGACTGCCTCTACATTGCCTCTTGCTGAATGCCTAATTTATTGATTTTGCCAAAATATATAAACCTTACTGAATTATGACAGGGTATTGGGTTCTCGCTAATGCTTATTATAGAAATTCTCTGGCATAATCAACCTTTTACTAGTACTCATGAACAGGAGTATGTAATCATGGGACTATGAAAACTGAATATTTTCTGAGCTTTCTCATAAATTACTTGGGGATCTGACCCAAGTGGTCTTTAATTAAACCCTTAGAACAATAATTCAGATATTGAAATCTCTGGATCTAACTGCAGAATTCCTAAAACTCGAAGCACAAGGCTACTAAACTACTACTGATGGAAGCAGAGACCCAGGTAAGACTTAAAAATTAAACAGATGATTTCTGAAATTCTCTCTAGCTTTAAAATTTTAAGAAAATACCTATTAATATTCATGGATAAATATAAAATATATCTGATTTCAGTGATCAGAAATCAACACTGAGTACTAGGAAAAAAACTATTTACTACGAAGGTTACCATTTTGGCCTTTGGAATTGGCTGGCTTCTTCTTAGTGACATGTTTCTGGGATCCTTTTCCTCTGGGATTTTCCATGTATTTCCTCTGGCATTCTTCAGGAGATCGAGAACCTACAGCCGCAGCTACCTCTGACCAGAAACCAGGTTTGTGCTTTGGAAGAGATGCAAAAGCACTATGGAAGATCAAAACCAATTAAAGAATAAGAAATTCAAACCAATGACAATAACCTCTTAAAAGCATAACACTGAATTGATGAGATTTACTGAGATGAAGGAATCAGTTTTATCAAAATCATTCTGGATAACAATTAAGAAAGATATTATTCCTTCCCCTCAATAACTTAACTCTAGTGCTTAAAATATGAAGATGTAATTTTACCTATCTAGTAGATGTCTTCTAACTATTCTGATGTGTTTTATTAAGCCTGAAAAATGACCCTCAGCCTTTCAACATTTTTTTTTCTAAGTCCAACTAATCGATGATACGGTTTTTTAGGAGATTTTGGCATGACCAAATTTTCTTCACTGTTACCTTAAATCTTATTGGTGCTAAGTATATTGGACAATAAGCTCTTAGTTCTCTTATACAGTCTAGGTTATAAGCTATTAAAAAGTGTTATGCTTGCTTTCATTCTACTATACTTTGTAGAACTCAGTATTTTAGATATATGCTCTCTTAATTAAGGAAAATGAAAATTGAAATAGAGAAAACTATAAGGAAGTCCCTAATTTAACATCTGAGTTGCATTCTACAAGTTCCTTTGTAAATGATTTAGAACCTGGTATACACATTACCACCCCCACTCTCCCCATAAAGATTTCATGCATTGTGGTTAGATTGACAATTTAGCCAGAAAACATCTATGTAACTCATCAATTAGCCTAAAAGTGATATTAACAATGTCATTTCAACTACACCAAGTCTTTATTTTTAATCTGTTTCTTTGGCAAAATATTTTTATTTCTACTTGGATTCCAATTAATAGATATAGGTTTCATGTAGCAGTATGTGGGAAAGTTTTTAATCAGTTCTCTCGGGGTTAAACAGTCCTGATTTATAAAGTCTGATGACTTTCATAGGGTAAATACTCCCATTGTAGTTGATGTCAAGCTACCAACATGTCACTGACTGTGGAGTTGATAAAACACGTGTGATAGCACACAATTACATAGTATTTCCACCATACCACAGAGGTGAAGAGTCTCAAGAGCATATATATATAATAAAATGGAAAATAATTAGGAAGTAATGAGTTTTAAGCATTATCTTTGTTTTAAATAATTTAAGTTTATATAATTTTTTAATGACTTTAACACTCAATTTGTAAAATTCTCCAAAATTTAACAATCAGCTCTTGTGAACAGCTACCAGCTGACCACAGCATATTATTCCATGCAGAAAAGCATAATACTTATGAGCATTAAATACTTGTTAATGAATTCTTTTACATAATTAATCATTCCACAGTGTTCTAAAGTGAACAACTAGAAGGACTTGGGAACTCAAGCTTCTCTATTTGTGTGTGTGGCTAATTTCTAAATCTACGACTGTCTAAAATAACTATTACATAACACAAATAATAATGTATTTAATAAGAAATTAGTACTTAACACATCTCCTCTAGGTTATTCCAGATAATTTAAAAAGACAAACTTAAACATATCACACCATGTTTAAAACTTGTTTCATTATTAGCATAAAACCCCAAATCCTTAGTGTAACGCTGTATTGTTCCTTGCCCAACTCTCTAGTCTCATCTTGTACTGCTCTTTGGTCAACTTTCAGTATTCCATTCATTCTAGCTTTCTTTATTTACCTTTCTTTTTTTTTTAAAGAGACAGGGTCTCAATCTGTCACCCATGCAGGAGTGCCGGGCATTATCATAGCTCAATGTGGCCTCCAACTTCTGGGCTCAGGCGATCCCCCTGACTCCGCCTCCTTAGTGGTTGGCACTACAGGCACATACCCCACACCCATTCTTTCAGTATTTCCAAATATGCCCTCTTTCTTTATACTTTTGTGTATGCTATTCTAAGGTCCATTTGTCTTGAATCCTTGGCTTAAATAATTCTTATTTATTGATATAGTTTAAATATGTGTCCCTACCCAAGACTCATATCAAAATGTAATTCCCAGTATTGGAAGTGGGGCCTAGGGGGAGGTGATTGGTTAACGGAGGTAGATTCCTCATGAATGATTTAGCAACATCCCTCTTGGTACCATCCTTCTGATGGAGTTCTCATGAAATCTGGTCATTTAAAAGTGTGTAGCACACTTTTCCAGAATGTCATATAAATGGAATCATATAGTGTATAACCCTTTGAGTTGGCTTTTTTCACTCAATATGCCTTTGAAATTCAACCAGGTTGTTGTATGTATCAATAGTTCTTCCTTTTTACTGCTTAGTAATCCACTGAAAGAATGCACCCTAATTTGTTTATGTAGAAAGTACGACAGAAATCAGGGAGAGGGAGGAGCTTGGCATAGCAACCCTTTAAAGTTGTTTATGAACTCCTAGGCCCATGCTGCAAATTTTGATATATTTTCATTTTTGTTCAGTTAAGAATATCTGGCCGGGCTGGTGGCTCACACCTGTAATCCTAGCATTTTGGGAGGCCAAGGCAGGTGAATCACTTGAGGTCAGGAGTTCGAGACCAGCCTGGCCAACATGGTGAAACCTTAACTCCACTAAAAATACAAAAACTAGCTGGATATGGTGGCACACACCTGTAATCCCAGCTACTTGGGAGGCTGAGGCAGGAGAATTGCTTAAACCCAGGAGGCGGAGGTTGCAGTGAGCTGAGATCGTACCACTGCACTCTAGCCTGGGTGACAGAGTGAGACTCTGTCTCCAAAAAGAAAAAAAATAAAAGAAGCCGGGCGCGGTGGCTCAAGCCTGTAATCCCAGCACTTTGGGAGGCCAAGGCGGGAGGATCACGAGGTCAGGAGATCGAGACCATCCTGGCTAACACGGTGAAACCCCGTCTCTACTGAAAATACAAAAAATTAGCCGGCGTGGTCGCGGGCGCCTGTAGTCCCAGCTACTCGGGAGGCTGAGGCAGGAGAATGGTGTGAACCTGGGAGGTGGAGCTTGCAGTGAGCAGAGATCGCGCCACTTCACTCCAGCCTGGGCGACAGAGCAAGACTCCGTCTCAAAAATAAATAAATAAAATAAAATAAAATAAAAGAATATTTTCTACTTTCCTTTAAGTCTTCTTCTTTGACCCACAGATTAGTTATACGTATTAATAAGTTATTTAATTTTCAACCACTTGGAAATTTTCCTATCTTTATTTTATTGATTTGTAGTTTAATTCAATTATCATCAGAGAATATGCTTTGTATGATTTCAGCTATTTTAAATCTGTTAAGAGGTTTTATGATCTATCTTGATGAATGATCAACCTATCCTTGGAAATAACCTATTCTTTTTCTTATTATTGGGTGGAATGTTCTGTAAATGTGAATCATACGAATGACTGATGGTGTTGTTCAGTTCTATATCCCTGCTAATTTTCAGTCAGTTCTATCAAATACCAAGAGAGGAGCAGTGTGGTTTCCTATAACTGTGGATTTGACTATCCTTGTAGTTTAGTCCGCTGCTTTCACTTGTCAGTTTTTAACTCATGTATTTTGAGGTTTTATTGTCAGGTGCATACACACTTAGGAATTTCATGCCTTCCTGGTGACTGACCCTTCTATCATTTGTAATGTCTTTCTTTATTCCTGGTTATTTTCTTCCTACTAAAGTCTATTTTGACAGATATTAATATAGCCACTCAAGCTTTCTTTTGATTTGTGTTTAGACGGTATTTTTCTATCCTTTTAACCTACCTATATCATTATATTTAAAGTGAGTTTGTTGTATACAGCATATAGTTAGATCATGTTTTTAAATTCATTCTGACAATATGTCTTTTAATTGGTATGTTTAGACCATTTAATTTAATTATGTTGGATTTAGGTCAATAATTTTATTATTTGTTTTCTGCTTGTTCCATGTAAAAAAATCCTCCACTTCTCTTCTTCTTTGCCTTCTTTTGGGCTATTTGATTTTCCAGTATTTTAATTTATGTTTGAAATTATTTCTTTGTATAGTTTTTTTAGAAGTTGCTCTAGGGATGACATTAAATATACTTAACTTCAACAGTCTACTTAGAATCAATATTTTACTGCTTCAAGTGAAATGTTAATATTTTTATTTTAGCAGGTCATCAACCTGGTGGTATCCCAAGCTATACGTTCAGTCTACTATCATTGTTGTTTCAATGTCAGTTTCATTTTTCAAAGCTCTGCAGTGCTGTTAGGATCTTCCTGTGTGTGGGACACTGAGTAGCTAGCCTAGAAACTGGGTGTGGTCTACTGTTTAGTTCAGTTCTCAGTCTTTTATATGCTCTTTAGGACCATGTCCACATATGTACAACTCCTGGGTGGCATAGAAGTTCATAAACAACTTTATGGGGTTGCTTTTCCTACTTCCTCTCTTTCCGCGATTTCTGGTTCCCTGGAGTTTCCCTTGTCAGTGCTCTGGCCAGAAAGCTGGGGCTTTTATTACTCTGCTCTGCTGTATGCCTCACACAACTGAATTTTTGTCCAGTACCAAGCAACAGACAACAGAAAGAGAACAGAAGCAACAGGTACTTGCCCCACTACTTTGAGGCAACCATTCCTAATTGTAGAGAAGGTTCTCATCTCTCAGAGTTTTAGATATATCTCAGCCCCAGCTGATGCTGTGACTGTAGCCCCTGCAGGATTGCATGGGGACTGAGTTAAGAGAAAAGACAAAAACAAAACAAAACAAAACAAAACAAAACAAAAACAAACCAAACCAAACACTGGGGATTTCCTCTACTGTTTCTGAGTGTCAGAAGTCCCCCTTTCTGCTCCTCAACCCAGAACTGGAGAGCTCCTCTTTAAACTCTCTTTGTTACCCTTCAGTGCCCACTTCTAGGTTTCTAGTATCCTTGAGTCTCACTTGTGGGGCACCAAACTTTACTATTTATAACACTTGTTAGGCCGGGCACGGTGGCTTATGCCTATAATCCCAGCACTTTGGGAAGCCAAGGTGGGCGGATCATTAGGTCAGGAGTTCAAGACCAGCCTGACCAACATGGTGAAACCTCATCTCTACTAAAAATATAAAAATTAGCCAGGCGTGGCAGCGTGCGCCTGTAGTCCCAGCTACTCAGGAGGCTGAGGCAGGAGAATCGCTTGAACCCGGGAGGCAGAGGTTGCAGTAACCGGGATTGTGGCATTGCACTCCAGACGGGGCAGCAGGGCGAGACTCCGTCTCAATCAAAACAAAACAAAACAAAAAACAAAAAAATGCATTTCTTAAAATATGAAGCTACGTGAGAGAGTACTATTTGGCTATCTTGAAATATTACATGGGAATGAAAAGGTCACTTTTACTTTCCTCATACTTAGGCTTTCCTCGTACTTTCCTCGTATTAGAGATGACCACAAAAATACCACTAGGAGTTATGTGTAGTCTATCTCCATTCCCTGTGCAAATTATAATTTCTCCCTTTTTTTTAATGACATCTTCCATGTTAACCCCTTATTGCTATTTTTATGTCTTTAACTGTCTTGTGGCTGCTCTGTAGATATTTCGGAATGAAATCTAACTACTTACCAATGAAGTTTCTGTAACTCCTTCTCATTCCATTCCTTATCCTGAATTAAACCAGGTAAGCATTCTAAGGGATGCCTATTTGTCTTATCAGATCCTACTGCCTCAGTAATTGGAAACTCTTTCCTAACACCAGACTTCTGAAGAGTTTCTTTGACGGAAGGTCTAGCTTTCTTTTGTTTGATATAAAATTCATTTTCACTTTCTTCAGTTTCAGGTTCCAAAATCACTGGAATATTACTTGTGTTTCTTGTGCTCTTTCTCAGGTGAACCACTGCTTCTTTGGTGTTTCCTGCTTTGGTTTTCTTAACTTCAGCTTTCCTTTTAATTTCCTTTTCTGTTTCACTTTCTTCACTTGACAAATCTGGTGAGGACTGATGCTTATAAAATGACATAGCTACCTGATTTTCTATTTTCTTCAATTTTGGTAATAGTCTGGTATTTTTCTTAAAGTCAGAGGTGAGCATTTGTTCCTTTTCAAGGTTAGATATTTTTATTTTCCGGTTGACAGTAAGTAAGTCACGTTCATCGCAATCTTCCTTGTTTTTACTTTTATGACCTTCAAATGTATTTTCTAAAGTCCCCATGGACTTGCTGATGGGACTTTTTTTTTGACACTCTGGTATTACAAAATCTGTTACTGCTTTGATGGTGCCAGCGGACAGATTATACCTCATGCATCTTTGCTCTATCACTTTTCTAGATTTAAGTGGTGTTACTAAAATATAAGCTTTCTTCTGATTGATGGCCATGTATTTTCTTTCTTCATCTGAGAAAAACTGTTCCCTTGAGGTTAGAATATCAATGGATACATCCAATTCTTCAGTTGTCTCTTTAATTTCATAAGACAAAACCAAAGACCAAAATCTCAAATTAGCTATAAACAAATATAAGCACAGAAAATATATTTTCACAAATAAAAGATACTATTTTTATCCACGAGCTACACTGTATACCCACCTGTCATATTAATCTTTCTGAAGCCCAGGTCTATTCAGACCACTGCCCCTTCAACTGTAAACATATACTATTGTTTATACAAACCTGACAGTGACTTCTCACAGTCTTTTAGTAGACATATAAATAAGCTCCTCTGCCTGGCCTTCCACATAGTTCCAATCTCTCACTGTTGTCAAAATCTCAACTATATTCTATGTTCAGAACCACACCACTTGCTATTTCTCAGATTTTCTTGGTTCTCCACTTTTAATAATGTTGTCCACTCTGCTTTGAAGATGTTCTTCATTCATCTATAAACAAAATCACTACCTGCTTCGATTTTATTCTCTAACCCACCTAGTGTACAAACTTGTACACATTCCCTACACTGAATGAAAGCTCTCCTTCAAGTTTCCAGAATACTTTAAATAATGCCATGTTTGACAGTGAGACATGTATTATAATTGCACACTTGTCTTTCAATCAGACTGGAAAAAATAATTAATGGTTAGAACTTTATCTGTATGGTTTGATTTTTTTTTTTGCTGGAGTTAGTACAGAGCCTTTCACATATACAGTAGGCAATAAGTAAATACTTGTTAAATCAAAGCCCTGGAGGTAAAATATTCAGAAGATATAAGAAAACCAGTAGTCACTGAAACCTTACTAAGTATTATATGAGCTGTGCTAGTTAGGAGGACATGGAACTCCATCTGCATGGTTCCACTTTCATTGCCAATGGTGGTCATAGAAACACACTCAAAATGAATCCCCCCAAACACCATGAAGTACAAAACAAGCAAAAGAGAACAACCTGAGAATCTTATATCTTGTCACTAAAGAAAGCAAATTAAAATGAGAACAATTCACCAATTCAAAACCTAAGTAATGAGAAGTCAAACTAACTGAAACTATCCAACTGTAATTAGAAATACATATAAACTGCAAATCATCCCACTGTCATAGAAACATATTACAACCACCTCCACATATTATGTGCCATTGTTTACAAGATGACTGACAGAATGAGACTGATAGATAATATTGAATGCTGGGGAGAAAAGAAGCCTCTAAATTACAATCCGTGGAAAAAGGTAATAATCAAAATAATTTAGAAAGTGTCTACAAGATTTTCCACTGGCATCATATATCTTCAAATTATGAGAAAAGTATTTTCTTCTAACTCCTCATATAAATCCAATTCAAATGTTTACCTGGGAATTTGAAAATTTTCAACATTATAATTTTGAACAATATTTCCATTCAGAGTATTTGTTAATTTTAATAAATTATTTAATAAAGATCCAGCTATCTTGGATACTTAAACCGAATATGAACTCGGAAGTATAAGTAGCACTGCTTTCCTATCTTCTTCAAACAAATAAATGTTCTTCACTTTCACTTCTTTTCACTTATAAGAGGAAATAAAACACAAAAAAATGCTATAAAGCTAATGGATTTAGCTCAACATGAAATTGTAAACTTGCTAACATTTAGACGAAAGCCTCTAAATTATGGCATGCAGGATTCCAATTAAATCACTCTGAAAATCCACACTTAAAACTAAATTATTGTACTAAATTCATAAAAGGATTCACTCTTTACACATTCCTGTAAGCATATGTTAAATGATATATAGTTTTGTGATCTAAACAAATATTTTAGTACCCAGATTAAAGAAGGCAAACCTGTAAGTATAGGTGGTTTTTAAAAGGGCTATTTTATTATGAAAATCATCTTATGTAAAAATAACAAAACCAAACATTTAAAAACATTAAATAATTTGCCATTTTACATGAGGAAATTTACAAGATCACTTTTATCATATTAAAAACATTTCACATAGTAGCTTTCTGCTTATGATTAAAAAACCATTAAAGATATATTACCTTGCTTCTGACTTTTTATTATCCTTTCATTTGTTCTTTCACCAATTTTTAGTTTCTTTGAAGACATTTTATATTCTTTTTTTCCAATTAATTCCTTCAAAACAAAAAGATACCTAGGTTTTATTTTAAAACTACTACCAAAACATGATCTGAAGCATTTTCATAGTATGCATCAAGCATACAAATTTCTAGGTACTTACAGTTCCGCAAATTTCATTAGTGGACACATTCCGAAACTTACTTGCCAGACCTTGAGCACTACGAGCAACATCTGGGAATCCATTATCCTACATATTTTCTACATTAATTTAATACTTTGTGGTTTTTCAAGTGCTTTTAAAAATATGCTTTATTTAAGCTTTACTCTAAAAGCTAAAACTTTTATTGTTGCCTGCATTTTTTCATTGAGAGACAGGGAAAATAAATATCAAGACATTCAGTCCCCAAGTAAATGAAAAGCTGATACTTGAAAAACAGAACTCTTGGCTGGGCGCAGTGGCTCACGACTGTAATCCCAGCACTTTGGGAGGCAGAGGTGGGTGAATCACAAGGTCAGGAGTTCGAGACCAGCCTGGCCAATATGGTGAAACCCCGTTACTACTAAAAATACAAAAATTAGCCAGGCGTGGTGGTGCATGCCTGTAGTCCCAGCTACTCGGGAAGCTGAGGCAGGAGAATCACTCGAACCCAGGAGGTGGAGGTTGAGGCAGGAGAATCACTTGAACCCAGGAGGCAGAGGGTGCAATAAGCCGAGATCACGCCACTGCACTCCAGCCTGGGCAATAGAGGGAGACTCCATCTCAAAAGAAAAAAAAAAAAAAAACAGAACTCACGTCCCTGATATGGTCCCAAACCTTTTCAGTAGTAAATCACCCTTCTAAATATCAACTTGAACTATACAGTGTACAATAAAGCCTTACCTGATTAGATAAGTCATCTCCTCCTCCATTTTGAATAGTATTATTTACTTGGTCATCTGGGAACCTTAATGTTGGTTTATTTTGGCAATTACTGTGGCACATGTTTAATTCTGTAGCTCCTGGTGACTCACTGTGCTTATTACTCTTCAGTTCTATGAATACAAAGATGGAGATTTCAATAAATGGTTATATAAAAGAGAAGCTGCTTTTCTACATGAAGAATTAACTTTGACGCTAGGTGTGGTGGCTCACGCCTGTAATCCCAGCACTCTGGGAGGCCGAGGGAGGAGGATTGCTTGAGCCCAGGAGTTCAAGACTAGCCTAGGCAAAATAGTGATACACTGATTCTACAAAGAATAAAAGGTTGGTGCAAGCCTATGGTCCCAGATACTTGGGAGCCTGAGGTGGGAGGATCACTTGAGCCAGGGAGGTCGAGGCTGCAGTGAGCCGTGATTGTGCCACTGTACTCCAGCCTGGGTGACAGAGCAACACCCTGTCTCAGAAATAATAATGATAATCTGTCTAATCCCTCTGTCATAAATATTTGTTATAATTTGACTAGGATATAAAGCAATTTTATTTGGAAAGAATCACTCTGTATAGCGCTACGCTACATTTTGTTTGAATCACTTTTTTTCCTTCAAAAAAAATTTAAAAAGCCTAGACAGCCATATTATTCACGACCATCTGTTTTGGATCTCCTTTGTCACATCTAAAGACAGAATAGTAAGGTTAATCCATTTTGTAAATAAAAATTCCTGTTCATCCTAACTGCACATCAACTAAATAGAAAGCTAATAACTGTTCTTCTTCTATTTCTTCATGTATGTAGAATTATGTTTCAACTAGTTTATGTACTCCAATGTATAACTAAATTTCTGTAATTAAAATTTTGAGCAAAACTAAATTATACAGTATATAATATATGCTCAACAAACAGTTACTAAGCTGGAATTCTAGGTAAGTTAAAACAGATTCATAAAAAGTATAAAAACATTTTGTTATTTTTCTAGAAGCTATTCTTTAAAGATGTACTGACTAGTCCTTGCTCTTGAAAATATTACCATATAATGAAGGAAGCTTCTATTATGATAGGTCATTTATCATATACTCTGGTAAGTGTAATAACAGAGATAAAGTGCTTTAAGAGCAATACTATGATACACAAGTACTTTTTAGGCAAATCATTAAAACACATACATAAAATTACATTATCTTAAATTAACATGGGTTGGTACCTTTACATAACCTTAGCTATATAATGTTAGATGTGGTTTTGTTTTTTTCATGCAAAGTGCAATGATAATAATAAAATTAATAACAGCCCCAACCACCACTCAAAATAACTTACGTGATATGAAGATAGTGTCTAACAGTTTCATTAAGAAAAGATCTAATGAATTACACTAGAAAAATGATGCAATCATAACAGAATATATTAATATTTGCCCCTAAACCAAGATCCCTGGGGGTGGGGGTGGGGGGAATCATGCCTTATTCATCTCTAAGTTCCTAAAACTTAATAGACCAGGGTTCATGGAAAGCACTTTAAAAATGTTGACACCAGGTGCCATGTTTCATGTCTATAATCCCAGCACTTTGGGAGGCCAAGGTGGGAGGACTGCTTGAGGCCAGGAGTAGGAGACCAGCCTGGCAACATAGTAGGATCCCATCTCTACAAGAAATAAAAAACAAGCCAAGTGCAGTACTGTATGCCTGTAGTCCCAGCTACTTTGGAGGCTGAGGTGGGAGGATTGCTTGAACCAAGGAGGTTGAGGCTGCAGTGAGCCATGATTGCACCACTATATTCCAGCCTGGGAGACAGAGCAAGACCCTGTCTCAAAAAAAAAAAAAAAATTGCTGAGTGATTTTCCTATGGACACAGCTGGTATGTAAAATAGTTTACCAAACTTTAGTCTTTTAAATTTGTATTCATTTCTCTTGTCAATAGCTTTCTTAAACACTTTACTGATAATATTTGCAATTAAGATCAAATCCCTAATAAGTGCTGGCTCTAAGTGAAATGGGGTACAGGAAGAGGTAAGAACCAAGACTAAAGACCAACAAATGATTAAAAGTGAGATATACTGTCAAGGATTTTCTTGTTTTAGGAGTAAAAAAGTAGAGAGCAGGTGCCGAAGCCCCAAGGTTCCAGCATACTCAAGATGCTCCAGCAATAAAAATAGGCAATATGCCTAATTTAGAGAAAATAGGATGACTTTTGATAAAAAGAGGAAGGGTTGAGAAGGAACTAGGGCAATGGTAAGTGACTTTTTGCTAGCTCTGGGGAAGCAGTCATCTACATATTTAACGTATTCCTTTCTCTGCATTAGAAAGGATAAGCAAAGTTTCAAGGGTGGAAGTTCAAATGCGGGTTGGGGAGTGGTTAGAATAGGATACAGGTACATTTATATCCAGTATGGTGCTATGTTTTTGGCAGAAGGATTCCTGAACTCTTTCAAGTTTTGGAAGTTCTGTAAAGCTCTTAGTTACAAGTTTAAGGCAAAATCAGCAGAAATGTTTACAACATATTTTAGTAACTTTTACTCATCTATATTGTTTAGAAAGAGCTGTAAGTTAATGTTCATACATTTTTATACAAGTGAAGCAGATTATAGTGTTGGCAAAGAGCTGATACAGAACAGTTCTGCTCTGGCAAGTTGGTCTCCTTATTAAAAAAGAGAGAGGAAAAAAAGAACAGTTCTGCAATCTGTCGTTACAGCAATGGTCATTCAAGAAAAGCATTTTCTTGAATTCCATTTCTTCCATGAAAGGAAACAGATTTTGCCTATCCGTAGGAATGAAATTTAGTACAAAAATAATATATGTCTTTACAACAGGTTTGCGGTAGGTTGGCAGCTTAAATACTTTGGGTCAAGGAAATTAAAAGAACAATCATCTTTCATTAATTTGTTTACCAGTGTTCTTTGGTATTCTGATTAATAAAAAGGTAATTATTATTATTATTATTTTTTGAGACAGTGCCTCACTCTGATGCCCAAACTGGAGTGTTGTAGCACAAACATGGTTCATTACAGCCTCAACCATCTGAGCTCAAGCGATCCTCCCACCTTAGCCTCTCAAGAAGATGGGAACACAAGCATGCACTACCATGTGTGGCTAATTTTTTTGACTTTTAGTAGAGACAGGGTCTCGTCATGTTATCCAGGCTGGTCTCAAACTCTTGAGCTCAAGCGATCCTTGCGCTTCAGCCTCCCAAAGTGCTGGGATTACAGGCATAAGTCACTGGGCCCAGGCAAAGGTGGTATTTGATGAAGCAAGCTGAATCCTGACCATGATTAATCTGTATTATAGTTACTTCTCATATAGTAGTGAAGAAGCAGGAATGTGGGGGCAGTATAAGTCAAAGAATACTATACTATACACATTACTACTATACACATTATAAACCATAAACAATGTAGACCATGTAAGAACTTAACCACTGTACCAACAGAGAAGTAAAGACAAAACATACCCAAATTATCACAATCAAAATCGTAAGTGGTGGTGGCTCTTTGAGCAGTATCTGTTTGGTTTTCTCGTGCATCATTTTTCATTGATTTCCTTATGTCACGGACAGATCTTCCAGTTTTCTGTTTTTGTTTGGTCTTTTCCCTGTTCTTTTCACCAGCCCTTTAAAAACAATTATTTTATTTTTCCTTAATACTGATTCTCAAAAAAACAAAACAAAAAAAATCTTCATAAATAAATAAAAACCCCTCACATAAAGCTCTTTCCACCCAGGCAGGGTATCTTTAATCTTACATTATTAATCCTTCATGGCTTTCACTCCCTTCCTTCACAAAGAACTGAGGTGTAACATCTTAAGTCAGAGGACTCAAATATGATCTCCAAACTGCTTCCTACTATATGCTCTTATAATTCCTACTTAAACTGATATTATAGGAAAACTACAGGACAACTGCCAGTTGCCTGTTTTTGTAAATGAAGTTTATTAAAACACTGCCATGCTAATTCATGTATATATTATCTACGGCTGCTCTTCTGCTACAAAGGCAGAGTTGAATAGCTGCAATAGGGGCAATATGCCTGCAAGAATATTATCTTTACAGAATATGCCCTTTACAGAAAAAAACTGCCAGCCCCCGTTACCAGTTATTATATTTGTGCTGTGATTAAGTTTAAAGTCCGTATCCCCTATGAGCTCCACAAGGGCAAGAATAAATCAAATTCTTCTGTCTTTCACCAGCATCAACTATAGTGTCTGTAAAGTAGCAGACACTCCATAACTACTGAGAAAATGAATGAAAAAAAAAGGAGGAAGAACTGCACATTAGTATTTAATAACTGCATGCCTTCTGAAGGGTAAATGATTAGAATTACTCTTTGACATATGTCAAAAGTTTTATTTTCCTTTGAGATTTACTAAATACAACAGAAGTTCTAGTAAAATGTTATTGCTTCTGAAATGCTTCACAGACCAAAGCAAACTCCAAAACTGGCATTTCAGGCGGGCGCGGTGTCTCACGCCTATAATCCCAGCACTTTGGGAGGCCAAGGTGGGTGGATCAGGAGGTCAGGAGATCGAGACCATCCTGGCTAACATGGTGAAACCCTGTCTCTACTAAAAATACAAAAAAATTAGCCAGGTGTGGTGGCGGGCGCCTGTAGTCCCAGCTACTCGGGAGGCTGAGGCAGGAGAATGGCGTGAACCCCAGAGGCGGAGCTTGCAATGAGCTGAGATCGCGCCACTGCACTCCAGCCTGGGCGACAGAGCCAGATTCCATCTCAAAAAAAAAAAAAAAAAAAAAACAACAACAAAAAAACTGGCATTTCAAACAAATACCTAAAACAGGTGCACTTAATTAAATGTAAATTGTACCTCAGGCCAGGCACAGTGGCTCATGCCTGTAATCCCAACACTTTGGGAGGCTGAGACAGGCGGATCACTTGTAGCCAGGAGTTCGAGACCAGTCTGGCCAACATGACGAAACCCCATCTCTATTAAAAATACAAAAATTAGCTGGACATGGTGGCACACACATAATTAAATGTAAATTATATCTCAATAAAGTTGACTTCTAAAAACATAAAACAACATTTTACCTTAATTGTTCCAGAAAATTATCAATGTGCTCTTTCCAATTTTCTGGAAATCCAAACATAAATTTCCTTATGAGATAATTTGGATATCCTATTTAAGGATAAACAACAACAAAAAGTATTTAAAAGCCTAGAATTTTAAACAGATATCATTAATTCATTACATCATTCAAGAAATATGCACCTATTGCTTAATATGTGCCAGGTACTATTATAGATATTCAGAATTCGGCAGTAAACAAAGCAGACAAAAACTCCTATCCTCATGGAACTTGGCTTCTAATGTGGAAAAAAGTAGCTAACCAATAAGTACAATATCTTGTTTGTTAGATGGCTATGCAGGGACGGTGGACAGGTGTATCGATATGTCCATGGGGGAGTAAAGGGGTGAACAGCAATTTAAAAAAGGATAATCAGGGAAGTCTTCAATGAAATAGCATCATTTGAACAAAGTGATTGAGCTATGTGGCAATATTGGGTTAGAATACTGGAAACAAAACATAAAGGGAAAGGCAAGAGTATACCTGGCCTGTTTGAAACAATTAGGAGTCCAGTATACTTGAAGTGGCATGAGGAGGGGGTTAGAACTTGGGAGGCCACTCAGATGGGTAACAGAGGCAGTAGGAAGCATGAGAGATTATAATATAAGGCCTTAGAGTCATTTTATAGAACTGACCATTTACTTTGGACAAGATGAGAAGCTATGGAAAGATTCCAAGCAGAGGAGCTACAGGATCTAATTTACTTTAACTGGACTGCTAAAGCAAACTGCTATTTTGAGAAGAACCTGTGGAAGAGCAAGGGAAGAAAGAATGAGACCAGTTAGGAGGCCACTGTAATGATACAAACAAATTATGAGGAAAGTCTGGACTACAGTGATGCTGCAGAGGTCTGAGTTTGGGATATATTTTGGAGATATATTAATAGGATGTACTGACACACACACACTGATGTGGGTATGAGAGAAACTGAGAATTTAAGGATGCCTCCAAGAATTCTGGCTACTGGACACATGGAAAGATGGGGAAGAATATAGGTTAAGCAAATTTAAGGGAGAAGATCAGGTTTTAGATTTATTAAGTTTGAAATGCCTACAGACATCCTAGTGGAGATGTCAAATAAGCAGGTGGAAAATGAATTGGGTACTAAGGGGAGAGGTCTTGGTTTGAGATATAAAATTGGCATTCATCATCATATAAATTATATTTAATGACTAAAAGGAATCAGCATACCACGCAGTGTATTAAAAGAAAGAGCCCCAAGCTACCCCATTATTAGAAAAAATGGAGAAATACACAAAGAAACTAAGAAGGAAGAGGCAGTCAGGCAGCATAAAAATTGGAATATGGTATTAGAGAAGCTAAGTAAAGTATTTCAAAAAGGTAAGTATGATTAACTCTGTTCAAAGTGTATACTGAATGTAGCAATGTGGAGGCCACTGGTGACTTTGATACAGGTTGTTTTGGTGAAGAACTGGAGGTTAAAGAGAATTCAAGAAAAAAAAAAAGAAAATTCAAGAGAAATTAGATTTACAGAAGTAAATGTAAACAAACTATATGAATTGTTTTGCTATAAATGAGAGCAATACTGGCTAAAAGGAGAAATGTGGTTAAAAGAGAAATAAAAAAAAAAAGGAGAAGGGAGTGTTACTGGAATAACATCCTTGAGTAAAAGAGAAAATGAGAGCTAGTGTACAAATGGAGAGGCTGACATAGACAGTAACGTGCTAGTTCATCCATAATAAAAGCAGGTGTTAATCCAAGCAGGTGAGTAGATGTGGTAAAGAAATATCCTGATTGTTCCTCTTGCTCAGGTGCTCTGCCCTCTCCCCTACTTTGCCCATCTGAGAGAGGGTAAAAAGGAGGAGGTATTGGAGATTTGTCAAAATATGAAGGAGTCATCAGGAAGGTTGGGAGAGTGAATGAATTAGGGAAATATGGTAGGATACCAAGCAGCACCAAGAAACCACTAAGGGACTGTAACTTGTTGCTAGTAAACATAAATTTAGACTACTTGGATGTGTTTTTCTCCAGTTATATTCAGCTGTGTGCAAGGCATAGGTGGAAAATTAGGTTACACCAGGACTGGGGTGGTGCCAGGTGGGTTCAACAAAGAGAGGAATCAGGGAGTTAAATGATATTCTTATAACATAATTCCTTGTAAATAAGGAGTATTTCATTTGATATTTTAAAACTCACACAAATTAGGCTGGGCACAGTGGCTCATGCCAGTAATCCCAACACTTTGGGAGGCTGAGGTGGGCAGATCACATGAGGTCACAAGTTCAAGACCAGCCTGGCCAACATGGTGACACCCTGTCTCAAAAATCAGCTGTGCACTGTGGCACACTCCTGTAGTCCCAGCTACTCGGGAGGCTGAGGCATGAATAATCGCTTGAACTTAGGAGGTGGAGGTTGCAGTGAGCTGAGATCACGCCACTACACTCCAGCCTGGGCAACAGAGCAAGACTCCATCTCCAAAAAAAAAAAAAAACAACCCCAAGCCTCTTAACACTTCTGTATCCATTCCCTGGGGGCATATGTGGATCCTGTGCATGAAAAGGACTGGCCACAGGAAACCACGATGTTGTTCCAGGCTTATTTATCCACAGCTACCTGCAGTTGCTATTGCATCATTTTTTTGTGCCATGTTGGAAGTGGTCATGCACAGGACCAGCCTGGTGAAACCCCGTCTCTACTAAAAATACAAAAATTAGTTGGGTGTGGTGGCAGGCACCTTAGTCCCGGCTACTCAGGAGGCTGAGGCAGGACAATCACTTGAACCCCGGAGATGGAGGTTGCAGTGAGCCGAGATCGTGCCACTGCACTCCAGCCTGGGTGACAGAGCAAGACTCCATTTCCAAAAAAAAAAAAAAAAACAAAAACACATAACTTATTAGAAATTGTCAATAAGAGTGATAAAAATCAGAAAAAAAATTACCAGTTTTATATAATATCAGTTGTTTTGATTTATTCATAATTTAAAAATACCTAATTAAAAGTTAAAAAAATGTGTATTACTGTGAGAAACATGGTTAACTGCTTTACTTCTTAAAATAACTTATCAATAATGACAGTCATTTACCTGCTTCTTTCATGGAAATTTGGTCTATCATGCCTTTTAATATATAAACGTTGCCTGATATAGTCCTAAGTTTGTTGTGCTCAATCCGCTCTATAATTACATTACTGTGCCAATATATGTTAGTGACGTCTCTAGGAAAAAAAAATAGTTTTGGTAAGGTCAAAATATTCATATAGAAATTTCTAACAGAAAATAATTTTACACTTTAGCTACAGCAACACTAAGAATGTTATTAGTCTAATTACAAAATATTTGAAGGCCAAACATTACAGCAGAACTCAACTGCTTGGCTATTGTAATCCTCAGATTATGTACCAAAAAAACTATACTGTGGCCAAACCATGTCCCTCCTACAAAATATTATTAGTAAGGGAGCAGAGGCCTTGTCTCAGTATCTGATGCTGGCAATAAATACTTGCAGCTTCAGCTTAACTGATGCTAAGCTTCCAAAGAATGATCTCCCTGTTCCTCTCCTTCAGGGTCTATACTGTGTTAGCTTTTATGCAGAAAGTAGATTGGATCCAGCTAATCTGGTGTTTTTTCACCCTGGCTATACAGCCAAATGTTTTTACCTTTCATTTTGGAAGGTACCAAATGAGGTTTAAGTGGGGAAAAAAGAAATTACTGTATCAAATCACTGACCCATAAATCTATTCTTTATATTTCTTTAAAGAATATGAAATAGAAAAAAATATGAAGATGTATTAGATAAATGATGAACACTGTCCCATTCATCAGATAACTAATAATAATAAACATACTGATGATAAGCATGACGAATAAGGAAATCAAGTTACTTTTCTTTGGTCAACTGGGATTAAACTCACACATTATACCTTAATACAGTATTACTTCTCTTCAATTCTCTTTTGCTTTATTTACTTATTTAAGAAACTTTTA